>NC_000001.11:186934587-187559587 GCF_000001405.40 Homo sapiens
TCACAGTCTTATTTCCATAAAGATCAGCTTTTACCTTTTTATTTCATTTCCTTAAAAGGCTGCTCACTCCTTGTAATAAATTTTCACTCACAGACCACTTAATTTGCAAAGTTCTTATTTTCCTTGACTTCTCAGTGTATGTGGTGTAGGGGAGGGAGGGATTGGAGATTGAGACATTTCACACATTGATTTGTGCTTCTTTCTAATTGTTCCTATCATGCCTTTTCAGTTTTATTTCATCCTCTCTGATTGGCCTCTCCTCCATATATTGTCCCTACCACTTCCACAATTTCTCTCCTTAATGTGGGCTTTCCCTCATGGCTTCTCTTTTGGTCCATTATATCCATATGTCCTCCGTAGGTAATTCCACCAACTTCTGCCATTTTAGCTATTACCACCAAGAATTTAATTCATGGAACCCTGTAACACTCCAAAACTTCATAGATAAAAAGAAAATAAAACCCTAATGGAGACTGCAAATAAGCTGTCATAGAGGAGAATCAAGTAAAAGATGGTATCTAGAGGGAAGGATGCTTCAAGAAGGAGTGGGTGTTTTAATAATGTTGAAAATCTGTGAAAAGCTTAGCAAAGGACTGGGTTTGGTTAGTGGTTTTAGCAGGAACCACTAGTAAAAGTAATTAAAAGATACTTTTAAACATGAGATTGTAAAAAATAAGAAGTGAATAAAACATGAGAGTACAAAAAATAGGCATATGAACCTCATAAAAGCCATCTATTATTTCAAGTACTTTGTTTGGAAAGGGAAGGAAGGAGCTCGGTCATTGTTTGAAGGGAACATAGGGCCCAGGGAAGGGTTTTTATTTTTTTTTTTTTCAGAATTTAAGAGAGTTGAGCATTTTCTAGATGTCTGAGATGTAGGAAATAATGTAGAGGCATAGATGGAAGATAAAGAAATAGAAGATAGTAGAAGATAAAAAGAAGATAGAAGGTAAAGAAAATAGATAGAAAAAGACTCCTGCAGAGACAGGACACAAGATTGAAAGCACAGGTGAAGGTGTTAACCAGGGAAAGAAGAGATGCTCCCTTACCAGAAGAAAAGGTGGCCAGGATGATTCATGTTCACAGTTCTCTCTTAAAAAGTACAGGTGAGAAGGTAAAAAGTTCAAAGGAAGGAATTCGGAAAGTCTTGGAAAAACACATTACGCTTCTATGTTGTGTAACCTTTTATATTCTGCTGATACACGGCCATTATTTGGTATAAGTGAGGTAATACGGAAATATGTGGAGAAGCCCTGGACCTCCCAGAAAGTTTTCTGTGATCACAAAAGAGAATTTTAGGTAGGACAAAGCTTCCCTTATACCTGCTACTACCTTTATGGTAATTACTTCTGAAATTAATTTTGGATGATAGTTGTGATTCATTAAATATAAGTATTAGCCAACCTGGAGACCCGAAATGAGTGAACTAAAAAAACAGGACAGTAATCCTGTGTTCTTTTACTCAGGATTAGTACAGCTTTCTTCCTCAGCTGTTCTTTTATAGCATTGTAAGGGGCTATTGGATGTTGACTGCCAAGTTTGTACAGTATTACCATCTAAAAAGAAATCAGAACAGCTCTGCATCTATAAACAGTGTGGTCCAATTTATTGAACTAACTAAAATAGAATTTGAGAGTGAGAATTTTCAGTTTAACAGTACAAAAAATTCTTAGAACAATGAAAAAAGAAACAATATTAACAGAAATTGTCACATAAGGTGTGACAGGATCAAAGGTCAAGATATGTGTTAGAGAAAATTTGTTGTTTAACAGCTAAGTTTGTCTTCTTCCCTAATGAATCTCTCTTACCTAGCACAGTGCCTGACTTTCCTTAGGTCATAGTTGCTTAATCACTGAATGAAGAGATGTGTTAAGTGACTGCGTTTTATGGGAAAATTAATTTAGGGGTTTTTAAAGGGTTTCAAGATATTTCCTTAACAGATGTTGAGGGTCTTCTCAAGTCATTCCAAATCTTAGTTGCAGATGAGAATCACTTCTGCTCTTTTTTAAGCACAAAAATTCTAAATGTTTAACCCTAAATGTTTACCCCGAAGGTTTGGATTCAGCAAGTCCTGGTAGTTAGCTACTGATATTTTAAAACACTGACCATTTGATTTGGAGACAAGCATTGAACTGAACATCACTTCCTCTCTGGCATGATTTAGATTTAAAATGTCACAAAATCTAAAATGCATATAGATAAAAAGAATGAGGTGTCTTATCATATAAATATGTTGAAAAATTTGAGGCAAATATTTCCAGATTTTTATATAAATAAACCTAAGTCCCTTTCACTCATTAATTAACTAATTTATAGAGGCCCTGCTATGTCTAAGCTACTCTCTTTTTGAAACTTGATGGTATAATTGGGAAACATTATTGGTAAAGAGATGAAAATTAAGGCTTAACTATAGAGTTAAAAACTGGGGTGATACTTTTATGTTTTTTTTTTTTTATTTTTTGAGATAATCTCACTCAGTTAGATGTAACTGCAGGGACACCATGAAAAGATTATCCAACTCTCCTTGTGAATTCTAAGGAATATGTGTCATAAATGCTGAACAAGCAGAGACCATTAATCCAATGCCAATGGTTGAAGTATTCTAGGTTTTTCTGTTTCTCGCCAGGGTTTGTATTTCCAAGCCAACTGCTTCATGAGACGGGAAAAGAGAGAGAGAGAGAGAGAGAGAGAACACCAGATTACTTCAATCTTCAGAGAGTACATTGTGCATTTATTAAAAGTATGAGAAGGTCCAGAATATCATATCTTTTTTGATTTGGATGAATCACATGGTAGACTTTGGAATAACTATAGGAATAAATGAACTGTGTATCTTTCAAGTATTCAAAGCTGCATTTTTATAGATATTTCGTGATTATACTAAGTTGAGTTGAGCAAGTCTATTTGATTTATCATTATCACATGTTGAGGGAACTGTTTCAAATTCAATTTGTTGTACAAAAATCATTTAAAGTTTTTTTTTTCTGCACATGTGATCCATTGTGGGTCTGTTACCCTCCATTTATTAACTGATTATTATTCTCAGCTTGTCTCCAAGGAACTCAAACCCAATAAGGAATTATAATTTATTGTGAAATAGGAATAGTTTGGTCTCTAACAACTGAAGTCTTGTATAATAGACTAAAAAAAAAATAGCCTACTGGGGAGAGGATAAATTTTGAATTCCAGTTCTGCTGTTATAAACTGGGGAATATGAGCATGTTATTTAAATTTCCCAATGCTCTTTTTCTTGATAATTAAAATAGAATATTTGAAAGCCACCGTGAGTCTTCAAGACAACAGCTTATGAACAATTAACCAACACAGTGCCCAGAATATAGTAGGGGCCTAAGAAGAATTAGTTTTCTCCCCTCGAAGGGACGATAACCATTATAGTAGACATTTTGATTTGAATCCCAAGGAAATAAGAGATTAAAACATGTGCTATTTTCTCCTTGGTTGGATGAAGTGATGGAATGTTTACATATTCTATTTTTATTTTGTTCTGTGAGTTTCCTAAGCTGTGCTTGTCATATGCCAGACATTAGCTAGTCACTGAGGCTAAAAAAGATGAATAAACAAAGTTTATTTCCTGAAGGAGGAGGACACAATTTCTTGAGGGAAACAGATAAGTAAACGAGTAATTAATAGTCAGCATGAGATCTACCATACTAGAGGTATTGGTTCACAGGTAGGAGCACCATAACTAAATTTTTATTATCTAGATATCAAATATCAAGGCTCATGGTGATTTCCAGTTTTACCAGAAGTGGCCAAATGGCTGGCAGACAAGAGGCTTCGTAAGAAAGCATTTACTTTAAAGACTTTATTTCTCTTTAGGATTTTGCCTTCAGATTCATATGTTCAGAAATTTAGAGACCTACAGTTGACAAGATTTGAGATTTTTGTCTAGTTGGCCAATGGATAATTAAGGAGAAAAAAGGATTTTTCAAGGGAATTAGGAATTTACAATAGTTGGGACAACATATTTTCTACCTGTAGATAATCATCCTGGAAATTTAGATGATCAGATTGCTTGACTAGTCTTGGAGCCAGACAAGTCAATTCATTTACATGACTCAGATGTGCTCTGTCATCAATCTCTAATACTCTGATAGAGATACTCCATTCCTGGCACACCAGACAATGGACACTAGTCCTAGTAGGGCACCTTCTCTCTTGGACTGTGGATGAAAGTTCAGTGTTTCCTCTGACACCTCTTTTTTTCTTTACCTTCATGGTAGACTAGCTCCTGTCTGATTGACACATTCTTTTCTTAAATGTTTTAATATCTGCAATCAGATAATGAAGTTAACCAAATATGTCCACCATGCTTTATTTACAGAGTGTGCCTTCTTTCTTTGGAGACTGTTGTGTAATGCTCTTTATCTTTACTGATTGTGTTTTGTTTTCTGTATAGGTATATGTCAACCTTGTATTCTCACCCTGATTTTCCAGAGAAAGGGCCAGAGGAGATTAATGAAGAACTAATGAAAAATGTTAGCCACAATCCCCTTTTACTTCTCACACCACAGAAAGTTAAAAGATATGTTGAGTCTTTATGGAAGAAGAAAAGCTCTGGACAACCTGTCACCTTTACTGATATCTTTGGGATGTTAATAGGAGAAACACTAATTCATAATGTAAGTTACAGTTCAATCTACACTGCTTTTATAACAAGTAGACAGAACATATTATAATATTATATTTTAAATAAAAGAAAATGTAATACATTTTATAAAAGTCAGTGGACTCTACTTATTTGTCCAACTATGCGTACTGAGCCCATTCTCCCCACCAGAGATTATAATTCTTCTACCTTTCAAACTAGTGCTTACTAATTCATTTCAATGATGTAAAGATTTTGAATGTGTGAGGAAGTGCTTTTGTATTCCTTTTCTCTGGAAAAAAAAAAAAAAAAAAAAATTCACATTTTAACCCTTAACTGCCCATTCCCTCCAAGAATGGTAACATTTTTAGATGAGGAAGAATGAAGTTTGCCTGAATAGAGTCAAGAAAGGAAGGGGATCGCATAGAACAGACTCGCTTGATGCATGATTGCATTGATGTTTCGTTGAAGATAAAGCAGAGGAGCGCCTGTGACAGGGAGTCCAGGGGCTAAGTTTCTTCCAGGCTCCACAGTTGCTAATTCATTCTCCAGTTCAGATGTAGACATATAATCTAGAGTTATGATTATTTTTTAAATGAAGATAGTTACTTCCATAGAGCTTATTTTTTGTTGTTCATTCAGGACCTAGTAATTTCTAGAAGTAATAAGACTTATTTTTATTATAAAGTTATAAGATTTTGATTGGAAGTACTATTTTGAATAGCATTCTTTCTGTGTCTGTTTATAAATTTAAAGTCATCTTTTTCTTTCTTCTGTGGACAGAGAATGAATACTACTCTGAGCAGTTTGAAGGAAAAAGTTAATACTGCACAATGCCCTTTACCTCTTTTCACCTGTCTTCATGTCAAACCTGACGTTTCAGAGCTGATGTTTGCAGGTATGCTGTTTCCTTTCTCAGAACACTTCCTGGAACCTCTGAATTGCAGTTTCCCATGGTTTTCCTTAGAGGAAGGTCATAAGCAATTTCAGTTGTTTATTTTAATGTATTTTCTGTAACATAAGACTTTGAAGATATAAGAAAATATTAAGTGAGATGATTTCCTGGTTGTAGAGAATATTCCATGAAACTAGTAACTAATGTATTTTCATTTACTATAGTAAAATAAAAATCATGGATACAATCAATCAATACAGTCAATTAATTATCCACTCCTCAGTAACTTTTGACAAAATAATATGCCTAGTGCTTTTAGGTAGTGCAAATTGTTTTACTTGTTGGTTATCTTTTCATTAATTGGGTAATATGATCTACAGTCCTCCCTTGGTACTCATGGGGGATTGGTTCCAGGCCCCCCTGTGGATACCAAATTCAGTGGCTGCTCAAGCCCCACATACAAAATGGCACAGTGTTTGCAGGTAACCTACACACATTCTTATGTATACTTTAAATCATCTCTAGGTTATTTACAATGCCTAATACAGTGTAAATGCTAGGTAAATAGTTGTTATATTGTTAGGGAATAATTACAAGGAACAAAAGTCTGTACATGTTTAGTACAGATCAAACAGTACATGTCAACAACGTTACATTTTCTGGAATTTTTAAAAAATATTTTTGATCTGCAGTTGATAGAATTTGCTGAACTCATGGGTATATAGAGCCAACTGTATGTTTGCCATTCAAAGTGCTGTTGTAATTTTTATAATTCAGCACCTAAAAAGTTCTAGTGTATATTTGTAGTGGTTGATGAACCAATGCCTCATTTTGTTAAAATCTCAGGAGTGAACACTTGTTTCTTCTCAAGCTTTGCTTCTTGGATACTATAAAAGTGCACAACACTACTCGGGAGGCTGGGGCAGGAGAATGGCATGAACTCGGGAGACAGAGGAGCTTCCAGTGAGCCGAGATCATGCCACTGCACTCCAGCCGGGGCCATAGAGCGAGACTCCGTCTCAAAAAAAAAAAAAAAAAAGGGCACAACAGCATACTTTTGGGGGGGCCTCTGTCAGTGTTAGTCTGCAGCACAATAGCATTTCTGACTGTAGCTGGTGGGCTTCATTCTATTTTTAGGAAAATTATCTCAGTGACTTCAGACACCCCATGAGCTTAAAAAACCATCATGAGTGGTGTGTAATTGGCACATATATATCCAGAATCCTTTTGTAATTTTCACTTTTCTCTCAACTGCCTCTCAGACAAAAATTTTGAATAGTTTACAAAAATTAGCACACATGGGATCCATTCATTCAAATGTTTATTAAAATATTGGCTAAAATGTTTGTCATGCTTATGGTTCAGAACGCACTTATCACATTTGCTATTTTATTCCATGTTTCCTACAACCGGGGAGTAGGTATTTTTAGCTCTGTTCAACAGAAGAAAAACGAAAACCTCATAAAGATTAAATAATTTGCACATTGCTGCTTAGAACGTAATTAGCAGTGCTGAAATTGGTTTCAAAAATCCTTTGTTCTTTTTATTTTACCATACTAACTTCTGATGTGTACATAGTGATTACCGTCTATATAGATTGCAGCAGTCTGCCGGGCGCTAAGGATGAATTCCTCTTTCCTCACCACAATATATTGTCCCTACCCTATAAGACCTTATAGTCTGTTTGGAAAATTTACAATAATTATTAAAGAAGTTAAGGCACAAGAGAGTACAGAACTGTTACTATACACTGTCATTTTGACCAAGTTATATAATCTACGTTAGACCCAGTTTTCTCATCTGTTAAGTGAAGATGAGACTTCTCACAATGTTTTGCCAAAAAATGAGACAAAGTATGTAAACAATGGCAGGCCCTAATAATAAGTTTCCAGTACATTTTAACAATTTAGAATGTTCTGTGAAAGCTGTATAAGAAAAGTCAGAGGTCTAGATCTTAAAGATTAATAGGATTTGAATATGAAAGGCACATTTAATTATTGGATTGTGGAAGGGGGCATGTAGCAGGGTCAGGGATAACTCAGGTGTGCTCAATGGCAACAAGGAACCACACATCTTGGGCTATAATGGGGTTCATAGTAGAGAGTTGAGACTTTATTACATAGAAAAGTAAGCGCCATAATGAAATTGCTTCCCCCCAGCCATAGCTATTATCTTGTGGAGCTTTGAAATTTTTGGAATTGTTTGATCTATAACACTTGCATGCTAGTCAGATTTTTGCATGGCCAAATAAATCATCCTTCACCCAGAAAGAATTACATGGTCAAAAGAACACTACATTCTAATTTAAAAGCCTTGTCTTACAATACTTCTAAGCTGAATACCTCAGGCTAGTCATGTAATCTCTGATTCTTATTTTCCTCCTTATTTTAAAAAATATATTAACCCTAAGATTTATCTTCCAGAGCTATTAAGGCAATAATATGAAATATGCATAAGATGAGACTGAAAACTATAAAGAGGCATACAAATATAAAAGTTTGTTTTTATTGTCATGATTGTTCTGGACTTTTCACGGTGGTTATATTTTATTCTGAATTTTTAGTCAATAGCCATTTTCCAAGAAAACTTAACTAAAATAATTAAAGAATAAATAATATTTGGGTGAGTGGATATTCTGGGTTCTTTTAGACTGAAAAAATGCTGTTTTATATTCAGTTAGTAGTCTTTGGACCTGGATGTGTCTTCTTTTGACATCTGCTTCACTGCAGTACTGCTACTGAGATGAGTGGTGCATCATTAACCTTCATTGTTAAGCTTCTGTCATAAGGCGGGTTGAGCTGTGTCTTCCAACAGATTTAGACAAAATCATTAAACATTAATTATATGAATCTTGTACCCAGATAAGACATCTTAAGGTACATGTCTTGAGTGTTCAAGTAGCTTTACTTGAGTTACTGGGAAAAAAAGAATAGAGACACGTCTGTAATTTATTCTTCCAATATATGCTTAGATTGAAAGTGGCTGTGTAGAAGAAAAAGTTGAGATAGTCTCTGAATTATATTTTTAAAAGTCAAATAATCAAATTAGCTTACAGAAGCTTTATTAACAATTTTACTTCAACAATACCGGATAATATTTTCCCTTCCTCTTGGAATAATTTTAAACACACCTTTCATTTAGAAATTTCTTGGAAATTTTCAACAAATAAACATTGGTGTTTAAACTGTTAGAAATTCCTGACTCCTCCACTACATCACATTGCTGAAAGGACTTAAAACGTTCATTTAAAAATTTCCACTGGTGAATAAACTGCATTTATGGATTACAACTTATGGTTATGAACTTAGCATCATGCTAAATTTTTTGACAGACACTTTAGAAGTACAAATATAGTATTTTTCCTCAAGAAAGTTATAATCCTATTGAAAGAGACAAAAATAAAGCATGGAAAAATTCCTATAATATACCTAGACCTGACATAAGTGTGTAGACCTGACATAAGGGTGAGATGTCATAGAGATTTAGTATAGTTGTAAGAAAGGGTGATGAAACTTGGATTTAAGTCGAATGTAGAAGGATCTATCAAGTACGGGTAAAAAGATACCTTTGTGTGGAAACAATATGAGAAAATGCTCAGAAGGGAAGCCAGAGTTATGTTTTGGGCATCACTATTAAAAAAAACAACTAGTCTAGGACTTATGCACACATTGGTGAAGAAAAGGTGTTGTATTTGGAGGCACCAATAGTCCCAAGTTATGGAATGATTTTAATTCCAGACAGAAATATTTTTATTTGATTTTGATGATAATGGAAATAGTTAATGCTTTTGTGCAGGGCAATAAAATTATTTATGTAGTGTTTTTGAAAAAGTCACTTTGGTGACCAATAAAAACAGAATGGAAAGGAATGAAACTGGAAGCAGAGATATCACTGTGCTTTTGTGATAAGGCCCTGGAACTAGGGACATACTGATAAGAAAAGAATAGATGGATATGAGAGGCCTAAAGGTTATCGGTGTGATGCAATGATGGATTTGATAGAGTGATAGCATGGTTTACTGAAATAGGTAAGCTGGCCCGGGAAGAAGGGTGATGAGTTCTTATCTAGGTAAGTATAGTGGGAGGAGATGACAGAATATCTGAGTGTAAGGGCCCCAAAGGAAGTTGAAAGTACATGGAAGCGCAGGAGAGAGGTTGGAGTCAAAAGGTAGAGTCACCAGCAGGAGAGAATTAGTTGAAAACTAACACCGTGAGTTCTTCAGTGAGGGGTGCAGAGCTCATTTTAGCTTTTGAGAATGCCTAAGTTACTATGTGCCCAGGCCATGGCGCTAATCAAGAAGAGATCGCTAGAAAAGCAGGAACCAGGAAGTTGTTATGCCTCAGTTCCCATGATAGGGTTGTGAAATTGAGAGATAGGAAATTACTTGTATGAATACAGGAATTTTCCTAACAGCCTCTGATTCATTGCTAGTTATGTCTCACAAATTCCACGTAAATCGTTGTAAATCACACCACTTTCTGATGAAGAATATATGTACCATTTGGCTTTGACATATAATGAATTACAATGTTATCAAAATTGTGATTTCATCACTTCCTTCATGAAAGGAAGGTGTTGTGACCTACCATTGAACAAACAATAAATATAGATCCACAATTCCTTTTCCAAACCTTTGGTGACATGTGTTTTAGAATTCAAAATGTTTGGATTTTGGAGATATAAAGATACTCATATTGTGTATTACCTAATACCCCATTGGGTTCTTATAATCAGTGATATTTCTCCAATAGGATATATAAATATCCACATTGAGTGGGATAAATGAATTATAAGAGCCCCCACTAACATTCAAGCCTGATTTCTCACTAAATGAATTCAGATTAGATTTTACAAACAAATGAGTAACAAAGAAGCTTATGAATTTTTGAATTGTTTGGATTTTGTATTGTTGGATAAGATATTACAGACATATTATAATTTCAGAAAGAGAAAAGCTAGAAAAAAAAATGAAGTGGGTTAGAGAATTATGAGTTGGGCAGGGGTGGATGATGTTGGGATTTTAAAATGGACCATCAGCAAAGACCCTAAAATAAAGATTAAGTAGGAGCAAGCATTATAACTGCAGAAGGGAATAGCAAGTGTAAGGTGCTGAAGTGGGAATGAACTTGACTTCTTTGAGGAACAGCAAGAAGATCTGTGCCGTGTGGCTGAAGTGAAGTGGGATACGCAAGACAAAATGTGATAGAACATTGTTAGGAGGGATGTGGTCACATCACACAGGGAGTGGGATCTAGGCCAGGACGGAAACTTGTCGGCCCTGTTTTTATTTTCAGTGTAATGGGAAGCTTTCAGATGACACTGGTGTGCTGTGATTTATATTTTTAAAGATTTATTCTGGCTATGGGATATCAAAAAGATAATAAGTGAACAGAGTAGAAGCATTTTAGGAGGTTATTGTGGAGGTCCAGGAGAGAGAATACAGCAATTTGTATCAGTACGATCACAGTGGACAAATGGATAAGTGACCAGGTTCTAAACATACCTCGTGATAGAGCCTACAGCACTTGATTTTTCCTGTGTAAGCTATAAGGGAAAAGAGAACCATCAAGGGTAATCCTGAAGTGAGTAGTGGCATGAATAATATAGTACCATTTACCAACAAGAAGAAGAATGAAGGAGTTGCAAATGTAGAAAATGGGAATCAGAAACCAGGAGTTCTTGCTGAAGACATCAAGATGCAGATGATAATTAGACATAGTCGTAGCCATGGGAATACATGAAACATAAAGTGGCTACTATTTATTGAGCAATTAAAATGTGCTATGTCCTCTTCTAAGCTCCTTACATTTCTTAACTCAGTGGATCTTCAAAACAATCCTACACACTATCTACTTGTGATATGTGATTTTATTCACATTTTATAGATTAGGGACCTAAGACAGAGAGAATAATACCCAAGTCAGTAAGCACAGCTCATAAGCAGCAAAATAGGATTTGATCCCAGACAGTCCAGCTCCAGAGCCCCCGCGCTTAGACAGTATACATCTCTGGCACTATTACCATGTTTTTCTAAGGCATTCAACCTAAAAACTTTGTATTGCAATCTTGTGGAGTTAGAATAGACAGTTAGTGAGCAAAATTGAAGTGAAGGTGAAGAAAAGATAAATGTTAGAAAACATTTTATTTCATTTTAATAAACTGTTTGAATTGCTTAGAAGAGTTTAATTTATTCTGTATGCTCCATGAAATTTATATCTAGTTAGCAGTTTTCAGTTTCCTGTTCTGTAGAATGAAAACTGGCTTCAAAAAGACATCTGAGTTTTTAAATAGAAAAGTGCATCTAATTTCTGCAAATTAGAAGGGATCTTTTTGTATCGTCTTGTCTTATTCACCTCTAAGCGTTTTTCCCCCAACTTCTACACAATGTCATATACATAATGGGCATTTGGCTAATGTTTTCATTTTGATATTTTAAATACATGAATGAGAATAAGCATAACATTATTAAAGTGATCATTAATTGTGCACACCATGCCATAGCATTTTCCTATTAATGGATTGCCTTGTTTTTAAAATACTTTCAGATTGGGTTGAATTTAGTCCATACGAAATTGGCATGGCTAAATATGGTACTTTTATGGCTCCCGACTTATTTGGAAGCAAATTTTTTATGGGAACAGTCGTTAAGAAGTATGAAGAAAACCCCTTGCATTTCTTAATGGGTAAGTGATCAAAATAAAAATATATCATTGACTTGCTTGACTATTTTGAAACCTGGGATATTTTAAGTTATTTTCTGTTTCTGTTTTATTTTAGGTGTCTGGGGCAGTGCCTTTTCCATATTGTTCAACAGAGTTTTGGGCGTTTCTGGTTCACAAAGCAGAGGCTCCACAATGGAGGAAGAATTAGGTATCCTAAAGATATGCTTACATTGATACAAATCTTGCTACATTGATAAAGTTTATTGACATATATAGAGAGAATATTAAATCTTTGTAAATATTTCAACTATTCTAAATTTATTAATAATTTGGTTGAATCAATCTAAATATTTCCTAAAAATAATATGTTACTTCTTAAGTATTATTTTGACACTGAGGTTATAAAACTCATAAAAATCATTGATTTCTAAGAGTAATTTTTAATAGAACACATCTCTATTCCTTTTTCGCATTATACTGCTAAACATACTATTTGTATTAGAAAGTCCTCTTTTTATCAAATAAGAATAGCTTTTTAAAGATTAGATTCACCAACAGCTAAATACAATGTAACACTGAAGCTTATGCTTGTCAGTTTATTTAACCCTTAAATATTAACTCACCAGAATTCTGTTAGCATCTTATATTAATCTATACCCAAAAGAAGGAAAAAAATCAAATCACCTCTAGTACACTTAAACTAATGATTTTCATTAAATCTAACCTATTGGCCTATAATAAATTACGAATATTTACAAAACCTGAGAAAGTAGACAATCTCAACTGGGGACCAGTGGTTTTCATTCATTATAGGAATACCATAGAAACATGTTTTCTTAAATTAATAAATTTGACTTAAAGCAAACAAAAAATTTATATTCAGTTTCTTCCAAAAGCCTTGCCACCTGTATTTTAATCAACATTAATTTTTGGGTTGACTGTTTTGACTGATAGCATAAAGAAATGGTGGCATGCTAAATCTGAATTTGGAGCCATAACAGCAGGGACCTGGGAGAAGTGCCTGATGGACTATCAACACAACTACCTACTATCTCTTCTCTATCTGGGAAGTAGCAAAGATCTATCTGAGAACAAAGAAGTCGACAGAATAACATTGATGACTTTTTAAATAATTAATTTATTTGAAGAATGCTTGCATACAAAAAGCTTCCTGCAGGAATTTTAAACAAGCTGTCCTTGGTTATCCCAGGCAATGTCAGTTGATTTAATTAAGTTTACATGCAAAAGAGAATACAATTGTAACATTAATTGGAACATTAAGTTGGCTTATAAGCAGTATTTCCACTGCTCCTACAATTGATTTTAGTTATTTGATAATTTATTTAATATTTGTATTTAGTGTGGTAAACTCCTGTAGTTCATAATATTTTCAAGAGTGTCATTTGTATTTTTGTTAGTTCTTAATGAATAATGGAAAAGTTATCTTATAATTTCATTGGAGCCAAAGATTTTAAAATAAAAATAAAAACAAACACACAAATAAGGCACCTTGTGTTTGTTTATTTTCTGTCCTCTGATCATCACCCAGTTAATGAGCAAACAAGGTAGGTGGCACCCATGAGCCTGCTGTGACATTTACCACGGGGCACATTCTCCTAAGAGTAACTGCAAGGCAATGTGTATAATGATAAAATGATCTTACTTGATTTCTTTTAATGAACATTATATCCCAGATGAATGTCCTGTTCCCAACTCTTTGTGGAAATAACAAACCCTTTCTCTAAGTTATGTGAAGATTTTAGAAAAAAAAAAAAAAGAAGAAGAAAGAGAAGATCACATATTGAGGCTTGCTTCCTGTGCCCCTCTGTTGAATAATCCAGATAACCCAGGGTTTGCTGTTTTTTCTTCTTAAGGCAGGAAGAGAATAGGACTGAAATAACAGATCTGAATGTGGGTGAGACAGTGGCTAAAAGCCAAGGAAAAGGAGGAGGTTTATACTAGGTAGTTTTGAGAAGGTTCTTTGTTGAGAAGTTTCTTTAGAGGCCGGCAGTCTGGCAGCTTATTGACTCGGACTGTGTGTCAGACTGAGGGGGAATATCGTGTATGTGTGATCCGCCAGTCAGCAGGAAGCATGTTACCTCAGATTAAGTAAGGATTTCCAGAAATGAAACCAGAGAGGTGACCAAGAGGACTCTGAGGACTCCTGGTGACTACTCTATCCTTTGGCTGACTGAAGTCTATCTCCTAAAGGAGTGTTCAGAGATGATTTTTACTTTTTTGTTTTCTTCCTTCTGAAGAAAGACTTTAAGGTAAATTGGGCTACAATCAGGTAACTCTGAATGAAACTACTTACTCTCTAAGGAGTTTTGAATGAATGTGAAAAATTTACACTTTTGAGAGATGGAGTTGTACATTATACTAGGATGGAAAATATGTAAATTCAGAATAGTTAGCTATTCATATCGTGAATTCTTCCTTACAAATAAGACAGTATTTTGGTGAACTATTTTCTTAAACTATCATATGTGACAGAAAGAAAGAAAGGAAAGAAAGAAAGAAGAAAGAAAGAAGAAAAAGAAGGAAAAAGAAAGAAAGAGAAAGAAGGAAGGAAGGAAGGAAAGAAGAAAGAAAGAGAAAGAAAGAAAGAGAAAGAAAGAAAAGAAAGAAAGAAAGAAAAAAGAAAAAGAAAGAAGAAAGAAAGAAAGGCAATAGAAAGAAAGAAAATACTTAAGGAAGGAAAAGAAAATAAATGTAGGACTAGAAACACACCTAATGTATATGGCACCTGGGATAGATCATTTCTTAACATCTCCCACACCTCTGTGTAACAAAATTACTATTGATGATAGCCATGAAATGAAACTAATAATATTAGCTTGTGAACATTTAATCAAATTTTTTATGTATAATCATGCCAGTAAAAACTTAAAAAATAAATGTCAATCCATTGCCTTAAGCATTTATTAACCCTTCCATTACTAACTCTTGCTCATTCACGCACATTTTACTTGAAAAAAGACAACTAGTCTGGGCACTGTGGCTCACACCAGTAATCCCAGTTCTTTGGGAGGCCAAGGAAGGATGATCACTTGAGTCCAGGAGTTTGAGACCAGCCTAGGCAATAGAGTGAGACTTCATTTCTACCAAAAAAAAAAAAAAAAAATTAAAAAAATTAGCCAAGCATGATGGTCCATGCCTATAATCCCAGCTACTCAGGAGGCTAAGGTGGAACGGTTGCTTGAGCCCAGAGGCAGAGGTTGAAATGAGCAGAGATCATGCCACTGCAGGCCAGCCTGGGTAACCATTTAAAAAACATAAAGAAGAAAGATAACTAGTTATTATGCTAGAATTTACTGCTGTCTTTGTTTTAAGGATTTCTGGTTGTTATTTTAGTTTTTATAACTGCTCTCTTAATATGTTCTGCAGGAAGCACAAATTCTTGACACCAAAAGGTGAATTTCAACTGACAATTTTCAATATTATTGAAAGTCAAAAGATAATTTATGTTAGTATCTTTCATTCATTTTAAGAAAACTGTTTGGTAGCTCACCTGTAGATTTTGGTTTTATCCTTTATCTTCATAAACACCACTTAAAAATATCTAATAAAGAAAAAGGCATATTTTTTGGTATAACAAGGAGCTTCCTATAATCAAGTTGTTATTTTTGTCAGAATTATGATAAACATAAAATTATCCTCTTTAAGTCATGAATTAATAAATATAAACTAATTTTTCATGTCCCAGGAAATTTTGTTTCCAGTGAGAAATCTGAGAACATGATTAAATCTAATAAATCTAGAATTATTAAATGGATTTAAATTTATACTAGTAGAGCTAGTAGATCTCACTCTGTGGTTTTGCTCAGATTACTTTTTTATATTAAAATTAATTGTTAATTTTGACACCTGAAATGCTTCAATTTTTTTGTTTTCTTTTCACAGAAAATATTACCACAAAGCATATTGTGAGTAATGATAGCTCGGACAGTGATGATGAATCACACGAACCCAAAGGTGAGTGAGCCGGAAACTTTTCTGGCCCAGATCCATGAGGAAAGGATATGAACACTCTGTCTGATTTTCTCACTCAAGATGCTGATGGTAATCTTCACTTCAGACACGGAAGTGATAAAATTGTAGCTTTCTGTTGAGAGAGAGGATTGCATGTTGCATGTCTAATAAAATAGGCAGCACATATAAATCCCTAATTTATTTTGTTTTAATACCTCAAAAATACTATAAGTTGAACAAATGAACAGATCCAAGATGGTAGAAATGCTGAATTCTATTTTAAGTCTGATTAGAGCACTAGGCTTCTCAGCATGGTTACTGTGATTTGGGAACATTTTTAGATGGCTTTAAAAATTAACATTTTGTCTTTCAGAATTTTGTTATTAAGTAACATGAAAAATTATATTCTCACTCCATTCCTGACCCTTATCCCACTGGCTACACCCTCCCTCTTGAGAAAGGATTAGTGATGAAGTGGGGTAAAAGTATCAAGAACTTGATACGTATATTATTTCATAGTATAAATGAGCCCTTTTACATTTTGACAAGGTAGTTTGCAGTTTGGTGTGGATTATGATAGTCAGTGATGGACTTGGGGCAGAGATAAGGTGAGGATCAGATTTGCAACAAATATGAAAGTCATATTTGTTGTAAATGTTTTGTGGTAAAATAGATTATTTTGACACAGTGTTTTGAGACAGCCATTTATAAAAATGTTCCCAATAGTTAAAAAAAAGCCAACAAACAAAAACAAAAACAACAACAACAAAAAACAAAACAAAGGGAAGGCTTTATAAGAACTGGATATATCTGTCCTATTACAGTTTGAATATGATCATCTAGATTTTAGAAGATATTAAATGCTTTCTGGTCCAAAACTTAATTAATTCCACTAGGCATGGAAGAGCCTGTTTTATCCTTGCTTAATTATTACTAAAATTAAAATTCTTTTTTCATAGCTGGGCTATTACTTCCTCAGAAGATGTGTTTGTGTAAATTAAAGAAAAGCTGCCTTCTCTGGAGAATGTAGCTGCACAGGGCCATGGCTTGGCTAGTGTATGTTGTCTTGCGAACATTAAAAAAGAGGATTCCTTCCCTGGGCAGCCAACGCTTTCATCTGGGCATGAGGCTTGGCTAGATGAGTGCAAGTTGGGTTCAGCCCTGATTTGCCCCCCTATCCTGCTGCGTTATGTAGCCCATGATCTGCCTAATCAAATAATGACCAGCAGCCCTGATCATTAAGCAGGAACCCCAAAAGAACCCTGTCCTGGAAGCAAGCAAGTCTTCATCCTGGCTCCTTCATTTTTAAAATTTAAAATTTATATATATTTTAGTTGTTTAAGTCCTTTTTGTTTTGAATTTCCTTTTAATGAAGGAAGCTAGCTATTGTAAAGGGGATAGCTATCACATGCCTAGCATCTTTAGAATTATTTGTGTATTGATTTAGGGACTACTGAGGAGACAGAATAATGGTTTCTCCATTATTAAGTATTTCTATAGATAGTCAGTACATTTGATAACCCCTACAGTACTAGCTGAGTCTTAAGGCTGAGAAGTTCAAGGACTGTTGAATATGGCTGCTTTGGTTTTAGGATCAGCCTTGCTTACAGCATGATATGTAGTATGTGGTTAAGGTTTTCTTTTCGGCTCTTAGTATTTATTTTTTCTCTTTTACATAGAGTTTTTAGAGCAGTTTTAGGCTCAAAGCAAAACTGAGCACAAAGTACAGAGTTCCCATATGTCCCCTGTCCACCTTCCACCACCCCTGCCTCTCCCACTATAAACATTCCACACCAGAGTGGTACATTTGTTACAAGTGATGAACTTAAATTGACATTATTATCAGTCAAAGTCCATAGTTTACAGTAGGACTCACTGTTAGTGTATATTCTATGGGTTTTGACAAATATGTAATGACATATATTCATCATTATACATGTCACACACACTAGTTTCACTGCTCTAAAAATCCTGTCTCCTGCCCCGTCCCCTCCTCCCCCAACCCCTAACAAGCACTAATCATTTTACTCTCTCCATAGTTTTGCCTTTTCCAGAATGTCATGTAGTCAGAATCAAACAATAATGTAGCCTTTTCAGATCTTTCACTTAGTAGTGTGCATTTAAAGTTCCTCTATGTTTTTTCTTGGCTTCATAGCTTATTTTTTTAGCACTGAATAATATTACATTGTCAGGTTGTGCCACAGTTTAGTTATTCATTCACCTGCTGAGGAAGGTGAACTTGGAAAACTTGAAGTTTGCTTCCAAGTTTTGGACATTATGAATAAAACTGCTAGAAAAATCTATGTACATGTTTTGGTGCAGACACAGATTTTTCAGTTTATTTGGGTAAATACCATGGAGCACAATTGCTGGATCATATGGTAAGAGTATATTTAGTTTTGTAAGAAACTGCCAAATGGTCTTCCAAAGTGGCTGTACCATTTTGCATTCCACTACCAGCCATGAATGAGAGTTCTTGTTGCTCCACATCTTTTAAACATTTGGTATTACCTGTGCTTTGGATATTGGTCATTCTAATAGGTATGTAGTAGTATCTTTTTATTGTTTTAATTTGCATTTCTCAAATGACATTTAACTTGAAGCATCTTCTCATATGCTTATCTGCTATCTGTATATCGTTTTGATGAGGTATCAGTTCAGGCCTTTGGCCCATTTTTGGATTGGGGTTATTTTCTTATTATTGAATTTAAAGTGTTCTTTGTATGTTTTATATTACATGTTTTAAATCAAATATGTCTGTTGCAAATAATTTCTTTCAATCTGTGGGTTATCCTTTTATTCTCTTGAGGCTCTTTCATGTTTAGTCATATGATTTTGAGCAAAGTTTTAGGCATTTTCAGCTTTAGTTTCTTCAGACCTATCCTGGAACCATTTACCTTCTCTCACAGAATTGTTGCAATCATTAATTTAGCAAATGCATACAAAAGGGCTCTAAGTTGTAAAGGGCGATGCAAATAGAAATGTACTATTACTGTTATGATTAATAAGCAATAAGTATCATTTATATGTTGACTGTTGGGTTTGTCCCACAAGTGATGCCATTATCAAAGGTATCCTGGTATGGAAGTGAGGGCTTATTGAATAAGAAGAAGAAAAGTAAGAAGCGACAGCCCCAAAATCTTTGGAAATAATTGCATATCCTATTTATATGCTGTGTAACTAGAGATAGAAATCGTTCACTTTAAAGCCTGAATTGTTCTAGTAAAAGACATATTTTGTCCTGTTTGGCATTAGAAAAGTGTAAGAGTAGAAAGTAGTGTATTTGTTTTTGGTGACTATATAGTCATCTGGACTGGTTACTGAATGAAAGATCTCTTCATTTACTCAGCTCAGTTAAACAAATACCTGTGAAGATAAGGATTATAAATCATGCTACTATAAAGACACATGCACATGTATGTTTATGGTGGCGCTATTCATAATAGCAAAGACTTGGAACCAACCCAAATGTCCATTGTGGTAGACAGGATTAAGAAAATGTGGCAAATATATACCATGGAATACTATATAGCCATAAAAAAGGATGGGTTCATGTCCTTTGCAGGAACATGCATGAAGCTGGAAACCATCATTCTCAGCAAACTATCACAAAGACAGAAAACCAAACACCACATATTCTCACTCATAGGTGGGAATTAAACAATAGAACACTTGGACACCGGGTGGGGAACATCACACACCAGGGCCTGTCAGGGTGTGGGGGGCTGGGGGAGGGATAGCATTAGGAGAAATACCTAATATAAATGATGAGTTGATGGGTGCAGCAAACCAACATGACACATGTATAGCTATGTATCAAACCTGCACATTGTGCACATGTACCCTATAATTTTAAGTGTAATAAAAATATATATTTATTATGGTTTTATGTATGTTTAGTTTACATTTATTGGAAATTATGAAGCTGACTATAGAATCTCTTTTTTCTCTTTATTTCAACACACACACACACAATCACGCACACATACACACACAGTTTTATAAATGTGTGACTATTTATATACAGGGTTCCTAGAAATCAGAAAAAAACGGGGTTTAGGCAGGTGAAGTTATACATTACCATAAATTATTCTTTGATTTTGATTATGAATAAATAAGATTGATGATTATGATGCTTCTGCTGCTGCTGCTACAACTGTTTCTGCTGCTAGCTAGTGTTTATTAAGAATTTAATACGAGCCAGGCATTTTTCTAAGAACATTACATAGATGCACAAACACAGTTAATTCTCACAACTTTAGGAGGTTTATCAGTGAGGAAATGGAGGAAGAGAAGGGGAAAGTAACTAGAAAATAGTGGAGAGAGGGTTGAGACCCAAGGATTCTGATTCTGGAGGCAGTGCTATAAATGACCATACAATATAATTTCCCAGGAGTAATGGTGTATGCATAGGTGGTAAGGAAAAAGTCATTTAAAACTGCTTCTTTGGGGTGATTGCTGAATTTTAAAATGTTTAGGCATTTGTTTAAATTAAAGGCTTTTAAATCCCCAAACTTTATAAGCAAGGATGAAATGACAGGTCATAAGATCAATAGGTCATAAGGGTGTTTATTTAGTAGCAAATATATGTTGAATCCTTTAGCTCTCTCTCCTCATTTTGCAGAAATCCTGAATGTTTGTTAAACAGGGTAAGATTTCTTAAGGTAACTTAAGAAATGTAGAGGATAGAATTAACCACTGGATTTTCTGTGTGTAAGTTATATGTGTGCATGCAAGTGCGTGCACTTGAAGCCAGAGAAAAGGAAGAAATCAATTCAGGAAAGAAGGGAAGGGGGAACATGAAAGAAATTTACCTGGAAATCTGAGCATAGATCAAGTGGCACTGTCGAGAATATACCCCTTACACGCACTGTAGGTAAAAGGAGAACTAAGAACAAATTAAGAACAAAAATGATTAACTGCAATATTAATTTAGGCAAATACACATGTTAAACCAAATATAGAGCTTTATTGTTAATTTTAACATTCAATTATCCAAAGAAGATCCCTTTTTTTTTTTTTTTTTTAAGACAGAGTCTTGCTCTGTCGTCAGGCTGGAGTGCAGTGATGCAATATCGGCTCACTGCAACCTCCGCCTCCCGGGTTCAAGCGATTCTCCTGCCTCAGCCTCCCGAGTAGCTGGGACTAGAGGTGCACGCCACCATGACCAGCTAATTTTTTTTTTTTTGTATTTTTAGTAGAGATGGTGTTTCACCTTGTTGGCCAGGATGGTCTCAATCTCTTGACCTCATGATCCGCCCGCCTTGGCCTCCCAAAGTGCTAGGATTACAGGCGTGAGCCACCGTGCCCAGCCCAAAGATCCCTTTTTAAACATGTATTTTGGAGTCTGTATGGTGACCTTTTATTTTTCCCTAGGCACTGAAAATGAAGATGCTGGAAGTGACTATCAAAGTGATAATCAAGCAAGTTGGATTCATCGTATGATAATGGCCTTGGTGAGTGATTCAGCTTTATTCAATACCAGAGAAGGACGTGCTGGGAAGGTACACAACTTCATGCTGGGCTTGAATCTCAATACATCTTATCCACTGTCTCCTTTGAGTGACTTTGCCACACAGGACTCCTTTGATGATGATGAACTGGATGCAGCTGTAGCAGGTAAGTGTACAAATATAATTAGTGGGAGCTAATGCAGGAGATCTTTATTCCTTCTCTGGAGAGAAGCATTTTAATTATTATTAACACTTACTCATTTATTATCAGTTATTACAACCTGCATTTAATGTGTGAAGGGCTTCAAATGACTAGGGTTTTTTTTTTGTTGTTGTTTGTTTGTTTGTATTTTTGAGACAGGGTCTCACCCAGTCACCCAGGCTGCAGTGCAGTGGCACAATCATGGCTCACCGCATCCTTAATTCCTGGGCTGCAGCAATCCTCCTGCCTCAGCTTCCTGAGTAGCTGGGACTACAGGTGCACACCACCATACCCAGCTAATTTTTGTAGTTTTTGTAGAGACAGGTTTTTGCCGTGTTGCCCAAGCTGGTCTCAGACTCCTGGGCTCAAGTGATCCTCCTACCTTAGCCTCCCAAAGTGCTGGGACTGCAGGTGTGAGTC
Organism: Homo sapiens; assembly: GCF_000001405.40. Lineage (NCBI taxonomy): Eukaryota > Metazoa > Chordata > Mammalia > Primates > Hominidae > Homo > Homo sapiens. The sequence goes on from NC_000001.11 coordinate 186,956,801, forward strand.
ACCGTACCTGGCCTGGATTTTTTTTTAAAGAAAAATTTACATTGGAGAGGAAATGGCCTAGACATGTCAGTATAGAAAATTTTCATTAATAATATTGAGGAGGACGGCCGGGGAGCAGTGGCTCACTCCTGTAATCCTAGCACTTTGGGAGGCCGAGACTGGTGGATTACCCAAGCTCAGGAGTTCGAGACCAGCCTGGACAACATGGTGAAACCCCGTCTCTACTAAGTAATCCCAGCTACTCAGGAGGCTGAAGCACAATAATCGCTTGAACCTGGGAGGCAGACATTGCAGTGAGCCAATATTGCACCACTGCACTCCAGCCTGGGCAACAAAGTGAAGCTCTGTCTCAAAAAAATAAAAAATAAAAAAAATATTGAGGGAGATGTTAGATCTTCTCTGTACTGGTCACAGTTCAGTTGCAGAAATTTGGAAACTATTTCCTATTTTCTGAAAGGGATTTAAAGAAGGGAATTAGGTGCTTATAAAATCGTTCCAAACTTTCAGGAATTTAAATAAGGGAATTAGGTGCTTATAAAATCGTTCCAAACCTTCAGGGAGCAAGCTTTAGGCTGAGCTTTCAGGAATGGTTCAAAAACCACTTCAGAATCATCCCCACAAATGTGTTGGCAACTGTGCTTGGCAGCAGAAATAGTGGAAATGTAGCTTCTGTCTCATTTTCTGTTTCAGATTTTATGTGACTGACTGTTTCTCTTTGGCAGAGGCCAGGTCTCAGGAGAACTCGAGCTGCAAGGGAATCTGGCAAACACATTCTTAGCCTGACTCCCTAGTGCAACATAGGGCTTGAGTAAGCCAGCCTGTAGTGTTCACTAGGCTATTGGAACTATCTCTCCAGTTCTCAGAAAGGTTAGGTAACTTTCTTAAAACTGCCCAGCAAGAACCTTGTCACTTTCAGGTTTGTCACTTAGCCAGATCCTCAAGAATAATTCCCTTTGGTTTTCAGTTCCATGCCTGTTATAAAGTTAAATTTGCTTTGGTGACCAATCAATATACAATAATTTTTTGGTGATAATTCTGTCATTTTAAATTTTTATATTTCACCACACCATCATCTTTTCCTTAACGTCCAAATGTCATTCCTCAATCATCTATGTCTAAGGACATTTTGATTAGATGCAGTAAAAACTTAAATGGGATATTTCCAAAAAATTTTTCTACTGCCTTTTGTTTAAGCATCATACCTAGAACATACTTGTGAAATTTAGGATATAGCTTTGGATTTTGTTGTTGTTTTGGTATTGTTGTTTCTATTTGTTGCTTGACCCCTTAAAAGGTATTACAGAGGCAAAAATGACCCCTGTTGTTTAAACAAGATTAGTGCAAACTCATTATATTTTGTGTTATGTTTATGGCATCAAACTCTAGGATATGAGGTATGTCTGATTATATACCGGTAATCCCAACAGGATTCACTATGTTATATAGCATATTAACTAATATATTAACTATAATGAAATTCTAATTGTTATAAAGTCAATATCTCTTTTTAAATTCATCCAAAATAAAAATACACTTAACCATACATTCAGTGACATTATTTTTCTTGTTTAGTCACATAACTATGCTTATTGCCATCGCAATACCAATTAAATATGTCTCTTCTAGAAACGTATGCTTTATAGATTAATGATGATGAGCTTAAAAAAACTACAAATTCATAGAGCATGTCGATATATAGAGAATCTTCAGTTATTTTACTCTATAGAAAGCGAAGATCAAAGGAGATAATTCTGTCATCTTTGCCTAAAATTTCTCAACAGAGCTGAGATTGGGACACAGGTTTCTTGACATTGCTTCCAAGCTTTTCCCTTGGCCACATACCATTCCCCTTAGCCCTTGGTTTTCTTAGTCATCCACTTGCTTATGTAAAAATGGAAGTTTTCTTTGTGTATACTTTATTCTATTTGTTTTACATTATTACTTGGATTGCACCAGCTCCTTATGTAGTTTTCACAGCACGAGGTCTACACTCCACATTTTAACAACTTCCTGGAAGTTTTGCAATATTTTATGTAGATTTGGTGGTGTTGGGGTTACCAGATAAAATACAGAATACCCAGTTAGATTTGAATTTTAAATATGTATATGGATAATTTATATATCATTCTTGCAGCATTTAGGATGTACACTAAATAATTATTTGTTGATTATCTGAAATTCAAATTAAACCGGGCATCCTGTATTTTTTTAGCTAAATTTGGCAACTTTAGGATGTATGCCTCTTCCTTTTAAACTATTTTAGAAAGTTTCAGTGAGAAAGGAGGAATTTTCATCTTCTTTCTGTCTTTTGTTCATTCTTTCATTCACTTAGGTTTACTGAGTACTTATAATGTGCTTGGTTCTGCACTCCAGCCTGGGCAACAGAGCCAGACTCCATCTCAAAAAAAAAATAAAAGAATATGAGTTGATTGCGGGTGTTCGCATTTGGAGAATAATAGTTGTACACCACCTTGTCGACTCCTTTCTTCATTTAGTGCCCTTTGAAAGAAGAGTTATAGGCAGTTTTCATAAAATAACATAAGGAAATATATCATCCCCAAATATGGCATTATATAAACCAATTTTTTTGAGATACCTGAAAATGTTCTAAGCTAAAATTATTTTAAATTAATGACGTTTGGAAAGAACTTTACATTTTATTTCATTGTGTGTATTTCATTTAAATTACACTTTATTCATTTTTATGTATTCAGTTGAAAAATGTATATGGGGTATTGATTTCATTAAAAAATTTAGTTCAGTCAGTTCACAGATTCATTCAACTTTATGCTTTACAGGCCAACATTGCTAAAAATAATTTCATTTTAGACTGAATTTACTGAATGAACTAGTGCTTTTTCAGAAAGAGTCCTTACAAAGATAGATCTGATTTACCTCCCTCTGGTTGTTTCCAATTTTTAGAATAATCATATGTTTGGAATGAAAAGTTAAAACATTTATCACAAATTGTGATAATTTTGGTTCATAAGGTCCTCCTTAAAATTCCTATTTTAAAGAATACCAACTAAAACTTTTAGCCACAACTTATTTAAAACATTAATTAAGCACATTTCTTTTTAAATTTTGCAACCCCCATGCCAAAAAAAAGATTTTTATCTAATCTAGATATTAGGTTGGAAAAATGTTACATTTGTTTAACCTATGATGATTTTGTTTATATAAATTAAAATGTGGGTGTTTTAGAATTAAAGCAATCTCTCAACCTAAAATCAGTAAAAGTGCGCTATTTTTGTGCCTACTACTTAATCTTGTAGACTGTATTTTGTAAACAGAAGAAATTATAATAGGATAAAATTCCACTCATGTGTTTACTGCAAAATAGTTGTGTACCTGTAGAAACAAATTTTGGAGAGCTTTTTATTAGTCATATGACTTCTTTCCTGTTTACTTTTGTGTTTATCCTACTTACTGTGACACACCATCTGGAAATAAGAAATAAAGACATGAGTTAATTTAGGCTAGAGTTCAAAACACAGACATCCAAATATTTGTACATTGAATCTGTGTGATGTATTTATAAAATGGTCATTACAAATATCCAAAGCTGACCTGCTTTAAGGAAATGTTACATAATTCTAAAACAGAGTTATGTTTCCACAACCGCATTAATTCATTCACACGTTTAGAAACCTTGTACGTTTTAAATTGTAGGAGGATATTCTTCCATAACGGCATTTATCCAATACTCTATGACATTTAATAGATGTTATACAGTAAATTGGGTTTAAGTTCAAATAAATTTGGGAACATTTACAATTCGATCTCCTTCTTCAAATACAATGAGATACCCTACTGAGTTTAAGTCCTACTTAAAGCTGCTTGAGGATAGTACTTTAAAAGGAGACTAGCTTATATTTGAATCTCAGTTGGACCCTTTACTAGCAGGCAATCTTAGGCAGTCAGGTAGCATAAGCCTCAATTTACTTATAAAATAAAAATAACAATGGTACCCATGTTATAGAATTATTTGGAGGATTGGTTAGCATTTTCATATAAAGTGCTGTTAGTGGAAGCCATAGGAAGGAGAATAGGGAATGCGCAATGTAATTGGCTAGTACTTTAAGTTGTTGAATTTTGTCTTTCTCAAGACATGACCTTATTTAATCATGGCACTCTTATTTTGTATATGAGACATCAGTTTATATCTTGCATAACTATGCTTTTTGCAACACAGTTAGGAAACACTACTTACTGGTTTGGCTTGGTTTTTTTGTTTTTTGCAACATGGGTGAACTTAGTGGATATTATACTAAGTGAAATGAGACAGACACTACATGATCTCACTGTTATGTGCAATCTAAAAAAGTTGAACTCAGAAGTAGAAAATAGGGTGAGGATTACCAGAAGCTGGGGGGGGATTTGGGGAGGAGGCAGTAGATGGAGAAAGAGGCGACCTTGCTCAAAGGGTAGAAAGTTTCAGTGAGAGAGGAGGAATAAGTGCTGGGTATCTATTGCACAGCATGGTGCCTGCAGTTAATAATAATGTACATTTCAAAATAGCTAAAAGAGAGGATTTAGATGTTCTTACCACAAAGAAGTGATAAATATTTGATGTTATGAATATGTTAATTAGCTTGATTTGATTGTTCCACAATGTATGCATGTAATGAAACATCACATTTTACCCCATAAATATACGCAATTATTATTTGTCTACAAAATAAAAATTGTTTTAAAAATAAAATAACAATAAAAGGAACACTACTTACCATCAATTTATCTTGAAGGTGGAAACAATGGTGTTTAGCTACAGACTAAAGCTGGGAATTGGTCCACATGATTTTCCCCTCAAATGCCCTCACTCTTGGATTTAAGAAAGGATAAAAGGATACTACCAGTTTACTGATGATAAGGGGCAAACCAAACAGAATATGAGAGAAATCATGTTTTTGGTTACACTTTCAGCTAAATTTTTTTTTAAAAACTGAGTTTATGAAGCCAAAAAATTTTATGAATTATAATTATACTTTCATTAGATTAGGGAAAATCACTGCATGTAAAATTAGAGTAATCTTCCTCCCTTATTCAAGGTTTCAGTTTCCTCAGTTTTAGTTACCCACAGTCACCTGCTGTCAACCACAGTTTGAAAAAAATAAAAATTCCAGAAATAAATAATTCAGAGTTTTAAATTGCATGCCATTCTGAGTAGCATGATGAACTCTCATGCCTTTCCTCCTGAGATGCAAATCATCTCTCTGTCCAGGCTGCATATGCTACCTGCCCGTTAGTGACTCAGTGGCCATCTCAGTTAACCAGATTGACTGTCACAGTATCACAATGTCTGTATTCAAGTAACCTTTTTTTTTCTACTTAATAATGGCCCCAAAGTGTAAGAGTAGTGATGCTGACATAGTGTTATAATTGTTCTCTTTTATCTTTACTGTTGTTAATCTCTTACTGTGCCTAATTTATAGATTAACCTGTATCATGGGTATGCATGTGTAAGAAAAAACATAGTATATGTAGAGATTTGTACTATGCACAGTTTCGCACATCCACTGGGGGGTCTTGTGGCATATCCCCCCAAGTAAGTAGGGACTACCATACTCCCATTATTGTGTTTTTAAATGTTAGGTTGAATTGCGATAAAATACACATATTAATGTGGTTTTAATAACTGATAGGATTATGTGCTGATAAACTCTATACTTTGTAGTTATTTTATTTTATTTATTTATTTATTTATTTATTTATTTATTTATTTATTTATTTATTTTTGAGACGGAGTCTTGCTCTGTCGCCCAGGCTGCAGTGCAGCGGCGCGATCTCGGCTCTCTGCAAGCTCCGTCTCCCGAGTTCACGCCATTCTCCTGCCTCAGCCTCAGAGTAGCTGGGACTACAGGCGCCCGCCACCGCGCCCGGCTAAATTTTTGTATTTTTAGTAGAGACGGGGTTTCACCGTGTTAGTCAGGATGGTCTCGATCTCCTCACCTCGTGATCCACCCGCCTCGGCCTCCCAAAGTGCTGGGATTAACAGGCGTGAGCCACTGCGCCCGGTCACTTTGTGTTATTATTTTTTATACTATTCATTTCAAGCCCTCTTAGTTAGTCATGCCACTTTCTAAAGTAATAGTGTCACACCGTGCTTAGGGCTTAGACCTTGTGAACCTGGCTTGGAATCTTGACTCTCACTATCTGTTTGAAAATAGACAATTTATTTTACCTCTGTGAGCCTCAGTTTCCTTATCTTTAAAATGGCTACCTCCTTTGTAAGATTGTTTCCTTATCTTTAAAATGGCTGTCTCCTTTGTAAGAGTCGTATAAGAATAGTAAATCTTATATATGAAATTTCTGATACATAATAGACTCAGTATAAATGAAGTCATCATTAGGATAAATGTAAGTAACCAACTAATGAATTATAACTTTTTAGTAAAATATTTAAAAATAAATTTAAGCCAAAGAATATTTTTACCTGTAAGATGTTCACATATGTAATTGTTAAACTAAAAATTTCAGAGGAATAAATATTAAAATTGGGCTCGACAGTTTATATAGTTCAGTCTTACATCGTTACATTCCAGGTTCTGTGATAGGTAGTCTAGTATTTTGGCTGATGGCAAAGTGCATTCTCACTACTGTTTGTAAATACTTATTAAGAAAACAGAATTGATCTACAGATAATTATTTAAAGAACTATTTCTCGTCTCTCTCCTTATTGCCCTATAAGTTAGCCTTGGACACAGCCAGCCTTTATTATTTAGCCATATTACCTTATCGTTGTCTTTAAAAATAGCTTTATTTTTAGCACATTTGGTTTTATTCAAGACCGTTATTCACAAATTTCCTCTTTGCTTCACCTATTCTGGGCCGTATGAATTGCCTCAGCCATAAAATTTATTCTTCTTTATTTATAAGCATCACTAGTAAGCGTTTGTAACATTTATTTGTTATTCAGTATTTTAGAAATGGGAATTTTTAATAGATGTAAGGAAACAGATGACTTTGTTAACTGTAGAACGTTGGATATTAATGTTTCTTTAAAGTATTAATAACTATGCCAAAGTCTTATTCTTTCACTTTACACTGAATAAAATATTATGACTGTCTCATTGGTGTTTTTACTTCAACTTTTATTTATAAAGAGGATTATGGATTTAATTGGACAAGAAGAATTTAAAGATTTGCTTTCCTTTTTGATTTCATGCTCTTAAAATCTAATAAGTAAAACTGACTATAGGAGAATTATAGTATTATTCTTACTTAGAAATCTATGAAGGGAAACTAACATATACTAGGTTCCTACTGTGTGCTGAGCATGTATGTATGTACATAGGTATTAAGTCAGAGATCCTTATTCATATCTGGTGTGACCATCTTCACTTTATTCTACTATCATAGGCCTCCCTCTTGGGCTTTGCCAGCCTTCTTCTAACAGCAGGAGGAAACAAGAGTGTGGACAAGGGAACAGAGCACAACAGCTGTATGGCATTTTATCCAGTTCAATTCAAACCAGTTCAATTCTGGTCATGTTTTATTTTCCTGGCAAGTGAATTAGGAGCACCACACATAAATGTGAAGAGTAATGTGTTATCAGTATTATTTTTTCATAAAATTGATGATCTCTAGGTCCTCTTTTTCTTCAGACCCCTTGCCATCTCATCTGTTCTCCTCCCATACTGTCCTCAGACTGCAGGCTCCTTGCTGTCCTCAAACACACCCAGCCTGATTCTGCCTTGGGACCCTTGCTCTAGCTCCTCCCTCTCCCTGGTAACTTCTGGATCCCACCCTCCCAATCTTTAGGTGGCCTGTTCCGTATCATTATTCTTATTTCAGTGTAAGGTTTTCTTCTCAGAGGCATCTCCCCTGACCATCCACCTGAAGTTACTTACTCCTTATTATAGTGTCCTTGATCATTTTCTTCATTGCATTTATCACGTTATGAAGTGCCCTCTTGATACATTTATTTACTTATTGGAGGTGTACTCGCAATATGAGCTCTATCAGAGCAGAGCATGTATCTATCTTGTTCAGCATCTGGAATCATATCTGAATGGTAGTAGCCAACATATATTTGCTGGGTGTGTTGGCTGGATGATTTCCTTGAACTCCCACCTTGTGGTGGAATGCACACTCACCCTCAAGAGAGGCAGCCTGGGAACCATACAGAGTCTGCCACCTCCCAGTTGTGCCACCTTCGAGATGACTCTTCATTGGCTTCACCCTCCATTTACAGATGTCCTCTGCCTCACCTGTCTGTTATAAGAATTAAACAAGATTATGCATGAGGAAATGTTTAGAAACATGTAAAGACCTACGTAATGTAAGATAATACTATTGAAGTGATCATAGCTTAGAGTTAATACCAGGACCTGAGCTAAGTGCTTTCCATGCGTTGTCCCTATAAATCCTCACAGCAACCTTATTTGATAATTACTTTTATCCTGATGTTACAGATGAAGAAACTAAGACTTAAAGGTAATAATTACAATTGCTAAAGTTGGTTTCATGCCCAGCTCTATTTGTCTCCAAAGCCTGAGGGCCTAATCATATGAAATTCTTTCAAATTTGAAACCAACATTTTTAGATGATAAATACTGATGAATGATCATTTAATTCATTCTTGTTTTTCTTTTATGTTTTTAAGATCCTGATGAATTTGAGCGAATATATGAGCCTCTGGATGTCAAAAGTAAAAAGATTCATGTAGTGGACAGTGGGCTCACATTTAACCTGCCGTATCCCTTGATACTGAGACCTCAGAGAGGGGTTGATCTCATAATCTCCTTTGACTTTTCTGCAAGGCCAAGTGACTCTAGTCCTCCGTTCAAGGTAAGGATACATAATACAGCATTCCATTCTCTACCACATTCTCTTGCTTGCCTTATAGATCTCTTAGTCCCTTTGACTCCAGTTTCTTATTCCTTTAATGTATTTTCTACATCTTTATGAGTAATAGTTCTAAAACGCAAACATGGTTCAATCAGTCTCCTGCTTAAAGACACTTTTAAATAATTCTAATGAGCTCAATAAAGGTCAGAGCCCTGAGCAGGACAAGAATAATACAGTGGGTCTGAAGTTTAGAAAGGAAATGAGGCTGAGATTTGGGAGTTAGCAAGTAAATGATCATTAAAACCATGAATGGAGAGGGTACACCCTGAGAAGAGAAGTAGACATAAATAGTACTTTAAAGAATGCTAACAAGGGGAAAGGAGGAGAACAAAGGAAGTGTGTAGTATTATGAAAACTGAAGATATATTAACAAGGGGGTTTTTTGGTGAACTGGACAAGGCCAGTTTCAATAGGGCTGTGAGGGCAGAAATCAGACCAGAGTGGTTTGAGGGATGAGTGGAAGTTAAAAAAAAAAAAAAAAAAAAAGACATCATTTCTGTAGATTGTTCAGGGAAGGAGATGGACTGTATCTGTAAGAGGATGTGGGGAAGAGGAAAACTGTGTGTGTGGGTGGTTGGGGGTGGGTTAATAGAAGAGACAAGCATGTTTACATACTGATGGCTAGGAGTCGTTAATGAAGAAGGTATTACTGAAGAGAGGAGAGATGAGATATAGGATGAAGTCACATCTCTGGGAAGGATGTAGGGATGGGAAGTGGGAAAGGAATCAAGGACACAAGTGGGGAACAGTATTGAAATGTCTACGCTGGGGGAAAATGGCAGCAGATGAAGATTTATCATTAGGTATGGAAAAAGGAAGTTAAGGAAGTATTCATGTGATGACTTCGAAGTTTTATAGGAATTAGGAGTCAAGGTTAACTTGTGAGGATAAAAATATGGAGGTAGTGGAGTCAGGCATGTGGGGTAAATAAAAGTCCGCCTGTGTTGAAGAAAAGAGAAAAGCTTCTGAATGTGGCAATATGGAAAGATTGCTGGGCTGCACTTTGGCCTCACCCTCAAATAAACACGCTTTGTTCCCTCTGCCTGGAATACTCAAAACATTCTTTAGACACAGCTCAAGTGTTATCTTTCTTGACTTCCACATATATGGTTAAAGTGCATAGGACTCAGTCAATTCGTCTAATACAGCAATTATCATAGTATGTTGTATGTTTTTGCTTACATATATATTGCTTTCACTGTCTGTGAGCTCCTTGTGACTAGAACTCTGTTCTCTGTCTGTGTTTATTTTGTTTTAATCATTTGGTCCTAATTGTCATTTAGGTACTGGCCAAAATATGAGTATGTAGGATTTTTTTGTAGGTGAATAAATGAAATGCTATGAGAGAGATGGAGTTATTATTTTGATTTTATAGAATAAGAAGTGGCAATTCATAATAATTAAATGGAACAGTTCATGATCTCCTAACCAGGTGGAATCAGTGATAGCCCAGGTCAGGTCCTCTGACAGCATATCTGTTTTTTTCTCTATCATATGATGATTAAACTGCTCTCAAGACCAATAATGGTTATTATAATAACTCTTAAATATATAGAAAACCTTACATGTTCAAAGTGCTTTCATACTTTATCTATTTTTGGGGTAGTAAAGGTATTCAGACAAAGAAACAAGTATCAATGAGATAAAATCTTATCAACAAATTAAATAATATGTGGAATGAGCACAGCCCACGACCTGGCTAGGGAAGTGCTAGTTAAGAAATGGTGAGATGGGACCAGACTCCAAAGCTACAGAATGAGAATTTCTTACCCTTTACCAGCTGCCTTCTTTGTGCACACTGTTCATGAACTCTTTTCTGTGTAGTGTGCTGTGTGCAGCAGTTAGTGGGAAAATACAGTTCCTGATCTCCCATAACATTTTGGTTTTTTGGGGCAAAGACTTTTATTCACAAGAGCCACTTGGAGGGGAATTGAGAAACTTACTATTAAATAGTCATTGACATAAGTTTACATAAGTATGTGTATTATAGGGGATAAATATAAGAATAGATTGGTGCATACTGGAGTTAATGAACAGGGTAATAAATGAAATAGGGTGAGAACAGCACAGAGATGGCAATGAGCACATCTAAGGGGCAGGAGTGATCTGATTAGAAGTGACAGATATTCAGCTCCCTTAGAAAGGCTTAAGGAGAGAGTTTAAGACAGGACAATAGGAAATGGAGAATCAGTGGAGGATTTCAGCAGACAAATGACTTCATGAAATTGGAATTTTAGGATGATTAATCTGACAATGGAAAGTAGGATGAGTTGGAGAATGGAAGGCAAGGAATTAACATTAAGAGACATGTATTGTAATCCAACCATAGGATAATGAAGTACTACTGCACCAGAGTGGGTGACTATGAATTTGATGACCTATGAGAAACAATGGGGAGGTGGGTTTCAGTGGATGACTCTAAGATGATAGCTTAGAAGCTGGTCTAGTGGTGGAAGACACTGTATTATTCATTTCACCAATGGGGGTATAAAATGTCAAAGCCATCATTTTACATGTGAATCAGGGCTCCACCACCTTAATGAGTTGGAGGAGGTTTTGGAATATCACTTTGTACCTTTAAAAAGAATCATTATACTTGGCAGTAGTTTTTAAATGTTGACTCATTATTTGTGATTAAGAATAGATACTTGTAAAATGTATGAACATTTGGTTTATAAATGCAGTACTTCCAGACAACAGCTGTTAATATTTTGGTATTTTCTTCTAGTCTCTTTTCGCGGTGTGTATGTGTGTGTGTGTGTGTGTGTGTGTGTGTGTGTATGTGTCTATACCAGGGTCATGTAGTTTTGCATTCTGTCTCTTTCTACTTACAACTGTATTATGAGCATTTTTTCATGTCATTAAATATTTAAGAAAACAATTATAAAGACATATAATACAGTAAATATAAAAGATATATAAGATGTTTATAAAATAAAATAAAAATATATACTATCTCTGTATACAGATACGTATTTATTTAACAATGCTCTATTTTCAACTTTTAGATTATTGCTATCTTGCCACCTTTTTCTGTAATCATTATCCTTGCACATGAATCTTTAATCACATTTTAATTATTTATTTAGGTTGGTTTCTAGATGTGTATCATTTTATGACTTCTAGTAAATATTTTCAGATTGATTTCTAGAGAAGCTTCATCAATTTACATTACTATGTCTAATTATATATTTGAGTCTCTGTTTTACATGCCTTTGCTGGCAGGAAAAAATATTAAAGACGAAGTAAAAAAAAATTTATACAATATGATGGGGATAAAAAACCTCACATTTATGCTTCAGTTTTCTTCCTTTGTGAGACTGAATGGTTTGTCATGCTTATTATATATTGATGTTTTTAAACTACTTTTAATTGGATTATTTGTGATGTTCCTATTAATAAACATTCTTTTTATGTCTTAAGAATATTAAAGTTTGTCTTATTCTTGCAAATATGACCTAATATGTCATTTGTATTGGGACTTTTGTTGTTGATGATTTTATTGTTTCAAATATTTATGTAGGAGCTTCTTCCATTGTTTTTATTCTTTCTTATAATTTTAAAAATTTTTTTCACTGTATTTTCTCTTTTTCATATCAGTTTTTTAAATTTTTATTTTTAATTATGGATGCAGAATACTTGTACATATTTATGGGGTACATGTCAAATTTGATACAATCATATGTGGAAAGATCAATTAGGGTAATTGGGATATCTATCCCCTTAAGCATTTATCACCTCTTTGTGTTAGTAACATTCCAATTCCATTCTTTTAGTTATTTTGAAATATATAATAAATTATTGTTAACTATAGTTACCCAATTGTGCTACTGAACACTAGATCTTATTCCTTTTATCTTACTGTATTTTTGTACCAATTTTCCATTCACTCTTTATTTCCCCTTTCCACTAGCCTTCCCAGCAGATGGTAACCATCATTATACTTTCTATTTCCATTAATTCAACTGTTTTTAGTTCCACATGTAAGAGCATGTAATATTTGTCTTTCTGCGCCTGGATTATTTAACTTAACATAATGTCCTCTAGTTCTAGTTCCTGACATGTTATTACAAATGACAGGATTTCATTATTTTTTTTATGTCTGAATAATATTCTATAGTGTGTAGGTATCACATTTTCTTTATTCATTCATTTGTTGATCAATGCTTACATTGATTCCATATTTTGGCTATTGTGAATAGTGCTGCAATCAGCATGGGAGTACAAATATCTCTTCAATATACTGATTTTCCTTTCTTTTGGGTATATACCCAGTAATGGGATTACTGGATCATATGGTAGTTCTATTTTTAGTTTTTGTAGGAACCTCCATACTGTTTTCTGTGGTGGCTGTACTAATTTACATTCCAAGCAACCATGTAGGAGGGTTCCCCTTTCTCCACATCCTCATCAACACTTGTTATTTCCTATCTTTTGGATAAAAGCCATTTTAACTGGGGTAAGGTTGAATCTTATTGTAGTTTTAATTTGTATTTCTTTGAGGATTAGTGATGTTAAACATTTTTTCATATTCCTGTTGGGCATTTGTATGTCTTCTTTTGCGAAGTATCTATTCAGATCTTTTGCCCGTTTAAAAATCCGATTGTTTTTCCTATTGAGTTGTTTGAGCTTCTTATATATTCTGTGTATTAATCCCTTGTCAGATGGATAGTCTGCAAATATTTTCTCCCATTCTGTGGTTCGTCTCTTTTCTTTGTTGATTATTTCTTTTGCTGTGCAGAAGCTTTTAAGTTTGATGTGATCCCATTTGTTCATTTTTGCTTTGGTTGCCTGTGCATCTGAGGTCTTATTCAAGAAATCTTTGCCCAGATCAGTGTCCTGGAGTGTTTTCCCAATGTTTTATTCTAGTAGTTTTATAGCTTTAGGACTTAGATGTTACTCTTTAATTGATTTTGATTTGATTTTTATATATGTCAAGAGACAGCAGTCTAGTTTCATTTTTCTGCATGTGGATATTCAGTTTTCCCGGAACCATTTTTTGAAGAGACTATCCCTTCTCCAGTATATATTCTGGGCAACTTTGTTGCAAATGAGTTGAACTGCAATGGGTGGATTTATTTCTGGGTTCTCTATTCTGTTTCATTGGTCTATATGTCCGTTTTTGTGCCAGTATCATGCTGTTTTGGTTACTGTAGCTTTGTAGTATAATTTGAAGTCAGGTAATGTGATGCCTCCAGCTTTGTTCTTTTTGCTCAGGATTGCTTTGGTTATTTGGGGTCTTTTGTGGTTCCATATAAATTTTAGGATTTTTTTTTTCTATTTCTGTAAAGAATGTCACTGGTATTTTGATAGGGATTGCATTGGATCTGTAGATTGCTTTGGGTAGTATATTCTTGAAATTCATTCTTACCAACATCAGTTAAATGTGGATTGATATTTTAATTTTTATTTTATTCTTCTAAATATATTTAACTCATTAATCTTTTTGAATACATTGCCTTTGTAATAACATAATCCCCCATAGACTTTTTTGGCATTATTTTGTTATACTTATTATATCATATACTATATGATTCTTACAGGGCACAAGGATATTTTGTTTTAATCTTTTGTGTTCCATTAATCCATCTGACAATCTTGCAGTTCTTATGTCAGTACCATACTGCATTTTAATAACTGTAGCTTTATTATGTGCCTACTATAATAAAAAGCATGTCTCCAATCACTCCTTCTGTAGTACATATAGGCATTTCTACCTGTGCATTCTCTTAGATGTGTTTTAAAATCATTTTGTCAATTCTTTTCTTCCCGTGCCTTTCTCCAAATTTATATACTTCCTTTTATTATTTATTTAGCATAACATGAAACCTACCATTCTGGAAATAATGAATTATATTTTCTGACACTTAATATAAAGTAAATTGCAATATATTACACATAATATAGTTTTTCTTGTCTCTAGGTATGTACTTCAGCAAGTTCAAAGTAAACAAAATAATCTTTTCAGGCAGAGTTGGAATATTAAAAGTACCTTAAACCTATAAGTGTTGTTATCAAAATATGTATTCCTAAATTAGTCTAAAAGATTGCCAAAGTAGAATTGTTAAATTGATAAAAATATTATACTATCAATACTAAAGTAGAATATTTGTTTTATATATAACATAATAAGATTTGAAAATTTGCGAGGAGTCTACATAAAGTTCTTTTGATAGGAGGGGAGAATCCCTAATGTAATAATTGGATATATGCAATATGATTTTATTAAGGTAATTAAATAGCAAATAATTTCCTATTTTTGAGACTGAAATATGGATACTGCCTTTCACAAAATATTAGAGCATAAATGCTGGGCAAAAAATTAGAACTATTGACTTTATTTCACATTTGCAGAAAATTCTAGCACTTCGTGTAGTTAAATGTCATATTTTGTCAAGAAGATACAGAAAGATGGAGATCATGTCTTTTGATAAAAGCAACCACAATTTATGTTGTTGTATCTGTGTTGTAACTGGCCTTGAAAGTTAATGACATCAGTGTGACACTAATTTATTTAGATTAGTTAGCACACACCTAGTAGTAGTCCAATATAAAGAGTTCATTATTCTAAATATTATTACTATTAATTTATCTAACAAAAGCAGCTTTGTGTTTCATTTTGTCAAGTTTCTTTTTGTTAACCATTTAATATCTTAGATGTATAATATGAAAATTTAGTGTACCATTAGAGCTCATCCAAAGACAATCAGTGAGATTGATTGTTGGTCATGAAAATAAGCCAAAGTCTTCATACTCAAGCATGCAAAATTAAGAGGCTGTGAATTTAGGGGAAAATGAAGGGACTTTGGGTTTTGTCGGGGAGCAAGAAAGCAAGGAATATAGAAGAATTCAGAGTTTACTACTTGAAATTATTTTCCCCTTTATCTTACTAACTTTTAGGGAGAGTGATAGATTTTAGTTATTATGCCATAAATTAAGTTATATTGTGTTGCCATACGTTGGACATAAATCTGGCTCAGTTTTTCAGTGCTCATTTAAATGCTTAATGACAAGAAGCCAGAACAACGGGTTAATTCTCTTAAAAATTATTCAAGGAAAGAGAGAAAGAGGAAATGAGGGAAGGAGAGAAGGAAGAAAGAAGAAAGGAAAATCTGAAATGAGGCAGTCTTCACAAATGATGGAAGTAATGTATCTAAATTAAACTGATCTGCCTACATTTCATTTAGGGTCAGAATTCCATTTAAACCCACTAAAAACGGAAAAAGTATCTGTATTTTTCCACAATCACCTGATTTATTTGTTGAAACGAGGGCATGACCTGTTTTAGAATCTCCACATATTATTCACTTATAATGCTTAGGTTGGCCCACATCACAGCCAAATCAGTCCAAGCATTAGCTTTGTGGGCACCAATCCACAATGGCTGGTGAAGGAAAGTGCACAGCATTTAATGTAGTACTTCCAGTTTTATCTCTTGTACTAGTTTCCTGGAACTTCTGTAACAAATTACCCCAAACATGGTGACTTACAACAACAGAAATATATTCTCTCACAGTTTCGGAGGGCAGAAGTTGAAATTAAGGCATCAACAGGGATGTCCTCTCTCTAAAGCCTCCACAGTAGACTCCTTCCTTGCCTTTTCCAGCTTTTGGTGGTTCCAGGCATTGCTCGCCTTGTGGTTGCATCTCTCCAATCTCTGCCTTCATTTTTGTATGGCCTTTTCTTTTGTGTGCATGTCTTCTCTTGTATCTCATATAAGAATAATTGTCATTGAATTTAGGGCCCACCTACGTAATCCAAGATGATCTAATCTCAAAATCCTTAATTAAATTACATTTGCAAAGAGTCTTTCCCCAAATAAGGTCATATTCACAGGGCCGAGGGATTAGGAAATGGTATTTTATATGGAGCCACCATTCAACCCACTACACTCATATTGGTCACTCACATTGAGAATCAGATGTTTTGTGATGATATTACATTAAGTTGACATTAATTTCCCTTTACGTATTTTGTGAGTTTATGGTAACATCCCTGTGAATAACTAACCAGAATTAAAAAGTGCTCTGTAAACTCTATACAACATTAGATATAGAAAATTATTTTCATGCCTATTGCATTATAAAGCTCTTGAAGCCTAATACTAGCATGCCTTTTATTAAAAGTAAGAGAGACTATAACTGTAAAATAATTAATTCTAACTTGTAGTTTCTATCTGTTGTATTTTATATTACTTGCTTCAATAATTTTTTAAGATTCTGGAGGTTTACCTACATGCTTATATGCCATCCTTCTCCCTAATCTTCTCCCTAATCTTAAAAATAGGTTTTATGTAATGAGAAACATTGTAGAATAGAAAGCACATATTCTTGGTTTGCATAGAGACAAAAGAAATCTGACTTCCTCTAATGACAAGTCAATTTATTATTTTATGTATATATGTATGTGTGTTCGTATTTTAATAAATAAATGTGTTGTTTCATATATTTAAAATATATATTTATATTTTTTTACATGTAAATGAATGAAATGGCATATATATGCTATCATACTGTGTTTTGAATATATTTCTGTTATTTACAAATAACATTTATTTACAATATTCATTTCTATGGTATTTATTTGTCATTCCTCTCCTTCAAGTCTTCTTAGTGGTGTTTCAGTACTCAAAAATGAGGGCATCCAGCCTGGCCAATATGGTGAAACCCCTTCTCTACTAAAAATACAAAAATTAGCCAGGTGTGGTGGCACACACCTGTAGTCACAGCTACTCAGGAGGCTGAGGCAGGAGAATCGATTGAACCTGGGAGGCAGAGGTTGCAATGAGCCAAGATCAGGCCACAGCACTCCAGCCTGGGCAGCAGAGTGAGACTCTGTCAAACAAAACACCAAAATGAGCACAGACATCTTACGAAGTATCTCTTTGAAGGATACTGTCAAATTTTTATCCCACAGAAAGTCAGTTTAGTTAATACTATGTAAGTTTATCTTAAGTTAGTCTATGGAAGTGTGAAGTATCTGAGGTGTCAAACAATAACCAAAATGGATAGCTATCATAGAACACAATTCCGGCATATCGCTGTAATTTGTGGAGCAGCAATTTTTTTGTTCACTGAAATCTTTTAAAATACTTTCTAAAAACTATTGCACTTTACTCATAGTCTGTGTCATTGTTTCTCAGCTTTTACAGAGAGAAACCAGACATCAGAGAGGAAATGGTTTATCCATGCTATAATCACTGTATTTGCAATCATCTGTTTTTAATCTTTTCCACATCAGGATCACATAAGGAAAGGGAAAGTTTCCATCTCTTCCTGATTCTAGCGTGAAGTGAACCATCTAAAAATAGCCTCACTGTTACCTCATGTATTTCCCTTTTCATTTTACCCCAAAATCCACACATCACTGGTCATACCCTTGAGTCATGTTTGTAAACACTAGAAAGCTCTTTCTTTTCTTTGCCCTCACGCAATTGCTCCACAATGTGAACTTTTGGTTTATTTTGATGTTGAATAATCACGAGTGAATAATTGTGAACAGTGCTGGACAAGAAATAACAAGCTGATTAATTTAGCTGAATAGAGGGAAAAAAAGAAGAGATTGGTGATAAAAGCTTTCTCAAGTTTCAAACAAGAAATTATTTACATACATATGGGATTTTCAGTGAAATGTAATTGTATTTATCATAATAGTTTATGAAGCAAATGCTTTCATATACATTAAATCCTTTGTTCTCCTAGATTTTTATTCATAAGTGGTGTTGAGAGAGTTGATCAACATAAAATTCATGACATTCCAGAAGCAAAAAGAGCAGTGAAAGTTCAATGAAAAGTGTATTTTTCTCTGAATGTAAGCCTGTATGATAAAGTACTTGTTTTCTTCTAATGTAAACTACTGAGGTCTTTATACATTTTATCATTTAATCCTCTCAGCAATCCTATGAGAAAGGCGATGGTATTAGCTTTATTTTACAGAGGTAGAAAAATGAATTGCTGAGAAATAAGAAACAGATGAAATAGAGATGAGATGGGATTGGGAGCCTGCTATGTCAGGGATAGTGAATAATCTAGTCTGTGTTTGTTCGTTCCTCATTATCTCTGCGTTGCCTGTAGGGGAGTATCACTGTACACTGCAGCCACCAAAAATAATTTGTTTCTTGTTGAGCTGTGGTGTCTAATTAGTTTGTCTCAGGTCATCCAGCTAGCAAGTTTTAGGGTGTCTGTCTTAGAGCTGGGCCTTTCACGCTGCACAACCCAGGCCCACAATCGTGCAGCACCTTCCTGCCTTTATCATACTTTTCTATAATATCTATTTATCTTTTCTGTTGATTTATAAACTCCAAATCTTCAAGGACAGCCTATCTCTTATGCTTAGAACATAACTCACTGATAATTGTTGGCTGAATTAACAAATACTCTGAGGAAATTGTCCAGGTGTACTGCAAAGTCTCACCTTGTATTTTTTCCTGGCATTTATCACAGTTTTAAGCACAAAGGGTTATTTGATTGCTATCTCTCGCCCAACAGGCTATAAATCCCATAACAACAAAAACCATGAATGTTTTACTCACTGTTATGTCCCCACTTCTAACATGGAACCTAGTCGACCACTATTGATTGCTGTGGAATGGATCAACGAGATGACAAGAGTAGTTAAAAAGAACTTAAGATTCTAGTGACAGTATCCCCAAAACTTCCCCTTTCCAGGAATTTTCCTCTCTAATGTTCTTATCTCTCTTCCCTTTCTTTATCCTCTTTTGTTTTCCTTACTTTTTTCCTTCCATCTCTTTTCTTCTCTTTACTGGCATTTATTTATTAAACATTTGCATAGCACTTAATATGTAGTAAGCACTGTTTTAAGCACTGTAAAGTATTAATTTATTTAATTCTAATAGCAACCCTATGAGATAGGTATTATTTATATCATCCACATTTTAAATCTGAGATGGAAACATTGACTTAAGAAACATGTCCAAGGCCATGGAGCTTGCATTTGGACTCAGGCATCTGGTCCCAGAATCTGTGCTTCTCCCACTATGATATTCTGCTTCTTATTTATTCTGCTCTCCCTGAAGATGCACATAATGGAAATGAGGTCTCTTCACTGCATCTCTCCATATTGATTTATGTTCTCCAGTTTAAATTTAATTTTGGGGGTGCTTACCCCAGTGAGTTAGCCTGCTTTGGTGCAGAGACAAACCAACCTCGAATCTCCGTAGCTGACTGCGAACACGTATTTCTTGGCCACTTACATGCCAGCAGTCATAAATCACCCGTGGAGGCTCTGTTCTATTTCTCTTCTCATTCTGGCGGGAATGTATAACCAGCTTACCAGGAAGGGAGCTAATACATGGAAACCATCATACAATTTGCCACGACCATTAACTAAGCCCTTGGTACATCTGTACAGTCCTCTCTTGGCCGTTACATGTAATAGCAATGCTCTGAGGCCAAAGGTTCAACTTCTGTTCACAAAAAGAAGACAAAAAGCTGATTCAGAGTAACTCAAATATTTTTGTATACATAAAATGAATGAAGTTTTGGCTGGTACTTTTTAACACTTTGGTGGAGATGATACAGGTAAAAATCCAGTAACAGGATTCTTCTCTGCATCATCAGATTCCTTTTTTACTCCTAAGGGTTAAAAAAACTTTCACATGGTTATAAATTCTCTGAACCCATAATTTTTTTTCTCTAGCAGCTTCTTCAACATAATTTTGCTCAGTTCAGTTTATCAATAATTTTTCAAATGCCTGCTGTGGAGCTAGCCTTGTGCCAAGAATTAACATAACAATAGTGAGTTTGTTTTCAATTTCTTTGAAATTAATGAACTTCCTGAGAACAGGGTCGTGATTCATCCTAGCAAGGAGTACATTGCTGGCACACAGTAGACACCTAGTGAACACTGAATTATGGTCAGACCAACTGAATCAATGAAAACTGAAAATTTCCAAATTCATCTTTCCATCTTTCCCATAGGAACTTCTACTTGCAGAAAAGTGGGCTAAAATGAACAAGCTCCCCTTTCCAAAGATTGATCCTTATGTGTTTGATCGGGAAGGGCTGAAGGAGTGCTATGTCTTTAAACCCAAGAATCCTGATATGGAGAAAGATTGCCCAACCATCATCCACTTTGTTCTGGCCAACATCAACTTCAGAAAGTACAGGGCTCCAGGTAAGTAGGGAGTAAGCTGTATTCCATAAAATAGAAATTAAGTAGGGGACGAAACTGACATTAAACTGTTTCACTCTGTCACTGCTGTACCAGCTATTACACTATTGAATGCTTCCCTTACCTTGATAAATAGATACTATTCTGAGACCTCAAGTACTTCTCCTCTTTCTTACCCCAAGATCCCCTGACTTGCTCACAGTTCAGAAACTGCAAAGTCAACAACCAGTTTAGCAAAAATCTCTGGGACTTTACTTCAATACTTTGAATTATGTTTGTTCTGATTGATTTTTAATCAAATATTTTGACTATCACCCTTGTAAGAAAGCCCTTATTTCAGAAAAATCATGCAAATTTCTGGGAATTTTACGTGACTACAAGATTAACGTAATCTAGCAGTACACAATGGCTAGCAGTTTCAGTTTGCCATGTTGTATTTCACAGAAAACAAGAATCAAGTTTGAGGCATAGTCTTTTTTGTTTTGTTTTATTTTTTTAACCATATCCAGAGGGGTCTCTCGACTCTTGTGTATCCTGGAAAATGTTGATTAACCAAAGGAGATCTAAAGATTTACATGCAGGGTGCTTAAGGCTCCAAAAACCATATTTTAGGACCAGAAAATGTGTTTTCCATTTTATAAATGGAAAGACACAAAAAATAGGGAGGATGAGTAATGGGAATATGCTGAGAAAAATGGTGTTTTTCTAGATTTCTCAGGAAGACAAAGAAAGAATTGATAGGAGTGAAGATTATTGTGAAGCATATAGTTCAGCATAGGAGAAGGTGGAAATCTGACATTTTTAGTTATCAGACACTAGAGCACATGAAACCCAGTGAATTTTCTATCACTGTGAATTCTCAAGGAGAGGCTCACTGAGCAGTTGGCATGTGTAGGGGATTTCCATGGCATAAAGACAGCCACATAATGTTTTAGTTTGGGTTCTCCCAGAAACTAATTCTGAGAAAAGGACTCAAGTGCAAATAGTTTATTTAGATGAGCTGGGGAACACTCTAGTTTATTAGTAAGGAAATGGGGAAGTGGTAAAGGGAAGGAAGGCAGACAACAAAGTTGCATTAGCAAGCCGGCTACCACAATGGGAACTTGATCCGCTGGGAAAGACTACAAAATGGAATAGACCTGTGTCCCACAATCATGCTTCCCACACGCACACCAAAAGGCAGGGGAATGGAGTATTTAGATTCTAACTCCCTAGAGTCTTTGGTTGACCACTGCCTGGGGAACAGTGTTATTTAACAGAATTTCCAGCCTGCTGTGAGTGGGTCAAGCAGGCTTCTACAGTTGCAGGGCAGGATAGAAAGCCCTCCGGCACACAGATGTCAGATATTGGCAGTTGGATGTCATCTGGCCAGAACACACAGACACGATAAAAGTCAGAGATGCTACAGAGTACCTGGCTCTGTGGGGACTCCCACTGCTGTCTTTATGTCTGTATGTTTTATTCCTTGGGTTTTAGAGATATTTTGTAGTTTTCAAAATAACACCCTTTGTGACTCTTCTGGTATTTAGGTGTTCCAAGGGAAACTGAGGAAGAGAAAGAAATCGCTGACTTTGATATTTTTGATGACCCAGAATCACCATTTTCAACCTTCAATTTTCAATATCCAAATCAAGCATTCAAAAGACTACATGATCTTATGCACTTCAATACTCTGAACAACATTGATGTAAGTATCTCCTATGGCCATTGACTATGTCAAATGACTTCCATACCGTATAAATACACCAATACCTCTTTTCAATTAAAAATAAAAAAATAAGTGTTATGAATGACACCACCCAAAATATGCCACTTTACTTTTCATGAAATATTTTGCTAATCTTCAGAAGAACCCTACAAAACTGACAAATAAGGAAACTCATTTTATGCTATTATTTTATTGAATGATTGGTTAATACTCAGTTTCTTTCCCGAAGTATCTATGTATTTATTATATGATATAACAAATTATAAGTAAGGAAGAAAAGTGATGAAAAGGAAATATGAGTAAAGGAAATATGAGTATGAAAGTGAATGGAACCAGAAGTGTAGTTAATCTGCAAAAATATAACATGAATTTTAATAAATACATTTATGATTTTACATATTTTCTTTTTGTGAATTTGAGAGCAGCATCACAAAACGTAACAGCATTTCCTTTTTTTTTTTTTTTTTTTTTTGAGATGGAGTCTCGCTCTGTCGCCCAGGCTGGAGTGCAGTGGCGCAATGTCGGCTCACTGCAAGCTCCGCCTCCCAGGTTCACGCCATTCTCCTGCCTCAGCCTCCCGAGTAGCTGGGACTACAGGCGCCTGCCACCACGCCCGGCTAATTTTTTTGTGTTTGTAGTGAAGACGGGGTTTCACCGTGTTAGTCTCCATCTCCTGACCTCGTTACCCGCCCGCCTCGGCCTTCCTAAGTGCTGGGATTACAGGCGTGAGCCACCGCACCCGGCCAGCCTTTCCAATTTTTAGCCTTTGAGATGTCAAGTATGCTTTGCTTTAGAAACAAATCATTGTCTTCAGTATCAATCCTTCCTATCATTAGTGTATCTTCTGCTAAGATTCTGTGTCTAGGTGAAATTCTTTCATTTTTAACTTACCATATAGGAACACTATTCTGTAACTGAAATCATTGACTTGTGGTTCCAAATCATAGTGTCTGACAAATGATTATCAGTTGTAAAAGCTTAAGTTCAGTGGCCTAATTGGATTTTGTACATTAGAAAAACAGAAAAAAAGAAATTAAATGGAGAAGGAAAGGCATCATGTCTGATTTACCAGTCTTTTTGGTGACTGTGTAAATGGCGCAAAGGAATTCAGAATATGTGAATGAGTGTTCTGTTTATATGGGCTCTAATTAGATTTTGTGAGCTAATAGAACTCCACACATCTAGTTTGCTTGCTTGTTTCGTTTGGCCTGAGACTAGTAATATCAACTGTATGCAATCATCACAGTTGCACCATAATATATTTGTTAATTAATATCTTTAATTTTTGTAAATGTGTAAAATTTTCCCCAATAAGCCTTGATTCTTACAACTCTAAAATTCTTTTTTTCAGCCTTCATTTACAAATAGATGATAATTCATCTAAAAATGCTTATCAAAATATATAGCATATGTCATTTTCTCCATAGATTTGTTTCCTTTTTAGAAAAAATATTTCAAGCAGTGGACATCTGAAATCCACGTGATACATTATCTCTATGGTGATGGCAAAAATTGAAAGGTTAAGAGAAAAAATGATTAATCTCTGATTTGTAGGGAGTGAACATAAATTCTCAAAATAGAGTTAGTTGCATTTTATAAAACCTCATGCTACTAAAACAGAGGTAAGAATTAATATCACAGTCACCCTAGTTTTCCAGTATGAGCCAATAAACTCAAAACTACACATTCCTTGGGATGAATTGTATTAAATTTGATAAGTCTTTCTCAAATGGAAAAAACAGATTGTAGGAATATACAAATACCATGTTGG
This sequence comes from Homo sapiens, assembly GCF_000001405.40. Classification (NCBI taxonomy): domain Eukaryota; kingdom Metazoa; phylum Chordata; class Mammalia; order Primates; family Hominidae; genus Homo; species Homo sapiens. The sequence continues at coordinate 186,981,265 of NC_000001.11, forward strand.
ACTTGGGAGTAGATATACATATGTGTATCTTAACCAAATACATTTGTCTTGCTGTTCTAGTTTATATAAAGTCTGCTAAACAATTTGCAATAAGGAATGATACAGTTTTATTTATATATTTTACAAACATTCTTCAAAGTAGTTTGTTTGACACATAGATGTAAAAGTTAGTGCCTGAACAAAAATAGACTGAATCCCAGAACAACTGTCCCGACCTATACACCTCATCAAATGTTGATTCTTCAGAAACCATTAATTTAGCAGTTTTAAAAATATGTTTTCACTTTTTATTGTTATAAAATATACAAAATATAAAATTTATCATTTTAACCATTTTTAAGTGTACAGTTTAGTGGCATTAAGTACATTGCATTATCGTGCAACCAACCCCACCATCTATCTCCAGAACATTTTACATCCTCCCAAACTAAAACTCTGTAACCATTAACTAGTAAGTCCCCATTTCCCCTGCATTTTTAGTAACAATACCATCAGGTTTTTATAAGAAGATTGATAAATTCATTAAAAAATAATATGAAAGTGAAAAGGACCAAAGTAGGCTAACTCATCTTGAAGAAAGAAAGCGAAGTTAGAAGACTTACTTTACCAAATAGAAAGACAGCAAGATAACATTAAGAAAACATGACATTGTCCAAGGACAGACAGTAGCACTAAATAAAATCGTCCTTGAATAAATTGTGACTATCTGTAATAAAAAAAGTGATCAGATGATTATTCACAAAGGAAAAAATTAAATGTACCTCTTTCACATTATCAACAAAGCCAATATCAGATAGACTGTAGATCTGAGTATAAAAGTAAACAAAGCTTCTAGAATACAACACAGGGGAGTATCTTTATGACTTTGACCCTGGGAAATATTCTTTAAACTTGACGCTAAAAGCATTAGCCATAAAGGGCAATCTTTCCTGTATCTCCAAGTCCTTTAGTTCTGAGAATTAAGCAGTTTTTAATTGCTTCTGCTACAGTTTCTGGCACAGCATGTACAGACAAGGTCATGGGCGTTATATCATCTTTAAATCTCTTACATGTGACTTTGAATAAGCTGCTTAAACTTTTTGAGCCTCCACTTCCTCGTCTCTGAAACAGGTGTGGTAGGATCTATAATAATTGTAGTAGTGAATGTTTAATTGGGTGATGCATGATTACAGAAGCTGCTCAATAAATGAGAACCTTACCTATACATGTCCTTATCTTGTACCCCTGAAGGTCCATGGGGATTACACCCAAAGACCTTTGCAAATGCCTCAGGTTAACAACATAGACAAGTTTGTACAGGTAATGCCAGCTTAGGCAGTCAGTATATATTTTCTGAATGAACAAATGAAGGTAGGCTTTTTCCTGAATTATATGAACATTGAGACTCATGTTCAAGTAACTCCTCTTTGTGTGTGTGTGCGTGTGTGTGTGTGTGTGTGTTTCATAAACAGATAAAATTTTCAGTTTTCACTGACATTTTATCTTGCCTTAGTGACTCCCTTCTTCTCCACTTTAAGAAAACACATTTTTGGGGCCGGGCGCCGTGGTTCACGCCTATAATCCCAGCACTTTGGGAGGCTGAGGCGGGCAGATCACCAGGTCAGGAGATCAAGACCATCCCGGCTAACACGGTGAAACCCCGTCTCTACTAAAAATACAAAAAAGCAAAATTAGCTGGGCGTGGTGGCAGGTGCCTGTAGTCCCAGCTACTAGGGAGGCTGAGGCAGGAGAATGGTGTGAACCAGGGAGGTGGAGCTTGCAGTGAGCCAAGATCGCACCATTGCACTTCAGCCTGGGTGACAGAGCAAGAGTCTGTCTCAAAAAAAAAAAAAAAAGAAAAGAAAAGAAAAGAAAACACATTTTTATCAGAATCACAATTTTGTAAATGATGGTACTTAAAGAGCAACAAAACTCTGCTGAATTAGCTAACTCTCTCATTCCCACACCATTTGAATAGAGTAGGGTACCGATTCACACTTCGGCAACACAGCATATGTTTACTGCTGTAGACCATCAGAGTTCTTTGTAAACGGTGGATGGACATTGTGAATATAAACTCTTACAATGCAAAGTTACCTCTCTGCCAATTACATAGACAACAGTTTTCAACTTTGCAACTGTGACCACTGTGGCTTAGGGCAACGTTTCCTCTTCAATTCACTCTGACCTCAATTTTTGCTCTGAAGAGGCCATGCTGTGTCAGCCAGCTGCACCCTCCTATTGCTTCATTTTATCAAGAGATTCTAGCTTGCCTGCTTTGCCAAAGCTAAATTTCAGTTTATCTTTAGAGGACTTCTGCTCTGTTTCTGCTCACGTCATGACAGCGGCCTGGGTTTCTCATAGCATCAGGTTTCTGCTCTTACTCAATTCTCCCAAATTCCTTTTCACTGAACATTGTCTCAATGCTTGTACAATTACAGTAGTATTTCAATTTTTTTTCCTTCAAAAACTTAACGTATAGTGACTTACACTGGTAGACATGTGATGGCGGCGGGGCGGGGGTGGGATGCAGAGGCATTGGAGTCTGACCAAATTGGGTATTCAAATCCTTGCTCTGCGGCCTCTTGGCTGGGTGACATTGGGCATATTGGTTAACCTTTCTAAATTTTGCTTTCCTATTTTGTAAAGGGAAACGATGGTATATATCATGTAGGATCAGGATGGGGATTAAGTAGAATAATATAACTTAAGGGCTTGGCATGAAATAGACAGTAAATTGAAGCAGCTAATATAATTATTAGTGTTCATAGTTTTTGGCTTTTAATTATAAACCCCTTAAGAACAGTGACTTGCTTTATTTACCTTGTATTCTGTAGACATACTGATCACAATGCCTGACACCTAAAGTAAATATGCAGTACAATTTTCATGATGGGTGTTTAAAATTTCATTGACTTACTGTGGGTAGCAAGTGTCAGGATACAAGGTGCTCTTGGTGGGATGGAGGCAGAGTTCCCAACCATGGGGAATTTGTATATAGTACATGCCTGCCCACGTAGTATGGCTGCATACTCTATCTACTCTTAAACCATCACTTCGATCTGGAGGGAATATGTCTTCTGAGATTTCTTTTCTAGGACCTGTTAATTTGCTATCACAGGAAAATATATGGTTTCCCAGTCTCACTTATTCAAATTATTAATTTGATAGGCATAGTCTTAGAACCAGTTATGTGTCACATTATTCAGCATATGCCAATGATGCAAAGTAATGAGCTTTTTTCTTTCTTAAATAATTCTACAAAGTGCTAAACATTAAATGTTAATTAAAATGAGGATACATCCATATCCAGAAATACTGGTACTCATTTCTTAATTCATTAATTCATTGATATTTCTTCATCTTGATAAGGGTGTGTAGGTACAAGTAAAAGTTCTATCTTTTAAAAATAATTTATAAGCTTACTATTATGTATTATTGCCTAATATATTAGTCCATAACTCATCTATTTTTAATGCTGCCTATGATCTCTTTCTGGTCTCATTTATTTATTAATTCAATACATATTTATTGTTTAGTGTGCCAGAAACTGTTTTAGAAACTAGGGGTACAGCATGGAAAGAAGAATTAAAAGTTTTGAGTGCTTCATATAAGCCAAATATTTTCCCCCAAATATTTAACACTCAAGACTAGCCTATGAGGTGGGGTTTTAATTTATAAGTTAGGAAATGGAGTCATGGATTACTTAGGCAGGTTACTGGAAGTCACGATGATGTGGGGGAGCTGAGATGAGGCTGCATGTCTTTTCTCCTTCATTCCTTACTTTTGAACCACCTGTCTCTCAAGCAGCCTTATTTCTTAGTGTTCCCCAAACACAGCCTTCATTCTAGCCAGGCCAGAATGAATTCCCAGATGTCTCTGACGAATGCCACAGCCTCCCATCCTCAGTCTTTTCATATGGTTATTCTTCTACAGAGAATGCCCAGTCTTCTGCTCCACTTAAAAACCCTGCCTGTCCTTTAACTCAACTGGTCTCACTGTTCCTCTGAACTGAATGCTGCCCTGTGTCAATCAACCTCTAGTGAGCACCTTCTGTGTATTTATTAATTTTGCAAATATTTATTATGTACCTTCCATGTTCTAAGCGCTCGGATAAAAAAAAATGCAAGCCTGATGAACTTTCTGCCTTCCTGACATTTCAGTTTTTATTGAAAAGGCAGGCATTATCCAGCAAATTCACAGTAATTTTACACCTAAATATCTTCTCATGTTCTCCTATATTTGTAATTTTTACTTCTCTAACAAAATATACTTAACTTTCTCTCTTGGGCTTATTTTTTATTTTCTGTTGTGATAACTCAATATTTGTTTGTAGATTGCTTATAATCTCACCTCTACAAATTTGTTTCTTATGTGGAAGGGGGATCACATTTTACATGCTTGTTTTTCTTATTCTCTGCTTTCATTAGCAAAGATTTAAGAGATCTGGTTCAACAATAGGAGGCTACTGAATGGCACAAGTGAAAGATGACATGGGATAGGTGGTGAGGCTGGAGAAGGTTGAGATATGAGGGCTTTTGCTGGGATAACACTGAAGGGAAGGATTTGGAATCCCAATGAATTTCAGGGAAGAATGAAAGAGATACAAACACCATTTAAGATGACTTCTTGTATAATAATGAAAAGAAAGGTTTAAATTTAACATAATGCCTTTTTGAATATATGTAGTTGTATCATGTAGGATGCCAAAAGGTTTGAATTTAGTAACTGATCTAATACTGGGCTTGATTTTTTCTATCACAGAACTGTAACTCCCAAGAACAGGGTATTTTCCGCAGTAATGTGAAAAACCTGGTTAATGGTTTCATGGTGTTAATATGCCACCTAGTGGATCAACTTGCACATTCTAACTTGGGGTTTTCAGAGTTGGAAGTGTTCATTTTCCTTTATCAGAATGGCTTGCTCACTAGGAACACCAGCTGAGGTCCAATTACGATAAATCCACTAGTTCCTGATGTTGATATTGCTGATTTTTTTTATGCTCAAGAATTCATTATGAGGGAATTGATAGCAGCAATCATTGTCAGTTTAATTTTTTGTATGGTCTTTTTTATTTTAAAGCTTTTTAGGTGTTTAGAAAGCAAATAGTTGGTTTTTATTTTATTTGGACACTTTTATGCAATGAGGGTTGATGTTTCATGGATTTCTGTGAGAAGGAGAAACCAATTGATAAATTTGCTGATATAGATCTCTAGAAAGGCAGGGAGATTTTTAAAAGAAGATGTAGTAGGATACTTTGAATAGCAGAAACGATTTGCTGACTTACACAATATAATAAGCTCATTCTTGGCTACACACCTGGTGTGTTTATTTCTTATAAACTTTATAGCTTCACTTCTAATTTAGAGTTCCCAATTTTCATCACATATTGTCAGTTTAAAAATAACAAGCGTAACAGCTGTTGTAGAATGTTTATGTACCAGGTATTGTGCCAAGCACTTTATAGAAATGATCTCCAATCCCCACAAAACCCCAAATTAGTACATTATTTCCATTTTAAAGAAGAAGAAATGGGCTCAAGTATTGACACTAATTGCCCTCCATCTCACACAGCCAAGAAGTGTTTGTGCCTGGTAGCCTTTGGTCCAAGTCTCCTTCATAGATCTGAAGCATCTTTTGTCATCACAGAATTATGTTTCCCTATTCTTAAGAAAAGTGGGATCAGCAAATATCAGCTTTACCTTAACGGACTCATTCACGTTTGAGCCCATTTCCCGAGAAGATAATTACATATATTACGTTTTAAAATAAGGCATATAAAAGAACCACATTCCTGTGATAGCTCCCTTTTTCCAAAATCTGACTGCGTTTTTAAAGTTACTATTAGAGAATAGAGAGCCTTGCTTGTTGGGTGTCTGGGACATAAAGTCACAGAAAAATAATTGCATGTTTGCACCATTTAGATCTCACATGTTTAAGTGGTGCAAACATGATCTCCTTCAGGCAATGAGCCATGCTTGCCCAGTGAGCTTGCACGTGGTAATGGGAGAATCCCTCTGAGCATGCATCTCCAAGGCCAAGTGGGCCACAGCAGTTGTGAGTGAGAGGAGGCCATAGCGTCCTAAACTGATCAGACTTGCCAAGTATTCCTACCTGTGGCAAGGGGCTGAAAAGCCCGTGGACTGTACCTTAATGTTGCTTAACAATCCCTGAGGTAGAGAATAAAAGGAATTGTGGAATAACTCTGTGACTTGCCTCGGTTTCCTGATGCCCAGAAACATCTATCTCATTGGTCATCGAGATGAAATGAGGACTGTCCTGGGAAATGGAGTCTTCCTGATTTTAACAAGGTTCTGAAGCAGAAGCAGAGACAAGATTTACTATTCAGGCCTTCTTCCAAAGCCCATTTCCACTGCTCTTCAATAACTGCATCTACCAAATTCTGAATGTTCTCTTCTTTCCCCAAATTCTAACTAGGTTAACTTCATACCAAAACCAGTGTATGACAGTTGAAATAGCAGTTCTTAGAGGTTGTAGTTTCCTGTGTTTTCTTCTGGTTACCATTAACATGGGTATATGTAAAGAATATATATTGGATATATGTATGCTGAATAAAAAGTAGTAATTCATTTTCACCAATGAAATCACAGAGCATGATGTTTCCTAGATAGAGGAGGCTCATGTTTTATAACTGTATTGTTTCAGTTGAGGAAGGAAGGCAATTCTCCAGCAATGCCTTCTTCCTCCACTAGGAAAAGCTTTTACTTTCCTGGTGGTCTTTTTCTACTTGCCCACTAATTATAAAGAACATAAATTATAGATTTAGTAATTACTTGTTTCTTCCCTGTTATCCCCCTTTTGGCAAAGAGCAGAACCAACATAATTTTACCATGCTACCACTTTATTCCCAAATTTATCAGCATAAAATCTAGAACATTTCCAGAATCCTTCTTTCCCTGGTGAGGGAAGGAACAGTAGCTGAATATAAGCTTAACAAGAGTGCAGTGGTGGGATGTTGAATTTAAATGTGTATGCATGACTCGTAGATTTCTATTCATATATGTCAAAAGGAATACTCTAATAAAAAGATTCATTTGATTTTTATTTTAATAAAAAATATATAAATGAGTTCATAGCAGCGCTAATTATACAACTTCTGTCTCTATTTGCAGGTGATAAAAGAAGCCATGGTTGAAAGCATTGAATATAGAAGACAGAATCCATCTCGTTGCTCTGTTTCCCTTAGTAATGTTGAGGCAAGAAGATTTTTCAACAAGGAGTTTCTAAGTAAACCCAAAGCATAGTTCATGTACTGGAAATGGCAGCAGTTTCTGATGCTGAGGCAGTTTGCAATCCCATGACAACTGGATTTAAAAGTACAGTACAGATAGTCGTACTGATCATGAGAGACTGGCTGATACTCAAAGTTGCAGTTACTTAGCTGCATGAGAATAATACTATTATAAGTTAGGTTGACAAATGATGTTGATTATGTAAGGATATACTTAGCTACATTTTCAGTCAGTATGAACTTCCTGATACAAATGTAGGGATATATACTGTATTTTTAAACATTTCTCACCAACTTTCTTATGTGTGTTCTTTTTAAAAATTTTTTTTCTTTTAAAATATTTAACAGTTCAATCTCAATAAGACCTCGCATTATGTATGAATGTTATTCACTGACTAGATTTATTCATACCATGAGACAACACTATTTTTATTTATATATGCATATATATACATACATGAAATAAATACATCAATATAAAAATAAGCATGAGATAACTGAGTTTTTTGTTAATTTTTAATGAGATATTGGACTATTGCTATGAAAGATTCTCATATTCACTGCTTTCAAACGCAAAAGTTGTTCATCCTAAACTCAAGTGTGAAACTTTTAATTTAATTTAATTAATTAATTAATTTTTTTGTGAGACAGAGTCTCACTCTGTCACCTAGGCTGGAGTGCAGTGGTGTGATCTTGGCTCACCACAAGCTCCGCCTCCCAGGTTCAAGCGATTCCCCTGCCTCAGCCTCCCGAGTAGCTGGGACTACAGGTGCCCGCCACCACACCCAGCCAATTTTTAGATTTTTAGTACAGACGGGGTTTCACTATGTTGGCCAGGCTGGTCTCAAACTCCTGACCTCTTGATCTGCCCGCCCCAGCCTCCCAAAGCGCTGGGATTACAGGTGTGAGCCACCGCGCCTGGCTGAAACTTTTAATTTTAAATCATAGGTTTTTTTTCTGAAAGATGAATATATAATTTTTTCAGAAAATGGTATATGTTTATTCATTAAGTAGAAAATATATGTGTAACCACTTCTAATGTAACATTTCCCTTGGCTAATATTATCCTGGACTGCTTATCCAACAACCAGTGTAGTTGACCTCAGAGAATAATCCAAAAAAGTGGTAAGGGCTGAATCAAGCTTAATAAGTGGCCTACCTCTTGCATCTGCAAGATTTGTCTTGGGAACACTGTATGACACAACTGTGGCTGCAGTTGCAGCTGAACTGTTATGGTTCAGAATGTTCCAAAGCTCAGGTCTTCCTCTTCTTAACTGTCTGCCATTCTTCTTTCCTTGAATTATCTTTCTTTAAGCTCTTTATTCATTTTTCTTTTTATCCTCTCACCTTTCACTTTTCTGCCTATGAGGAAAGACAAAAAACAATAAAAGGAAGCCTTGAACGTTCATTCTATTGTTCATTGATTTATGCCTATGGCAAATGAGTGCCTACTGCATGCTGTCAAGCATGTTGCAGGATCCCAGGATCTAGGGGCACAAAAGTAGAAAAAACGGACCGAAGTGCCTGCCTAAGGACCTTGCATTCTGGTGGAGATGACCAAAGATGATAAACATGACACAGACATATGTTGAATGTTAGAGAGTGATAAGTGCTAAGAAGAAAAAGCAGGAAAAAGAGGAGATGGGATGTGTTAGAGGTGTGTAATTTTACAGGGGGTCCTAGAGAAGGCCATAATATGAAGGTGACATCGCAGCAAAGAGGTGAAGAGCTGAGGGAGCAAGACCTGAGGCTATCCAACGGAGAAGCACTGCGGGCAGAGGAAATAACAAATCAAAGTTCCCTGAGGTAGAGCACCAAGCATATTCCGGAAACAGAGAAGGGACCAACGTGCCTAAGGCAGAGTGGGAGGTGTACAATTAATTTTCTCTTATTTGTTCAAACTTTGGCAATATTGTTTGCATTTGATTTATCCTTCCAAATACCTCTGTAAAGAAACAAGACCAGAGAGGTTAAGAAATATGTCCAAGATGACTAAATTCTGAACCAGGTCCCTATGCTGTTGACCCTATGGCCTGTATATCACCATCTATGGTGCCCTCTAGAAACAAATTAGATGAACACTTCAGTGACAGTCATTATAAAGCTGGGACCAACTAGGACACTTGCTTTCCCTTTGTTCACATGCTTTTAGTTTCTTAACTACAATAACAGAGGCTTTTCATCTAATTCAGCTTTGCCATTTTTTCATTTATGAATTTACTAGAATTCTGATTTTATAAAAACACACATTGGGTGGCCAGTTAAATCTGTACATTTTTTTTTTATTATTTCTTTGTTCCAAAGAATGACTGACAAGTGAGATGTCCCCTTAGTCTTCCCCAAAATGATCAACGTGCCCTAGTAATTTCGGCTTGGCTCTTTGCCTTTTTCACGCAAGCACAAGTGTTCTAGTTTGTTCATTGTTCACGCCATGACAGGGCTGCTACTTTACCTCATCCATGAACAAGCTGTGCAATTTCAGGGTTTTTTTTGTTTTTTGATAAGCAATGAAAGCAACAAAATAAAAGCTTGGTGTGTGTATGTATATATCTAATTTCATTTCTTCTGAAGTATACAATTTTAAACTTTTCATGAATACCTTTGTTCTAACATGGAAAACACTTTATAAAAGTTTCAACAGTAGTTCCTCTTTCTTTTTCCTTTCCCCTTCTCTTTACCTCCTTAAACAATTTAATCCCAAAGCCATGGGAATCAATGGGGAATCAAAGTCAGACACCAAAACCTGAGATGGGAGGGCATCCATGCAGAGGAAGGTGTGGCACAGACAGTGCAGCTTGCTTACACATGGGGGAACCAATGAAGTAATTAAATATATGAAATATAATAAATATAATGAGTGCCAGTTTTCTCACTGGAATGGAGTTACAAATATGAAAATGAAGAAAAACAGAAGGTTGTGTGGTGTTAAGTTGAAGTAGGAGGTATTAGTATGAATTCACGGGTTTTAGTATAAGTAGAGATATATAGAATAAACAGACATGAAAGTGGGTGTGTGTAGAGATTCTGTACGTCTGTCACTGAGAGGATCTGGGAGCGGTGATACTCCCAATAGCAATGAGCACAGCTGGACACAGCAGTTGGCTTTCAAATCCCATCATATAACAACAGAAACCTAGGATCCTCAAGGAAGTGGCTGATTCTAGGTCGGACAGAACAAGTATAAAATGATGCTAGACCATTTTATTTTGCCACAGTACAGAAGTGCTCAAAGAATGATAAGGACATGTCAAAAAGACACATAAGCCAGCTTGAAGGGACACCTACTGGCTCTTTTTGGAAAAAATTAAACATTCAAATAAATAATGTTGGCAACAGATTATGATCCATTGAATAATATAGGAAACAATGACCTCATTTGATGTAAATAGATAAATAGATTAATAAGGAACCAGATATTTACATAATCTCAAAATACTTCCTCTTATAAAATACTTAATTACAAAGGGAAAAAAGTAACTTTGTAGTAGAGAAACCTGGCAGACTAAGTAATCAAAACTGGTGTTCTCAAAAGTGAGGCAAACCGAAATTGCCCCACTTGGTAGAATGCAAAGAGAATGTAGCATTGCTTCTGTGATAATCCTGCCATAGATGCAGCACCTGAATCTAATCACGAAGAAGTGACAGGCAAACTCAAATTGCAAGAAATGTCAAGTATAGCCATCTGTCATCTTCAAAATTGTAAAGATTAGGCAAGTCAAGGAAAGACAGAACTGTTCCAGACTGAAGAAGACTAAAGAAGCATGACAACTGAAAGCAACATGGGATTCTGACCTGAATTCTTCCATTCATGTTTCACCAACTGTTCCACTGACAGATAAAAGATGCCAGCAGAACAACTGGTGAAATATGAATGGGCTCTGAAGAGTTGGTCATAGTAATGTATCAATGCTAATATCCTGATGTGATGCTTATATTGTGGATAGGTAGCAGATTATCCTTATCTGTAGTAAGCACACATTAAACTATTCAGGGTGATGGAACTTCATGTTAGTAACTTATTCCTAAATGGCTCAGAGAAGAAAAACATCTCTCCTATCACATTTGCAACTTTTCTGTAAGCTCCACAGTGTTTCATACTGTTAAAAATTACTTAAAATTAGCAACAGAATTTCAGTTGGAGGATTCTCTGAACAAATTAAAGGAGTTTACATCAGTGGCTCCCATTTCATATCCATACTCTTTTAACTCTTTTTTCTACAGCTGATCAATGTAAATCCTACTATTTATATATTTAATAAAAACAAATAAAGAAAATAAATCACAAGCTAAAAATTCCACAGAGCTGCTTTCACCAAATAGTTTAAGGGTTAGAGTTTTGTGACATCCTAGTGATTTTTATATTTCTTCTATTACTGTACTACCAAATTAAAAATCCAATTAATTAACGCCACCTTTCGCTGTATAAGCATAAGAGCGAAACAAGGAATAGCCAATAATAAAAATGTGGCGAATAGAAGAGTTGCATTTTGGTTGAATTCTCTAAACACTACAGATCAGTAAGCATCTATTGTGTCTTATACATGTAAGATGCCACACTTGATTCTGGAGAGAAACTGTAGCAGGTACTGCTGTTGTTCTGTCCAGATCCCCTTTTCCTGGTCAGACACTCATCTCCAAGCTGCTGTGAGTATTGGCTGCTAAAAGTCTACAGCTGCATTCTTATTCTGAGAATTGTTCTCAGCTGATGAGATATGGTTGGTTTTGCCTTCCTCCTGAGGAAAGCTGCAACCAGTGACTAACTGATGAGGGGTTACAAAGAGCTCTGAATGCCTGTAATGTGTATTTATTATAAATAAGGATAATTCTGTGATGTTTTTCATGCTCAAGAGTTTTCCCTGGGATCAGGCTGAGATAAGACTTCAACTAAACCCATTTCTTTACTGAGGTTTTCTCCCTCTTTTATCTTTCTTCACTCCTCATCAGGTTCATCATCGCACACTCCTTCAACGTATTACATGAGAACCTTTATCTCAGTCTTTTTCTATAGAACCTGACCTAAGATAGATACCAAAATACATGAGACTTGATTCTTCTTTCAAAGAGTTTACAAACTGAGTCATTACAACTGGGGTAATTATGGGAAGTTTTCATGGAGAATTAGCTTTTAGGCTGAGTATTAAAAGATAAGTAGAAATTCAAATAGGATTTAGGAGGCAGGTGATTTCTCTCCTGGAGTGAGCTTATTACCTCCTTGTTGTGGATTCTATATTCTTCAATGCATTTTAATATTACTTTAGGATTTGTTTGGCATCCATCCACTGGCATACATTATATTCAAGAACTCTTAAAACCTCAAAATATTTTGGAAAGTAATTTAAAAATATATGTTGAAACAAGCTAACTCTAACCAGATGAAATTTAACAGGAACAAATGGAGAACCCTGTACTAGAATTCAATACACCAATAGTAAAGACGGAAAGAAGATGTAGAACATTAAAATTTTAAGGTAGGCATTGTCTAGAATGTCCAAGAAAAAAATGACTCCTAGAGGGCTAGCAACAATGTCTTAAATCCACTCAAAAAACTTTTATTAAGATTATGCTTTGTATTAGGCATTTATATGGGAACCATTTCACAGCACAGATGGTAGAGCTATTATAGTTGTCTTCAAATAGTCTCAGCTTGGAATGAAAAACATATCACGCAAGTTGCCACTCTCCCTTCCAGAATTCCTGGCAAATACAGCCACTGAATCATTTATTTTTCATTGATGAATCTGGATGTAGTTTTAGATTCCTGCTCAGCCATGTGCCCCACGTCAGTCATACCAATTGATTGGAATTGGCAGAAATAGAAAATCATGACTAGGTTTCTAGTGGAAGAGGAATAAGGCACTGCGTGAGTCCAAATAAGGAAGAGGTTTCTACCAACTAGATTGTTTAAAAATGAAATAAAATCCGTGATGCAAATAAATTTTTATCACTGTGGTTATTCACATATTCACAGAAGATGAGTTCGGGGGATTCATTTATTGGTGAGTAGTAGGGGCCAGTTTAGATGGTTCCATGGTACTTTATTACTCAGAGTATATAAGCTGTGGCACTGTTTCTATTTTAGATGAGGATTTTTGCTAATATATGATAATAAACCTATGGTGATATTTTAAATTGGATAACTAGTTGGAGAGGGAAATATTTTAGGGAAGATTCAATTATTGCTGTGCTAAAACTCATTATGTAAATTATTGTCTGAACCTCTTGAATATTTTGCCTGCTGCAAACAAAGCAGTTTTTAATAATAATCCCTTTTCCCCAGTGTTTTAGTGTGAGCTAATTTCCTCTTACTCTAAACTGAGTGAATACAAACACGATGGCAAATATGACTACATATGGAAAACACTATGAACATACCATGGCTAACATATAGTATGTTTAAACATACCATGGCTTACAAGGCCCTTCACATCCATTGCCTAGTCTACTTTTAGTCTGATTTCCTTTCATCACTTCCTCACTCACCCTAAACTTCAGCTACGCCTCTCATCATGCTCTGATCATTCATTGCATTGTGCCCTTTCACAATTCCTTTGTGCAATTTTTCTCTTCTGGTTTGTTCTGCTAGATCTAGTTGAAATATTATTTCTTCAGTGAAGTTTCAAGCTTCCCTCTGCAGAGTTAAGCATGACCCTTAGCTCTAAGTGTGCTCTAACCACTGTGTCTCTATACAGTGACAGCATTGATACTTTCAGAGGAAATCACAAACCCATCCCAGTCCTGGTTTCTGACTTTCATCAGCTAAGTTCTCATTCAATTAGTTCCTGGTTTAGTTATTAGCATTTGCATTGATCTACTTGCAGCAAAATGCTATACTAAACACTAAAGCATAAAAGGAAACAGTGATGATGTTCAACAGCTCCAAAAATCATGATGAGATGAGGTTAATGGAACAACCACATAATTATATTAAACATAGAAAAAAAAACTAGAAAAAGAAACAAGTCCCCAACAGAAGCCACATTAGAATAAATTCTAGGTTGAATGGAGTACAGGAGTCCAGAAGACTGTTCTTACAGGTCTCACTGAAGACTGAAGCAAGTTTCATCAACCTCCAATTTGGCCCCTATATTGTTATCAGAGTCTCCTTTCAAAAATGCAAATTGGATTGTCATTTACCTGCTCAGAAGCTCTTAATGGCTCTTCATTCACTGAAGGAAAATAGTCCAAACTCTAAAGAGACATATATTGCCTACTGCTATCTAGTTTCTACCGATTTCATTTATCATGAATTCCCTTCCCTCTCCCATTAAACTCATATCCCTCTTGCAATTTATATTCCAATTCACCACTCTACATTATTCTCTCTCATAATTACCTGCCTTTGTATTTGCTGGTGACTCCATCAGCAATGCCTTTCTCATCCCCATTCCACTGACTTAAAAACATGCCTCCAGTAATCTATAAAACACATATCCTTCTCTGGAGTCGTGGAAACATTACTTTCTCTATTACACTGCTCTCTCACTTTCTGAGGCTGACTGAGGAGTTCATTCCTAGAATAGAACCTGGCACGCAATCAGTGATAATTCTTTTTGAGTTGATTAAATGAGAGAAGAGTTTCAGAAAGTGTTTTAAATTGGCCTAGTGACATGCTTTTGACAGAAACAAAGAGGCTACTAGCCTCATCTGTTGCCATGGTATCATTCAAGTTTGTGGAGAGAGTAAAAGAGCAATCCTAATGGAGTCTGTTTTTGTTTGTTTGATTTTTTCAGCTTCCTCAATTCCTGCAATATGTGTTATTTCTGTTTTCCAGTATTCACTTAATCATCTTTAAGTAGCAAGAACCCAACACCCAAACAGATGACCAGCACACACACACACACACACACACACACACACACACACACCCCACAGTGGCCATGAAAGACTCTAGATGCAACATGCAGTCAGCCAACATGATCAGCTTCTGTGTCAATTGGGTCATTACTACAAATAGTGCCTGTGCTACTCTGCAGCTTTAAACCTACACTTCTCATAAAATGCAACATCATCAAGGTCTAATTTATCAAAATGAGTTATTGGCAACACAATGAATGTTCTCTTTGTGTGAATTATAGCAGCTTTTGTTAATTGCCTGAAATCTGCAAACCTGCAGGAAACATTTGCAATAAATTGATTTTTCCAGACATTGCCTCTGTAATAAATAAATCCTCCTGGTGATTAATAAGTACTCCTTTTGATTTTTGTCCTCTTTTAATTAAAAAACCTAAAGACAATCAAGAGAAATCTCAAAACCATATCTGCCAAAATATCATCGTAAGAACACAAACCAGAGCTGAGGCCCCAAAATTGTTTTGACGACAGCCTCCACTGTTGAGACCCTTTCTGTTGCAAATGATAAAACCAAGATTTAGATAAGGTAAGCAAATTAAAAAAAATAGAGCTTGTACAACTGAGAATGAGTCTAGTTTCAGGTTTACTTGGATCACAAATATGAAACATGTCATCAGTACCTTTCTATTCTTTTGAAATCTTTCTCAAGAGCTCCCTACAGTTGACAAAGATATGGCCACTAAAAAAGAAAAGTCCCCTGTTACATAATTCCTATGTCATTCCTTTAACTTGTGGGCCCAGAGAAAGACTCTTTCCTAGATTCTGCATATCAATGTTCAGGGCTGCACACTGAAGTGTAAGTTGAATTTACACACTTAGGATGTGGGTCAAGGTGGGGTTAGTGTTCGTGAGTACCTACTATTTGCCAGGTATTGTCCTAGGCAGTGGGAATAAAATGGGAGCAAGAAAAATGAAGCCTCTACTTCTGAGGTTTGCATTCTTTTGAGGAAGATGGGAAGTAAACTAGCCAACTGATGATCTCCAATACTACTGCTACTACAATAATAATAATAATAATAATTTTATATTGTAAGTGGACTTTGAAAAAAGAAGCAGGTTATGGAGTAAATAATTATGTGGAATTGCAATGGTGGTGTCAGTGGCTGTTTTAGGTGTTGAGGTCAAGAAAGGACTTCTTGAAAAGAGGTAACATCTGAGTAGCAACAGTACACAGCTCCATGGATTCTGTTGTGACTTCTTGTTTACCCTAGAGGAAAATCTAGAAGGACATTATTTGACTCTTGGGCTCTCAGGAATATACATTATAAGAAATTTTTCAGACATGTAGGGTTGGTTGTGTTAAAAGACAGTGTCAGACATAAGAAGCATGATTTTTCTCTTCCTGAAGATGTGGCACCTTAGGAAGATACTTAAGTTCTTTGGATTGAGCGATATAGAAATTCCAAGGTCCCTTTCAGCTAGAAAATTCAATGATTCTGAATTCAATCTCCAAGTAATTCATTTTCATATTTTTTTAACATTCAATAATGTCAGAATGAATGATGCAAGGAGGACAAAATTGAATTGCAGAATCATAATTTATATTAGCCAAATTATACAAGGACATTATAAATAACCTTATCTAAGACAGATAAAAGTTTTATTTTTTAATGACTTGTGTGTCAATATTTGTAAATGCTATTAAATAACTTTAAAAATGCCTAGTGACATCGAGTAATTATTATTTTCTAGCTTCAGGGCAATTTGTGATTAGATTAGATTAGCATTTTTTGATCAGTAAACAGCCTCTAAGTATAGTTGACATAACCTTGGCAGCCAGTGGAACAAATATTTAAAGAAAAACAATTCTAACAGTTTTCTATTTTGTTCCTGTTAGTACTGGTGCTATCTGATTTAGTGAGACCTAAAGAAATGCCTACAGAAATGTAACCTATGAGAAGCCCTTTCCCTTATTTATCAATCATGCTTACAAAAAAAAGATACTGATAACCACAATAATAATTAACATTTACAGTGCAGTTACTATATGGCAGTCAGCTTTCTAGGTGCTTTACATATTTATTTATTTTAATCCTCTTGGCAAGCCTATAAAATGCTGCTATTATTACCTTATTTTACAGATGGAGGGGTGGCAGCATAGGAGAGGAAACTGCTCTAGCTCACACCCCTGGCTGATGGCAGAACAAAGTTTGAAATCTAGGTATTCTAGATCACAATTGAAGTTCTTAACTGTATGTGATATTTTGTATATTTTTCCATCCAATGAATGAAAAATAGCATTATTTATCTTGGTGCAAACCTAGCTTAAGAAAAATTGGGAAGTGGGTGACACAGATGTACAGCCATTTCCTATTTCCTCTTGTCTTGCCCTTTTCCTCTCTACCCTGTTGCTCACTGTCCATCCTCCTCCTGCAACCCCCAGGGGCTCTTTCTTTTTTTCTCTTTTTTTTTTTTTGGAGATGGAGTCACCCAGGTTGGAGTATAATGGTGCGATCTCAGCTCACCGCAACCTCCGCCTCCCCGGTTCTAGTGATTCGCCCGCCTCAGCCTACTAAGTAGCTGGGATTACAGGTGCCCGCCCCCATGCTCAGCTAATTTTTGTATTTTTAGTAGAGATGGGGTTTCACCAGGTTGGCCAGTCTGTTCTCAAACTCCTAACCTCAGGTGATCCACCTGCCTCGGCCTCCCAAAGTGCTGGGATTACAGGCGTGAGCCAACGTGCTCAGCCCAACCCCCAGGGGCTCTTTTGCTCTGTTCTATCACCCTCAAAGTCTGTGAATCCCCAAAGAAACTAACATTAGTTATTTACAACTTAGTATCATCATAAGTCCATGGTTTGCCTGAAATAAAATTATGTTTTATATTGTATCTCTCACAGAGAAAGAAAAGGCTTTGTTTCTGTGAAAGAGATTTCAGATTTAAGCAAGTGGATGGGAGACATATCTCCCCATCTGGTGAGGCATCTTGACTTTCCAACTTTGAAATCACACTGCAGGAGCAAACCTTTACTCTGTTTATTTAAATAGTTTCCCAGTGTTTGACATTGCAGGAAAGGGTATTTAGTTATATTAAATATGTAAAATTATGAATGAGCCAAGGGTGGCACAATGAATTTGAAATCATCCCCCAGCATGATCTTAGGCTGTAATATATATCACAAAGCCTTTGAAAAGAGTTAGAAGAAAAAAATAGAGTCAAATTCGAATGGTTAAACTACCTTCCATTGTATCATGAGATATATAAAATGTTGCTCCTAAGAAAACCAGACTACACAGCTCGCCAGCTAGATGAGTGCTTGTGGGTAAAGAGGATGTTGGATTGTCAGGCAAATGGGAAGACCATTTCCCTGAGGAACTGCGTGAACACCTCGGGTTTTCTTATCTGTGTTTCTACATTCCAGGCAAGAGGGGAGATGCTGAGCCAGACCAGGGCTAAGACAAAGTACAGTACCAGTCAGTTACTGAATTTCTCAAATCTGGCTTATGAGTTATCTGCCTGGGTATTTTCTATTTATTTGCTTCCTTTACCTTCTGAATGCCATCTGTTCAACCATCAGTTTTTGAGTGAGAAATCATAGTGTCGATGCTGGGCTTTCGGAGAGATCACGGAGAAGTAGTCCGCAAGGCTTCCACTCTCTTCTTCTTTTTCCTTTTTATGTTTCTTTTCCTGACCTCCTTGCCCCCCTGCTTCCCTCCCCTTCCATCCTTTTGCCTGCCTTTGTTCTAACTAGGGCTCTGGAGCCCAACTGCCTCCTTTTGAATTCTGGCATTTGTACTTTCTTGCTGCATAATCTTGGGCAAATTCTCTGTATCTATCTTCTCTATACTTCAGTACTTACCTCGCAGGGTAGTTTGAAATACTAAAAATAAATAAATAAATAAAAATAAGTGTCAAGAACTTCGAAATAATTTCTGACACTAGTGGATAATTCAAATGTTAATCATCGTCATCATCACCATCATTTTTTCCATAAATGTTTACTGAGTCCATATTTATGTTTTAAATGCTGTACTAAATAATTAAGGTAAGCAAATGACTAAAACATTTCATCTGAGATCCTTTCCTCCTAGCAGCCAATGTTCAGGGTCTCCCAAGGCAGGGAATATGTTTCCCACACTGTCTATTCCCTTAGTTTCCCTGCTCTTTTCCCCATCAAATCACACTTGTCTCTGTTTTCAAATTTCTTGGAGAATGCTCTCTCCCAAGTGGTAACAGGTAGTTAAAATGAGTAAATACCTGCATATAAAATGTTAATTTGAATCCAGTAAATACGCAGTTGCTTCCAGAAGGAATTAACCTTGTGGCCACAGTTTCCAATACTCAGTCCTATTCTTAGGACCAAATAATTTTATTCCGTTTAATCAGTCAATCACACTCAAATTACACCCTAGTCTACTAATTACTTTGCCTGTACATATGGACAGCTCTTCCAACTAATTTTCTTTAGCAATAACACAAAGTAGATAATATTAGGGGAGGAGGAGATGTTTCTACTTGTTCTTCTTGATCTTTGCTTTTTAACCATAGGAAGTACTCAAAGTTCTTTTTGATAATTGTTTTGTTTAGAATTTATGCCGGTTTATTTTGGCTCCTACTAAATAATAGTTCTTGAAGCACCCCCATGCTTCAAAGCTCTTTTTATCAGATGAATGAAAAAAGGAAGTTTATAATCCTGTGGCCATTTTGTGTGTCCTTTCCTGGGTTATTTATGGTTATGGCTTCTGTACTAAAAATGATCACAAATAGATATTTGCTTTTAGAAAATGTATGTTAATATTCTTTTAGGTCACTTTCATTTAAGCATTCACAGATAAGAAAGTATATATTTTAATTTGCTTATCTATCTTTGATTTGCTCATTGACATGCAGTAAGTGTGTGAATTTCCAGTCAGTGATGTAAGATGTGTTAGACACACTTTGGGTTCATCTCTATAGGTGGTGTTTATGCTGGAGGGATTTTTTTTTTTTTTCCTAACTCTCATCTACTTGTCAGATATCAAAGTATCTAATTCCGGTCCCTGTTTTACTCAGTTCACTACAAGCAGCATTTAGGTAGAATGACAAATCTGGCAGCCATGCGAGGTTTTACCCACTAAACAGAAGCAGCCACTGACTAAAAGAAAAGGGCAGGACAAGAGAGAAATATTACAAAGACCTACTCTAAACACATATGTTTGATTTGAAGGCTGAAATTAGATTGTCCTCCTGCCTTTGGGGGCTCTGCCTGTGAAAATTTTAAACAATTTATGAAAATAGATAGTACTGGAAAGTGGATTACTCAGGCAAGTGGGTTTACATAACTCACAATCTTTCAGCTACACGTTTTTGACAAAGTAATTCCAGACATTTTCTAAAGTGATATTACATTCCATTTCACTCTAATTTTTTCCTTTGATTAGCAAATCAATTTTGCGTAACATGCCTGTGAGTCATGTCTTAGCATGAGAAGAGCCCTGCCAAGATGATGACAAATTACAAACCATGTGCTAATAGGGTCATTGTGAGGATTAAAGAGATGAAACCTGCAAAACATTTAGAACAGTGTGTAGCATAATTTTAAGTACTCACTGCTTGTTAGCTATTAATAGTCTTACCCTTACTAATAGAAATTACTCTGGGCTCACCCTACCAAGCAGCATTGCCTTACAATCATAGAAGCAAAAACCAATATGAACAACACGTAGGAACCCAAAAAGAATGATGATTTTAACATTAACCCACATAGTTCTCTGACACATATAGTGTTCTACCAAAGCATCGAAAAATCTTTAGATCATTTAAATTGATTGTTACTAAACTGTTATAATAGCGAATGTATCAGGCAGTAAGACAGGCATTCTGTGTATATCATTTTTATGTATAATATTTTTAGAACATCTTTCTTATCTTTTTGATGAGAAAAAGCAAAGGTCAACGAGGCTCTAATTACCCAAACTCACACAGCTAGAGAATGATAGAAGTGGTTCTACTTTGCCACACTGGCTGATAGAAAGTTTTGAAATGAACTCTTGATTATGAGATTCTGAGCTGCACATTGCCTACTAATTTCCATGTAGCTACTTTTGCATGTGATTTGTCGGTTTCAAACTACTGATGATTTCCATTAGGCACTTCATGAAATTCATGTAGATTTCTATTTCCCAGGAGCCCAGATAACACATTACTCTTCTTGTTGCTTATTCAAATAGTTTACCCTCAATGGCAGGTGGAATAATAGACACCCAAAGAAATTCATGTTCTGATCTTGTGAATATATTAATCTGATGTGGGAAAAAAGGCTTTGTAGATGTGATTAAATTAAGGCTCTTGAGATGGAGAGGTTTCAGTGGATTATCTGGGTGGGCCCAATGTAATCACAAAGGTCCTTACAATTGAAAGAAGAGGGCAGGAGGATTAGAGAAGATGTGAGGACAAAACAGATATCAGAGTGATAAAATGGGTGGCTTCAAAGATGGAGGAAAAGGCCATGAGCCAAGGAATGCTGGCTACCTCTAGAAGCTGGAATAGACAAATAAATGATTCTCCTCCTAGAAGTAATGTATATCTTTCCTGTTTCTCTGTTTGTTGCAGGCCAGGTCTCACTAATGCAGGCCTCCATGACAACTGTTTCTGTACTGACTGAGTAGTTAAGTTAAATATTAAAAGCAGAAAAAGCCAGTGCCCTTATACAAAGGCTGGAATGTAACAAAAGCCCACCGAAGAGTTCTGCCTAGGCCTTTCCTGGGCCTTAAAGCATGACAAAATAATGAAGGTATTCCTAATAGGATCTGTTTGGGATTAAATAAGTTTTACTGGGGGTCTGAAGAAACTCCCCAGACCTCCACAAACAAGTTTATTGGGGATCTAAAGGAACTCCCCAGACCTACATAATTTAGAAGGAGACAAGATAAGGGTAATCACCCCAGCCCCTGTACCCGTTTAGATTAAGTTAATTTACTGAGGCTCCAGAGGAAGGTCTTCAGGACTCAGACCTTAGTTATAGAGCAGAAGAAGTTAGTCACTTGTATTTAATGAATGCGCACTTACATGTAGACATACAGCTTTGATGGTATATAAGCTAAGGAACACCTGTAATTTTGAGTTGGTCTGGCGATAATTTTCAGGCCTTCTCCCTGTAACCAGTTGGATAAATAAAAACTCTCTTTCTCCCCAGTTCATCTGCATCTTGTTATTGAGCCACGAGAAATAGTAGCCCCACCCTCAGTTTGGTCTGGGAACAAAATTTGGCAAGCCAGCCAGGAGAGACGGGGATGGTCTTGCATTCAGTGGCCAGCGGCTTACGACGAGGCAGTCTTCAGGAGGAACCCAGAAGCTGCTGGTGAGATTTTCCTGGGGATCCTCCTGTAGGCTGTCCCATGTGCAAACCTGCACGTCCCTTTCACTGCTGGGGAAGAACAGAGATCAGGGGCAGATGTGTTCAAAAGGTTGGTTAACTGGATCGTATGCTGGGAGCCTGGACTCATTGAACTGTTTGTCCGGTACCACCAAGGGAAGCAATAGGAGGAGCTCATAAACCCACTTTGCATTTTGGTTGAGACCAGGTTTTGAGTTGGTTTTGAGTCTGTTTTGCCTGCATGCAATCCCCCTTGTGTTGTCCAAAATTTGTCTCCACTTGTTTGTGTATCTGTCTTATTCCTTTTCATACCATGTGAACTTGGAAATGAGAAGTATCAGGTCTATTCCTGCTGAGAGGCCTTTGGGAAGGAAAAAAATTTTTTTAGGAGCTCAATGGTTAAAAGTCAGCTTAATTAAAAGTTAACATCCAAGATGTGTATACATGGGTGTGCATGTGTGCATGTTTGTATTTAAAAGGCCTTCATGTTTTTGTTTTTGTTTTTGTTTATTTCTCTCCTAGGACCTTGTCTTTTTGAGCAAAAGTTTTTTTCTTCTCAGTTGACTCAATTCTGTTTTCTTCATTAACAGCTATTGCAACATAAGTTACACAGGGATTTTTAAGAAAAAAATGTAATTTAGACAGTTAGAAATGTCTCTGTTTGGAAAAAAATTTAAGTGCACTGTAAAAACATCACATAGTCTAGCCTCATAATAATTCTCCCTTTTTGAAAAACCCAAGATTCAGTGTGGGTTCTGCCCAGAGCTCAAAGATCCAGTTAAAAGACAGGTAGTCAATATCTAAGTAAAGTTAATCTCCTTATACAGTCCTACATTAAATTTCTATAATTTTATGTTTGATCTGGCACATCCATATTTAATCTCCTTCTAGCACCACCAGACTTTTTCTCTGTGTACCTTGAGATGTTAGTCTTGCCATTTGATTTTTCACCTCAGAGTTATTTCCTTTAATATGCAGATTTAGGGCTACTTAGCTGACAAGTGCCAGAGCAATAAACCAGGTTATCAAGAGTTTGCAAGTCTAAGATAGGAAAAAGGAGGTCTTATGAATCTATAAAATATATATCTATTGGCATGCCTAATATGTCTATGTATTTATGTCTTGTGTACACCATGTTTCACATAAAAGAGTTCTAATTGGTTGTCTCAAAGAAAAACAAAAGTTCTTAAATATTTTAACATAAAAAAGGAATGCTTTTTCAAGTTTATGTGACTAAACTAAGATCTTCAATAAGTAAGCTAGCTTTAACAATTATTGATAAAATAATATTAGAAATGTCTTAAGAGTTGCCAGCATACATTTTTGTTTGCATTTATTGTTCAAGCAATTTCATACTTACTTCTGCCAAATACTATAAGGTGTCAAAATTTGGCATAAAGGCTACAAAACTATAACTCAGCCCCAAACGGACTGATCTTTGCTTGTGTAATAAATAAAACATTAATATTGGTTTAATGAAGATAGCTGCATCTTCAATTATTTAGTAAAATACCCTAACTTCTAATCTTGTGACCTTAGGCAGTCTAGTCCACAGACGTGAAGGAAGTTTGTTCTGGGAAAGGGCTGTTATCGTCTTTGTTTCAAAGCTAAACTATAAACTAAGTTAATGAACAAGAATAGCTTGGAAGTTAGACCCAAGATGGAGTAAGTTAGGTCAGATCATTTTCACCGTCTCAGTTATAATTTTGCCATGGTGGTTTCATAACTTTAAATAATGACTATCACAGTTTTTGTAAATAATCTAGGTAAATGATTAAAATAAATAATTAAATAAATGTAATGGGATAAATACTTGTAAACAAATGTCATAATTTGGAACCTAAAGTTATATTAAATTAAACAGATATCTCAGTATTCGGGTATTTTTCAATAAAAATATATTGTAGGAAAGCATTCTTTCTAAAAATTGTGTCTTTTTAAAAGGGTAACTAATTTTTGTCTAATTCGAAGCGTATTTAAAGTTTATATACAAAAAAAGGTAAGAGAAACCAGGAAATAAGAGAGATATAAAGAAAGTTATAAAAATAGAGTTTTAAAGATTATTGGTAAAATAAAAATATCTTCAAAAATGTAAACATTTGGTCTAAATTATGCAGGTTGAATATTAGGTTTGCTAAATGCTTTAGGTCATAAACTGCTTCTTTAACTTAAAAATTGTTCAATTTGTTTTGGAATGTTAAATTCTAGATAAGTCCTGGGGACATATAAAATATGCAAAAAATTATTAAAGAAAAAAGATTTCATATAAGAAAAACTCTTGCATGGTAAATTCTTGTCCTAAAGTAAAATAACTGCTTGTTTAAAAAGAAGAATGTTTAGTGTAAGAATTTAAAAAAAGAAGAAAGAAACACAAAAAGTGGTTCGATGGTTAAAGACAGGTGTATTTTAGAGAATAAACCTGAGAGGGGTTTTTGGCTGAGTTAGGTCAGAGGCCCTTTCTCCTATAGACTAAGAGTTTTTAAGGATTCAGGGCAGGTGAGTTTATCAGAGGCTTGGACTGCTTCTGTGTCTCTTTGTTGTGCTTATCTGGAAGGGAGAGCTATGTGTCTGTTCCCACACATCTTTGTGCAGCTGCAGGCATATCATCATAGAGTCTGCTTTTAGCTTCCCTTTCTCAGCGCACCTGAAGGGAAAGGAACACGCTTACTAAGGCCCACTGTTTTACTTGGCCCAATGTATGAGAATGAAGTTTGGCAGTTACACAAGAGACTTCCCCTACACCTCCCTCTATGCCTGAGCTGTCTTATTGTGTCTGGATTGGTTCCTTCCAGTGGGTTCTTGGTCTCACTGACTTCAAGAGTGAAGCCGCTGACCCTCGCGGTGAGTGTTACAGTTCTTAAAGATGGCGCGTCTGGAGTTTTTTGTTCCTCCCAGTGGGTTTGTGGTCTCGCTTGACTTCAGGAGTGAAGCCGCAGGACCTTCGCACTGAATGTTACAGCTCATAAAGGTAGTGCAGACCCAAACAGTGAGCAGCAGCAAGATTTACGGTGAAGAGCAAAAGAACATAGCTTCCACAGCACGGAAGGGGACCGCAGCATGCTGCCACTGCTGGCTCGGGTAGCCAGCTTTTATTCCTTTATTTGGCCCTGCCCATGTACTGCTGATTGGTCCATTTTACAGAGCGCTGATTGGTCCATTTTACACAGTGCTGATTGGTCAGTTTTTACAGAGTGCTGATTGGTGCATTTACAAACCTTTAGCTAGACACAGAGTGCTGATTGGTGTGTTTACAATCCTTTAGCTAGACAGACAAGTTCCCCAAGTCCCCACCCGACCCAGAAGCCCAGTCAGTTTCACCTCTCCTTATCTGTGCTTTATTGTCTACTCTTTCTGTCTGCTTGTTCCTGGAAGAGAAGTGATTTCCTTGAAATGTATGAGGTTAGCAAGAGAGCTGGAACTTAAAGTGGTGGTGTTTGTCCAAGATGACGGTGCTCCTGCTCTGTCATTTAGGACAAGTCAGAAAGTCAAGGCATGTCATAGCTTGTCTGTGAAAGTCATGAAATAATTTATGAAAAGGGAATTTATGCAAGAAATGTTGTACAACTTAAAGGTGATTAGGCCTTCTAAATGCTTTATCAAATGCCACTGTGACTCTTACCTGTACAAATTGCCTGCTTTACAGCTAGATAAGGCCTGGGACACATGGAGTTAGATGCTGGGATAAGTCAAACCTTATCTGCGCTTCTGTCTAGGTCCTAGGCTCCACACCTAGTACATAATTAAAATCCCAAACTTACCAAGGTTTTCACCAAAAGTAAAGGTTGCTAAGAGTTAACAATGTAATGTGTATTTAAGACTACTGAAGGAATAGTTTATCTGTAAGGTGTGTAAGGAAAGTAAAATATACTTTTGGTAAACAGATTATAAGGAGGCATGAGAATGTGGATTTGTGCCTAGATTAAAAGCCTAAAGGATTGTTTTAAATTGGATAAAATAAAGATGAAAGTTTAAGCAAGTTGTGGAAGTTTGATGTAAAGGAAATTCTGTGTGTAAACATATTGGCTGAAGTTAAAGGAGTATTATCCAGTTTTTCTGTAAATTGAGCATTAAAATAAAAACACAACAGGTTTCTCTTAGGAGCGCTAATGTGCTCTTTAACAAAAATTGTAAAAGGTTATAAAAGGTCTATAAAAATCTTGCCTTATGGTCAAATATTAAAATTTGGTAAATATGTCTATAATGCTTTATTAAGAATTGAGTTTAACATTAATAGTACACTAATGTAAAGGTGAAATTTGGTTTATTTGGTACCAAAAACCATACAGGAAGCATTGACAAATATAAAATGGGGTCTGGCTTTCTTTGGGCTGTATTTGTATAAATATATCATTAGTATGTGTTCCAAAATTGTGGGAAACTCCTATAATTCTATATCTCTTAGTGTATGTTATTAATAATTAAAATTTTTATGTTAAATTATTTTGTGCCACAGAGATAACAGATTTCCTTGTCAATTGTGTCTTTATGGCTACCCTAAAACTTTTTGTCATCCATAAACAATTGTTGTCTTGTTTTTGTCCTCTTTAGAGGGTGGCTTTATAATCAGCTATAAAGTTCTAACAGGTGCTCTTAAATGCAGGTTTCTGATAACTTTGGAGATTGTGACATCAGAATAAAGGAAAAACGTTCAGGACTCTTGAAAAGCTAAAATATTTGTTAATATTAAGCAGGACAGGAATTAACTTCATGAACTGAACTAACAGGAGACTGAAATGATCTTTTTGACTTTTTGCTTAAAATGTTACTAATCTTTTATTTTGCTTTTCAGAGTAAAGGAAACTTTTCTTTTGAGCTATTAACAGCTTTTAACAATTAAGTAAAGTATACTCCACAAAATTTGAAGCATATTTGTTTCTCTCTACCTGATTCTTCCAAATATCTGAAACTATTTGTGAGTATTCTTAATTTATGGCAATATAGTTATTTGCATAAGTGCAATAAGAATCTGTTTTATTTTGTAACAGAACACAATTTTTAAAAAACTGGTTATTTTACCAAGGCTTTGATTGGAATGCTATGCTCTCTCTTAGGGAATCAAACTTGACTTCTGGCACCAATAAAGCCCTTGGAAAACTGGCCTCATATTTTGTGTACACAGTCCCTGTACAGGGTTTCTGATCTGTGGTAAGTAAAGAATGTCACTTTCTTACAAGCCAGGGACCTCAAGTTATCTTGTAACCTTCAGAGGAAAGGAACTCACCCAACTCATAGGTATTTGATGGTACAAATCCATGGCAGGGCTCAGCTTTAAAAAGGTCTTATATCAGATTCCTTCTACAGAACAAAGTTCCATCAAAGCCAGTTTAAAAGGACTATGTGAAAAATAGTTATTCTTGCTGCACTGTATCCAAATAATTAGGCCAACTATAATAAAGTAAACCAGTCCTACTATGATTTGTCTTTTAATAAAAATGGGAAACTGAAGAGAGAAAAATGTTTCAAAAGCTATAGTATACCTGTTGTTAAATTCTAGGCTTGCCTGATGTTTTTCAATTTTTATTATTTTCTACAGTTTGGATTAAATTCTAATTTTTCTTGCTACAATTCTCCAAAATAATGTTTTCAATTTTTTCCTTTCTCTTTCCCTTTTCCCCCATTTTTCCTAATTGGAAATAACTGAGACCTAAGCTGTGCTTTCCTAAAGCCCTGTGAACTGAAGACTCAACAACTTAAACTTCAGAAGAAACCACCAGCAACCTATTTATGGGTTGCTGTTGCATACTATTATGCTTCAGCAGGAACTTCCTCTAAGCCCCCAAAACAGGGAGTGCTACCAGGAACAAACTGATCTCTTCCACTCCAGCACTGAGTTTGGTGCCCCATAGCAATGACCCTCTCTCAGCAGGAAGTTGCCAGAAAGACAACTCCCTACAATTATCATGGTAAATAAATTTACAAGCATGATAGAAATCATGCGCAAATTGACAGTGGGGATTGCTGCAGGCCAGGTCTCACTATTGCAGGCCTCCATAACAACTGTTTCAGCACCGACTGAGTAGTTAAGTTGAATATTAAAAGCTGAAAAAGCCAGTGCCCTGTAAAGACTGAAATGTAACAAAAGCCCACCGAGAGTTTTGCCTAGGTCTTTCCTGGACCTTAAAGCATGATAAAATAACAAAGGAATTCTTAACAGGATCCATTTAGAATTCAACAAGTTTTATTGGGGATCTGAAAAAACTCCCCAGGCCTCTACAAACTAGTTTGTTGGGGTTCTAAAGGAACTCCCCAAACCTGAGTAATTTAGAAGCAGACGAGATAAGGGTAATCACCCCAGCACCTGGACCCATTTGGATTAAGTAAGTTTACTGAGGCTCCAGAGGAAGTCTTTAGGACTTAGACCTTAGTTATGGATTAAAAGAAGTTAATCACTTATGTCTTTAGATAAATGCACACTTAAATGTAGAAATATAGCTTAGAAGATATATAAGCTCTGGAAAACTTTGTAATTTTGAGTTGCTCTGGTGATAATTTCCAGGCCTTCTCCATGTAACTTGTTGCAGAAATAAAAACTCTCTTCCTCCCCAGTTCATCTGCATCTCATTATTGGGCCACAGAAAATAGCAGCCTGACCCTCAGTTTGGTCCAGGAACATGTGACTTCAACCCTGTAATAGCTATTTCAGATTTTTGACCTCCACATCTGTAACAAAGTAAATTCATGTTGTTTAAAAAGATACTAAGTTTGTGGTAATTTGTTACAGAACCGAAAGGAAACTCATACATCTTCTTTGCAGCATTTACAAAGTGTCTCTCCTTTTATTTGAATTCTCCTACAAGTTAGAACAATTGGCTTTTTAGCTTCTAGAAGAGGTTTCTGAACAATTAGTTTGCAATGGTACACATGAGGTATTTAACTCATTGTCATCAGTAAAGAGGTTTGTGGGAAATGGATTCAGCATATGAATATGAGAAGGAAGAATGGGGGATGGGAGCATAACCCATTAGAGCTTGCGGGAGATTTTACAGGGGGGAAATGGCTTCAATTTGGGAGTTTCCCAAGCAATTCTGATAAGACCCTAAAAGGGACTTTTCTCACTCATTAAAAACCATTGACCTCGTAATAGGACTAGTAAGGACCTGAGCAATTCCAGCTAACTGCAGTTCTAAGAGCTCTACTTACAATGACTCATTTATTTCTCACAATAGCCCTGTGAGGTAGATGCTATTGATGATATCTCCATTTTACAAATAAGGAAGTTGACACATAACATAGATTTTACTTAGTTAGACATTTTGCATGCAATAGAATTGTTAACAGTGAACTTGTTG
Organism: Homo sapiens; assembly: GCF_000001405.40. Lineage (NCBI taxonomy): Eukaryota > Metazoa > Chordata > Mammalia > Primates > Hominidae > Homo > Homo sapiens. Next base: position 187,010,930 of record NC_000001.11, read on the forward strand.
CCAAATGTAAAATATGTAAATATTTATGATTGCAGAATTACGTTATGTTCAAATTTTAAGTTTTTAAAGGTTTCTCCTGTGTTTGTCTTCACCTTGATACTTGGTTACTAGGTTGCCATTTAGAGTAACAACTGGTAATGTAGGTTATAAATGACTATTTCAAATATCTTGTTCATCAAAGTTTTAAGCAGTAAGCTAAATTTGCGTTAAATGTCCACTTGGTGGCAGTTCTTCATAAAAAGTACAAGTTGGCATATAAAGCTCATATCATTGTGTCCACAAATTTATAAAGACAAAATGAATCATTTATTTTGGGTTGTTTAATAGTGATTCTTTGGGCTTTTTTTTTTTAAAGGGGATGGGACCTGTACTGTATTTATCATCCTTTCAAACCAGAAAGAGAATCTCAGTAGCTTAACACATTTGAATTATGATATACATCCCTTTAAATGAGAACTTACCTTGAAATGCATTTTACAAATAAACCAATCACAACATACACAGATAGCAGTTGAGCACATGGGCAAACTTGTAAAACTGTTTTTGAATCTTTAAAATCAGGCAATAATAATAAATAATAATAATAAATCTTCCAGAAACTTTATACTAAAAACATTCCAAATTTTTTAGGAAAGACTGACAAAATATTGTATATGCCATGAGTTTACTACATTTAATCGCATGACTCTTTGCAATATGCTTAACACTTTCACATTAATGACAAAGTTCCTTCCATTAAGAATTTCTAAGGCTATGATTTGAAGGCCAAATCAAAGTTATCAACTTATTTACTGCTGTAATGTATGGGAGAAAATGTATTTTTAAAAATGTGTTTAGTGCATTTATCAGCAGATACCCACCATCAACCCTGATGGTAAGAACTAAGAACCAACCAATAGAATGTATAATACCTGATGCTAGGAAATCCCCACCTCAGTACAGCTTATTCACATGCCATTCTCTTCCTCTTCTTCTTTAATTACTTTTTTTTGGAGGTTGTGCAATAAGTTGTTAAGATACTAGTCTAGGTGTTTCTAAGACATGACAGATTCTTACAAATGCCCCATCTTCTAAATATCATAGGCAAATGTTATAAGCTCTCTGGTTCACTAGTTTTTGTTTTTGTTTTTGTTTTTTTCAGAGATAAAGTCTTGATCTGTTGCCCACAGTGGACTCAAACTCTTGAGCTCAAGTGATCCTCCTGCCTCAGCCTCCACAGTAGTTGAGAGTGTAGGCGCAGCACCAGGCTTGGTTTCCTAGCTTTTAATATGTAAATACGGTGATTCCTGAATGTTAAAATGTACTTTAAAATGATCAGTGCAGCAGTTTGCCCTAATCATGAAAAAAAAAAGATCCTGGTACCATCCCTCAAATTTAAATGTTAACAATGTCACATATAATGGCTCCTATTTTAGCTATTGAAGTTAATTTATGAACTGAATTTTTGAAATATATTCAAATGTAGTTGAACCTTGATCCTATTATAGCACAGTTAATGCACAAAGCAAATAAGATAAATAACATGAAGCCTATTGAAGTACTTTATACATCAATTAGCTATTTCACAAATCTAAAAGGTGAACTCCCTAGTGATATATTATTCACAACAGTTTTGATGACAATTTGGAAGTATAAAATGTTAAATATCGACACTCTATCTTATTTTATATCTGTATTAAATTTCAGCAAATTTTAATTTATTTCCTTATCAGAAAAATATTAAGGAACTATAAAATCACTTACTGATACTAGTGGATAGAAACAAGCATCATCAGTTAATCAATCAGGGGGATTTTAAATAAGCATCCACCCAGTGCTGACAATGTAGTGGATACTCAGTGTCTCCCTGATTCATCAATTCGTAATGGTTGTTTTTACCCACTAGCATCAAGCATTTGTTTTTCAAAAAGTTACTGCAAGGAAAACATGAACAAACATCAATAACTGACTGGTTGGTTTTTGTTGTTGTTGTTGTTGTTTTTGTTTTTTGTTTTGCCAACCAGGCTGTCTCATTGCCTGGAATTCTTACACTAAGTAAGAGTTTAGGTATTAAAGAGGCAGCTTTATATTTCAGGTAGGCAGTGACAGGGTGTGCTTGCTGCTCTTCCCAATGTCTTGCCTCAACATAGCCAAACCCAGTTTTATTTCATGCCAAAGGCATTTAATGGAAAAAGAGAGGCATAGTTTATACTTTAATGAAAGAATTGCTATGTTTTGATTTGATTTCTACTTTGAGCTATGAAACAGATAGAGGTTCTTTAATCTCCTAAAGAAACAAAGAGAATTCTGCTATTTGTTATTTTTAAGCAGAAAAAAAGGAAGAAAAAAAGATTTGTGGAATATTTCTCATTTACATTTATTTTACAATCATAGTGGTGGTATTAGCTAATATAATGTGATCATGAAATAAAGGGTTTTACTCACAGTTGCATAGATTAGTGAAAGAAGGACCTAATTAAAATATTTAACCTGCCATTTATATATTGTTTCCAAGTGGCAATTATTACCCAGATTTTCCTTTTAAAAAGGACTATCAAAAAACTATATTTTCCCCCACCAAAATGGCTAAAAACAGATTTGCATATTTTGCCAGCTTAGCCAGTGGGATGAGCCGTGACTGGGTTTCAGCTCCCGGTTTTCTCTGTTTACAGAAATATTAAGTACCCCCAAATCCTGGTTCTCTGGTTAAGTCAAGCATTTGGGTTTTCTCTCTAATTTTTTCTGCTAACACTATTTATTTAAATAAAGTAAAGGAAAAACATAAGGAGGAAATAAGAGAGGTTGGGCAATGCTTATTAGACATATACACGTCAGTTGTAATTTCAGGAATGCTTCCTTGGTGATAATATAAAGTTTACACATAAAGTAAGGCCATTCATGTCTTTTTCTTTCATGCCAGTTTTTTTTAATCACATGATTCAAAATGGGAAGAAATAATATCTTCCTCTGTTAAGTGCCTCAGTGTCAAGAACTGTGGTGGCACTGAAATGTTACCCTTGCTACAGTCTAACAAGTTAGCTTGCCCCAGTTTCATAGATGCCAGCAGAGTACATGACTCTGGGATCAGAGACAAAGGAATTTATTACTCACGGCACAGCAAGCAACATAAACATCATGTTCACATGATCTTCCTTGCCCTCCAATTCCATGGAAAGGGTAATGTTGAACATGCCCAGATGGATGACGTGCACGCAGTCAGTTTGTGTCGCACTGAGTAGCATCAAGCTTAGGAGATCCACAATATTATAAGGGAGCTAACAGCAAACCCACCTAACCTTTGCCTCAAAGGAAGACTATATCTTTATTATGCTCAGAAGGAAAGAAATATGCCCTGTGTCTCGGAGGGAAATATTACCTCTATTTTTCAAGGCTCTTTGCTCTACAAATATACTTGGAAAGATAGTCTGGAATAAAAGCTGTCACAAGATGTGTAAAAGTGTGACACAGTCATGGAGAACTGTCTCCTAACATAGGAGATACACACACATATACACATACAAACATGTACACACATACATGATATCTATATGGTATGCATATATGGTATATGTATACTGGTGTATATATAGCATAAGTAAATATATGGTATATGTAAACATACATGTGGCACATATAAATATATATGGTGTATATAAACATATACATAGTTTACTTTTCCTGAAAATCATGTAAAGCAAGCTTATAATTCTCGTTTTAGGTGTAAAAAAGCATTATTAGCCAAACGCCTTGCCTTATTTAACTGAGATTGTAAGGAACGGATTCCAAAATTCAACCCTTTGTTCTACTCAACATCCCATTCTCTATCTGGTCAACTAATGCACTAATTGCTGTGATAAATAGGGAAAAATATATCTATTCTGTGACACTGAGTTCTAGAAAGAGGGCCCTTTAACTTTTTATATTAAAATTTTAAAACATTCCACCAGAATTTAAAAAATACTGGTGTTCCTGCCCTTCTCATAATTGGCCTTATTACAAATTATATCACATGCAATGCCATTCAAACAAGTATGTAAAATGGTGGTCAATAAAGCAGTATGATTTTTTTCTCCTTCAATCAAACCAATTGTTAAATGTAATTATAATCTTGGAAGAGGCAGTTAAAAAGATGTTGAATTAAATTGAGCTCTGAAAATTGCTCACCTCATGATTCCTTCTGATTACATCTTGGCATAAATCCACCAAGTTTCAATATGTAATTTAAGGATAATGTATAATTGCTATTGGAACCAATGCAGTTTCTCCACATTCAAATGGAGGCCGATTTTATTAGTAATAACTGTAATAACTCTGCTAAATAGATTGTATGACTTTGCTGCTCATTAGGAAATTATTTTTCAGCAAGAACATCTTACTTTTATATATGTAATTCAAATTTTAAGTAGGAAATTTATTAATGAGACAAGTGTTTATAAAGACATATATTTTACAGATATTATAGTCTGGTCCTAATCAGACAATTATTTCCTATGGTGTTAAATTCAAGAGCTTATTTTTCATTGTCTTATTTTTAAAGAATCTTATCTAAAAGAGGCATTTTAAAGATACACAATGAAGTTTAGATCTATGGTAACGAAGTATCAGAGAAGTGGCATGGCTCCCTCCAGTTTCATCATGCAGCTACATATTTTATGAGAAAGAAATGTTTTGTATTAGAAAATCACTACAAATGTGTGCCCTAGACATTGGTATCTATCTGTAGTGGATAGTATCATCCACCAGAGAACTGAAATTAGTATACTTACCTAAATGGTAGCAACTCTTAAAAGAGGCTCTCTAGTGAAATAAATACAGAGAAAAGCTGGTTAAGATGTTTTCACAGTAGTTATATTGCATATTAAATAAGGTATTTGGTAAACTTCCTAATACTTGGAGAAGTCCTGAACACTTGTTAATAATCTTTTATTCCACTAGAATGCCAGAGATCGCAATCCTAGTTGTCTTTGTGTTCCCACATATTAGATAAAAGCCATTTCTCCATTTAAAAATATTCAATATTTCAAGGCCCCATGTGCACTTGAAGAGAGATAAATGAAGATCTCAGGATGAGATGGAAGAAGTGACCAATGGACTGAGGCACCAGAGAATGTGAGAGTGATGCCAGGGAATGAATGATGGAGATATAATGGTCATTGGCCCTAAGCTCTTATTCTCTGTGTCTTGGTGTCCTCATCTCTAAAATGAGAATGGTGCCTTCTTTTTATGTTTATTATAGAGATTAGCAAAATTATCTAGTTTGAAATTCTCACAAGTGGAAACTATCACATTTATGATTTCAGCTATCAAAAAGTTATTCTAAAAGTTATATAACATAGGATAATGCATATTTTTTCTTAAAGGTAGTTTCCTCTTAACATTTTTGTGCTACTTTCATGAAGTAGTATACATAAATCACCCAGCACTATATCTAGCATGTGGTATAGTATATACATATACTTTCTTTGGAAATTAGCACTGAATTGCATTACACTTGTTCAGTTTATTCAGCAATGTTTTTGTGCTACCATGTGGCAGATATTTCTCTAATTGTTACAAATACATCAGCAAATAAAAAGCAAAAAATATCCCTGCTTTCATACAGTTTATATTTTCTTTTATATTTCTTACCTGTGGTCTAAAGCTTACATTTTAAGTTGTAAGAAAATCATTTCACTTTTAGTAAAAGCAAATAGAAAATTAAAGAAAATAGGAAAAATGCTCAAAAGTGATTACATTAAAAGTAAGTGAAACCTGATGTTTCCTAAACGAAGCTTGGTTCATTTCTTGGTAAAGACAGGGTGGGAATGGCAGATCATCAATAAGAAAGCTGCTAGAGCTCTGAACATCTGGTTTTAAGATGGAACTTTCTTTATATTTCTAAATTATTATATAATAATAATAGTAAAAATACTTTTTTAGAGACAAGGTCTCACTCTGTCACCCAGGCTGGAGTGCATGGCACGATCATAGCTCACTGCAGCATCAAACTCCTAGGCCCAGGTGATCCTCTCATCATAGCCTCCCGAGTAGCTAGGACTACAGGTGTGTGCCACCATACCTGGCTTATACTTTTTTTCTGCCTAACTTTGTAGATAAATTTGATATTTGATTCTCTTCTTAAAAGATAATTTATATACAGTTAATTACATTTTACAGGTCTAGATCCAGGCTCAGAGAGAAGCTGCATATGTCAATAGAGATAAGCAACTCAATATTGGCAGAGGAACAGCACAAAGTAGATCTGACTTCTCACAAACAGTGCTTACTATTCCAGGTTTAGAAGGAAAATGATAATATTGCCTTTAACAGGCAATTGCAGCAGAGCATGACTGATGCTGAGAAATTCCTGAAAATATGCAACCTCCTAAAATTGGACCAGGAAGAAACAGAAGTGGGGAATAGACCAATAATGGGCAGTGAGACTGTATCAGCAATAAACACTCTCCCAACAAAAACAAAACCCAGGACCAGATGGATTCACAGCCAAATTCTAGTAAATGTGCAAGGAACTGGTACCAATCCTCATGAAACTGTTCCAAAAAATCAAGGATGAGAACATTCTCCCTAACTCATTCTACAAAGCCAGTATCACCCTGATACCAGAACCAGACAAGGACACAACCAAAAAAGAAAACTACAGATTAATGTCCCTGATGAACACTGATACTAACATAGGAACAGAAAACCAAATACTGCATGTTCTCACTTATAAGTGGGAGATAAATGATAAGAACTTACAAACACAAAGAAGGAAATGACAGACACCAGGTCTACTTGAAGTGGGATTGTGGGAAGAAGGAGAAGAGCAGAAAAGATAACTGTTGGGTACTGAGCTTAATACCTGGGTGGTTTAATAATACGCAGAACAAACCCCCATGACACATGTTTACATATCTAACAAACTTTCACATGTACCCCCAAAGCTAAAATAAAAATTAAAATAAATAAATAAAACAAAAAAAGCAAAAATCCTTAATAGAATTTTTGCGAACTGAATCCAGCGGCACAACCAAAATATAGTAGACCACGATTGAGTGGGTTTTATTCCACGTATGTAAGGCTGGTTCTACATCTGCAAATCATAAATGTGATTCACTGCATAGATAGAATTAAGGATAAAATTTAATCTTCATAGAGATTATGTTTCCTTGAAAAGAGGTAATTCTATTTAAAGTGAGATCTTGAGAATGAGAAATAGGATAAGGCAGCATAATCTTTGGTTCTATGAGTCCTAATTATTCTAAATATAATTTGCAACTTTATATATTTTGAATGAGCTATAACAGTTTGTTATCTTTTTACTGTGTGGTAAAGGGGTACTACTAGATCCATGATAAATCTTCAACAAATATGGATATATTCCTGATTTGGAATGACATTCATGCAGGAAAAGAGTTGCTGAGCTAGATGATAAAAAAAAATGGCTTGATGATGTATCTAGTTGGGTAATGTAGTCTTTCTTTTGGAAGCATGGTGGTTAGAATTAAAGATCCTGTTGATGGACTTAAGCCTGGGCTGAAATCCCAGCTCTACTAATGGATATGTTTATCTTCTCTAAGCCCCATTCTTCTCAATGTACAATGGTGATAACAATGATGACTACTTCATAGCATACTTTATGCATATATCTAACACTTAGTCATCTTTCAGTCCAATGTTAACTCTTATTAAAGAGTTCTTAATCTATTAGACACCCTATCACATGATACTTTGCTCAGAAGTCCACCTTGAAAATGTTTAGTATTTATGAAAATCTCAAATACTGATAATATTAAGAAATCCTAAAAATCTGCATAGAATAAAGAGATGACACACAATTAGTAAAGGGTAAGTCCATTTTGAACCTATCTTCTTTCATTTTTCTTATATTTACATTTGATATTTATATGTACACATGGAATAAATTCTTAAAATTTATGTTTTTCATAATTCTCTTAAGAAGAATTCATGCTCCCAATAAGAATGAAAACTACACATGTTGTTCCCTTGTTGATTTACATGACAGTCTAATTAAATTAATTCCTAGGGAGATAGGTGTGGGAAAAAAACAAAGGAGAATCTATGGAATGTAACAAAATTGGTTTTAGGCTTGAGTGTAAAGGAAACAAACCTGTTATGCAGATGATGCCATGGTGGCAAAGTACAAGATCCCAGTTTACAAGGTTTGCAAGGAAATTTCCCTGATAACATCAAAAGATAATGATGAGGCATTTATATACTAGGAGCAATCACCAATTATCATAATAGCAAATATTATTAGGGAGGAGTAGTTAGAAAATATAAGAATTACATGGAGTGTTTCCTCTCCAGGGAAATAATCTGAAAGTGCTGTTTGGGTTTCATCAGGCCACTCCAGAATACATAATTTTTAATGATGAGTATAAAGGGGATGATTTTCTTGTGGTATGCCAGTGACATTGCCTCCTCAAGAGACCTTTTTAATTTAGCTTTATGGAAAGTAATATAGCAGAATTCACCCAAATATAACGGCTTCGGGAGCCAACCTGCATATGTTCATAGCCTGGTTCTCTCATTTCCTAATGGTATGATCATGAGTATATTGTTTAACTTCTAAATACTTCAGAATCTTTATCTATAAAATAGAGATAATAATGACCTTTACTTCATAGGGTTTCTACTGATTACATAGGACAATTAATATAAAAAATTTAATGTAAAACATGTTTAATATATGCTATTATTACCCCTACATTAGATTAAAATGCCTTAAAATAACATAGCACTTTATAATCTTAAACCTTTTTTTCATGCCTCATTTCAACTCCAAATATCCTAAGGTAAGAAGTTCAGTGTGATCCTCTTCCCTGATGAATTAGCAAATTTAGATTCAAAAAAATCCAGTGACTTGCCCAATCATATGGTTATTAAATGAGGGACTGATTCTATAATGAAGTGTCTAGGCTAACAGACTTTCTCTTTTAACATCTTTACTTTGTTATGTATTCACCATCACCATGAGTGATGATTTTATCACAGGATAAATATTTGACAAGGTTAACACATGAATGGTATGGACAGCAAAGGCTATGGATTTAAAGGAGGGTCAGATGGAATAATTAGACTGGAGATCTATAGGAACAATTCAGGGAATAAGCAGTACTGGAATTGGGTCTTGATAGAATCTTGGGAGGTGCAAGAAAGCCACTGCTTCCACTGCTCCATCTCTGCTTGGTGAGGCCCAGGGGGCTGTACCACCAGATCTGCCTTATGAGATCTGGGAGTCCTATAAGAAGTGCTAAATATGGAAAGGAAAGACCACTACCAGCTACCACAAAAACACACTTAAGTACATGGACCACTGACATTATAAAGCAAATGCACAATCAAGTCTGCATAATAGACATCTGAAACGTGACGACAGGATCAAATTCAAACACATCAATATTAACCTTGAACATAAATGGGCCCAATGCCCCATTTAAAAGGCAAATTGTATAAAGAAGCAAGACTCAACAGTATGCTGTCTTCAAGAGACCCATCTCGCATGCAATGACACCCATAGGTTCAAAATAAAGGGATGAAGAAAAATTTACCAAACAAATGGAGAACAGAAAAAAAGCAAGGGTTGTCATTCCAATTTCAGACAAAACAGGCTTTAAACCAGCAACAATTAAAAATACAAAGAAGGTCATTACATAATGGGAAAGGATTAAATTCAACAAGACCGAACTATCCAAAATATATACATATCCAACACAGGAGCACCCGGATTCATAAAGCAAGTTCTTAGAGACCTACAAAGGGGTTTAGATAACCACACAATAATAGTGGGGGACTTTGACACCACAATGACAGTATTAGAAAGATTATAAAGGCAGAGAAAACTAACAAAGATAATCAGGACCTTAACTTGACACTTGACCAAATGTACCTAATGGATATCTTCAGAACTCTCCACCTCAAAACAACAGATTCATCTCATCTACACATGGCACATACTCTAAAATTAACCACACAATGGACCATAAAACAATTCTCAACAAATTCAGAAGAACTGAAATCATACCAACCACACTCTCAGATCACAGTACAATAAAAATAGAAATTAATACTAAGAAAATAACTTAAAACCATACCATTTCATGGAAATTAAATAACCTGCTCCTGAATGACTTTTGGGTAAACAATGAAATTAAGGCAGAAATGAAGACATTTCATTCATATTTGAAATGAATGAGAACAAAGATACAATATACCAGAATTTATGAGACACAGTTAAATCAGTGTTAAGAGGAAAGTTTATAGTACAAAATGGCCACATCAAAAAGTTAGGAAGATCTCAAATTAACAACCTAACTTTACACCTATAGGAACTAGAAAAACAAGAGCAAGCCAACTCCAAATCTAGCAGAACACAAGAAAATAACCAAAATCAGAGCTTAACTGAAGGAAACAGAGATATGAAAAACCAGATAAAAGATCAGTTAATCCAGGAATTTGTAATTTGAAAGAATAAATAAGATTGTTAGACCACTAGATAGACTTATAAAGAAAAAAAGAGAAAAGTTCCAAATAAACACAATCAGAAATGACAAATAGGACATTACCACTGACCCCCATCTAAAAACAAAAAACTCTAAGAAATTACTATAAACATCTCCAGGCACATAAACTAGAAAACCTAGAACAAATGGGCAAATTCCTGGAAATACAACCTCCCAAGACTAAACCAGGAAGAAACTGAATGCCTGCATAAAACAATAATGGTTTCCAAAACTGAATCAGTAACAAAAAGCCTACCAATGAGAAAAACCCAAGGACTAGATGAATTTATGGCCAAATTCTACCAGATTATAAAGAAGAGCTGATACTAGTCCAACTGAAACTATTCCAAAAAACTGAGGTGAAGGGATCCCTCCCTACCTCATTCTACGAAGCCAGTATCATCCTGATACCAAAATCTAGCAGAGACACAGAAATACTAAAACTTTGGGTCAATATCCTTGATGAACATCAATGCAAAATCCCTCAAGAAAATACGTGTAAACCAAATCCAGCAGCACATCAAAAAGCTTATCCACCACAATCAAGTAGGCTTTATCCCTGGGATGCAAAGTAGGTTCAACAGGTGCAAATCAGTAAATGTGATTCATCACATAAACAGATCTAAAGACAAAAACCACATGGTTATCTTAATACATGCAGAAAAGGCTTTCAATAAAAGTCAACACCCCCTCATGTTCAAAATCATCAAAAAATTAGGCACAGAAGGAACATACCTCAAAATAATAAGAGCTATCTATGACAAACCCACAGACAACATCATAACGAATAAAATCTGGAAGCATTATACTTGATAACTATAATAAGACAAGGATGCCCACTCTCACCACTCCTATTCAAAAGAGTACTTGAAGTCCTAGCCAGAGCAATTAGGACAAAGAAATAAAAGGCATCAAAATATGAAGATAGGAAGTCAAACTATATCTGTTTCCCAATGATATGATTCTATACCTAGAAAACCCCATAGTCTGTGCCGAAAAGCTCCTAGATTTGATAAAGAACTTCAGCTGTTTAAGGATACAAAATAAAAGTATAAAAATCATTACCATGTCTATACACTAACAATGTCCAAGCTGAGAACCAAATCAAGAATGCAATCCCATTTATAATAGCCACAAACAATAAGATACCTAGGAATACAGCTCACCAGGGTGGTGAAAGATCTCTACAAGAAGCCTTATTAAACTGCTCAAAGAAGTGAGAAATAACAAAAACAAATGAAAAATTGTTCATGCTCATGAATAAGAAGAATCAATATTATTAAAATGGCCATACTGCCCAAAGCAATTTACAGATTCAATGTTATTCCTATCAAACTGCCAGTGTAATTTTTCAAAGTATTAGAAAAAAAAGTCTTAAAATGCACATGGAATCAAAAAAGAGCCAAAATACCCAAGGCAATCCTAAGCAAAAAGAACAAAACTGGAGGCATCACATTACCCTACTTCAAAGTATACTACACAGCTACAGTAACCAAAACAGCACGTTACTGGAAAAGAAAAAAAAAAAAAGTCATACAATCTCACACAGCTCAATGGAACAAAATAAGAAGCTTAGAAATAAAGCCATACACCTACAACCATCTGATCTTTGATGAAACTGACAAAAACAAGCGATAGGAAAAGGACTCCCTATTCAATAAATGGTGCTGGGATAACTGGTTAGCCATATGCAGATGATTGAGTCTAGACCTCTTCCTTTCACTAAATAAAAAATTAAATCAAGAAGGGTTAAGGATTTAAATGTGTAACCTAAAACTATAAAAACCCTGGGAGATAACATTGGAAATACCATACTGGACATAGGCCCTGGCAAAGATTTTATGACAAAGACACCAAAAGCAATTGCAACAAAACCAAAAATTGACAAATGGGACCTAAATAAGCTAAAGAGCTTCTGCACCACAAAAGAAACTATCAGCAGAGTAAACACACAACCTACAGAATGGGAGAAAATATTTGCAAACTGTGCATCTGACAATATTCTAGTATCCAGAATCTATAAGGAACTTAAATTTACAAGCAAAAAAGTCTCCATTAATAAATGGGCAAAGGCCATGAATAGACACTTTTCAAAAGAAGACATACAAGTGGCCAGCAAGCATATGAAAAAATGCTCAGCATCACTAATCTAAAGGGGAAAGCTTATACACTGCTGGTGGTAATATGAATTAGATCAACCATTGTGGAAAGCAGTTTGGTGATTCCTCAAAGAACTTAAGACAGAACTACCCTGGACCCCTTCCTTACACCTTATACAAAAATCAACTCAAGATGGATTAAAGACTTAAATGTAAGACCTAAAACCATAAAAATCCTAGAAGAAATCCTAGGCAATACCATTCAGGACATAGGCATGGGCAAAGACTTCATGTCTAAAACACCAAAAGCAAAGGCAACAAAAGCCAAAATTGACAAATGGGATCTAATTAAACTAAAGAGCTTCTGCACAGCAAAAGAAGCTATCATCAGAGTGAACAGGCAACCTACAGAATGGGAGAAAATTTTTGCAATGTACTCATCTGACATAGGGCTAATATCCAGAATCTATGAAGAACTTAAACAAATTTACAAGAAAAAAAACCCCCATCAAAAAGTGGGCAAAGTATATGAACAGACGCTTCTCGAAAGAAGACATTTATGCATCCAACAAACATATGAAAAAATGCTCATCATCACTGGTCATGAGAGAAATGCAAATCAAAACCACAATGAGATACCATCTCACGCCAGTTAGACTGGCGATCATTAAAAAGTCAGGAAACAACAGATACTGGAGAGGATGTGGAGAAATAGGAATGCTTTTATACTGTTGGTGGGAGTGTAAATTAGTTCAACCATTGTGGAAGACAGTGTGGTGATCTCTCAAGGATCTAGAACTAGAAATACCATTTGACCCAGCAATGCCATTACAGGGTATATACCCAAAGGATTATATATCATTCTACTATAAAGACATGCACACATATGTTTATTGTGGTGCTATTAACAATAGCAAAGACTTGGAACTAAACCAAATGTCCATCAATGATAGACTGGGTAAAGAAAATGTGGCACATATACACCACAGAATACTATGCAGGCATAAAAAAGGATGAGTTCATGTCCTTTGCAGGGACATGGATGAAGCTGGAAACCATCATTCTCGGCAAACTAACACAAGAACAGAAAACCAAAGACCTCATGTTGTCACTCATAAGTGAGAGTTCAGCAACGAGAACACATGGACACAGGGAGGGGAACACAGGACCTGTCGGGGGGTGGGGGTCTAGGGAAGGGATAGCATTAGGAGAAATATCTAATGTAGGTGATGGGTTGATGGGTGCAGCAAATCACCATGGCACGTGTATATATACCTATGTAACACTACTGCACATTCTGCACATGTACCCCAGAACTTAAAGTGTAATAAAAAAAGAAAGAGAGAGAAAAAAAAAAAAAAAAACAGAACTACCATTAGACCAAGCAATCACTTTACTGGGTATATACCTTAATGAATATAAATCATTCTACCACAAAGACACACATGTGTATGTTCATTGCAGCACTATTCTCAATAGCAAAAACATGAAATAAACCTAAATGCCAATCCACAGTAGACTGGATAAAGAAAATGTGGTACATACACACCATGGAATACTATGCAGTCATAGAAAAAAATGAATTCATGTCCTTTGCAGCAACATGGATGGAGCAGGAGGTCATTATCCTAAGTGAACTAACGCAGGAACAGAAAACCAAATACTGTATGTTCTCACTTATAAGTGGGAGCTATACATTGAGTACACATGGACACAAAGAAGGGAGCAACAGACACTAGGGCCTGCTTGAGGGTGAAGGGTGGGAGGAGGTTGAGGATCGAAAACATATCTAAGATAAACCATACTTATTACTGGTCGATGAGATAATTTGAACACCAAACCCCTAAGACACGCAATTTACCTATATAATCAACTTGCCCATGTACCCCTGAACCTAAAATAAAAATGAAAGATAAATAAAAATAACAAATAAATATAATGTCAACTTCAACAAAAATAAATAAGTAAATAAAAATTAAATATTATTTCTATGTTTAAAAAGACAAGAAAGCCATGGCAACATGGCTGGTGCATTAATGCAGACTGAAATACATAATGGATGTATCAGCTAAAATTGTAAAATATTTTTACATGTAATTTAAAAAGTATAATGAAGATATTGTATCTAGCTAATGATTCATTCTCACATATCTAGAAACATTCACTTCTCTATTTTGATCTTAGCTTTGTAACTTTAAGTGGAGAGAATTGGCCTATATTCTAATATTTAAGTTGCTCCATCACTCAGTGTAAATTGCCTGCCTTCAACAATTATGACAGATATTAGGTACAGCATGACAGGAAGTAAATAAAATCAGTTCTGCAAAAGGAAATAATGCCTTTCCTATAGCTTTTACTAATGTCAATTTGGAAAATCTTGAATATCAGTTTTCCTGTTCAATTATTAAAAACAGTATATTTGTGAGACTTAGTGCATTAGTTTTGAATTTTGTTTCATGCTTTTTTTTAATAGTAAGGTGCTCCTTTAATTATTCTGGACAATAACTTCAGTAGTTTTCTTTTGACTTGTTACAATCTGCCAATGATTTATAAACACTCAAATATAATTACTGAAATCTTTTTTGTAGGTTTAAAAATAATTGAAAATGATGAAATGATAACTTAAAAACCTGTCATTTAAACATGAAAGCATTGTAGTCCAATTAAAATTTCTTCATCTTTCTAAAGATACGGGCATATCAACTTTTGGAAAATGAGACACTTTTTATTAACAAAAAATAAAATACTTGAAAATATGCATCATGCTATTTGGAAATACATGTGAATATTGATATAAAAAATTTACTGAAATTTTGCTTAAATTAAATTTTACTTAGTGATAATATTTATTCTTATAAAATAAGTACTACTTAAACATTTATGTTTTTATAACCATTATGCTCAAAAACATATAAAAGTCAATGCCTCTTTGGTGTCTCTAAAATAAAATCAGTATCTCCTGGAAAAGAGTCATGATACTTTCATTACTTACAATATTTTTTCCACCAGATATCAGCTATTGGAATGTCAAAAGTAAGACTCTAGGAAGATAAATACAATATTAGGGAAAGTCAGTTCTAATTATATTTAGATTGTGAATCCTTTTGAAGCTCTGATGGAAGCTATGGTCCCTCCTTCCAGAAAAATGCACATACGCACTGTAGGTCCTATGTTTACAAGTGGACTGAGCTGTGCAAAAGAAAATTTGCCTTGTGGGTTAACTGATGTAGTCAACATATATTTAAACTGCTTAAAAGTCAACAAAGGTACCTTGCCTGAAAAGTATAGGAGAGATAAAGTTCACATTTTGTATAGGTTAGCACGGCAGGACAGATAGCAAAACAACTGAGTTAATTGAAAAGAGTTTCAAGAAGGGACTATTTAAAGGTGACATCAGCAAAATGACTGAAGTTCCTAACACTCTTCTCCCCACAAAAAACCAAAACAGTGAATAAACAACTACATTTCAACCAAAATTACTAAAAGGTAGCATCAGAGCACAGCAAAGAAGTACCAGAAATCATATACAGCATAGGAACTCAGGATGGCCACATAGAGAAGGGAAGGAAACATCTCACCTCCACCATCCCATCCACCCTCTTGGGATCAGATTATAATCAGGAGGAACTTCTCCCTGTGGGGAAAAGATAAGCAAGAGGACTCCAGCATCCTCCATCACCATTGTGGACACCTGCAGTCCTAGCTTCTGGAGATTCCCACAGTTCTCAAAGGCTTGAAGCCCAGAAGAGGGAGCTCCCCATACTCCATACATGAAGATACCTTCAGATAAGGAACCGATGCTGTGTCCCCTCCATCATGGCCCATGCTGTTAATGCTCTGTACTATCTCAAAACAAGAGCTACTGCTAGAGTGTGTCCTGTTATGGGGTGAGTCATTGCATCTCTCATTCTCTGAGGCTTGGCTGCCACTACACTCACACCCATCCAGTAGTGTCCCATCCCCAAGCAGAGCTGCTATTACACCTTACCTTTCAGGGTCAAGCTACCACAGTCACTGGTGCATCCTCCCCTGAGGGCTCAGCTGAAGTGGTGATTCACCCCCTCAGGGACCTGGAGCCTTGAACTACCAGAGCAGTGATGCCTCTGGCCCCAAAGAAAACACTCAGCCCCACCTTCCCAGGGACCTCAGGCCTCCTGCACACTGGAGTAGTCACATGCTTGCTGCTACAGCTGAGGTAGTGCTCTGGCCCTGGGGATCTCAGGCATCTGGGACACCAAAACATTTGCCCCTGGCCCTGGTGCCTCAAGTGAAGCAGCACTGCAGCCCCCAGGAGTTATGATATTCTGGCACACTGAGGCAGTTGCACCACCCAGCATCACAGCTAACATAGTGGCCCACCCTTCGGGATCCAAAGACTGCTAACCTCTATAACTTCACTTTCTACAGCCAAACATATGCAGCATCTCACATCCCAGGAAATCAGAGCCTTGGCTGAGTTATTTCACCCCATCCTCCTGGCCGAACAGCCACAGTACCCCACCTACCTAAAACTGGACCGTCTCTCATAGTCTAAGCTGCTGATGCACTCTGCCTCTCTGAAGATTAAAGTCATCACTGTGTTGCTTTCTACCTTTCAGAATCCCCCACAGTGGCATCTTGCCATTCCTGGGTCCTTGCTGCTGCTGCACTGGACTTACGGTGCCTGGGCTACTGGTGAACCCTGTTATCCCAGAGTCCACAATGACCACTATGTGGTATCTCATGCTCTGTCAGTTCTGAGTCCTGAATTGCAGCTTTGCCTTGCTCACCATGGCCTGAGCCTCTGGAGCACCACATTTTCCTCCCAGAGCTATGCTAGTGCTGTGCCCTGTTCCCCCCAGGGTAACAGCCACAGCTATGTTCTAGTCTCCTGGGTCTGAGCTGCCGGGGTTTGCCTTGGAGCAATAGACCTCAACTTATCAGGAGGACTTCATCCACTCATACCTTGAACCTGTACCTCAACTTCCAAGTGCTACAGTAGTTTTGTAAGATCTTGAGCCCAGGAACCCAGATCCACAGCTGTTTCAAGCACCTATGTCCTGGATCTTAGTGTCTCTCTGGCTGCCTCAGAGCCATGTCAGACCCAACACCAAAATAGATCTCTTCAGCTAAGCCTCCCCACTGTTAGAGTCAAGAAAAGCCCTTTCTCTAATGAACTACACAGTCAATGTCACTGCCACAAACCTCTGCTGCCTAGACCACTGAGGTACCTGCATTCGTTACTGATGTTGACTAAAATGAGGAAAGTGCATGGAGACTACACCACTGCACCCACACAAAACCATAACCACCACACCTCAACCAACTGGCACCTCGATCCCATCTGCAGGTGAAAGACATGTCCTATGAAGGCCACTATGTAAAGAGGTGACCAAAACACAAGATGGAAGACATCAACACATGTACACAAGAAATATATAAAAGCAAGGAAACATGACATCACCAAAGGAAGATAATAATTCTCTAGTAACTTGTCTCAAAGAAGTGAAAATTTTTGAATTGCCTGAAAAGGAATTCAAAATAATGACCTTAAGTATACTAAGCAAAATACAAGAGAATACAAATATTAATAGATAATTCATGGAATTAAAAAAAATTCATGACCTGAATGAGAAATTTAACAAAGACATAGATGGCGTCAAAAAGAACCAAACAAAAATTTTGAAAGTGAAAAATTCAACCAATGAAATGAAAAATTCAGTCAATGAAATAAAAAATACAATTGAGAACTTCACTAGTAGGCTAAATCAAAAAGAATAAAGAATCTGTGAACTTGAAGATAGGTCTTTTGAAACTACTCAGTCAGAGGACAAAAAAAAAAGAGAGAATGGAAACGAGTAAAGATAGCCCATGAGACTTATGGGACACCACTAAGGAAACAAAAATGTTCACATTATGTGCTTTCATGAAGAGGAGGAGACAGAGAAAGGGACAAAAAGTTTATTTAACAAAATAATTGCTGAAAATTTCCCAAGTTTTGGGAGAGAAATGAATCCAGATCCATGAAACTCAAAGATTTACAAATAGATTCAACCGTAGTTCCTCTCAAAGGCACATTATAATCAAACTGTCAAAAGTCAAAGACAAAGAGAAAACTTAAAAACAGTAAGGGAAAGTCTTCAAGTAACATATAAGGGAGTTCCCATTAGATTCTCAGTGGACTTTTCAGCAGAACTCTTGCAGACCAGGAGAAAATCCAATAATATATTCAGAGTGTAGCCAGGCATGGTGGCACATGCCTGTAGTCCCAGCTACTCGGGAGGCTGAAGCAAGAGAATCACTTGAACCCAGGAGGCAGAGGTTGCAGTGAGGTGAGATCGCACCAGTGCACTCCAGCCTGGGCAACAAGAGTGAAACTCCGTCTCAAAACAAACAAACAAAAACAAAGTGCTGAGAGGAAAAAATTTCAGTTAGGAATACTATATTCAGCAAAGCTGTCCTTCAGAAGTGAAGGAGAAATAAAATCTTTCAGAGACAAGTAAAAGCTGAGGTAATTTATTATCACTACCCCTGCCTTAAAAGAAATGCTTAAGGGAATTCTTCAGGTAGAAAAAAAAGGATAATAATTAGTGTCATAAATACATGTAAAGTATAAAACTCACTGGTAGAGATAAATAGTCAAACCCAGAATACTCCAATACTGTAATGGTTATGTGTAAATCATACATACTGCTAGTATTAAGTTTAAAATTAAAAATGGTCAAACACATACTGGTTAAAGAAAGTATTTTAAGCTTTTGGAAATCATGAGATGAAATACTTAGAGCCATAGTTCACTGCAGGAAGCCAAAGTTTAACTTTTCATGACCCCACCAAAAGTCCCATGGAGGATATAGGAAGTGCCTGCCATTGCCAAGAAAATTCTGCCTCTAACATCAGATTATGGGAATCTCAGAAAAACAGGGATTTCCACTGGTTGCTTACAAGTCAGAAGAAGACCAAGGAAATTATGTAACAGGATAAGGTGACTTTAAACATACATTGAAAAAGACCCATTCAGTTGGGAATAACACAAAACAATCAGCATTCACAATATTGTTTTATGCCTGATGCATGCTCTTTTAAAACCTCATCCTTCTTCAACTGGGTAGCAGCAATTTTATTAGTTAATTGTAGTGTGACAAGGACTTTTCTGCTTTTAAAATGTTAATTTTTTTTTAGTTATTTGGATTTCAGATCCAGTTCATATTGTTTTTCTTAAGCTTTAAAATGTTTTTTTGTTTTGTTTTGTTTTGTTTTGTTTTGCTGATGTAAGCCCTTGAAGAAAAATGTATTGGTTTTCAATGGTGATATGTACATATTCTAAGGGGAAGTTTTAACAATCTCTAAAGTTTGAAATCAATTACAGAATAAATTAAATATTTGGAAAGTGGACATTTTTGACCTTTGAATAATTTATTGAATTGGCCTTTTGCTTATTCTTTAAGTCGGAAATGTTTACAATTAAAGAGTAATTATATACAAAAAAATGATAAAAGAAATAACTCCTTTTCTCCCTGGTTCCAGGTTGAGAGCTCAATTTTCCATGTGAGTATTAAAAAGCTAATTTCATGCACAATTCACTTGAACCTAAATTTCATAGCAGAGAGGGGTTTTAATTGCTCCTTCTTTTATATATAATAAGCTGTAGGAAAAGCAAATGTGGTTAATTATCATAAGATCTACTGCAACAGTTTTGCAAATGATGACGATACATTTAGCAATTTTCCAAATTATGATACCTGCAACTTTCTTTATTTGTGCTGTATTGTTTAGATGTATGAGAATTCCCAGCAATTGGAAGAAGCCAAAGTGCTACCCATCTAATCTCTTCATCCACACCTACAAAATCTGCCAAACTCCTAAACCTGAGACATTTATTTGAGAGACATGAGTGTTTTTCATAATAACCCATCTTCAACTTATTTTTGTTGAGCCCACAGAGGTATTTTGAAAATATGCTTCTGTATTTTTTTGGCTCTACTATAAAACAAAATAAAAAGAAGAAGAAAACTCCCAACAAACAGAAGTTATACAGTTCTATGGTGCTATACTAGAAAGCTATTTTTGTGTGAAGGAATATGACTTAGTTAAGAAACAATATCAAGTTTGGGTTATGGGGGGAAATAAACTGTAGTCCTTTTATCATGATCTCCATGATTAATTCATAATTCAATCTCAGGAAATTATTCCTTAGATTCAATTTCTTAATTTCATAAATTGAAAGGATTAGATGCAATAATTTCTGATGTCCATTTTAGTCAACTTAATTAAATGGTATTACAGGAGTCCCCCCTTATTTGCAGTTCCCATTTCATAGTTTCAGTCACCTGCCGTCAACTGTGGTCCAAGAAAAAATAAATGGAAAATTTCAGAAACGAACAATTCATAAATTGTAAATTACATGCCGATTTGAGTAGTGTAATGAAATCTCAAACTCTCTCCCTCCCTCCCACCTGGGACATAAATCATCACTTTGTCCATCATATCCATGCTGTGTATGTTACCTACCTATTAGTCACTTAGTAGCCCTAGAGCTGTCTCAGTTATCAGATCTACTGTTGTGGTATGGCAGTGCATGTGTTCAAGTTACTGTTATTTTACTTCATAAAGGTTGTACAACATAACAGTAGTTATGCTGACAAATTGTTATAATTGTTTTATTTTAGTATTAATTATTGTTAATCTCTTGCTGTGCCTAATTTATAAATTAAACTTTGTCATAGGTATGTATGTATAGAAAAAAATAGTATATATAGAGTTCAGTACTATCCACCAATTCAGTTATCCACTGGGAGTCTCGAAACATATTTCCCATGTATAATGGGAGACTACTATAGTTACGCTGCTGTTTCTAGGCAAAGTTGTCATGAACTTGGAGGCTATTAGCTCAATTGATGCAGATTTAAGGTCCTTTAATAAAACAGGAGATGAAAGCTAAAACTAACATTTGAGTGGCACAGCCATTTTCTTGCAACCTGCAGTGGCATGACCATAGCCATTGGTTGCCACTGTTCGCTGCTCTCCCCGCTGTTTCAGTTCCAGTGCAAATCTGTGAGGGCAGCACTCCTTTGAAAGACTTAATGAATCACATATAATTATAACAGCCGATAGATTTTAAGGGGTAGCCATTTTTATCTTTCAGATAGACTTAATCTAGCATTTTTATATTACAGTATCAGCTGTTTGTCATATTGATAAAAAATAAGAGAAGAATGATTTAAAGTTTATTATTTCAGGTGTAATGTGAATTGCTCACATTTTCATTGTGCTGAGAAACTAGAGCAGAAGGACACATGGTAGCAGCAGGAAGCTTCTACAACTATCTTGATGACTTGTTACTTTGACAGTTTCTATGAGAACCCCAGCTGTGACCAAGGTAAGTGGGATGGTGTCACTTTGACACTGCAGCTGCTCTGTTGGCAAGTAGAGTTCTGTGTGATCCTTGGGAAGACAAAATATATAACATTTCAAAGAGGGGCCACTTTACTGTTATATCAATACCTGCAAGTCTTGAATGAGTTGAGTGGTGGAAACAAAGTCTTAATTCATTGTTTGAAAAAACTAGAATCTCTGTCTTACCAGAAGTTGAGAGAAGACTAAAACTGAAAGACAGATGTGTGGCCAATTAGGTATGTCAGGCTATTTCCTTCATTTTTATGTCATACGTGAGTTCATAGTTTTCTAAACCCATTCAAAATTAATGGACAAAGAAGACAATGTACACTCGACTATTGAAAACTGTTGTTAGAGCAGAGCTGAGCAGTTACTTTAGGCTAGTTGGGAAAGCATAACAATCTACAATTATTTGAAGCTATAAATATTGAGGCAGGAGAGAAGGCATTTAATAGAGTAGAAAAGAATTCAATAATGAGAAGTGAAGTAATGCTTACAGCCTGGCCATTTTATTAGGAATCACTACATGACATTAAAAGCTCCTGAAAAATGGGATGTTCTTGTGAAGAAAGCTGTGGAAACCTCACATTTGCCAAGTTCACCACTGAATTCAGGAAATGGGACAATAATGGGTTGAGTAATACAGGAAAGGCAGATTTGTAGGTGATGTCATAAAGAGCAGAGTAATTACTTCACTGTCAACTTTAGGATAGGTGCCTACTCTCGGCAAATACTGACTTGCGTCTTCTTATTTCTTCTTTTATTGTGTCTCTTTCTGCTCTGAGACCATTAAAGCAGGCAGCTTGCTCTCTTAAGCTGTCCACATGATTGCTACATGTCATATCTCCCCATGCTTTTGAGGCTTTGTGACAACTTTAGCTTTTCTCTTACCTTCTGTGTCCACCTACAAAATTTCATAACTAACAGATGGTGAAGTGATAATGACCAATAGCGGTTAACATGTGATTTTAACAAGGGCCTCCTTCATACTGAGCAGATGCCTAGAGTAATAATTCTCTAAAAGGAAACTGCAGACACTGCCAGGTCAGCAGTTACTAAAGCCTTCAAGGTACCTTTCCGGCCAGATGACATTTGACATTCCATAGGTGAACCATTCTACACCATCATTCCTTATAAGGACTCAAATTACCAACTGAACTTTTCAAATCTCTCTTTAGTTTACTGAATACGTTGATTAAACTAAGCTTAATGTTAAGCATGGGATTCCATGATTGAGAGAAATAAATATTAAAGCAAACCGTATCAATTGTGGGATAGAGATAAACAGCTTTTACTGTTTGCAAGTTTCCTGCCTGATTCACTCTTTGTTGGTAGCAATTGAAGTACAGTTCCCCCTTTTCTCTTCTAGTCTTCCTATCTCTTAATCCTGAATTTAATATCCAGAAGTATTGTTTAGATTAGAAGATACTCAATTACAAGAGTAAAATTCTCAAGAGATAGGAATAAACTTCAAGCTAATATTGCATTTGATGTGTTATTATGAGGGAAATAAGCACCATATCTTACTTTTACATAGGGCTTTCATATCAAAGCTTGTATAAACTTAAATTCATCATGTACTTTATTGACAAATGGATAAATTAATATTGACCCAATTTAAAAGCTATCTCTGAGATGAGTTTGAGATTATTCAAACTTTACCATTTGTTCTGCTGAAAATGGAAAACCAAAACATCTCATAATCCCAGGGACAGGCATTTCAGTGTTTTTGTCCCCTCAACAGATAGAGGTTTCATGATTACATGCTCATTTTTAGTGGAGGTTGGCAGAAGGAGATCAAGTTAACTGGAGGAAATTGATAACAGCAGCCCATGCATTTGAGGTTTCTAAGAATAAACTGGCAAGTTGAAGCAGTTGTAAAGTGGTATTTTCTTTTTTGATTTAGTCATCAAAGAAAAATATGCACAAATTGTCACAGGGAAAACAGTAATGGAGAAGTACACATTATGAACATTGATTTTTACAAACTTAATAAATAATAATAGCTAAGGGATATGGAATTGTGAAAATACAAGTCTTTCAGGGATCATCTAAACCTCATAAAACTTTCAAAATTTGCTGTAGTAGAGAGATTCTCTACAAAGCCAAGTTTCAATTATATTTCCAGAGAGATTAAGTATTCCAGAAATCAAGTGTAACCTTTAGCATCTTTTTTACATAATTAACCTTGTTACCTGAAAACTGCCAGTTGAGTTTGAAAAGCTGTCCTATGATTTTTATTAGGATCTAGGGTAGGAAGTTGAATGAGAATTGTTCAAGAATCTGTACCCTTGGAGAAAGCTTCTGCTGTGAGGTTGGGCTTGGGGTATAAACTGTCTTAAGTAAGTTCCAATAAAGGGAGAGAATGTATACTTAAATGATCCTTCCAGGAGAGGAAAGAGAACATTTGAATTCGAAGGAAAGAACAATGTTGAATTCATGAATTATCATCACGACCTGGTTGTAATTTCCAGAGGAAGAGAGTGTCCTCTCAACCAGAAAATTGGTCCCTTTCCAGAAATGGTTGACTAGGACTCAACATGTAAAACTTCTGTTGTATTATTTATTATCTTTTTATTTTCATAATAGACCTAAACTTTAGAAAGAGTACTCACTTTCCTAATCCCTGTGCTGGGGCTGTCATAACAAAATACCACAGACAGGGTGGGTTAAACAATAGAAATTTACTTTCTCACAGTTCTAGAGGATGGAAGTTCAAGATTGAGGTGTTAGCAGGGTTGATTTCTCCTGAGACCTCTCTTCCTGGCTTGCAGATGGCAAGCCAAGTCTTCTAGCTGTTTCCTCACATGGCCTTTCACCTGTGCACAAGTGCATTGAAGATGGCTCTCTTGTATCCTAATTTCTTCTTATCAGGACACCGATCAAATTGAATTAGGGTTCACCCTAATAATCTCATTATAACATAATTACTCTTTAAAAGCCCTATATTCAAATACAGTCCCATTCTGTAGTAATAAGGATTATAACTTAAATATATGCATTTTATAGGGAACGAAATTCAGTCCATAACAGGCCCTTTGTCCAGCAACAAAGGTAAAAATAAAAATAATTTTAGCCAGAGCTAAATCAATATTAACCTCTGACATATGTCACATTCAAACGTATTGTCCTGAAGACCTTCAATCAATCTACAAAGGAAAATTAGGTGTTCTGTTTTCTTTATCTTTCTTTCCCAAACTAATTCTGCCTCTCCTTAATTATCTTGAAAGCATTAAAATATTTCCCCACAGGAAAATGTAAAACCCCACTCTCCAGACCTAGAGAAACATAGAAATGAATAATTCTGATATTGGTTGAAATGTAGCATTACAAAAGGGAAGTTATAAAAGGAAGATGAGATAATATCCACCTTAGAACTAGCTCTGTGTGTGTACACGTGTGTGTGTGTGTACACGTGTGTGTGTGTGTTTATATGTGTGTGTGATGTTACCTCTCTTCTATTTATTTTCTCATACTCTTACAAGTAGGGTTCAGAGTCCTATAATTTTGAGACCTCCAACAGTCAACTAGTTTCTGTTAGTGGACGTTCCCAGTTTTGAAACAGATCTAGTTGCTTCTAGCACTTCATTTTGGCATCATACAACTGGGATTTAGGTTCATTGTGACCTGAACTTCAGCAGTGGCTAGACAGATTTCGTAATTCATTATTTGAATAATAAGTAGGCTCCCTGATTACTTATCTTTCTTGCTTACCCCAAATCTGAGATGGAAAAAAAGCCAATAAAAGTAGTTAAATTGTGTTGGTTTTATTATATCTGTTGCTCTAAATAAAATGTCTTCACATGTTTAATCTATTGAGTAAATATTTCCTGTTGGGGAAAAGCTTCAGAGAGGATAAAAGGAAGTCATGATCTGCTCAAATTATTCTCCAAGCAAGCAACTCCAGAATTCCTCACCCTTACCATGCACTAGGTAAATGCTAGCTGGAATGTTTTACGCTGAAAAGTACAATTCTCAAAATAGTTACCCAGTTTTTCCTATCAGTGTTCCTGATAAGAAAATCTACTCAATCTACTCTAAAACGGCAGGCACCTGCACATAGAGAGTGGAAGTAATTTATCTGAACACAGGTTGAGAGCTACTAGCTTATATCAAAAGGTTATGAGAAGGGGGATGGGGGAGGGATAGCATTAGGAGAAATACTTAATGTAAATGACGAGTTAATGGGTGCAGCAAACCAATATGGTACGTGTATACATATGTAACAAACCTGCACATTGTGCACATGTACCCTAGAACTTAAGGTATAATTTTTTAAAAAAAAGGTTATGAGAAGGAGTAGATAGAAGAGGGTAGGATGGAGTGGAACAAATGAGAAAGAATCTGGCAGAGAAAGTACTTGTTGTTTGCACAATTCAAAGGGCACCGTTAAATACTTATGTGATTATCCCATCTGGAGCACAACTCCATGGAATAAGAAATATGAATGGTACCCCTGAAGAAGTCTATCCCTGTGCACTGGGAATCTGATCCCCTGAGGGAGAAGGGATTTTTTTCATAACAAAATATACACATTCCTGGAGAAATGCATGTATTTTCCTGTAGTGTATATTAGATGTAAGGAGATTCATCTTGGAGAATGTGCTCTGACATGGCTGTAGGCTCCAGCTATTTTTGTCCTGTTGCTAGTTATTTAAAAAAAATTAAGCACTGTGTTTGTAAATTAACATCTAGGAAATTACTTTCTTGAGATTGTCTAATGTTTCCATAACAGAGTGAACTCTGGTAGTAAAACATAACAGAAACCTTCTGCTCTCAATTACCACAACAATCCTTTTATTCTGTTGTTCTGCATCTGAAACACAGACACAGGGAAATGAGGATTTACTGAAAGATATCTTTGGGTTAAAGGTTCAATCAATAAACAAAAATTTATTGTGTACTCTCTAGGAAACTCAGTAAATTTTTTTTAGAAATTGCTTCTGAAATACAGATTTTTTTGATGAGTAAAAGGAACCCAATTAATACATAGGGCCAAAGCCACAATGACTGACCATAAAGAGATACAGCAGTAGAGAGATTTGTAGGTTAAATGTAGCTCTCAAATATCCCAGTGGAAGCAAGAAAGTCTTTTATAGAACTTGGTGTTGAAAAAGTTATGTTACATTAGGTGTATCTAGTGGGATTAGTATCATAGTTACATATTTTGTACTATGTGCATCAATTCATGGAGTATTTAACTGGCAGATGGGCTAGATTGGAAGGCACAGTATGGCTTAATTTGCATGTCTGGTACCTTGGTAGGGAGGCTGGAAAAAAGGGCTCAGCTGGGACGGTTTTCTAGAGGTCCTTCACATGTCATCTTCAGGTCTGAGGGCAATCTACCTCCTTACATGGTTGATCAGGGCTCTCAGAGACAGTGTTCCAGAAAAACTAGGAAAAAATGCAAATACTTTATATTTTAGCCTCAGAGATCTCATTTTTTTCACTTCCACTGCATTCTGCTGATTAAGCTAATCACTAAAGCCAAGTCAGATTAAAGGAGAAGATATTTAGAACCATCTTCTCCATAAAACAAATGTGAAAATATCTACTGCCATCTTTAATCTGCCACACAATGCTACCCATAAACAAAAGTAATTCAGTGTAAGTAGGTGACTGAAGCACAGGATGTCTTTAAAAATATTAGCTATTCTTTCTTTACATCTTATTTTCAGAAATCTTTCTATAGCATGTAGAAGAGACTTTTTTTAGCAATCTGACCATCTTCTCTAAATTATTTAAAAATATATATATTATCAGAAAATTTGGTTCACATTTCAATATTTATAGGATACTTGGATCTCAGGATTGAATAAGACCTTAGAGATAATCCTCAGTTCCTATACTCAATTACCATTTCAGTTAGCTCAAACTGCAGGTTTCAGCTTTGGGAGTAAAGCAAAAGAAAGCTGGCCAGCACTTGTGAGTACTGCCCATTTTTTCCCATACTTACTAAATAGCAGTGTGCAAGGGCATGACTCATAAACCACCACCACCTTTGACAGGTTTGCTTTAAGAATAGACTTATTATGCAACTTCAGCAATAGATCTTCAAATAGCTTGGGGACAGAGGCTGTGATGTGAAGTTTAAGAAGCATACTTCTGCAAAGCTTAGTTGTAATATATTTGAGACTCATTGGGGGTGCTAAAGTAAACTGCAGTCAATAAAAGGATAGTCTAGTTTTTGGAAACAGATGGCAGATGTGATGATAAGACTATACGGAAGTTCCTCTATGATGAATAATGAGGCAAAGTGTTTACTGAAGAGAATTTAAAAAGAAAAGAACTGATGGTTAAATGCAGGGTGATTGGTATCCTGGAATGAGGCAGGGAAAAAAAAAGGCAGAGTGCAGAGGTAGAGACCCACAGAAAATACCAATTGTGTATACAGGATATACAACTACCTTAAACACTTTTTACAATGAGATGAAGTATAAGTTGTTGAATAAAAAATTGTTTAACTCAGAAAGACACAAACATAGAAAAATGTAGACAAAGAAGAATAGAGGCATATCCATTAAAGGAGTATTTGTCCATCTGTCCATCCACATACAGATGGACAGATACTCCTCCATACACACATGCACACAACCATACAAATGAATTCAGAAGGACTCACCTACTTAGTATTTT
The DNA here is from genome assembly GCF_000001405.40 of Homo sapiens. Taxonomy (NCBI): domain Eukaryota; kingdom Metazoa; phylum Chordata; class Mammalia; order Primates; family Hominidae; genus Homo; species Homo sapiens. The sequence continues at coordinate 187,039,524 of NC_000001.11, forward strand.
AGACACTTTTTGAAATGAAGTAGGCAATTAAGTATTCCGTAAAGAAAGACATACTAAGGTTGACAGAGACTTAGAAACCCAAATACATTGAAACACATGTCACAGATACACACCTGCGCCTCTCTTTCTTATAACATCTTATCTATCCTGGAGTCTTTTAGGATTTTCCCAGTAAAGTCATTTAAAGCTAAATTTCATTTTAACATCATGTGAAAATATCATCCCCTAGAATTTGCCTAAAAACTTATATTAAACTCATTAGAGGGTAGATTTTGGCTCAAAGAGTGGATGTTCCTTATTTCTGACTTACTTTTAGTAATAACATAGCTGTTTATTACTATTAGCTACTTACTTGAGTAGTTTAATACACCTTAAAATTGCAAGAGTGCTGTTAATGTCCTGTTTCAATAGAGTATTAATAATTATATAAGCAATAAGACATTTATATAATAATTTATGTAGTGTAATTCCTGAATTTATTTTTCAAGAATATTAAGTATTTTTAATGATAGGAGAATAAATCACTCTATCAATAATTATAAATTTTACCTTTCTTAAAATTATACATTATTTAAGGACTGATTTTAAATACCATTTTTTGAAAAGTAAAAATTAACTTATTTTACCACTGCAATATTGTTTCTCTAGCCCTTTAAAACTATTTACATTATTTTTAACATTAAAGAAAAAAACATTGGTAACACATATCTTGCTCCATGTTTGAAGTTCATGACAATCTCAATTATGAAAACTAATTGATCACTAGGATGTAGGTAAGCTGCTGATCATATATCATGGTCATTAAGAAAAAAGTACTTATTTTGCATAGAAAACATCACATAGCTCATCAGAGGAGATTAACATTTTCTAAATGTTTTAAAAATGGAAAGATAAAATTTCTCAGATTGCTGAAGAAAAAGTATGCCTTTTAAAGGTAATTGCCAAAATGTCAAAAAAGATCAATGCAGATGTTTTTTTTTTTTCTTTTTTTGAGACAGAGTCTTGCTCTGTTGCCCAGGCTGCCAGGCTGGAGTGCAGTGGCACGATCTCAGCTCACTGCAACCTATGCCTCCAGGTTTAAGCTATTCTCTGCCTCAGCCTCCCAAGTAGCTGGAATTACAGGTGCCTGCCACCACACCCACCTAATTTTTGTATTTTTTAGTAGAGATGGGGTTTCACCATGTTGATCAGGCTGGTCTCAAACTCCTGACCTCGTGATCCACCCGCCTCGGCCTCCCTAGTGCTAGGATTATAGGCAGGAGCCACTGCGCCTGGCTGATCAATGCAGATTTTATTAAAGCATCACAAATTATTAAAACATTGTTTAAAGCTCTATTTTCTCAACTTGTTACTAGATTATAAGAACTGTCATGTTATTTCTGGTAAAAACTTAGAACTGAGTTTTAAAAGACTGCCAAAGACCTATGATGTATGATTTAGTTATGAGCCATGATGGAGGGATGAAGTGCCAAGATAGGTATTTGGTAGATAGTTTTAAGATCATTCCTGATGGATTCTTACTGTTTGATATTCATATACTTGTGTACTTCCCTCCTACATGGAGAGAGACGTCTTGTGTAGTAAGAGATGTCTTGTGTTTTGACTAATAAGATATTGTAAATAATATGGAGTGCGGCTTCCAAAGCTATTTCATAAAATAGATAATAGGAGTAAGTACGCTGCCAAATCATGAGGATATTCAAGCAGCCCTATGAAATGTCCTTGTGGTAAGAAATTGACACCTCCCAACAGTAGCCACATGAGGGGGCCATCTTGGAATCGGATCCTCCAGTCTCAGTCAAACCTTCAGTTGCTGGCAACCCTGATCAGCATTTTGATTGCAACCCCATGAAATGCAGTGAGCCAGAAATAACCAGCTATGCTATCCTTGAATTCATGACTCGAATAAACTGTGTGAGATTATACATTCATATTGTGTGTTTTAGTTGCTAAGTTTCAGAGTAATTTCTTATGCTGCATTTGAAACTAATATAAGTACATATTGATATTTTAGGACTAAATCTAACACTTAATGGCTGAATAGCATTGTTATAATCACTTATTTTTTCTGGAACTCAGTTTTCCTATATTATTTATATATATATTCATTTTATAAAGATGAAAATATTATATACAATATATTCATTTTATATAAATTACAAAGTATAATTAGGTGATCTCTAGGATCCCTTTTAAATATAATAGCTATGCATATTTCTGAATCTATGAGACTGTGAGCATTGTATTAATCAGGTCCAATGATTTGATTTGAATGTTGAAGAAAGACTGCTTGATTATTCATTATCTTATTCTTATTTTATATTTAAAATTACTTAAAAGATAAACTATTTTTAAAAGTAGACTTAGCAAGCTAACTCATACCGAAATAATTTTATAATTGACATGTCTATTACAGAAGATACATTTTATATGTATATATATATATAGAGAGAGAGAGAGAGAGAGCCTATTGATAAGAGGTAAGGGAAAATGAATTAGCATATGATTCTTAACTCTGGAGATACATTGAAATCACCTGGAGAACTTTTTAAAAAATACTTATGCTGGGATCCCAACCTAGACCAATTAAATCAGAATTTCTGGTAATGGAATGAGGAAATCAGAAAAATTGTTACAGATTTCATAGATAATTCCAATTTATGGCCAATATGAAGAACTGCTGAGACACTTGAAGAAAGTAGTTACTAGACTGAAGAAATTTTGGAGTGGATCTACTGTGGGAAAAAAAAAAATAGAATACCCAGAAGTTCTGCTGGAAACCTCTCCATGGGAGGAGGAAATGCTGGTTCTGGTCACTCAGAGATCATTAACAGAAGGTCTGTTCAACTGCCTATCCTTGGAGTAGTCAAAAAGCTAACTAAGTTCCTGTCGGCAAGAGTGGAAAAAAAAAAGCCTGAGGGGTTCGTGTCCACCTGGTTTAGATACTTATAAGCTAAAGATTATCAATTAAACTGAAAAAATTCCAGAAGTTGAGTGTAGAGAAGAGGATATAACCTGTGTGGGCAGGTAATAGAGCATTGCCAGAATATTAGAATACTTATTATTAAAATAAAATAAAAAATATTTTGTTATCTTTTATGGAATAATTTGGAAAGTTTTCTTTTTTGTCTTTTATTTTCTTTTTAAGTAAGAGCTTATTTTCTAATCACACCGAAAATGTATAGGTCAGCTTTTTGGATCTGATGATTCTCATGATCTCTGAAGACAAACAGTGCCATCTGGCCACAAGCCTTAAATAGCAATAACATCTTAGTCACTTTGCAAATACCATTAAAAGGAAGCATCTCACATAGCAAAAATAAAGCATAACATTATTTAAAAATTAAATGATAAGTTGGAGAATTTTGCAGCATCAAAAATAAGGGACTCATAAATCAAAAGGAAAATGGATTATACCAGGAAAAATATGAGCAAAAGACATGAGCTGGTAAATGAGAAAAGAAAAAAATACAAATGGTCAGTAAGTACACAAGAAGATATTCACCATCATAAGTAAATAAAAGTTTGCTATTTGTAGGATTAGCAATTTTTAAAAATGACTATATTGGTAATATGATGCTTCCATTTGAAATGTCCCAAATGACATTAGAAATGGGATAAGTATTATAGCATATGTATATACATATACATATGTATATGAGAGTATAGCACATCTATAAAATGAAATATTTAGCCATTAAAAATAATGTTATAGTGAGTATTAATTGAAACTATTATCCAAGGAAAAAATCCAAGTTATATCCAAGTTATGGATAATGAGAGCCTGAATATATAAATGGACAATGGCCAGCCCATATACAACAACAGAATTCTGACCCACTACCTATAAACCACCCGCCTGGGAAGATAGACTACAATCTCTGCAGCAAATAATTTGAAACAACGAGGGTTTTGTTAATGACTGTCTTTTCTTTTTCTTCTTCTTCTTCCTCTTCTTCTTCTTCTTCTTCTTCCTCTTCTTCTTTCTTCTTCTTCTTCTTCCTCTTCTTCTTTCTTCTTCCTCTTCTTCTTTCTTCTTCTTTCTTCTTCCTCTTCTTCTTTCTTCTTCTTCTTCCTCTTCTTCTTTCTTCTTCTTCTTCCTCTTCCTCTTCTTCTTTCTTCTTCTTCTTCTTCCTCTTCCTCCTCCTCCTCTTCTTCCTCTTCCTCTTCTTCTTCTCTCTCTGACTCTATACACATCTTTGTCTGTGCTTCTAGCTTTGAACCATCCAGAGAAAGTCAAATATGTTTCACTAACTAATCACATAATATGCCCAGCTTCTAGTTAGCCCTCTTCCAGCTTCCCCATGCCAAAAAGCTTCAATCAGAGCATACCTAAAACTTTTTCCCACTACAAAGCTTTCCCACTCCTCTCCTTCCCTTTGAGTCTCTGCCAAATGCAAGTGACAGTGGCTGAGTCCCTTGCTATAGCAAACTGAATAAATAGCCTCTGTTTGTTCTCATTTGGGAGATCTTTGATTGTTTCCACAATATCATAATAGTATGTAAACTTCGTGGGTGTTTGTGTGAGCAAGATCTGTTTCTGAGTGTAAGCCTGAGGAAATTTCTGAAAGATAGTCACTAAGATATTAAACTTAGTTATCTTTTGGAGGTGAGGTGCAGGGCTATTTTTACTTTAACATATTTTGCATTTGCATTTTTCAATGAGCACATACAGTTTATGTAAATAGAAACAAAATCATCATAAGTGTACAAATAAGTTTATCATTATGTTTAATATTGTTAGACTAAAAATCATGTATATAAAACATATTTCTATCCATATATGAGGTATGTGATGGTATTCGGTTGGTTGGACTTTTCCTTTTCTCAATCATTCTCTAAAGGTAAATTTTCCATATTGGGTGTCCGAAAAGTTTTAGTCTGATGAATATTCTTTAAATATGAAAAATAGACTAGTTGAGAAATATATTTTTAATTATACAAATGATTAATATGTGTTAACCATAAGGGGACTCTCTGATTCAATAGTCTCCATTATTCAGCCATAACTCAAATAGCTATTATCATTCCAGAGCTAGAAAAAAATCCCCTTAGATTAATAAACATAAATCTTTATGGTCATCAATTTCCCCTGATGTTTCTTTAACAAAGGCCAGAAAGATTAGATTTTTGAAGGGAGCATTGCTCATTTCTGTCAACATCTGATTATTTATCCTCCTTAGTTAAACAAAACCCTGGTTATGACAAAGGCTAAACTTTGAATAAATCTGCAAATTTAAATTATACAGCTGAGGGAGACAAGAAAGCATAAATAATAGGGCCAACTTTTTTCACCTGAGCAGAATCTTGTTCTTCCTAATTAAAGGTGATGCTACTGAGCCAGTCACAGGAGGAAATATGCTTAATCTATTTCGAGGCAATGAGTTTCTGCTGTTGCATCTATCCTTTATTTCCTGGTCTCCCTTTTGACCTTTTCATCCACAGCACATGGGACAGGTACTAGGGTCCCATGAGAAAGACAAATGGCCAAAAAACACAGATCTTACAGAACTTACATTCCATTCTGCACCATTGCGTTTTGATTTTCATATTGATAATATTGTCATGAGGACTAAACAAATATATATATGTGTGTGTGTTTATAGGAGTATACATATATGTATGTATATCTGTGTATAAATCTGTATATATATACACGTGCAAAGTATTTAGAAGGCAGGCATCCTTTAGCCAAACATTACGTATATAATAATTACTGCTATTGTTTCATGTTCCAAATTATTTTGCAATTAACTCTGATATACGCTAACATATGACCAGTATGTTCCCTTTTCTCAGCTTGGAGTACAGAACAAGACTCTATTTCCTTTACTGTTAAAATTATAGTAATTTTTTAACTCTAATGAATTAATACAGTATTTAATACTACAGGGCCTCCTACTGCAAATTGCCAGGATCCCACACAGTTGCTTGTGCTGGTCCAAGAATCAGTCTTCCTGTGGCTTCCTCATGGCAGGAGAACTCAGCTGTGCCAGCAAAACCATCGCCTGCAAACATTGACCCTAAGTAGCCCTGTGTGCCGGGCCTGGTTCCTCTGCACTAAGCCCAAGTCTGGTTTCACAGCCATAAGCAGCTTATGGGAACAGGTTAGCGCAAGTCTCCATCTGCCTCAGGAATCCTCTAAGGTAGCAGAGGTCACTACCAAGACAAAATTTTCCCTCCCCAAACCACCACAAAGGACAAAAGCTTAATTACAAAGAGCTACTCTAAACGTCCTTTCTACACCAAAGAGATTCTTCCCCTAAAGTAAAACAAAAAATTCAATTCTGAAGCCCCAAAGCAGGGAGCAAATTTTAAATGATGGCACAGAGGTTTAACATAAATAAATCAATTGACGATTAGAAAAATGAATAAATGAAGTGAGGAGTAAAGTAAAATGTGGGACGTAACTTTCCACCGAGTAACCTGATACACGTGTATCTTGGTTGACAAGAAAAATATTAAACGAGGCTCATTCTTCTCCATTGTTCTGTCTTATATGTTGTAGATATGTCAGTCAGGTAAAAAAACTATGGATATTTATGCCTTTTGGTGGAAAAGGGATTATTTCCAGTTTGCATATTTCCTGCAAATGTCTGTATTAGAGTTCTCCAGAGGGACAGAACTAACAGGAGAGAGAAGGAGAGAGATATATAGGAGTTTATTAGGGAGAATTGGCTCACAGGTTTACAAGATGAAGTCCTCTAAATGATAGGCCATCTGCAAGCTGGGGAAAGAGAGAAGCTGGTGTTCGCTCAGTGCAAGTCGGAATGCCTGAAAACCAGGGAAGCGGAGAGTGCAGCCTGCAGTCTGTGGCTGAAGGCCCAAAAGCCCCCGGGAAGCCACTGCTGCAGTTCTCAGAGTCCAAGACCAAAGAACCTAGAGTCTGATGTCCAAGAGCAGGAGGAGCAGAAGTAAACACCCAGCAAGGAAAGAAGTCTCAGCAAGCAAAAGAATCCTACCTTCTTCTGCCTGCTTTGGTCTAGCCGTGAGGCAGCCGATTGGATGGTGCCCACTCACATTGAGGGTGGGTCTTCGTCTCCCAGTTCACTGACTCAAATGTCAATCTCCTCTGGTAATGCCCTCACAGACACACCCAGAAACAATGCTTTAACAGCCACCTAGGCATTCTTTAATCCAATCAAGTTGATACCTAATATTAACCATTACAATGTCTTCCACAATCTTAGGAATGGTTCGTTCCTTCCTTATCATTGCATTTTTAAACACACCCGTTGCCCAAGCTGTATCCTCATCCCAACCTCACAGAAGTGTTGTGAAATTATTCGATTTACCTGTTTTGAAATATCTTGCTCATTTCCTCAATAATTTTAATATTCTGAAGGACAGATCTCTATTTCCATTTCTTTGTATACTTCTCACTTTTTGAAGTGTTCACCATGAAACTAATTAATTTGTTTAATTTCTGATTTCAGTGTGTGTCCCAAAGTCACAGTTTTGTGCCTAAAAACACAACAGCTGTTTTCATTGATAAAAGCATGTCAAAATGCACTGGCCACACTGATCTATTTCCAAGTTTATAAGCACAACTAGAAAACTGCAGCCAGTTCATTCAATGTGAGCATCTTGATGTTCCTGAAGTTCAGCTTTGCTAATTCGATCTGCTGGTATTGTATTTATTTCAAACCAATGCCTGAACAAGTATCACACAAGCTGAACTCAATTATCAGTTGGAGAGATACTCTCCTCCCTTATCCCCTCTTGGTAATCTAGTCATATGCTCAACTCTGTACTCTCCTTCTCAATGTAGGATCAGTTCCGGGGTCTAGATATAGGGAAGCAGCTGGCCAGAATTTTTCCCTTTGCCCGTTCACACTTCTGAGTCCTTCTCTGTCCGATGTTAAAGATGAACAAGAGTACTTCCCAATCCATTAGCCCTCCAAGCTTGCCTTAGCACGAAGCCCTGGGGCAGAGAACATGTTGTGGTAACAGCAGGATAATGGAAACGAGACTTGAAGACAGGTATGAAACTTTGTAAATGCTAATTCTTTTAAACCAATTCTTTCTTCTTCAATGGCTCAGCTATGTCATTAAACAAAAAGACTGGGATGGTTACAGTCTCCCCATCCCCCTCTTAAGGGTGACAATGAAGACTATCTTTTTGTGCTTGCCTGTGAAGATTTCAGCTACCTAATGAATTCCTTTGAAGTGAAAGCTTGTCTTTCTTCACTTTGTTATCTATTTTCTTGATGAAGGTAATCCTTGGAAAATAATTTAAGTAAGTCTTGAATAGTAGTGATTTTTAAAGGCTTTTGCTGAATATTTGTGTAGCTAAAATAGTTGCCATTAAAAATTCAGGAAAGGGTCATGGAGATTTGGCCTTGGCAAGTTCCTCTTCGCCTTTATTCAAGGATGATGGAAAATAACAACAACAACAACAAAACAAACCCAGAATGTTCATATGGCTGCATGTAACCAATGAGAGAAAAATAATACAGGACATAGTAGACATGACTGGGGTGCAGACACTTATTAGATACTCACTATGTTGGTATGGTATCTTCTCAAATGCACCCTTTCTGTTAAAGTATAGGAGAACACGGGTTATATTTGAGACTGAGTGATTTGATCATTGCGTTTGCTTTGGGCATCAAGGGAAGACAATTTGCATTGTTGGGAGGAGGGTGTCCACACATCAGACTCTAGCACTAGGATGTAACTTCCGAGAAACTCTGAATGGGGAGAGATTTTTGATATCTGTTTTGCCCTGCAACAGGCTGGGATGGGGATTTGCTCATTTCTGTGTCAGATCCAACAATAGATTTGATATCCTCTAGGCCTCAAGAAATAATAAACACAAAGATAACTAAAGTAACTCTCACACAGCTTTTTGAAAACCCAAAACAGTATAACCATTAAAACTTTCAAGAAATCTAGGATCCGCTGCACTGAGTATTAATCAGGTACTTATGTCACATAGATGTCTAAACTAAATTAGCATTTTTATAGATATAGATAGTTTTGGTTTCTTTTTAGTTGAGGTCACACTTTTTCTATTATTCAAGGGACACACTTCTGGATATCAGGATGGATGGGCATAAAGTATAAAGCATATGAAAATGTTTTTTCAAAACTTTACTATTATTCAACCCAAGAGATGATATAATATCTTGTCATTTTTCTCAGTAGATTAAAAAGAAAAATGACCAATGTTTTCTCTAGTAAATTATTTCAAAAGGATTTAATCAGTCTCTCTGAAGTATTAAGATGTATTATGTCATACCTGGCAGAGAGATCCCTGAGACCCTTTTAAACCACCCTTAGTACATTTTGTGACTTTTGTTACAATAGCTTGAGTATTGTTATTGACTTGTTTTTTTTCTGGTAACACCGCTGAAACGTTCCACAGGCCAAATGTATTCATTTGGTTTATCCCCAGATAGATGCAGTAAACAGGTGCCTTATATCAAAATGACAATGTATCTCTCATGGGCTATACTTGCTGGTGTAGGTATTTTTTGTTTTAAAAGCTAATAATAAAAGCTCTTCTCTGAAATGCAAGACCCATATATAAATTAAGCATAGCTATAGGGTGAGTGTCTTTGAATTATCAGTGAAAGGATATTTTAATATAAATTTAAAACATTTTAGTTTGCAAAAAAAGTACTGAGTTGCATCAAAAATTAATTAATTAGAAAAACAAGTAATAACAAATCAAACTAAAAGATGGCAAGAAGATTTTATAACACACAATTTAAAAATAAAGCACAAAAGAGGAATTACAAATTTCTGTTAAAACATTATTTGTACTTATATGAGTTGACAGCCATTGGAAAAAAAAATGAACCAACTTCTCAAATGAGGATTTTCACCTTGAACTAAAAATCTACTCCTTATAACTAGTTTACCTCTCTCAATAAATGATCAGACCTCCTATATATGAACATATTACTGCTTTATATATATGGTTATATCCGTAACAAGACACTCTAAAGGTATGTATTTTGAGAGGAAAATAAGCCTACCTCAAACTAGAAATATTTTGTACAGCAAAGGAGACAACTAACAGGGTGAAAAGGCAACCTACAGAATGGGAGAAAGTATTTGCAAATCCTATAACTGAGAAGGGGTTAATTCCCAAAATATATAAGAAAACTCTTACAACTCAACAGCAAAAATACAAAACAAAACAAAAAAACCACCTAATAACTAGATTAAAGTAATGGACTAAAGGTTTAAATAGACATTTCTCCAAAGAAGACATACAGGTAGCCAACAGGTATATGAAAGGATGTTCAACCGCACTAATATAATGAGGGAAATTCAAATCAAAGTCACAAAGAGATATCATCTCACATCTGTTAGGTTATCAATTATATATATAAAAAAGACAACAAGTGAGGATGTGGAGAATTTGGAAACCTTGTACACTATAGGTGGGAATGCAAGATGGTGCAGCTGCTATGAAAAGCAGGATGGAGTTTCCTCAAAAAATTCAAAATATGATCCAGTAATCTCAATTTGGGGTATTTATTTAAAAGAATGGAAATCAGGGTCTTGCAGTGATATTAGCACTTCCATGTTCATTGCAGCACTATTCACAATAGTCAAGAAGTAGAAACAACCTACATGTCTATGGAAAGTTAAGTGGATAAAGAAAATGTATATAAATACAAAGGCATATTATTCAGTTTTTAACAAAGAAGAAAATTTTGTAATGAGAAAACATAGATGACTCTTAAGAACACTATGCTGTATGAAGTAAGCCAGTCACAGAATAACAGATGCTTCATGATTCCACTTCTATGAGATATCTAAAAAAGTCAAAATCATGGCATCAAAAAGTGGATTAGTGGTTGCCAGAGGCTGGGGAGATAAATCAAGTGCTAATTAATGAGCATAAAGTTTCAGTTAAATAAGATAGGTAAGTTGTAGAGATCTGCTGTTCAGCACTGTGCCTATGGTCAGCAATACTTCAGATTTCCTATTAAGTGTTCTTAGCACAATAAAATTTTTAAAAATTAAAAAAATATATATTGTAGTCACTCTGACATGCATTTAAGGGTACAGTTTTTGGTTCAGGTATTAGAAATTTATATATCGGTTTTGCATTGTATATTTTCTTTAATGATAAATGACAAAGACAGTTTCTGAAAACAATGCTGCTGATGAATTTGACAAGCCATGGCTATAAAGAGCAAAATTAGCATGGATTTGCCTGTTCAGCGCTGGATTCACTCATCTCAACATAAAAACACATTTACCCTGTTATTCTCCTTCCTCACCAGTGTAGCAGGTATGAACCTAATCATACAAACTGAAAGGTACAAAAAAGTAATTTTTGCATAAGTCTTTCTACTCAGTGCTTCCATTCCACCAGGAGTAACTGAATTTTATTATCAGTTAATCTCCTTCCCCTAACATATATATGTACTTTAATATACTTTATCTTGAGTTGTTTCTAATCTTTTGGAATTTATGCATTAGCAGTCTCCAGAGAAGCAGAACCATAGGATGTTTTAAAATATTATATGTTATATATAATATATACATATTTATATATGTGTTATATATGTTTACATATTATGTATTGGTTCCAAGGCCTCCTGGGAATATCAAAATCTATGGATGCTCATGTCCCTGATACAAAATGCCAGAGTAACTGCGTGTAACCTATGCACACCCTCTGGTGTACTTTAAATCATCTCTAGTTTGCTTATAATACCTAATACAGTGTACATACTATGTAAATAATAGTTACACTGTACCGTTTAGGGAATAATGACAAGAAAAAGTGCATATGTGTTAAGTAGAGAAGCAATACTCTTTTTGAATATTTTCAATTCAAGTTTGGTTGATTCCACAGATGTGGAACCTACCAATGTGAAGTGCTGGCTGTATGTGTTTATGTGTTTTTGAGTGTGTGTGTGTGTGTGTGTGTGTGTCTTGTCCCTTCTCTGCGTGTATGTCTCAATTGTAGTAAAAGTAAAGGAAAAGTAGAATATATAATTTTCATTTATTCTGTAAAGTAAACATACCATCTTTGAAAATAGTGAGCTAAGAGGGAAATAGCTTCAAATCTATAACAAAATTACTTAGGAGGCTTCTAGCCATTTCGAAGCTCTCTTGATCATTACTGAAGCTTATTTGGTGGCTTCTTTCTGTTATCCTGATTCCCCATACCATGGTAGGAATCAAGTCTCTCTAAAGTTTAACCTGTGCTCCCTGAGGGATGCTTCTTGAAGGCTCATGTGCTCCTGGAACTTTTGATGACTGTATAAGCAAAGGCAGGGTTTTTTTTTTTTAGGTGTCCACCAGATGTCACTGTTCACCAGAAAAACGTGACTAACGCTGCAGCATTGAAACAAACAGGTGTTAATAATGATTTGATTCTTAAAATAGAAAAGGAAAAAAATAAAAAAAAAAAACAAGTAGATCTACATTACAACCCGATCTTAGGCAGGAAGTAAAAACTTTCTTTACTTTAGGCTAGAAAATGATCATCCTTTAGGAGCTTTTAATTTCACTAACATTTTACCCCTATTAGGAGACAGGGCAGGTGCTTCTAGTCACAACTATTTAGTGATAGACCACTGAAAGCTAGAACCTGGGTTCTACCCTAGGCCTTGTAATCAGAACATCAATGTTACTGGTCAAGTTCCTTAAACAATTCGTCTTCATTTCTTTTCCTATAAAACAAGAAGTCAGATATTCCCACCAGTCAAAAAATATTATAATCTTGCTTCAAAAACTTTAGATAAATACCTTCTCAAGGTTACCATTTCTTGAGTCTGCACTATAACCCAAGTCCTTTTTTACTCCTTAACACAAGCCAGAGTGCACTAGCACATGAAGCATTCCCTGGGCTGCTTCATTCAACATGAAAAAATAAGAGTCCCACTGACCATATTACCTTCTGCAGCCATTTTTCTTTCTATTGTCCAACAATATGTTTTCAGTTTAAATGTTTACAGTTTAAAAATAGAACTATGTAGGATTTATTAAAATATTTTTTGCTCTGATATTTATTTATGTTTGGGAAAACTGACTTGGCTTACTTTTAAATAAATTTCTTAATAAAACAAAATATAATAGATATATGCATATACATATATGAATAAGAAAATGAATACATATACCTACCATTCGGCTTTACAAAGTAGAACACCTTTTGTACCTCTTTACCCAAATAAATTTAGTCATTTATTTCACCAAGATCATTTAAGAACTAAATTTGCTGCACCAAAGTAAAGACTTTTCTCCTAACGAAAGGTTATTTCTTTCTGGATTTTAGCTTTTAGTAGCTTCATACTCTTAGTTCACCCACAAGCCTCAGAAGACAAGCAGAGGCAATAATGTGTCCCTATAGGCTCCCATCCCATTCTTTTTCTCCTCTTTGAGAGAAAAATTAAGTTCATACTGAAACTGCATTTTTTCTACTGCCTGTAATCTTTTATTTATTCAAAATTATAATAGATTGTAATTCTCATCTATGTTAAAATACAAATTAGTTCATTTTTCGGGGAACCTTGAGGCAGAGAGTAGAGCAATAAGAAAAGAGGAAGGTTTCATGGCTCACATCTGTAATCCCAGCACTTTGGGAGGCCGAGGTGGGCGGATCACGAAGTCAGGAGATCAAGACCATCCTGGCTAACACGGCGAAACCCTGTCTCTGCCAAAAATACAAAAAATTAGCTGGGCATGGTGGCACGCACCTGTAGTCCCAGCTACTCAGGAGGCTGAGGCAAGAGAATCACTTGAACCCGGGAGGTATAGGTTGCCGTGAGCCAAGATCGCGCCATTGCACTCCAGCCTGGGCGACAGAGCGAGACTCTGTCTCAAAAAAAAAAAAAAAAAAAAAAGAAAGAAAGAAAAAGAAAAAAGGAAAGAGGAAGCTCTCATAGTGACCCAGAGAGGAGAAAGCGCTAATGGGAATTTTCTAAGCAGGAAAATTTCTGAACCTAGAATGTGTAAATGTAACATTTGAATTTATCATCATGAGCTTTCAATTGGGGCTTATACTGTGTGAAGGTGGCATTCTGGGGTGAGAAGAGCCTAGGGCAGCAATAGAGCCAGACAAAAAACAGAGAGATAATTCAGATGAAGAAGGGATCTGAGTAAGAAATGATGGGGAACAATGTAAGCTCCCTGTTTCTCAGTCTATTTAAGGTAGTTTTATGAGTCATTTAAATTTAAACATTATTAAAAAGGTTTTCCTCAGTGTAAGAGTTGAAGAAAGAAGACTGAAACATGAAAAGTGGCTCAACAGTCAAAGACAGGTTTCTTTTGGAGAATAAACATGAGAGGGGCTTCTGGCCAAGTTAGGTCAGGAGCCTTCTCTCTTACAGACTAAGGGTATTTAAGGGTTCAGGGGCTCATGAGGAGGGGATGCCTTATCCTCCTAGGGTCCCACGGTTCAGTTAGGACCAGGTGTGCTGTCTGTATATAGCAGAGTTTTCATCAGCTCTCACCCCATTCCCAGACCACATCAGCCAACTTTTAGTCTGTGTCTCTTTGTCTTGCTTATCTGGGAGGGAGAGGTTTTGTGTCTGCTCCCATACATTTTCCTGTAGCTTCAGGCATCCCCGCAGTCCCCTCCCCACCTGCTCACCTGCCGTAGTCTGCTTTTAGCTTACCTATCTTAGTGCACCTAAAGGGAAAGGAATGTGCTTATTAGGGCCCACTGTTTTACTGGGGCCCACTGTATAAGTGTGAAGTTTGGTGATTACTCAAGAGACTTTCCCCCCTCCTTCTGTGCCCAAGCTGTCGTATCTGTGTTTTACTGTCTGCTTTTTCTGGCTGCTTGTTGTTAGAAGAGAAGTGATCTCCTTGAAATGCATGAAGTTAGAAAGGGAGCTGGTACTTAAATTGGTGGTGTTTGTCCAAGATGACGGTGCTCCTGCTCTGTCACCCAGCACACTGGAAGATTTCAGATACCCAGAAAGCTGATATCCAAGCTACAGATATGCATAAATAGAACATGCATTTATTGGAAATACCAGAGTGTTTTTTCAAGTGCACACACATGAATGATAAGGTTCACTAATAAAAGCTTTTTGATTCTCTAGGAAACTCATTCTTTGAGCTTCTTTGTGATTTGGTTTCATTCCTTCTGTAGAACTTCTTGGCAAACCTGGAAGGTCAGGGGCATTTGTCTGATTGTTTTAAGCCAGAAAATAAGTTAAACAGTGCATGTCTCAGTTGCTGGCCGCTTTGGCAGCCTCCAAACCAATAATCTCTGCCACCCTTCCAAAGGGTTAAGAACAAGACCATGCTGGAAACTGAGCAGCAATTACATACTGATTGGGAAAATTGCCAGTCATTCCTGGTCTCTGACCCTCTGTACATGGTGTCCAGCTACTTCGCCTTTGAAATTTATACCTTAATCATCCTTCACATTTGACAGTGTTCTAAATTTTTAAAAGCACATTTAAATGCATTATTTCTCTTGGATATTATCCCTACTGCAGACCTAGATTGCTAGGGAAGATAAAATCAACTGTGTTTTGCACATGGGAATCTAGGATAAAGAAAGATAAAACTTCTTGTTTGAGGTCATACAAAACTCAGAGAAAACCTGTATTTCCTGTCTCTAACACAGGTGAGTGTTTAGAACCAGGAAGCTACTTTCTGTCTCTTCACTTCATTACTGAGATTATAACTCACCGAGCCCAAATACCTCTAAGTCCAAAATCAGAGCTATCACTGTTTCCCCTTTCTATCTGCTCTTGCTATGTCTTTTTTTTTTTTTGTCTTTATGCCCTGCGAAATAAGCTCCAGGAAAGTTAGAATAAAATGATGAATTAGTTATTTCTGCAACATAAATAGTGAAATTTGTGATGGGACTTTGAGTCCAACTTCCAAGTTTCCTCCTTAAATAGAAACTTCAGGAATATTATTCACAGAGTTACATGAAATATCACAAATCCAGGTCTATGTGAAATGCTAACTTAGCATTTTCCCAAGTGTGATATTAATGAGTATATTATATTACAAAAAATGATTCCATGTTCAAATTAGTCAAAGTCCTGTGTCAAAGGACCTGCCCCAGTATCTCATATGTGTATATTACTCAGTGATAAGCAGGATGATTAAGGAGTATATTTCCCTAACTTGCTTTCCCACCGAAATATTTTTTAGATAATTTTTTCAGTCCAGATTATTCTGTGTGGGAAGCTAAATTAGAGAAAAGAATGTTGCAATGTCTCCAGTACTTTTTCTTTGTATCATTCTTTCTAAGGAGTTACTGCAGTTTTATGTATTTCAGAATGAAATCAAATGAGAGCTGTATAAAATCTTCAGATAAATTTTGATTAATTGTTTTAATATCTAAAATACACAAAAATTTACTTTTTCTTGATTTGTTAAAGAAATAAAGTGAAGAAATTTAATTTGTAGTATGTGTTTGTGCAAGTCACAAATAGCCCAAACTGTATAGGTTGAACATGGCAGAGTTCTAGTACTCACTGAGGATAAGAAAAAGAATAAAAATGGAAAGGGGAAGTTCACAGAAAACATGTAATTTTCTCCACTATTCTCAGTGGAAAGGCTGCATCCTAAACGATCAGAAATCCTGGTGGGCCTGTTTGCTCCTCCAGCTTCTCTCTGGTCAAGATTGAATTTCCCAATAGTTCAAGACGCTGACTGGGAGCTTATGTTTCTCTCTACAGCTTGCCTTGCACTGATTCTGGAAGCAAATTGAAGATGTCCATTCCCAGATAGAACATATCAGGTTATATTGCAAGCTCAGTGTATCTTTGAAAGGCAATGCTTTAGCTCCTACTTCTCCGGGACTCTTAACAACTGGTGCAGTTATGAAAAGAAACAAAATCACAATCATTTTACTGACATCACATGTGGTGGCAATTAGTCTTAATTCCAAACATTTTTCTAGGACTTTGAAATTTTCAAAGCACTTTCACTTAATCTGAACTCTCATTTCCAATTCATAAGAAGTTATGCACAAGGCATAAGTAATGATATTCTTTTTGCAAGAGATCCAATGACTTGTGCAAAAGAATGTATATCCAAGAGGGGCCAGATCCATGATCTCTGTCTCTCTGTTCAGTGTTTTATTTTTCTTTGTTTTTTCATTACATATACCAACCTACTTCTTGGAATGAGGCACCATTTCTAAGGTAATATCATAATAAATATTTTGGTTACTAGTTTTGACAGTTACTGGGCTAAGCTCTGACTTAAAGACACAATAAACTATATTTACATGTCTCTAGAACTGTGTTAAGAACTTTGTATCAACTTTATATAACAATCATTGAAATTTGTACCATTTTCCTTATATATATATATTAAACTTACATTATTTTTTAAATTCAGGCATTATTACACAAAATAATTTTTTTTGAGACAGGATCTTGCTCTGTTGTCCAGGCTGGAGTGCAGTGACACAGTCTTGGCTCACTGCAGCCTCAACCTCCTGGGCTCAAGCGATCCTCCTGTCTCAACCTCCCCTGTAGCTGGGACCACAGGTGTGTGCCACCATATCTGACTAATTTTTTGATTTTTTTGCAGATGGAGTCTCACATCGTTGCCCGGGGTGGTCTCAAACTCCTAGGCTTCCTCCCAAAGTGTTGGGATGGATTACAAGTGTTAGCCATCACACCTGGCCACAAAATAATCTTAACTATTTGGTTTGGAGTGCCTTGGCAATTGCATATATCCATGTAACCATCACCCAAAACAAGATATAGAATATGTCCATCCTCCCACAGTGTTGTCCTGGACCTCTTTGTGGTTGATTTTCACTCCTCACAACTCTAGACAAACCATTTTTAATTTCTATTACCTTAGATGTTCTTGGGCATCACATTATTATAACCATGGATTATATGCTGTTTGTTCAGGCTTCTCTCATTCAATATTTTTTGATATTTTTTCATGTGATGTGTATTATGGTTTGTTCCTTTTAATTAATGAATAGCATTTCATTGTATTAATAGATCATAAGTTATTTATCTAGTATCCTATTAGTGAACATTTTGATTGTTTCTGCTTTTGACTATTATGAATAAGGCGTCTTTGAACATTCTTGTACCAGCATTTTTGTGGATATATATTTTCACTTTTTTCAGTAAACACCAGCATTAGAATTTCTATGTCATAGGTAGGTATATGTTTAATCTTATAAGAACATGATATTTTTCCATTCCACATTTCCTCCAGAAGCAATGGGTGAAAATTCTGGTTGCCCCAAATCTCCACCCAATTTGATGCTGTCAGTTTATTTAATTTGAATGATTTTGCAAGGTACAGAATGGCATCTTCTTGAAGTTTTACTTTTAGTTTCCCTGGTGATTAATACTGTTGAGAAACTTTACAGGGTCTAGTAGTTATCTGTTTATCTTCTTTTGTAAAATGAGTGTTTAAGATTTTAGTTTAGTATTTTTTCCATTTTTTAATTTATTGTTGATTTTGAAGAGATTTTTTGTGTATTTTATATACAAATCATTTGTCAGATATGTGTTGCAAAAACTTTTTCCTAGTGTGTGGTTTCCCTGTTATAATTATCTTAATGGTATATTTTAATGTGCAATGATTTTTAATTTAATGAAATCCAATTTATCATTTACTTTTTTTATGGTTTGCACTTCTGCAGTTCTGTTTTAAAATTCTTTGTCAACTCCAAGGTTTTGAAGATACTCATCTAAGTAACTTTTTAGAAGCTTTATAGTTCTGCTTTATGTTTAGGTTCATGGTGTATGTTAACTTGTTTTTCGTGTATGAAATCAGGTAGGGTCAAGTCTCATTTCTTTTTCACATTAGGATATTTATCTATTCCAGCACTATTTGTTAAAACGTTACATTCCCCCACTGAATTGTTTTGCTGCCTTTCACTAATTTCAGCTGATTTTATATGTGTGCATCTCTTTATGAACTTTCTATTCCATTGTATTGATTTTTATTTGTCCATCCTTTTCACAATACCACGCCATCTTGATTACTGTATTATTATAGTAACTCTTAACATCAGGCTGCAATGTAAGCTTTCCAACCTTGTTTTTATTTTGCAAAATTGTTTTTATGATTCTAGATCCTTTGAATTTCCATATACGTTTTAGAATTGGCTTGTCTCTTTCCACACAAAAATATCATGCTGATATTTATTTGGGGTTGTGATAAGTGTATAGATAATTTTGGAAAAGAATAGATATCTTAACAGTATGGTGTCCTCTAGTACATGAGCATTGGATAGCTAACAATTTATGTTTTATTCATTTTTTCTCAGCATTGTTTTCTACTTTTCAGAGCATATATTTTTATAATGTTATTGTAAATTATGTATATTATTAGATTTTATTTTCCAAGTATTTGCTACTAGTATATGGGAATACAATTATTTTTACATGTTGACCTTTTATCTTGTGACTTTACTAAATTCGCTTATTAGTTCTTAGAGATTTTTTGATAAATTCTAATTCTGTAGTTTCCTATGCATACAACCATGTCATTGTTGAATAGAGTTTGCTCATTTTCCAATCTGATTGCCTTATATTTAGTTTTTTATTTTCTTATTGCACTGCTAAGGCCTCTTGTACAATCTGAAATAGATACAGCAAACATCCTTGTGGTGTTCTTGATCTTAGGAAAAATGAATTCTACTATTTTACTACTAATTATAATGTTACCTATAGGTTTTCCATAGATGTGTTTCAACAGACTGAAGGAATTCTCTTCTATTCTAATTTTTCTGAGAGATTTTTAATATCTTGAATGCATGCTATTATTAATTTTTAATGCATACTTTGAGATATTTATGTATTTATCTCCCTTATCCTGTTAATATCATGACCTACAATTGACTATTCTCACATGTTAAAACAACAGAGTTCTATTCCAAATGGAGTTTATCTGTATATGTATTACTGGATTTAATTTACTACTTTTCTTAAAGGTTTTATTTCTATGTTTATAAGGGCTATTAAACCATTATTTTATTTCTTTGTAATATCATTGTCAGATTTTGCTAGCAGAGTTATGCTCCATGCCCAAAGAAGTGCAGAGGAGGGAGTGTCTTTCAGTTCTCATGCTCTCCTTTCAGCCTTTGGCACACTCTCTCGTTACACGTGGTGAAGGCCTGCAGGAAAGGTTTGGCAAACAGACTTGCTCTGTGCCTGGGGATCCTTAGTATTGTTTAATGGTAGCCTGTATGAAGCCATTAAACATTGTTAGGTGTTTGACTGCCTATGGTAGTTTTCTTTTACCACTCTGCCTGGGATGAAAGCACCTCTGGTCTCCTCTCTCCTAGAAAAGGCTCATCACTTTCTGGAATTCAGTTTACTTAGTTTTCTTTTCATTGCCAACTCTTGAATGGTTTTTATAAAACTATGATGTTATAGAGTATCCAGCTTGTTCTCCCTGTTAGGGTAGGAGTGATGGTTCCATTGATTTTCTGCTCCAAGATCTCACAGTTTGAAGTTGTTAAGCTTGGATCTGGAACATAGTTCTTATCTGACTCCATTATTCATATTCTGAAAAGATTGTAGATAGTCAAGATTCATAACTTGTACATTTAGAGAAGAAAAAAGGATAAAAAGTTACAGATGTTTCCCAACTGATGATGTTTTGTCTTATGATTTTTGACTTTACAATGATGTGAAAGTATACACATTTGGTAGAACATCAGTAAATGACATGACATATTCTTTATTATAAAATAGGTTTTATGTTAGGCAATTTATCACAACTGTATGCAAGTATGTGTTCTGAGCAGATTTAGGGTAAGCTGCATTAAGCTATGATGTTCGGTTGGTTAGGTGTACCTGTAGTAAATGCTTTTGCCATGTAATATTTTCAGTTTACAATGGGCTTATTGGGACAAAATCCCATTCTAAGTCAAGGAGCACCTGTACATCTATTTTTGAAGACCTCACACTATCTATTTTTACTCTTTCTTGAAGCATAACTGTACATCTAGGCAAGGATTTTCTAAATTAAAACTCTACTTTGACCTTCATTGATCTACCAAGAATTTGAAGGAGTATTCACAGAAGAGTCACTGCTTACTTTCTACTGGATACAAGTTTGAAGAAAAGTCAGCATGCACTCTGCACCTCTTAGAATGAATTGAGCTTTTGCTTAAAATGAAATATGGACATCTGAACTGTTAATTGTGAAGAGAAGGAAATTTTTTTCTATATATTCAATGCTAGGAAGTTGCAATTTCCAGGACGTGAATTTGTATGTATTTGTACAAATGGAAAATTTTTGTTCTAATGTAATGAGAGTAAAATGCAACTCTGGTGTATTTTAAGTGGAAAAATTAATTAACATTAAAAGACAACATATTGTTGTAAGTGGAGGGAAGATTTGTCTTTCTTGTTTTTCTCTGTCATCTCTGGCAGAAGGCAGCCAGGGGACCATTATTTCCTTCTCATTATTAAGGACCCCAAGTACTTTTGGCCAAAGTCACTGGAACACCTTGTTCCCTTCCTGCTGGTCAAATCACCAATTTTTCTCCCTAGCCCCAGGAAATAGGCTTTCTGACACCAATTTCCTATCTGTGAATTCTAAGGTAATTGTTTTGGTTTTTTGAGTTTCAGGGAAAAACTAGGTCTAGAAAATGGAACTTTTTGAGGGGAGGGGGCTAGATGGAGTCTGGTTAAATTTAGAGCATTCTAAGTAGCTGGGAAAATGTAGAATTTACTTAGGAAAGAGCTGAAGAGATTTTAATTTAAAGAGAATAAATGCTATAAAAGTTTACATTCTTTACAATTTGTCACATAATCAGCCTAGAATTGTGAATAGAATAAGTATTCTATATATTTTATTAGCTATAATAGAAAATTTCCTTTAGCTTTGAGTAATTAAATAATATTAGTTAAAATGAATTCCTGTATTTATTCATGCAGCAATCATTTATTACATACTGTGTGCCAAGGGCTTTTACAACGGACTCCAAAATGCTCATTCTTCAGTGAATAAAAAACACATTTAAACATAATGAAAACACAAAATCAAATCATATATACCACGTTCTTTAGGAGCAAAGAGGAAGAAAGTAAACAGGTACCTTTCCACAAGGAGATTGAAGAAGGTTTTAAAGAAGTGAAAGTTGAATGGAATTTGAAACTACATATAAAGGCATAAAGATAGAGGCAACTTCCAGACAAAAGGAATAGGACCTCCTAACTGTGATGCCAAAATAAAGGTATGGATGAGCAAAGGTCTTGGTGTGAACATAGAAATGCATTTCTATGTTTAGTGCAGCTAAATGTGATGGACTTAAGGCTAGAATGAGATGAAGAAATCAAGTAGTGAAGGGATTTCTAAAGTTTGAACTTTATGCTGTAGAAAACAGAGTGTATTGGAGAAATATAAGCTGCTATTAGAGAGACTGAAATTCTTTAATAAAGTAGAAAAGAATATTCTTATAATTACATCTTGCCTAGTACAACAGGGGTAGCTGCCCTGGTTCCCAGCCTGGTGAGTTGCAGAGAGGTGATGGGGGAAGGTTTGGGTGGCCCTATTACTAAAGTTGACACTACTAGCAATTATGTTATTTTAATTTACTCAATCCCCCTCTCTCTCATCATCTTTTTCTCCCTTTCCCTGTCTCTATCTCCATCTCTTTCTAGCCCTATGTCTTCGTGTTAGTCCATTTGCATTGCTGTAAAGAAATATCTGAGACCAGGTAATTTATAAAGAAAAGAGGTTTATTTTGCCTTACAGTTCTGCAGGCTGCACAGGAAATGTAGTGCCAGCATGTGCTTCTGGCGGGGGCCTTAGAGAGCTTGCAATCACAGTGAAAGGCCAAGGGGAAGCTGATGTACCACATGGTAAGAGAGGGAGAAAGGGCAATGCCAGACTTTTTTAAATAACCAGCTCTCGTGAACTAACAGAGCAAGAACTCACTAATTACCATCAGGAGGGCACCAAGCCATTCATGAGGGATCTGCCCCCATGACCCAAACACTTCTTCCCAGGTCACTTCTCCAGCACTGGGAGTCAGATTTCAACATGAGACTTGAAGCGGACACCCATCCAAGTCATATAACTTTTTAAAGAGAAGAAGCTCTTACAGAGTGGCCCAGCTTTGTAGGCATGATCACAAAGACCACACCTTTCTTGGGACAGTACTGCTTGATAAAATTGTGATAATTTTGATCATTTGAATTTAGGGTTTTTTTTTTCAGTATGTGTTATACAAAAGACAAAAACTTCAGAGATACTAATAGAGCAGGATTTGGATGCAGACTTTTGAATCGACAAAGAAAGGGCACACCAGCCGATTTCTAGCTGTGCAATGTTTTGGAGGCATGGATGCAGTTAATCTGTTACAATGATATTTTTTATTTACTTATACATAGAACAAAATGAAGCCATTTCATTTGTGGTTAATTTTAGGTGGCATGCAAAGCAAACAGTGATGTTAGAATTATGTTCTAGCTGGAAAATAAAATAACTTCATTTTTTTGACATTGAAAACGAAAGAAAAGAAACTCTTGCCGCAGCTGCATTTCTATTACCGAATGCGAACATTTTCAGGACCCTAAGGGAACACGAGAGCTCACAGATCCACCTCCTTCATAGCAGTCACTCTTTTCTTCTCACTCAAAGCTCATTTTACTCTGTCTGTCTTTACTGCCATCTAAGATCCCTTTTATGTAAACTTTCATTTTGTATTTTATTTTATTTTGTGGGCAACTGACCAGGTAATTTCCCGGTTTAAAAATATTAAAACACTTTAGTAAAATTTAAGTTCTTGAAAAACAAACAAAATGTCAGCAAGACTTTGAATGTTGACTCTATTTGCTATAAAACCTCATGAACTGGACCAGAATTTTACATCACAGGCTGACCCAAAGTGTTGTTTGATTTATTTTGATATCTTTCTAGTCTTTCTTTTTCATATTTTTTTGATAGCTAGTTGAAATGATCTATTCAAAAAAACCTGGGCCCTTCTAGGCCCTTCGGAGATGGAACAGCTGGGCATGGTGTAGTAGGAAAGGTGTTCAGGTATTAGTCACCTCCTTTATTGTGGGAAAACCCTGGTGCTTTGGTTACACACATGTAAAACTGTAATAGCAAATCACTTCTTTAGAGTGGCTGATAGTCTCAGAAAAATAAACTCAGGGAACTGTACATACTATAAATGTATAATGTTAGAAATTCTGACTCTTACATCCACATCTCCTTTCGTTCTCTTTCTTTTCCTCTTCTTGCCCTCAAAAGAACTTATAGCATGTATCTGAAATACACAATTAGTGTGAACATTATTTGTTTTGCCAGATTATTTGACAAAACATTGTGGTGTGTGAATTAAAACTTATGCTAGATTCAATAAATAAACTAGGAATAACAATATGAGGTAGGCAATTATTGGAAAATATTATTTAAAGTGGGCCATTACCTAATTGGAGTATTCTACATTTTCACGTAGATTTTATTTTCTATTACTTAATGTTATCTTGTTTCTTTAATAAGATTTGAAAGAAGTAGAATTGGCAATAAGACTAAAGAATAGCATAACTGGTTTTAAAAGGGGGCAAAACAACAGATAATTTAAAATAGAAAAACAGAACCTTATATTATAGGGGAGAAGTCTGTATCTCGAGACAAAGAACACTAAGGAGTATGTAAAATTAACAGTGTATCTCCAGAATAATACACAAAAACAAACACACAGACAACTGGCAATAATATCTTATACTAGCATATAGTGAATTTCCTTTCACAGGGCTCTGAAGATGTTTTGTATGGTTCACTAAACTTAGCATGGGGATTTCAGAATTAGAAAATGGAGATAAATTAGAAAGGGCTCATGAACAGAAAGATAGATAAAGGACTGTGGAGTTTACCCCTTAGGAAACATAATTGAGTGAAAAATATGGTTTGACTCACCACTAATATAAGATACAGCCTCTAAGAATGTGATAAATTTGAGTAACCCAGATCCATGGTATTTAATGAGTGTGTGTTACAAGCACTAGGCAGTGGATAGGCTTTTCATCCCGTGGGCACAGCAGTCCTAGCTAGACAGTATTGCTGGTTGTACATATGCCTTTAGGCTTCTGTGAAGGCAACCAGAGATTTTAAGGCTAGACCAGAGATGTCTGAGCCTCAGACAGGAGACAGTCTCTTGAATAGTGCAGGGGCTGTTTAGAGGCATCCCAGTTAGTGTAGACTCCTAGCAATGCTCAGAGTACAACAAACCCTCCGCATCAGCTTATTGACAGCGAAAGTGAGAAGCCAGAGCAATGTCTCCAAGAGTGTTGTGTTTCCCAATGTCAGAAGTTGTCAAGCTGATATTTATTACATTGTGAAGACTAGAGAGCTGTGTTTTTAAATATTCTCCTACATGTCAGTGACCCCAGAGGCAAGGCCTTTGCCTTTCAGCCAAGCTATTATTTCCCATGGGGATCATGATAAAGGTAGTGGAGAATTTCAAACTCTCGATGATGAGAGCAAAGGGAGTTGTGTCAGCAGTAGCACTGACAGAGATGGCAGGGATGTGAATTCCATCCAACATGGAGAAAGAGCTCAGAAGCACAGTGGGTGAGACACCGGAGGGATATGTATTGGTTGTGACACAGGACATCTCAATAGTGTGTGGCTCCATGACTGTTCTAGAACCAGGGGAACTTTGGAAGCAAATTGTAGTATCAGCGGTGCAAAGTGCTCTTCCTCCAGCTGATGAAGACTACAGCTACTGTTGTAGTCTTGCAATGGGTGGCATTGGAAGCTATTCTTGAGTGGTGTGACTGCACATTTGGGTATTAGGAAAAGTAACATAGAAACTTTCAGAAGACTTAACTCAGTTGCTAGGGCAGAGATGACATTGTCTGATCTCCATGGGAATCCTGCACAAAAACTTGGCGTGGGGCCTCCTATGTCAAAACATGATTGAACCAGGTCTTTGTTTTCAAGGAGTCAATTTTGTCTGATTTAAGATTTCTAAGGGAAGAATGACAAATGGCCCCTTTATCAGCTTCATGCAATCTGATGAGTAGAAGCTGATTGCAGAAGCATGGGCAGATCTGGAATGGGGTACATCCAAATACATTAGGAATATCTATGATTTCTATCTACAGATATACTTTTAGCTATTTAATCTCATTTCATTTTCTCAAACTCAATAATCATATTTCTGTGAAAGGAACACAATAGTAATATTGACTGCTTTTATATGTTGTTATGTATAATTTCATCTTAATGTATGTGTATGTATGTTTGCAAAATGTGATATTAACAGTAATGAGGTGATATTAACGTAATTGTTTTACATATAAACAAATATTTATGCAGTGTTTTACAATTTTACATGTGTTGGTGTTTGCTTATGTCCAATCAGGTGGCCCGAGAATTTGGAACTGCTGTTGTGTTGTGTGTAGGGGTCTAGTCTATGCTACTTAAGTATGTGCCACCACTTACCCCATACACATCAAAAAAGAGAAAAATATACTATTCTTGTAAGTGAAGAACCTGTTAGACACTTGTAGTTAGGATAAATGTTTTTACAAGCTCATTAAAAGAGAACCAACCTGGCCAACATGGTGAAACCCTGTCTCTACTAAAAATACAAAAATTAGCTGGGTGTGGTGGTGCATGCCTATAATACTAGCTACTTGTGAGGCTGAGGCAGGAGAATTGCTTGAACCTGGGAAGCAGAGGTTGCAGTGAGCCAAGATTGCGCCATTGCACTCCAGCCTGGGTGACAGAGTGCGACTTTGTTGGGGAAAAAAAAAAAGAACAAGGTGAAAATCTGATATTTGTGCATTCTTTTAGAAACAAAAAAAAGGGGGATGGGATGGAAGCATGAGGGTTATGTACTTTAAACAGTTTTTCCTAAAAGTGAAATACGCAACAGGGGATGAGAAGGTGAAGCCCAGCTCCTCACAGATGTGCCAGTTCAGCTCAGATGAGTAAAGGGTTTTGATGGCTAATACGAGGCTTAAAGGACACTTATTGGTTCTTGCCTTTTATGTGGAGGATTTCTCTGGAACTTATCTTGAAATTTAAAAATATTTTGTGAGAAAAACAAGGGAAAATTTCAAGGTCTTCGACAACGTGAGTTCAAAGATACTTCTACACAAACAGTATTTCAGATAAAGTATTTGTTAGGTTGAAAATAGGTTATTATTGTTATCCTAATGCATAATGAGAAAAATTGAAACTATTATAAACCAATATGTTTAAAGATGATTCAGCCTTTTTTTTTAAAGCTGACCTTAGCAAGACACTTGCAAGAACAGTTTTAGAGACACCATGTCTTTTTCTATATGTTACTTGGGAAGAAGGATGAACTATGAGGAAAGACTCATCTTTGGCTGGAAAAGCATCCACTCTTGGCATTGAACCAGCATATTGGATCAAAGAAAACTAGATCATGCCAAGGAAAAAAGAATTGTATTCTCTAAAGGGCACTGCAACATTATCTTCATTGTTTATTTTCCCAAGAAAGAAAGACAAAGAAAACATGTTAACAATAGCTAATTTGAGATGATGGAAATATAGATATTTATTACATTATTTTCTATACATCTTTATATTTTTAAGATTCTGCACATATAAAATATGTTTGAGTAAACAAAACTGTTATATAAATCTCCCATCGCTTACGTCTGTACTCTTAAGGTTCACATTAGAGTGTAGAAAATGGTAAATAGTAAATACCACAAAGGAAACCATAGATTAAGACTTATAACATTTTAAATCATGCTTTCTGCCACTCATAATGATAAGCTAAACACTTACAATTTTCATTTTTTCCTAATTCCCTATTTTTATCTTAGCACTTTCTAGTTAAATTGAATTAAAGTCAGTGAGTGTTCATGAACTGTGTCCCACATGCTGGGCAGTGTGTGTCACTGGGGCTGTGCCAGGTGGGAGGCAGGGTGGCCTGGTGGGTACACAGTGGGAGCTGGAGCCAGCCTGCCTGGCTTTGCAGCTTGGCTCAGCTCCCAGCCAGCTGTGTTGTTTGGGAAAAGCTATTTCATGTTCTGCACCTCAACTCCTCATCTGTACAATGTGGAGGTAAAAATAATACCTACCTTCTAAATTGCGAAGTGGAAATTGTTGTGAAGAGTAAAGGTGTAAATACATATTTAGTACTGAGGAAAGGGCCTGACTCATAAGAAGCATTCAGTACGTGCTCATATTATTATCAAGAAAGAGAGACTTGTTCTCAAGGAGATGGATCTCTTGTGGCTCACAATCCTTTTCACATAGAAAAAAAAAAAATACATTCTTTAAGTAAACTACAATATCTCAAGGGGAATCTTTCCTTGATCAACTTCTTCCAGAGACTTAGAAGGTATAGTGATTGAAATGGAAAAAAAAGTAGTAAAAGTGGAGCTCAAGACCATAAAGAAATTAAAGACATTAAAGAACATTAAGAAATGTACTAATCTGATACATGTCTGAAGGTATTAGCATCATGTACTAAGTAAAGGATTGTGTTAAAGCAATGGACACTAGTTAATCATTTTAGAGTTTTATAGTCTTCAGAAAAGATGTCCACAAGGAAGAATAGGCCATGCTCCTAGTGTTACTTAGAAAAAGAAAAGGGGAAAAACAATATTTGAATGGAGAACAGAAGAGAGAAATAAACATTTGAGTTGGTTTTGATTTAACAGGACAAATTGAATAACAAAATTGTTTAAATAAACTAGCAACAACTCCCATTCTCCATGCCACACAACACACATACACAATGGTGAAGATGTGGCACTTTTTTTTGGATTTGATCTATCCCAGTATAAATTACTAAATTAGCAAATCACATCTTTTTTAAAAAAACTTATGGAAATAATATAGTGTTGACATATATTTTAGTTACCCCATTCATCAGGCTTCTAATGTCCTACTGTGGGCTGTAAACTCAAATCCATGGGAAGGTAAATAGAGCAGGCAACAGAGGCAGGTGCACCTGTGAATGCTCTGCATGTGTGGTGATGACTCTGGAAAGCACATCCTCTCTAAAAGGGAAAGCAGTTACTTCTGCCCAATATTCAGGCTCATTGTTCCAGAAACTGGGATTCTTATTTGAAATCTTTTAATTTTAAAATCTTCCAAAAATGAATTAAATGCCATTTGCCTAAAGGTTGCCTTTTTTTCTGTTTTTTTAAATATACTTTTACAATTACCCTAATGTAACATGACTCCATGAATGTGATTTTCCAGTTATGACTTGGTATACACCGAAGAATGTCAATTTTTATCACTTTGTAGATAAATTGAATGGCTTGCTGTTTCCTAATTATGCCCAGTCCTGTCCTATATCTGATCCTTTTCTCATATTATCAAAGGGTTTCCTACCATCGTTTCTCTGTTGAAATTCTACCTTGCACAAATGCTGTGACCACTTGAGACTTGATGCTGTTACTTCCAGTTAAAAGCAACTTTTCTAACTCAAAATCTTCATAGCATTTTACTTATGTCTCTTATCTATAGATTTCTACCTTTTTCTATAAGTATTTTCATTAAGATGAAGTCCCAGTTATTCTTATATGAGCAAAATAATGCTTACATAGTGCATGCTTATAGTAGTAACCACTGTTTTCATTTTGGTATATTTCTTCCATTCTTCTGCATAGAAATGAAGCAAAATAATTTACCAAGATCTAAAGTGGCTATATAAATTTAGCCATGTACCAACAGTATAAGAACTCCTTTAACAGCATTAAGTAGTTTCTTTCTTGTTTAGTTCTTACTAATTTAATAGGAAAAACATGGTCTTTTATACTTTGAGATTTTTTAAGAATAAATATCCTATTTATTAAGATTTGTGCTATATTCAGGCTAAGAATATTTTCATGATAGGACATATGATAATAATATCAATTATGTATGTACTAAGCATTATACTAATCACTTTATAAATTTTAATTCATTTAATCCTTTAGAAAACCCTACAGTGTATGTACTATTACTATCCTGATGTTATAGAAGATTGAGATTCCAAAAGGTCAGGTAATTTGCCAGCAATTACATAGCTACTAAGAGGCAGAGACAGGACTAAAACCCCCTTCTTACTTTGATGATGTACAGCACCTCAGTATGACATTTTCAATGTCCATTTTGTTTTGTGGATGTAGCTTTTCAAGCAGTGGCTTCCTGTCACATTTTGTGCACAGGTGGGGCTTTATAAAGCTCAAAAGATCGGTTGCAATTTCTCTCCAGCTTTCTACAGAAGCTGGGTTTATTTAAAGTTCCTGTGGAACCATTTTATCAGACAAACATCTATGATTTTTCTGATTGATAAAGTAAGTTTTGAAAACAATTTAAGCTTGAATTTAAGAAGGTTTTAGGGTATCTTTTATCATAATTTGTGTGATATTCCACTGACTTTTTTCTTCTTTCATAGTAGATCTGTGCCCAAGAACCTTCTAAGAATAAAATTACAAGGAGTACTTTTACTTGAAGTAAACGTTATATGCAGAATATGGATAAAGAAGTAGGCAGCTCAATATTTTAAAGCAAAGATGACAGGACTTTCATATTACGGCTTATTAGAAAATTTCTTTGTCTAATTCCGAACTTGCTCAGAAACTTTAATATTTCTAGCTTTGTTTTTCGCTTCTTGGAACAAATATTATACTGCTATTGGCAACAGATTTGGGAAATACACTTTGATGAATTATTAAATGTATTTAGTAGCAACAAGGGGAATACTGGTAAGACTGGAAGATCTCAGGAGGCTTCCTTATAATTCCTTTGCCCCACCCCCCCAGCATGAAAGGAACAAAAGAAGCATGGTAAGCTGACTCACAAGAGCTATTCACAAGTCAGCGTCTGTCTCTGTAATGGTAAAACATTCCATATTTTACCTACTAACTTCTCTGATAAGTCATCTTTTCCCGTACAGCATCTCAAGTGTGTCATCTTTTATGACATGTGGGTCAGTCATATCCCTCCTTTGCATTCAAGTTTCTCATCTTTTATTACCATATGTTCCAGGAGTCTACTCTTCTCTCCACCTCTCCAGGACATCTTTTCCTGTCTATGTGTCTGGTATGTGACAGCGTTTCCCTTTAGTGTGTTTAGGGAGGAATATCTCTTTTTGGCATGGATTCCATTTGTGACATTTTTATGTCCCCGGAGCATCCACATTTCAATTTTTTCGGGACTGAGTATTCTTACTGTGGATGTCGTTTTTAACTTTTGTTTGTCAATTACATGCTACTTTACTGCTACAAGTACTGTCAGTGAACATTCATTGTTGCATCCTGAATTTTGTGTTCAGACAGTGGACACAGATTTGGCTTTATGTTTTTGAATGGGGATGCTAAAGGAGATTGGTGAAAGAAATCGGTTATCTCCTTTTTACATTAGGTAGAGATTTTTTTTTTGTTCCCATCAATGCCTCCAATTTTTTTTCCCTCATTGCCTTTTGACTCCTAGCCTCAATATAATTCTCTGGAAAACTACCGTTTACTTATGCCAAGAAGGAAGATTAAAAGGTATGTGTATGCATGTGTGTGCATGTGCACAAGTGGGTTTTTTCAGTAAAGATTAGAAGGGGAGAAGAAGTAAACCTTCGTTTAATGCCTACAATGCGATATGCATGCTAACATGTGTGTGTTCACATATTAATTTTCATGTAATTGATACTTATTATAGTAGTATAGATAAAAGCACAGACTGAAGCTGAAACGTTTGGGTTAGTATCCCAGCTTCAACATTTGCTAGCTATTTGACCTTGGTGAAATCTCTAAACCTCACTGTGGACCTGATATTAGTATTTGTAAAATGTGAACACTATCATTTGTTGAGATTGTTATTGTGGAGTTTAAACAAGTTAAAGGTTAATAGTTTGGTTTGAATTCTGGTCCTCTTTACATAGAAGCTGGCATTTGCTCTGGAATCTTTAGTATTATTAGTCCTTAAAGTGACTGCAAAAGAGTAATCACACCCATTTCTTTCTTTATTTATTTCTTTTTCTTCTTTTCTTCTTCTTTTTTTTTTTTTTTTTTTTTTTGTTTTGAGGCAGAGTCTTGCTCTGTCGCCCAGGCTGGAGTACAGTGGCATGATCTTGGCTCACTGCAACCTCCGCCTCCCAGGTTCAAGTGATTCTCCTGCCTCAGCCTCCCGAGTAGCTGGGACTGCAGGCATGCACCACCATGCCCAGCTAATTTTTGTATATTTAGTAGAGAAGGGGTTTCACCATGTTGGCCAGGATGGTCTCAATCTCTTGACCTCGTGATCCGCCCGCCTCAGCCTCCCAAGGTGCTGCTGGGATTACAGGCATGAGCCACCCCGCCCGGCCCACGCCCATTTCTAAAGATGAAATAGTTCAATGGGACAGAATTAAGGAATTTCTCTTTTATAAAACACCCAATTAGTGACAGTGATGGAATCAGGACCAAAATCTGTGTTTAGGTAAGATACAGGTTTGGCTGCTGTGAAAAAGACCTAAAATACCATGCTAGAAGATGGTCGACATTTTAGATCTTATATAAAAGTCAGCTGGTTTAAGGTACCAGCAATATTTCAGGAACCCACAATTCTATCTTCTGGCTCCACAATTCTTAAGGTTTGTCCTTGTTTGGATGTCCAAGATGGCAACAGTAAAAAGCGATGGCGTGTCCCTTCCTTTGAGATAACAGTTCGCAGGTCTGGTGGCACATTAGAATCATTGCAGAGACTTTTTAAGAAATATTGATCCCCAGTCCCTACCTGTGAGAGATTCTCACACAGTTGATCTGACAGAAGGTCAAGATGTTGATTTTTTTTGGCATTATAATACATCCACAAATTAATATTTATTTATTTATTTATCTTTAAACTTTTATTTTAGGTTCAGGGCTACATGTGCAGGTTTGTTATATAGGTAAACTTGCGTCATGGAGGTTTGATGTAGAGATTATTTCATTACCTAGGTACTAAGCCTAGTACCCAATACCCAATAGTTATTTTTTTCTTTTTCTCTCCCTCCTATTTGTTTTTAAACAAATGGTTTTTTTCTTTTTTTTTTTGAGACAGAATGTCACTCTGTCCCCCAGGCTGGAGTGCAGTGGTGCCATCTTGGCTCACTGCAAGCTCCGCCTCCCGGGTTCCCGCCATTCTCCTGCCTCAGCCTCCTGAGTAGCCGGACTACAGGCGCCGGCCACCCCACCGCGCTAATTTTTTTGTATTTTTTAGTAGAGACGGGGTTTTGTGTCCGGAATTGGTGGGTTCTTGGTCTCACTGACTTCAAGAATGAAGCCGCGGACCCTCGCAGTGAGTGCTACAGCTTTTAAGGTGGCGCCTTTGGAGTTTGTTCCTTCTGATGTTCGGATGTGTTCGGAGTTTCTTCCTTCTGGTGGGTTCGTGATCTCGCTGGCTCAGGAGTGAAGCTGCAGACCTTCACGGGGAGTGTTACAGCTCTTAAGGTGGCACATCTGGAGTTTGTTCCTTCTGACGTTCAGATGTGTTCGGAGTTTCTTCCTTCTGGTGGGTTCGTGATCTCGCTGGCTCAGGAGTGAAGCTGCAGACCTTCAGGGGGAGTGTTACAGCTCTTAAGGTGGCGCGTCTGGAGTTTCTTCCTTCTGGTGGGTTCGTGATCTCGCTGGCTCAGGAGTGAAGCTGCAGACCTTCACGGTGAGTGTTACAGCTCTTAAGGTGGCGCGTCTGGAGTTTGTTCCTTCTGATGTTCAGATGTGTTCGGAGTTTCTTCCTTCTGGTGGGTTCGTGATCTCGCTGGCTCAGGAGTGAAGCTGCAGACCTTCAGGGTGAGGGTTACAGCTCTTAAGGCAGAGCGTCTGGAGTTGTTCCTTCCTCCCGGTGGGCTGGCTGGGCTCAGGAGTGAAGCTGCAGATCTTTGCGGTGAGTGTTACAGCTCATAAAAGCAGCGTGGACCCAAAGACTGAGCAGTAGCAAGATTTATTGCAAAGAGCGAAAGAACAAAGCTTCCACAGTGTGGAAGGGGACCCAGCGGGTTACCACTGCTGGCTCGGGCAGCCTGCTTTTATTCTCTTATCTGGTCCCACCCACATCCTGCTGATTGGTAGAGCCCAGTGGCCTGTTTTGACAGGGCGCAGATTGGTGCCTTAACAATCCCTGAGCTAGATACAAAGGCTCTCCACATCCCCATCAGATTAGTTAGATACAGAGTATGGACACAAAGGTTCTCCAAGGCCCCATCAGAGCAGCTAGATACAGAGTGTTGATTGGTGCATTCACAAACCTTGAGCTAAACACAGGGTGCTGATTGGTGTGTTTACAAACCTTGAGCTAGATACAGAGTGCCAATTGGTGTATTTACAATCCCTGAGCTAGACATAAAGACTCTCCACGTCCCCACCAGACTCAGGAGCCCAGCTGGCTTCACCAAGTGGATCCCGCACGGGGGCTGCAGGTGGAGCTGCCTGCCAGTCCTGCGCCGTGCGCTCGCACTCCTCAGCCCTTGGGTGGCCGATGGGACTGGGCGCCGTGGAGCAGGGGGCGGCGCTCCTCAGGGAGGCTCGGGCTGCACAGGAGCCCACGGAGGCTGGGGGAGGCTCAGGCATGGCGGGCTGCAGGTCCCGAGCCCTGCCCTGCGGGAAGGCAGCTAAGGCTCGGTGAGAAATCGAGCACAGCGCCGGTGGGCTGGCACTGCTTGGGGACCCAGTACACGCTCCGCAGCCACTGGCCCGGGTGCTAAGTCCCTCACTGCCCGGGGCCAGCAGGGCTGGCCAGCTGCTTCGAGTGCGGAGCCCGCCAAGCCCACGCCCACCCGGAACTCCAGCTGGCCCTCAAGCGCCGCGCACAGCCCAGGTGCCCGCAGGCGCCTCTCCCTCCACACCTCCCTGCAAGCTGAGGGAGTGGGCTCCAGCCTTGGCCAGCCCAGAAAGGGGCTCCCACAGTGCAGTGGTGGGCTGAAGGGCTCCTCATATGCCGCCAAAGTGGGAGCCCAGGCAGAGGAGGTGCGGAGAGCAAGTGAGGGCTCTGAGGACTGCCAGCACGCTGTCACCTCTCAGTTTCACCGTGTTAGCCAGGATGGCCTCGGTCTCCTGACCTCGTGATCTGCCCGCCTCGGCCTCCCAAAGTGCTGGGATTACAGGTTTGAACCACTGCGCCCGGCCTAAACAAATGTTTTAATTGTCTCCTATTCAAGCTGCTGGTGAGGGAAGCGATTCCTGCCCTGGGTTAGAGTGATGGCCAAACATAGGACACCTGACATTGAACGGATGAGATTGACGGCTGTTTATTAGTCACGTGTACTCACAGCCCTGAGGGAGGAGGACAACACATGCTTCACAAGACCATGTGAGGTTTTCCTTGGGACCGGAGTGAATAATTAGGAGTTATGGGAGGCAGGCTTTGTAGTATCAGTAGGGAAAGATGCTCCCTAGTTCCCTGAAGAGGATGTCATTGGCTTGTTTGAATAATTCTGTGGGCTGGTGGTAAACTGAAACCCATTGCTCAGAAACTGTGACTGGGTTCTCTGATAAGGACGGTTGCTTGGCTATGGCACCTTATCCACAGGAGCAGAGTGAGAAGGAAAGCTTGCAACTAGGTCATTCGAGGTTCTCCAAGTTTACCAGATGTCAAAGCAGCACGTAATATTCAGCCTTAATTTTAGGCTTTATTCTATGACAGTCCATGATAGATTTTTCTGGTTGGCTGGCAGTTTTCTTCCATACGGTGATTCAGGGATTCAGGTTCCTTCTCTTTCGTGAATCTTTTATCCCCTAGGGTCTTGTCATCATTTACTTCCAATCAGCTGAAGAGAAAAGGAAAAAGACAACATAGAGTAGGCACATTTATTGTTTAAAAAGGATTGGGCCAGAAATATCAAACTTCACCTTCTACTCCATGACCACACCTAGGAACAAGGTGATCCAGGAAACGTAGTCTGGACTTTGCAGTTTTCCTGATCTAACCTCTATCACTTTAGAAGAAGGGATGGGGTTTGAATCAACTGTCCATCATTACCTTAAGCATCTCTACTATGGTCCAGGGATGTATTTTTTATTATTTTATTTTATCTTTCTCTTACCATTGCCCAGAGTTTAACCCTTTATCTGTTTTGTATTTTATTTTCAGTGTTTCTGTACTCATAATTCATAATCCCTGCTTTCCCCCCACACCCCACCACATAATTAGTACTTTTCTTTCATGCTTAGCTAACTGGACTTTGTATCCTTATAAAATCTTTCCAGACTACTCTAGAAATTTTGCTCTAAATTCCTCTATAAGACACTTCCTTTGAATTATTTGATGATAATGATCACAAGAACTTGTGAGATTTTTTACATTGCTTTAGTATAAACTTATTTAATTTCTTTATTAGTATTCCATTTTTCATATTTATTTTGACTACTTAATTAGATCATAAGTTCCAAAAAGTTAAGCACAGTTTCTGATGCTTACTTGTGTTTGTTGACTTTTTTATAAAGTAGGAGAGTTTATGCATTTGAAATGCAAATATATTCACACCAATAACAGATTATATAAAACTGGTATATTTAATGCATACAACTTTTGGGATATACTTAAAATGCAATTCTATTTTGATCTCTCCCTCTTTATTTAAATTTTATTTAGCAGGTTTTTTTTCCACTGCCACTGTGAAAAATAAGAACGGTGGCAGGCATATGGCTTTTATGATCGATTCTAAATAATAGAACACCATAAAGTCATTTTTATTCACAGACACTCTCAAATGTAGAAGAATTAGAATTTCCAAGCCAATATATTCATCTTCAGTCTTCATTCAAATGTGACTTACATTCCTTGTTTTCCCGTAAGCACTTATGGGGAAAGGTGAAAGGGTTCATCTTTCTCTGGCTATAATGCCTTTGTCCAACATCATTGTCTTTCATTTCCCATCTCTGCTAAAGGAACTTGATTTAGAGAATTCCTGCATTTAGGTAAGACTCTATAGGTCTCTTTCTATACACATTAGATGGTCCCTATTTTACTTTATTACATTTCATAGTAATTTTCTCTTTATACTCTTTTATTATTTAATTATGCTTCCATCTCCCATACATTCTTTCAGAACTGTTTTCTAAAAGTTTCATTCCTTTTCTCAGAAAAGCAATGCATTTCCTAAGCCAAAAAAGTTTCTCTTCTCCTTCCCAGTGGATGTTCAAGAAGAACAAGATTTTCTTTCTTCTTTTCATATGTGTGGTGTATCAAATTTTCTGATGACTTTATCACTGGATTTCTCACATAGTATCTAAAGACTCAAGTGTTTCCTTTATACGTCTGATATCTTTCTTCTATATACTACGTATCTTGCCTTCTTATCAACACCCTGTTTTTTGTTTGTTTGTTTGTTGTTTGTTTGTTTTTTATGAGGCCAGAAGTCTCTACTCTTTGTTTCTATGCATGATGTCTTTTCTTTCATTGCAGAGGGTCAGTTCTTTCTTTCTGGCCATTCGTCTTTTGGCTCCCAGGAGCAGCACCCTTCTTTCTACATGGTCTTTCTATAGCATCATTTGCTACTACTGTTTGAGCCTCATGGGCAAATTCTTCCCTTTATCTCTCAGCACATGATGCTTTATTAACTCTATTAGAGTTCAGAGAATTATTTTCTGTTTTCATTGTATTAAACCATTGCTTTTACTTCCTTTTGTTCTAAGTTACATGGTCTTTTCCTCCCGCCAAAGAGATGAACTGTAATTTCTCTTATGTTAAATGAGATTTATCAGCACTTCTATCTATTATTCATCAGTTTCATATTTCACATTTATGTCTACAGTTTGGATTCCTCCTTATAACTTGAGGCTATTTTACTTACCCTTGTGTGATTAAGAGTTTATAAGCATTTCATTTCTTCTGCTACCTTGTAAAACTTCTTTTTTCATTTGGCACATCAGACAGAATGCATTATATTCTCCCATTCAAATAGTCAGTAGCCACGTTGCTATTTTGTATTATCTTGGCAATATATCACTGTTCCTTTTTCTATATCACAGCGATATTATATTTTACTGAATGTTAATCTGCATAGATATAATTTTTTATACAGTCTTTTTAATATTATTCAAAAGGTTTAGATATTTTGTTTGCCTATTAAAACATAAATCAATCACAATTTTTGATACAATATGAGTAATTTGATTACTCACATTTTTTAATAGGTAATTATCACATATTGCTATTTATATCTCAGGGCATATTAACTTCTATGATTTAATTTTTGTCACTAGTATCTGTTTTCTATATTATTTTTATTTGTATCTTTATTATATTCTCGTTTCTTCTGATTATTTTTATTCAATTAATCTGTGATATATAGACCCCAAAATAAATACTATAATCTGACCATACATGATAGTGTTTTAGACATTTAAAAGCTACATAATATACAATTTTTGCCCTCAAGAAAATTACAATCTGGAAGGAGAAATATATGCTTAAGCCAATAATTAAAATCCAGTGTGATATACATAGCAGTAGAAGTAATAAGTGAACAGAGGAGAGAATTATTAACTCTGAAGACATAGGGGAATGCTTTACAGAGGCAGGTGACTCTAAGCAACACTGCTAAGGCCTGTAGTAGGTCTTCATATAGTCAAGGAAGGAAGAGATTCCTGATAGATGGAATGGCATGCACAAAGTGTTTAAGCATGGAGCCACAAGGTTCGTGGAGGCCACAAGTGATTCAATGTTGCTAAAGCAGGAACTGGTTAGGTTGATGTGGGTGAGCTGTGAGAGATGAGGATGGAAAGGCAGATGGGTGCAAGTCATGAAATATCTTACCTGTCATTCTCAGTTGGAATGTAGACTTCAGTCTATAAGTGAGAAGAAACCAGAAAAGGTATATAATAAGGGGAAATGATTTGGTCACATAGAACAAGATTTGGTCACTGTAAACCCATGGGTTCTGAAGGTGGTAGCAAGACAAAAGTCAGCAGGGCCAGTTATGAGGCTATTGTCCGGAAGAAACATGTGGAGAGGCTGAACAAAATTAGTGGTGATGGAGAAGAAAAGGATGGACATGGACCAGATGGACATGCACCTGAGCAGGAGAAGCATCTACGATGATGAGTAAATTGCTGGCTTTGGGGATGAGCTACCATGCTGGGCTGGTTACCCTGGAGGAAGAACAGCACACTCCATGTCAGCCTTATTTGTTCTCTGTACTGTAAATGCAGAGTTCTATTCTATTAGAAAGCCTGACCTCATAAGCCTTGTGCTTCCTCAGGCTGCTCACTTTCAGTTTTGTAGTTCAACATAATATTTTTCTGTATAAGAAATACAGGCTCACATGCCGCTGAGGCAGCTAGTAACAATTCAGGGCAGCTGCAAGTGGCAGATCTCCGAATTGCAGTGGTGCAATTCTCAGCAGCCTGTAGCTCATGAAGTGACTTTTCATGTAGTCTCCTTATGCAGGGACTGATCCACAGAATCAAAATTTTGGTGGCACAGGATAAGCATGATTTGTTATATTTATGCCCCCAAAGCTGAATCAGTGTTATTTTATGCTAAGCAGTTTTATTAACATTCTAGTTAAGTGATTGGTTCTATGCCTCAGATATATCTAAGCATTCCGTGAGGATAAGTAGGATGCCAACCCAGAAATAGGCCATAAAACTAGTTTCCTGGTGAAACTCATACAAGAATGCACTGATGTAAACTTTATATTTTTCCCCATTTAAAAATCCTTAAACACCATCTTTTTTTAAAAAGTAGAATCTGGGTTACCGTGTCCTAGAAGAGCCTAATAATAGTCTTCCTTAGCTGGGATGCACCATCTGTTCACTCTCATAACTCACTTTATTTTCCCCCTCAGTAAATCCCATGGGTATTGTCTTTTCTACCTAGTCGCTAGAAGTACTTTTAGTTATCTTCCAAAGTTATTCAGATGTTTTAAATATCCTTCTCATACATTCCAGAGTTTTATTTTGGGGTTCTCTTTTATTCCTCTAGGTGGACATTTTTTTCCTTTTCTTGTCTTTTTTTAAACCGTGTTCCCCATGGTTATCTTTCTCATCTGTCATTCTACGTGCTCAAAACCCTCAGCTGAAAGGGAGTGTCTATTACATACCCATCACCAATGCACAATATATATGAGATTCCCTTATCTTTATAATTATTATTTTCATTCTTGACATATTCCTCAAGGCTTCATTTATAACAATGCTTCCCTGAAGAGTGTTTACATTTCTGTCAAGGAGCACAGAGTGTCTCACTTTTCCCTAGTAGAACTCAAGAATATTTATCTTATCAATGTTCCCGTGAGCACCATCCTTGCGCATAGCATTTACCAGCGACATCGGTTCCAACACCTCATCTTTCACCTCCCCTCTCCGCCCTGCCACATACATCTCTGTGAATTCCAGATGCACCTTCCCTCTACCCCCCATATGCTTCATCTGTTCCCAGTGTAATCCAGATGCCTTGTATTTTCTTCCAGGGAAATGCGGGATCTTTATAAGCCATCCCTCGTGAGTCATTTTTCTGTCTTTACGTCCAAGTCTGTTGTATTTTTCCCCATTGTGCCACAGGTGCATATGGCTCTTCTTCTTCCCAGCACAGATGTATACTTCCTTCACCTTCTGTTCTCTTATCATTGCTGTTTTACGTGCCCCTGGTACACCTTTTTACCTCATATGCTGCCCAGCTGTGTTATATTTTCTCATTGCTAGCATCCATCAATATTGCTTGCTTTAAGGGAGCAAGTTGCTTCTCTTGCTTTAGATGAACAAAAGACATTTCTATTTTTCTTAGTTTAAGCATGTCTGACTTTTTTTCTGAGGCATGTTATGTGGATTTACTCTTTGGTATCGTAAGGGTTTCTCATAATCTCTTCCATTCCAGTGGGAATATGTAGTGTTGTGTCTTTCTTTTGAAACAGAATCTGGGGTCATCATTTGCCTTTTCATTTATATTTATTATTGTGTTAAGAAAATACTGGTTCAGAGTTGACTAAGAGCAAGGTCTAGAGCTGAATCCTATGCTTAACAGAATGAAGAAGACATAGTTAATGGGTTAATTGTTATATACAGAATAATCTCGTCTCTAAGCTTTCTGATAAATGGGAAAAAATTCTTATACAATTCTTTTTGTGTCAATCAGAACACACAGAACAAGGCTCTATATGTCTACATTTTACGTAAAGTATATAGGTATTTCTCATCATAAACTAGCTATTCTGACTTTTTCTGGAAGTGCCCTTGTTTAATTGCACTGAGTTGTCCTCCTTCCCTGTTTTCCATGAAGACCTGCTCCTTCAACATACCTCAATTCAATTGTTCACCCATTAGTGTGACAAAACAATGCTGGAGTGATATAAAGAGTCCCTCATGTTGAGCACATTTGTTTGATCTACTCAGAGTCTTACAGTTTGTCTTTAAATAACCAAAATGCTTACTTTTCATCCTCCATGATATGCCTTATGAGTAATTGTCTGCATAGGAATTATTACATATAAATTGCATTAATTGACTTTTCTGTCTCTCAGTCAGGTCTTCTACCAATGTACTTTAGTTCATAATAATTATACCTGTAACCCTGCAACTTTTCCCCTCTGCTGCAGAAAATATCTATGAACAATGATCATTATCCCCCACAGTGCTGTTAGGGGAATTGTTCTTTTTAAATGTTAAATCTTTATGGATCCTTGCTCCCATGTCAGCTTTGAACCATTTATTTGGTTGTGAGCTGACTAAAACATCTATATTATCTTCATTTGTCCCACTGCTTAATTCTCCTTTGTTCTTCAGAATATGAAACCTTTAGTCTTTTTTCAATTCAAAGACTAGACTAGTATATTGTTCATATTTTTAATATTCATCCTTCAGATATTTATTGAGCACATACTGTGTACTAGGCAATCTTCCAGGCCTGATAAGACAAAAGTGAACAAAAGTTCCTGTCTTTATAAATCTTACATCTTAGGCAGAAATACAGGAATAAATTAATAAGTAAAATGCAGCTTACAGTATTAAGAATGGTAAGTGCTTGTGGGGAAAAAGACTCGGCAAGAAATAGTGATAAGAAATGTGTAGATGTGT
This sequence comes from Homo sapiens, assembly GCF_000001405.40. Taxonomy (NCBI): domain Eukaryota; kingdom Metazoa; phylum Chordata; class Mammalia; order Primates; family Hominidae; genus Homo; species Homo sapiens. Next base: position 187,081,376 of record NC_000001.11, read on the forward strand.
ATAATGGCATGTGTGTGTTGGATGGGGCCCAGGGAAGTCCTCCTTGAGAAGGTCACATTTGAGGAGTGAGAGAGTCAGCCCTGATGGTATCTGAATGAAGATGATCTCAGGTGAAGGGAGTAGGAATTCAAATGCTCTCACCTGGAACTATGAACTGATGTGCTTGAGGAACTTGGAGAAAGTCCATGGGGCTGGAGTGCATTGTGAGGAGGAGAGTTCTATGAGATGAGTTTGGAGAGGTGATGGGTTTCAGATGAAGGAGAGCCATGTAGGGCATTTTAAGTTTCACAAATCCCACAGAGTGAGGCCTTTCCCCAAATGCAATCTTTATTTCTCATAGGTCCCAGAGGTATTATTGCTTCTTTCCTTTTCCTAAAGGCCTCTGACTTTCCCTAATGGTCTACGCCTCCCTCCCTCCCTTTTCCTTCTCTCTCATCTTCCTTCCTTCCTTCCTTCTTTCCTTCCTTCCCTCCATCCCTCCCTTCCTCCCTTCCTCCCTTTTCCTTCCTTTTTCCTCTTTCTTTTTTTTCTCATGATATTCTTTTTTTCCCCAACAATTTTTCCCATGAAACATGGCACCTTGTCCTCAATTATAAATGTTTCCTCCCATCTGTGAAGATGATGGACCCCCTAGGATATCAATTTTTCTAAAAACATTGCATTTCTTATTTATTTTTGAGTCACAAGAGGACATGGGCATTCAAATGTTTGCTGCAGGAATGACAGGAAAGGATGTTATCTCTTTCTACACTTCAGGACCATTCTCTGTGATTTCCAGCCGTTTCCTTTCTTCCTTGGCTCTTTTATGGCTTTAGGTGCACAACATAGATCAAATGTTCCCCTTGTGCACTTAGGTTCCATTTATCCTTTTTTATTCTTATTTTTTTTTAAGTTGGCTTCTCCAGAGAAGCATACCTTTTTGCTCACTCTCCTCAGAAAGTCACCTTTTATCTCTGAACCTGCTAGAGGCAGTGTATCTTTGCTTGCTCACTACCTTGACTTTATCTTTGTCTCCCTTTGGCACACTTTCACCTCAGGGGCATGACAAATTGTATGCAACTGACTTTATATACATCCTCAATTGCGTGCTTCTCTCTGTTAGCTCTCTAACAGAGTACAAGGTGAGTGTAGAATCCTCCATCTACAGAACTGGAAAGGATTCCATTTAGTCCAGTGTTACTTGATAACTGAAGAAAAAATAGTGTTTTCCTCTTTGCCCCATATTTAAAAAGGAAGAGGGTGTGGACTTATAATTGTGCTGTTGTTTCTCTCACGTGCATTTACTTTAGGTGGTGTTTATTCCTCTAAGGAAGAGGAATGTGATGTTATTGTAAATTCACCCTAGGTGCGCCATCACAATGCCTTTCCCATCTTCTACTATCCAAAAGATATTTGAAATCCCACTTTTTCTATGAAAACTTTCTGAATAACTCTGGGTTTTTACTCTTTGGCCCTCTCTGAACTGCTTTATTCCTCATGGTTGATGTTACTTACTTGATATTAACCCATATTGTCTAATACATACACTGTTTATATTTATATGATTCTTGTTTATTCTAGATTGATAACTCCTAGGGATATATTTTTTCTCTCTTTCTTTTTGTGCTCACCAAAACACTTTAAAGCAATGCTTTTCTCAAAGTAAGGACTCAATAGTATATTAAAAATTAATTATTATTGATATTATTATTTTTTAGATGGAGTCTCATTTTGTCACCCAGGCTGCAGTGCAGTGGTGCAATCTCGGCTTACTGAAACCTCTGCCTTACAGGTTCAAGCGATTCTCCTGTCTCAGCTTCCCAAGTAGTTGGGACTACAGGTGCCCACCACCAGACCCGGGTAATTTTTGTATTTTCAGTAGAGACGGGGTTTCACTATGTTGGCCAGGCTGGTCTCGAACACCTGACCCCAAGTGTTCCACCCGCCTCCGCCTCCCAAAGAGCTGGGATTATAGGCATAAGCCACCATCCCAGGCCCTGAATTATACTATTTAGCCTATTGGAAACTTTGATGTTCCATGTTTGGGTACAGTTCAGATGGGCTCCTTTCTCTTTCTTTTTTGGGGAAGAATATTTATCACCGTTGACCCAGAGAAATTAACTTTGGTCCCTTGTTTTATTTTCTGTGTACTTACTTTTCTTGAAACATTTCCTAGGCAGTTGTTTCTCTTCATAACTAAATTACACCAACTTATTTCTTCAACATTTTTCCTTTCTCTGAGTTAACTTTCCTCTTCCATACCATCACACACAGACAAAGACAGCATTTGCAGCTCACGTGCCTTGATTTTCTGCAAATATCAATTTAATAATTGTTCTACCTTAACAGACTTTTTTATTCTATAGTATTTTTCATATTGAATACAAAAGTGATAGATATTTCTTGTGAACAATTTAAAAAACATCACCCAGTAAAATAGCCTGACATGCAATACAATTTCCTAGAGTTAATTATGGGGGGGCGGGGTGTGTGTGTGTGTGTGAATGTATACTCTGTTTCTCTTCACAAATGTATAGTATACATACTGTTTTCTAACTCATTCTTTTTATGGCATTAAATTGTACTCTACTATAACATTTTTATTATATTGTTCGTGATATTACTGAAATAATGTGTTTTTTTACTGGATTAAATATTTAGAAAATATGTAAATGAGACAAAATAAAAATTGCTTATAACTAACTACCCAGGATAATCACTGTTTATAATTTCATCTATGCAACATATTGTGAACTGCATTACAGGTCATTATATATTTTCCATTATGTCATTTTAAACATCTGTACAACATTCTTTTCTATGTATATTGAGTGATATTTAAAATCAACTTTGATTATTAAATCTTAGTTTCTAATGTTTTCCTCTTACAATTCTGCAATTTGCCTCACTGAAGAAAATTTTTGTTTCACATTCCTTGTTTCTTACTTTAGATAAATTCCCATCTTGAGTTGGATATCTGGGCTAGGCTAAGTGCTGCCAAATTGTCTTCCAGAAAGCAATGCTTCCATTTACATGTCACTCAGGTATATGAGAATGACCATTTGAGATCTTGATATTCCAGAGTCTTTCATGTTTTTACTTTTGGTTTTTCCAAATTGATAGGCATAATAGACTATCATATTATTTTTTTAACTTTATATTTCCTGAAAATAATAATGGCATTAAACTTTCCTAAAGGATTCTCTGCTGTGTTTCTTCTTCTGTAAATTGTTCTCATTTGACTAAGGTATTAAAAACTTTATTTTGGAGAGATAATTCTATATTGAAATTAGTAATGTTTATCATGTAGATTGTTAATAGCTTTCCTAGTTTGCTGTAAATTTGCCTTTTATATTTCTTTGTGATGATTTTTGATATGCAAACATTTTATTTAGCCACTTACGGATTTATTGTTACATATAAGCCCAGAAAGGGTGTTCTGTATCTGAGACTAGATAAACATTCACTATATTTTCTTTTAATTAAATTTTTAATATTTAAATATTTACCAAATTTAGAAGTGAATTGAGTATTTGATATGAGGTAGGGAGATTTTGATCTTCTCAGAATGGTCCCAACTGAATTTTTTTCTTAAATAATCTATTATTCATCACAAATTTGAAGTTTCTTTTGCAGAATACTTACAGGCGCAAAATACTTTTAGGTTTACATAGCTTTATTTGTTTTCCCCTTTACATTTTATTTATTTAACTTAATTCAACTTTCTTCATTTGATTCCTGGCTGGATTTATTTTTTCCTATCCAGAATATAGCTGCATTCCCTTTTGGCATTTATACAAGGAAATCTTCCTTCTCCTGCCCTCCTGCCCACCCTTTGTTATCTTACCCTTAAGCTATATTGTTTGTCTCCAGGATGTGAAGATATTTTGATTTTCTACCAAGGTAATCTAATGAGAATGTTGCATTTTGTGTGACTATTATTTCAACATCTCCTTAAGCTCTTTCCTTTCCCTGCATCAGTCAGAGATTATTTTTCTGAAATTCATTTTCGGTTGCATCACTGTCCCACTTCCCTTGTAACCCTGAAACATCGTGTTGGCTTCTTGTGAATCTCAGATTTTTGTTTGGTTTTGGTGTTGGTTTTACCTTGGGTATCTTTTTTCTGCCTACACTGTGTGTCACTTTTACTGTCTTTGAGCCCAATACATTGTTTACCATCTCGGGGACTTACGCAAGTTCAAGCTCCTGCCTTGTCCATATTACATGCGTTATAATCTCTTTCCTGACTTTATATGTAATGTAATTTCTTTGACATGTGCTTCATAGTAACACAGTTCTCATTTGAGGCAGTTCGAGAGCCATATTTTTGTCTGCAGATTATTTATTCCCTTTGTGTCTCACCTGTTTTTTAAGTCTTTTATTTAAATGTACCCCAAGGTTATCACTGATTCCGTTTATGTATCTCAGATGCTTTACTTTATCTCAGTTTCTACCTCATGTGTATCAACAGTCTTGTTCCTTCATCCTATGTAGCTCACCAGGTTCCAGTTACTTTTATTCTTTCTTCAACTACGTCTGCTTTTATTTTTTATACTCTTGAGACAGATAGATTTTATGTTCTTTCCACAGTTGTTCTTATGTTTCATCTCCCCCTTCAATAAATGATTTGTTTTTGCTCTTAGTTTCTTGTTTATTTTCTTTTCATTTACTTGTTTTTCTGTATTATGAGCTCTCATATTTCACATCTCAATTTCTTCGTATTCACTGCCTCTTGTCGCCTTTCTATCTGAGGAGCATTATGTTGTTCTGTAATCCTTCACATGTTGTTACAGCAAAGTTAAATAATGTTTGCTGTAACAAATGATTTACTTTCCCTTTTAGAACCATAGTAAATACTCTTTTTATATTCAGTTTTTAAAGTGATAGTCTGTCTGCTCTTCCATTTGTATTCCATATCCTTTTATTTTGCTTCAATTTTAATTTCATGGGTCTTTCATCTTTCATCTTTTGCCTTCCTTATTATTTATGGATTCTGTATTTTCTTTTTTTAAATGCTTGAAACACACTTGTTGTCCATTAGATTCTGAATATATTGTTTTCTTACTTACATACTAAATTACCTTGGCAATTTAAAAAAATCATTTAGTCAATGAATATTAAAAAGTTATTTATTGATCTATATACCAAGAACTCAAAGGATACAGAGGAAGTGTTGAGGGAAGACCAATAGGGGCTAGATCATCCAGGGAAGACTAGAAGGACTAAAGATTTTAGCAGATCATAAAGAATTCATAGGCTTTGGATCACTTTAAAAGGTGAGAAAATGCCAAGCACAACAATCTTTCTCTTATGGTTCAGACAGAACAATTCAGCTTTAGAGACAGACCAAACTGTAGTGATTCAAAGGCAGTCAGACGTTAACAATCACCAGCATATCAAGTCCCATTTGTTTTCAGTGAGGAGATACAGAAAAAAAGATAGACAAAAAATGAACTGGAAAATGACCCTTAGAACTCTACATGAGGAGAGTTCCTATAAAGAATTGTAGTGATATGTCCCAAATGCTTAGAGAGCTACAACTTCCCTTCTGTTATCACCATTTTTCTTAATTTATAAATTGTTTTTGCCATATTTCCTCTTTTTAATCTATTATTTTCAATCCATCACTGATCAATCTGTAAGTCAATGAATAGAATTCAGTAAACTGTATGTGGTATAGTAGATATAAACATGACTACTTTCAAGGAGTTTTTAACCTTATGTAGATTCAAATAATTGGACCTCTAATTCTCAGTAGGTTGAGTATAAAATAAAGTGATAAAATAGACGGTCAAGCTCTAAAGCTGCATGAATCCAGTAAATACAAAAATAAGTGATGATTCAATTAGTCAAGAAGTAATTATATAGGTACCAAAACAGAGCTGGACCCTGAAGGGTACAGATCAATAAAATAGAGGAGGTCTTAGCTCTTGAAGTTGGTGATTAGTATTATGTTCATTTTTAAATGAGCATCAAATATTGAGCATGTACTACATGCCAGGCTAAAGACTTTTAGACTCTGAGATATGATGTTGAACAAGACAGACAATATTTGCTCAAATGAGGTTTACATGCCTTGAGGAGAGCCACTCAATAAAGAAATAAACTGGTAGACAAAGGAGCTGATATTACATAGTGGAAGGTTTATGAAGAAACTAAATAGTGTGATATGGCAGAGAGAGACTGGGAAAGGAGGCTAATTAGCTTGGGTAGTGACGAGCTGCCTCTTAATGTGAAGTCAGTCACATAAAGATGTGGGTGCAGTATGCGCCAAACAAGGGGAGAAGCATATTGGTAGAGCTTAGGGCAGAAATGGACTTGGATTTATTCTGAGAACGGAAGGAAGGTTCATGGTTGAAGTGGAGAGTGGTAGGAAGTGAGATCTGAGAGGTAGATTTGGGTAAACCATGCAGAGCCTTGCTGGCCATGATGAGGTGCTTACTGGTGATTGGGTATATTTCTTTATGAAGTGTTTTTCAAACTTTTTGCCTGTTTTTGTTGTTGTTGTTGTTGTTGTTGTTTTGTTCTTTTTTTTTTAAGTGTGGCTTTTAAATAATTTTCCTGTTTGAGGTTCAGGTAACTTCTTAAATCTTAAGCTGGATGTCTTTTATCAGTGTTATACAATTTTATCAGGCACAGTTTCTTTGAATATTGCTTCTTTCTAATTAATTTTCCTCTCTCCTGGATCTATGAGTACATCTATGTGAGACCTATTTACCCTGTCCCCATATGTCTCTTAAACCCTTTTCTATATTTTCTACCCTCTTATGTTTTGTACTGTAATTTCTTTTTATCAAGTTTTAAATTCATTTTATTAGTCCTGTATCATTTCTGCTATTATATTTATTGCATTTTTTTATTTATGTGATTTTTCTCATTTGATTATTTTCTTATGGATTTTAGTTTTCCATTGAACTTCTCCAATTTTTTCCCAATTTTCCTGAACCATATTAAATAGCTACTTTAATATATATTTGCTTAAATATATGGAGTTTTTTTAAAGTCCATGTATGATAACTGTAATATTTAGGTCCCCTGTGGATCTATGTATGTTTTCTGCTATTTTTCTAATTTTTAGTCATTTAGCCTACTTCTTGGTATGCTTGGTTGTTTTTTATTGAATAGTGGACATGGTGTGTTGACAATTTAAAAATCTCCAGGTAACACTTTCCTCCTCTGAAGAGCATTTAATTTTTTTATTAAAGAGAAGAGAAGGCAGTCAGACCATGTTTAGTCAAGTCAAGTCCCTTTTGAGTTTGCCTTATTCTTAGAGTTTAGCCCTTTAAGGTTTTTCACTGAATATCTGGGCTGCCTACCGTAGCCCCTTTCATGAGTGCACCTTGGACTCCATTTCCAACATCGGGAAATTGCTAATATTTGTTGATTTTTAGTCTCTTACAGTTGTTTGCCGCTTTTTTTTTTTGGAGACTGTCCTTGTGTATGTGAAATTTGGAAACCAACAAATGCTTCTAAGGGCAATTTCATATAGATTGCTTGTTTCACTTATCTGTGGTTCTCTCTGTTTTCCAGCATCTTGAATTCTCAAAATCTGTCTATTTTACAGCTCTTAATTAATTTTTTCCCTGAAGTCAGTGAGATTATTCCAACTATTAGGCAACTTTTTTTTTTTCTGGTATGTCCCTGTGACTAGCACTTCAAAGTTATAAATGTTTCTGAAGCTCTTATTCACCTCTATAAATTTCCCTTTTATCTGGAATTTTGACTGTCTTTTGCCACTCTTTGATGTTTTCAAACAGCTGTTTTGTGTTTTGTTTTGTTCCAGTGGGTGTATTAGTCTCGTAGTAGCTACTTCACCATACCTACAAGCAAAGACCCTCCCCCTTTAACTTTTAAAATAATAGTGTTATCTACATTACTTAGTATTCTACCATATTTGACATTGGACTCCTAATGTACTTTGAGTACAGACATATGTCTATATGACCAAAAGAGCTCATCACACGGAACACTTACTTGCAGAACAGGAGAGGAATCTGCCCTAAACACCAACTCCTGCTTTTCCCCTTATACTGATAGGAAACTCATTCTGGTCAGTATTATGAAGGCCATTTGTTTACATATTAGTCACAAAATACGTAACTATTTAGGTTCATTATCAAAGCAGATAGTTGCACATTAAAGCTGTTGTTTAATGATAGGGGATGAACATATACATCCCTCTTCAAATTTTTACTTTATAGGATAGGATGATATAAAATAGATTATCTAATTAATATGGGACACCTGAAAATCCCAGGAAGCAACAGCATGGACAATGGCCTGGAGGAAGATAGAGCTTTGCACATTTATAGATTCCAGAGAAGTCCAGTATGTCTGAGGAGCAGAATGTTGAAAGAAGCAGCAGAAGCAATGAACAGAGTTCGGGGCTTTGTAAGCCAATTTGAAGAGATTGGACTTTGACATCAAGCCAATGGGAAACCATTTAAACTTACTTAAACAAGATTTAAATTTTAAAATGATTCCTGTGTTTCTATGTAATAAATGGAATAGAACAGGAAAGAAAAAAAGGAGACAATTTAGGAGGCTATTAACAGTAGTTTGGTTTATGGTGACATCAGCATAGATAGTAAAAAATGATTGTATTCAGAATCTGCTTTGGAGGCATAAATGGCTTGGTAATTGACAGCATGGGTGAATGGGAGGGATGACACTCATATTGTGGCCTGGGGAATAGGAGGCTGCTGGGGAGCTCCATCACTGAAACAGAAGATACTAAGGCAGAAGCATTTTTTCAAGAGACAATGATAAATTCAGTTTTCAGCAGGTTGGGTTTTAGGCACCTCTGAGATATTCAAGTCAGGATGTCTAGCAATCAATTAGGTAGACATTTTTGTGGTTGGGAGAAAGACCTGGATTGCGGATACAGATTTAGAGTCATTATCATAGAGATGTTAACTGAAGCCATAGAGGGAGAGAGGAGTGTTTCCGGCAGTGTAGGGGAGTTAAGGTGGAGAAATAAAGAGAGACAAAACTCTGAGAAATGCCCACATTGCAGACGTGATTATTTTTTAAGGGTAAAAAGCAAACAAGAGTAAGAAAGAGTGAGAGTGAGAAGTTGTCAAGACTGCAGCATGCTGCCGCCTTGCAGTTTGATCTCAGACTGCTGTGCTAGCAATGAGCGAGGCTCTGTGGGCGTAGGACCCTCTGAGCCAGGTGCAGGATATAATCTCCTGGTGTGCCGTTTGCTAAGACCATTGGAAAAGCGCGGTATTAGGGTGGGAGTGATCTGATTTTCCAGGTGCCCTCTGTCACCCCTTTCTTTGACTAGGAAAGGGAATTCCCTGACCCCTTGCGCTTCCCGGGTGAGGCGATGCCTCGCCCTGCTTCGGCTCACGCTCTGTGCACTGCACCCACTGTCCTGCACCCACTTTCTGACACTTCCCAGTGAGATGAACCCAGTACCTCAGTTGGAAATGCAGAAATCACCTGTCTTCTGCGTCGCTCACACTGGGAGCTGTAGACTGGAGCTGTTGTGGGGTGGGGGGAGTGGGGAGGGATAGCATTAGGAGATATACCTAATGTTAAATGATGAGTTAATGAGTGCAGCACACCAACATGGCACATGTATACATATGTAACTAACCTGCACGTTATGCACATGTACCCTAAAACTTAAAGTATATAAAAAAAAAAAGACTGCACCATGATGGATTCTGAGAGCAGAGAGTCTCACTAATGTCTCAAGTTTCCAAAGCTGGAATGTGTCAAGAAGTGTCAAAAACTGTGAAGGATGGAAGATTTTACCTACTTGCAAGTTAACAGATTATTCAGTCACAATTTCAAGGGTACTAACCAAAGACATGAGACTCTGGAGCCAGAGCCAAAGGACTGTATTATCTGTGGCTGAGCAGGCTCAAGCAGCACGGGGGCAGTAAGGAGTGGGCCTCAGTGAGTGTGGCATACACAGAGAGCTTGCATCACAGCTCATGGATTTAGGAAATCCTAGTCTTTTGTATTTTTCTGCAAGCAAAGATGCCCATATTTGCCTGGGAGGGGGACATCTTTATTTTATGCGACAGCAAATAATGGATCCCCTCTCAAAGGAGTCCCTATATTCCAAGAAGATACCATGTACAAAAATCCTTGAAAATACATTCCAGAACAAAAGACTATCAGTGCCTCTGCTTTCATGATGTGCAAAAATGTGTGGAATCCCTGGAGAATTATCTCTCAAGGGAAGGATAAAAATAATTACAACACAAACTATTATCTATTCAACATATATTTTGTGCCGTACACTATACTAATTATCTTTTCTCTAATTAACATGTCAAAACAACTCTATTAGGTAAGTTCTTTTATTATTTTCATTTTATGGATAAAATAAAATAAAATACTAAAAGGTTAACAAATTTGCCCATAGTCACACAGGTAGCAAATGGTGAAGCCATGATCTGAACTTGGATACTTTGACTTCTAATCTCTATCATGTCCTGACTCATAGTGTAAGCAAACAGCATATAAGGCATATTCATTGGCTATTGGCTGCAGCAAAATAATGGTCACTGATGACCACACTGAAAGTCATTTCAGTGCAGTAATAGGAGCAGAATCCAGATTGGAGTAAATTGCAGAATCATTGGGAGCAGCATGAACTGAGATAGGGAACATAAAAAACTCATTCAAAACCTTTGATTGTGTATATAGGTTAGCAACAAAAAAATCAAGAAAGGATTTTTTTTAAAGTATATGGAGATATTTTTGTCTGCTTATGCGTGGATGTCAATTAAGAAAGGAAAAAGGTAACATGGGGTGCAGGAGAGGGTTATTGACAATATTGCAAGAGGCAAAGCCAAAGAAAATAGAGTGGCGTGCACACATGGGGAGATGGGCGAGCTACCTCCTCCATGATTACGGGCAGGTTTTGTAGCTGTGCAGGGGTTGGGTAGCTCCTATTTGATAGCTTCTCTTTGATCTGTGAGGTGGAAGGTGAGATTTCCGGCTGAGATTACAATGCAGGTGACTGGAGGAAGTGGTCTAAATTTTGAGAACAGAGTAGCTTTCTGTGAAGGGCAGATAGGCAAGGAGTTTAATGTGAGTTTCTTTAGCAGTGCTCCAGTGCTGATTTGCCAGGAGTAGAAGGAGTAGGGGAGATCAGGATATGGAAACAAAGTGTAGTTGATGTGAATGGGCCATGAAATCAAAGCTGAACAGGAAACGAAGTGAAGAAAGAAGTGAAGGTGGTAGGAAGCTAGTAGATAAGAAAAAAGCTGAGGGTAGTCCATGAACTTTATTTTTCATTTTTTTTTAATTATTGATTTAATATTATTTAAAATGGTGGGTGATGTGGGAAGGTATCCCAACATGATCATGCAGTGGCATAATCATGGCTCACTGCAGCCTTGTCCTCCTGGGCTCAAGACATCCTCCCGCCTCAGCCTCCAGTGTAGCTGAAACTATAGGCATGTGTTACCACACCCAGCTAATTTTTGATTTTTTGTGGAGACAGGATCTCGCTGTGTTGCCCGGGCTGGTCTCAAACTTCTGGACACAAACAATCCTCCACATTGGCCTCCCAAAATGCTGGAATTACAGGTGTGAGCCACTGGACCAGCAGGACTCTAAATTTTGGTAAGATAAACACTGGTGTGGTGAAGTAATTGAGTGTCCTTCTTTAAACCATTAAATTATGTTTCATTTGGCATCAAATACCATAATCTCTGTCTCTTTACATCATGTCAAGCATCTATGACCACAGACATGAGAATTTGAGAATTAAGCTCCTGAATCTTTCTTTTTCACTGAACCGATGTTGACAGTGGGCGGTGCCTTCCACAGACAAAGATAAGGTACCATGTGAGGTTGCCAGGAAGAAAACTGCAGCCAGGACAGACCACCTAAATTGTAGAAAGCTTTCTGCTAAAGGAAGGAAGGTTTCCAAGGAGAAGAAAATGTGTGTCCTCAGGGAGTATTAAAGCGCTAGTGTTGGAAAACTGTGAAGCACACCTGTTCTCAGGATTGGCATGAAATCCAATGTTGATATTGATAAGTTTTCTATGGAAATGAAGTTTGTTTTCATTTGCCCTTACCCTCCTCTTCTGTGCTTCTTTTCATGTCTTTGCAATGACCTTCCTTAGGTACCTACCTTAATCCTATGGTTGTATTGCTTTTTAGATAAAACTTAAGAGAGGATACTTGACAGGCTTTCTCTATAGCATTTGATTATAGGGTGAATATATCCTCTTGAAATTTGCTGTTATAATTTCCCTCACCTGCTGTTGTTTTTCTACATTTTAAATGGTTCTTTTTCAATCTCCTTAATAACCTTCTCTTTCTCTACTTACCTTGTGAGATTTGGCATGCCCGCCTTGATCACTAATCATTACAGAAGATTGCTAATTGTTTACTCATATCTATTGCATTCCTGTATGGTAGTTGCATATCCATTTTCCTCTTCCTCCTTGGTAACAGAACTTCTGTGTTCATCTGGATTCATTGTTCAACAGGCTTAAAAACTACTTGTTCTCTCTTCCAGCTAGATGTGACCATGTGGCGAGGGTAGACAACTATCCTGATTTGCCTAAAAGTGAGGAATTTTCTGTGATGTGAGAGTTTCAGTAATAAAACTGGAAAAATCCCAGGCAAACCTAAATGAATTGGTCGCCTTACCTGTGACTAACATCTAGCTAAATGTGAAGGAAGTGTAGTGTGGGTGTAGGTTTCTCTTTTTAAATACACTTTATTGTGTACAGTGGATCCTTGGGTAATGTGGGAGTTAGGGGCACCTGGTTCTTGAATTTCTCTTCTTTACGTCTCACATCCAATTTATGGTCAATCCTTCTTTTTTTTTTTTTTTTTTTGGGATGGAGTCTCAGTCTGTCACCCAGGCTGGAGTGCAGTGGCATGATCTCAGCTCACTGCAAGCTCTGCCTCCCGGGTTCATGCCATTCTCCTGCCTCAGCCTCCCGAGTAGCTGGGTCTACAGGTGGCCGCCACCACGCCCGGCTAATTTTTTGTATTTTTAGCAGAGATGGGGTTTCACCGTGTTAGCCAGGATGGTCTTGATCTCCTGACCTCGTGATCTGCCCGCCTCAGCCTCCCAAAGTACTGGGATTACAGGCATAAGCCACCATGCCCGGCCCAGTCCTTCTTAATAATATATATAAAATCTGACCTTGTAACTCTAAACTTATATTGGTTTAGCTCCTCGTGATGTCTCTCTTGGACAATAAATTGTCTCAAATATTTATAAAGTATGCAGTATTATTGATAGAGACATCCAGAATTATCTTTTTGAACACATCTCTGATCATGTGCCTTCCTAAATTAAAATCCTTGTTATTGCCTTCAAGGTATAATGTAAAATCAATAGCTAGGCCTATGACGTGCTTCAGAGTTGGCCTGCTCTAGCTCTGCCACATCGTCTTGTGCCAATCCATCATCACATGGATACTAGCACTGAACAGTTCTAGTCCACGGATACTACTAGTACTGTTCTCTTGTATAGGACAAACACACTGGCTTTTAAGTGTGTCAAGGACTCCCCCAGTGCAGGGCCATTGCACATGCAGCTTCTTCGGTTTGGAACACTCTCTTCCCCACTGTGATCAAATGCTAAAAACAGAGGTTTCCAAAATTTCTTGGTTCATGCCACCTTTAGTGACTCAGTAATTTCTCACAGTGTCTGTGGGTGCTCATACATATTAATGTACTAACAACTCAGTTGCCATTTAAAAAGAAATACACTTGTGTTCAAAAAAATACTTCATATTTCTTTCTTAAATAATCACCATTACTTATCAATGGGATATGTTCTTCTGTTGGGTGTTACAGAATTTCTCAAAGGTTAGCATTGGATTGGGCCTTGTCACCCTCATTTCTCATTCCACAATGATTTTTGCATGGTAACAGCTTTTCATCTAGAAACCACAGAAAACCCAGCTCTGCAAAGGTACTGCATCATCAAAAAAATATATATACTATAATCCAGTGTTAAAACTGTGAACTCCCTTGAGGTCGTAGTTCATATGCTGCCTGACATTGCTCTCTTTTCCTAGCAATTTAAAAGTATCTCATGATTCTCCAAGGAGTTTCTGCAGTGCTCTAGAATACCTTGACACATAGTTTGGGAACCATGATGCTAAAAGAATGGCACTGAAAATAATGCCATAGGAATTTATTAGGTCATTAAAACTGTATTGTTTCACAAAGACCTGTACTGATTGTTATGTTCAAGACATGGTAATTGTAAGCTACTGTGAGCTAAGAGTCTTTTTGTTTAAGATTTATCTTAGACTTTATTGTAAATATAAAACTTTCTGCATTATATGGTATTTGAGTTTAAAGGATGGATTGTATATGTCAGATTAGCGAGGAAGGCTAAAATTAAGGCTAAAAATATAAACAAAAAATTCCTCCCTTATCTGACTATATAGCATTGTGATGAATATTGAAGTGTACCACCTAGATTGCCCCCTCAAGTTAGAAGCATGCATTCATCAGATGCTGGGAGTATTGACTGCTGATAGATGGTGGGAATTGCACTTGGTCAAAATGAGCTGTTTTGCACAAAATTATGTTCTTTCTTTGGAGGCAGCCTATGTCTGATGACTATTAAATATGGCAGTACAATGACCCAGTTTCCTTGCCTAAATTGGGACATCTCTGAGGATCCATTGCTTCTCCACAGCTCTCCAAGGGCCTGGCTTGCACCTCTGTTAAACTGTATCACAGTTCGATCACTTCCTCTGCCTAATCTTGCTTCCCCCTTTTACTCTCAGATTTTGGTCCCAAGTGTGCTCTTCAGTAAACTTGTTGCTCACAAATCTCTACCTTACCGTGGTGGTAGAGTGCCTTACCTAAGACAAAATCATATCAAGTGTCTTCTACTCAAGTATTATATTACTTATGAATATACCCTTTTGTATTGTTTTTGAGTTGGTAATTTATTTGAGTTTATACTGCTCTATTAAGAAGTCATTACACTGTATTAAGTACAAACTCTTAAAAACAATACATTGAACTATGTCTTAATGCCCCAATATGTTTTTCAAATTTTCTTTTATATTATGATAAGACAAAATTAAAAAAAAGAAAGAGCATGACATTTAGCTTCTGACACACCTCCTCTTCCCAATAAAATTAACACATACATTTCAAGATATGGGAAAATCTTATATTTCTAGGAATTGTGGTTAACATATTTTAACATTTAAAGATAATAATTGTAAAGTTCTTAATTGTTTCCAAAAAACAAATTGTCTTCGCTACATTTTGTTGCATGCAAATACATGCATAAATAAGAATATAACAAGTTTTTCTTTCTCATTTTATTGCCTCTCCAGGGACATAAAACAATGACTTTACTAAAATCATGCAACTTAATCTTCTGAGAAGTTGGATGTATATAAATTCAGGATTTTAAATTTTTGGCATATTGATTTTTTAAATGATTAAACCATCAGGAATGTAGTAAATAGCAAAGGGCTTCACAATCTCAGTCACTGTAGAAAAAGAGCGAGCAGAAAGCTTGGCAGAGGTGTGCAGTGTGGAGAAATGCAGAGGGTTGGATCCAGCCTTGGAACTGCATGATTCAGGGTGCAGGAGCATCAGTCATTAGTGGGACATTATCTGGCAATTCTGGAGGGATCTTGAGTCGTTTTGCAACAAGTTCCAAGCACACATAACACAATTCTTAGGGAGTTAGTGCTCTTACATTAGTCTGGCATTTTTGGATGGGTGCATATCATGAGCAAAAAGGTAGGATGACCCTGGATCCACAAAACATATTTGAAAACTATATCTCTGCTGTTTATTTTTAGAGTGCTTGTGGAAAGAGATAAATAAGTTGCTCAGATTACTCATTCAAGGGTAAAGTCACTTTAAAAAAATTGACAATGTAACAGTTTCAATTTTATCTGCATTGAGTCAAGTTTAGAATAACCATATTCAAGATAACAGTTGAAAGATAACCATTACAAAAATTTAAATCCGTGATTTATTTTTGCCAAAAGATGGTACTCATGTATCTGTTAAGATTGTTAAGGGAGATGTAAAGAAAAAAAACCACAACATTATTTCCATGAATCTGAAGGTATGAAACCTAGGGCTGTGGAATCATGGCAATATACTTGCATTTTACCATATTGCATTTGAAATGTAAACAACTTAATTTAAAAGATATGCTCCTGGAAATGTATTATTAAACAGCAGGCTCTCACAAGAGAGTTAACATGCCAAATTAAAGCACTTGTAAGTAAATGCCAGATTCTGCAACCATTTTACTATCTTCTATTTCAACAACAAAGCTGGAATGAAAGTATCAGAAGGACAAAAAAGGAAATAGTAAAACGATACATCAAAGTTACGTTTTGAAACTCAGAATTAATTAATTAATTAATTAATTATTATTTTACTTTAAGTTCTGGTATACATGTGCTGAACATACAGGTTTGTTACATAGGTGTACATGTGCCATGGTGGTTGCTGCACCTATCAACCTGTCGTTTAGGTTTTAAGTCCTGCATGAGTTAGGTATTTGTCCTAATGCTAACCCTCCCCCTTCCCCCCACCTCATGACAGGCCCTGATGTGTGATGTTCCCCTCCCTGTGTCCATGTGTTCTCATTGTTCAACTCCCAATTATGAGTGATAATATGTGGTGTTTGGTTTTTCTGTTCCTGTGTTAATTTGCTGATAATGATGGTTTCCAGCTTCATCCATGTCCCTACAAAGGACATGAACTCATCCTTTTTATGGCTGCATAGTATTCCATGGTGTATATGTGCCACATTTTCTTAATCCAGTCTATCATTGATGGGCATTTGGGCTGGCACCAAGTCTTTCATATTGTAAATAGTGCTGCAATATACATAGGTGTGCATATGTCTTTATATTAGAAGGATTTATAATCCTTTGGGTATATACCCAGTAATGGGATTGCTAGGTCAAATGGTATTTCTAGTTCTAGATCATTGAGGAATCACCACACTGTCTTCCACAATGGTTGAACTAATTACATTCCCGCCAACAGGGTAAACACGTTCCTATTTCTCCACAGCCTTGCCAGCATCTGTTGTTTACAGACTTTTTAATGATTGCCATTCTAACTGATGTGAGATGGTATCTCATTGTGGTTTTGATTTTCCTTTCTCTAATAACCTGTCATGTTGAGCTTTTTTCATATGTTTGTCGGCTGCATAAATATCTTCTTTTGAGAAATGTCTGTTCATATCTTTTGCCCACTTTTTGATGGGTTTTTTTTATTGCAAATTTGTTTAAGTTCCTTGTAGATATTCCTTGTGAATATTAGACCTTTGTCAGATAGATAGATTGCAAAATTTGTCTCCCATTCTGTAGGTTGCCTGTCCACTCTGATGATAGTTTCCTTTGCTGAGCAGAAGCTCTTTAGTTTAATTAGATCCCATTTGTCAATTTTGGCTTTTGACGCAATTGCTTTTGGTATTTTAGTCATGAATTCTTTGCCCAAGCTTATGTCCTGAATGGTATTGCCTAGGTTTTCTTCTAAGGTTTTTATGGCTTTAGGTTTTACATTTAAGTCTTTAATCCATCTTGAGTTAATTTTTATATAAGGTCTAAGTAAGGGGTTCAGTTTCTGTTTTCTGCATGTAGCTAGCCAGTTTTCCCAGAACCATTTATTAAATAAGGAATTCTTTCCCCACTGCTTGTTTTTGTCAAGTTTGTAGAAGATCAGATGGTTGTAGATTTGTGGTGTATTTTTTAGGCCTCTGTTCTGTTCCATTGGTCTATAGATCTGTTTTGGTACCAGTACCATGCTGTTTTGGTTACTGTAGCCTTGTAGTGTAGTTCGAAGTCAGGCAACGTGATGCCTCTAGCTTTGTTCTTTTTGCTTAGGATTGTCTTGACTTTATGGGCTCTTTTTGGTTCCATATGAAATTTAAAGTAATTGAATCTATAAATTAATTTGGGCAGTATGGCCATTTTCATGAAATTGATTATTCCTATCCATGAACATGGAATTTTTTTTCCATTTATTTGTGTCCTCTCTTATTTCCTTGAGCAGTAGTTTGTAGTTCTTCTTGAAGAGGTCTTTCACATCCTTGTAAGTTGTATTCCTAGGTATTTTTTTGTAGCAATTGTGAATGAGAATTCACTCATGATTTGGCTCTCTGCTTGTCTATTATTGGTGTATAGGAATTCTTGTGATTTTTGCACATTAATTTTGTATCCTGAGACTTTGGTGAAGTTGTTTATCAGCTTAAGGAGTTTTTGGGCTGGGACGATGGGGTTTTCTAAATATACAATCATGTCGTCTGCAAACAGAGACAATTTGACTTTCTCATTTCCTATTTATATACCCTTTATGTCTTTCTCTTGCCTGATTGCTCTGGCCAGAACTTCCAATACTATGTTGAACAGGAGTGATGAGAGAGGGCATCCTTGTCTTGTGCTGGTTTTCAAAGGGAATGCTTCCAGCTTTTCCCATTCAGTATGACACTGGCTATGAAACTCAGAATTTCATTGTTTTGCTAGGCAATCATGAAGATTGTGCCTTCTTTGTCTGCATAAGATGTGCTACTTAGCATCTCTACTAACAATTATTGAGCATCTACTGTATACCTGGCACTGTAATAAGTATTTAACATTCAGGATTTTACTTTATCCTTACAATAGCTTTAGGAAGTGTTATTCTTATCAAATTCATGTCATAGAAAACAGTGAAGCTAGTGATGACCTCATAGAGGTTAGTGATGGCAAACAGTGGGAGCCAATATTTGAATCTAATTCCAAATCTCACTGTCTTAACCACTATGCTATAATAATAGCTCTGTAACTATTTTGTTTAAAATTTGGACCTCAGTTTATAGAATATATTATTTTAACTTTTTCATTTTTAATCCTCTGTGTAGTTAATTACTTTTCATAAACACATTTGAAAGGGTGGCATATGTCCTAGAGTCCTACATCTTTGAACAGAATGCCAGTAATGCCACCCATTAGTGGTGTCATCTTGGACAGGCTTCTATATCTGGAAAATAATAGTGCTTACTTTAAGGACTGTTGTGAAAAATATAAATAATACATTTATAGGGTTTATATCCAGTAAGTACTCAGTATATGGAAATAGTTATTTTCTGAAAGGATCTAACAAAATGTAATTGTTATTCTACAGGCAAACTCTAGGTCATCAGTAAGAAGAGAAAGTTCTGTGCAGAAAATTACTAAGGCAAACATTCATCCTTCAAGTAAAATTAGAACATATATTTTTGTATAGGCAACCCCCCCGAAATTCATTAAATATATAACTTCAGAATTATCTCTGTAAAGATGACTTTAAGTTGCAAAATAATTCTTTACTGAAAAATTCATCAAATGATACATTTTGAAGTTGCAATTTGTTTTAATGCATTCATAATGTAATACAAGTGACATGTTTTGTAATTACATAAAATGAGATGAAAGTTAAAATGATTATTCCAAATCATCAAATCCCAGTACTTTCATTATCAAATCAAGATTATTTCCAACTTTACAGTATTAATTATTCTGCATATTTCTTTTATACATAAAGTTCTGGATTAGTTTCTTTCCTGAGAAAAGGCCTGTGACAAATCATATCTGAATCAAAATCTTACTGAATTTAAATAATTATCCTGGAAATGAGTGCACAATAAACTTGTTAAGTGAAGGCTAGGCATACAATCGAGGTAGTCAGTTGGTTTGTATATTTTCTATTTTGAATAGTATTAGATTTAATTTAAACCCATGTATGTATTCCCAAATACCTAATTATGGCTATTTCCAGTGAGATTTTTTTTCAAGTACAATTTAAATTTGAAAGTTCCCCAAAGTCATAACACAAATCTATGTTAAAAAATCTTGAGTCTCCTGGTGAATTTACTTTAACATGTCACCTCCTGCATTTTAGTACATGGATTAGTCTTTAGAAATGAAGAACATCTGGCTTTTGCCTGCTGTATAACATCCTCCCATCCTCTTCTTCAGGCTAAATAACCCCAATTCCCCTAGCTTCTCATTCTAAATCCATTTTCTAGCATTTAAATCACTCTGCTGATCAACCTGGACCTCTTCAAATTTACTCACCTCTCTGTTATGCTAAGCAGTCATAATTCATTAACTAGTTTTCAATCAGTAATAAAGCAGCTGTCACTCAATACATTCCCTGTTGTATGGCCCAATAGAAGAAAGACCACTCACACATACAAACAGAGTTGTATCCAACTATGCTTTGGATGCACATATTTGTTTATATTCTTATGTATCAACTTAAAGATTTGTGTATCATGCACTATATGCCAAGCTTATGTTACTCTTTATCAGACTCTTATTGGCATATACAATGTTCCTTGGCTGGTGATGATGGTGACATAGGGGTGAGCAATACAGACTTTTTCAGGTGCTTATATTCCAGTATGGGATTCATATAATAAGAGAATACAAATAAAATGTAATTATTATAAAAATTAAAATATTAACAGTGCTAAAAAGAAAAATAAAGCACTTAAAAATAGAAGCAAGTTTAGGCACAGGGCATGTAATGATAAATAAGAAGTCAAGGATGTTTGTATTGGCTGGGAGATAAAAGTTTGAATCTATAATAATATAATAATGACACTGATAAAACCTATATGTTTATTGAGAGCTTACTAGGCAATCATGCATTATATCAACAATGGCATATGCATTATCTCATTTGATTATCACAAAAATTTTACAAAGCAGATATTATTACTAGTCCCATTTTTCTAATGCTAAGATTGAGGCTTAAACAATTTTGGTAACTTTCTAAAGTCATCCAGTGATTAATTGGCAAGGCCTGAAGCAAAACCAGGTTTTTAGGACTCCAGAGTTTAATTTCTTGCCCTCTATTTGGTCAATTACATTAATATAATTACATATTACATATATAATATATATATATATACACACACACACTCATACATATACATATATACAAATACGCATTCAGAAACAAGGCCATATTGAGATACTTAGTTGCTCCAGTCATACAAATAATTTGGTGTCCTTAGAAAGGTTAATAATTTGGTATTCTGTCAAATTGATAGTCTAAAGATATTAGTTTAACATTTATTTGCGGGACAGGTTAAATGCTGTTAATGCTGTTAGCATAAGAGTGGAAAAGGAAATTCTCTGCTTTTTCTGTAATTCTGAGAAACAATATTCAACAAAACAAAAACTTTGTCTTCCTATGACAAAACCTACTCTTCTCAGAAGGATTTTTTGTGATGTTTTTATTACTCATGCATTTACTTGGGGTTCTCAGCCTATAACTACATTCCCCGTAGCTTTTCAAAATATTCCTTCCAACACTGTTAGCACTCTCCTGGGATTTTTAAACAAGACTTTCTTGTTCTGGAATGATATAAGCTTAATATAACTTTTTTTAACAGGATCTTTTGATATGGGCAATGTGACTAGGTGATCCAGAAACTTCAGAAACCGGCGTTGGTTTGCATCAGGTGCAAACAGGGGCAGAAACAAAGGGGCTAAAATCTTGAATCTGATGAAGTCTTCTATGTACTTAGTGTATATGAATCCTATGACATAGATTCCAATGCCCTAGGAACTAAAAAGAAACATGGAGAAAATTCATGCTTTTGTCTCTGGGCTGCCGAAGCTCTTACTTAGATTATACACGCACTAATCATGAAATTATTCACAAGTGGGTGTTTTTCTTAAGTTATGAAACTGTAGCCTAAACGTATGATCCAGTTAATTTCTTTATCACTCTAGTGTGTTTGACATAAGGCTTATGTAAAGAAATATGTATTCTGGAGAACCACTCTAAGATAATTTCTCCCATTTGCCATTGATGATTGCATTTAAATAATGAAAAATGACAAGTTTAAGTAAAGGCCAGAAGTTACCGTAATCTCCCACTTACTAGTTCACCCTCAAAGGTCACTGACTTCATTCAACTTTCACTTTATCTCTCTTGCCTGTTAATTGTCTTTAGAAGGAACTGCTCTCTTTACATAATTGCTGCTACAGCCCTCCCTCTCCCATCCAGACCCCTTTCTTCCTTCATAGCATCTCCTCATCCACACATTTTCCTCCACACACTGCGAGAGATGAGCTTTATTTGAAAGAAAAGATGATGCTTCTCTTTTACATGATGGCTCTCAATGAAAATGCTGTCCTCTCATTCTGCTCCTAGTCTTGCTTCTATTTCCAGGAACGATGCCCCTCTCTGGACACTCTGCGTTCATAAATTGGGTTTGGCTTATTTAGGATTAGTGGCCCTCTTCTGGCTAAGTTTATGATATTCTGCTCTCTTTCTGTGGGAGACAGAGTCAGGCTCATTATGTTGAAATAATGTTTGCTGCTTAAAAGTTTTCACATAGAACCTTGAGCTCTTCAGGGAAAAGATACTATATAAATCCAATAAAGAATGAATACATGCATAATAAAAGGCTGGTCAATGCTGAGTATAGGGAGAAATTTTTTTTTTTGCTACTATGCAAGAGACACTGTAAATTACAATTTTCCAAAAGCATAGCAGCTTATTAAAAGAAACAAGATTATCAGATATTTCCCTTCTCTCCTGAGAATAAATGAGGAAGAAATGGGCTTAAATTGCAGAAGAAGGAATTTGGGTTAGATACAGTTTGTTTCTATGGGGCTATTACACTTAAGTAGCTCTGGTTAGTATGCCAGGGTCATTAAAAATGAGCTGAAGAACAAATGGACCAGCAAATAATGTGAATCCTAATTTCCACAAATTGATTTCCATCCCATGAAAACATTCTTCATTTGCTGTATGACTTTGTGGATGGGGTAAACACAACCATATCAAATTGATAGTGTCATTCCTGACTCACGAGATGAGGTCACATTGTGCTACAAACACAAGCTTGGAGATCAGAAAACAAACAAACAAACACAGCCCATGTATTCCAGACTCACTTTAACTTTGTGAACTTTGGCAGCTTGTTTGTCCTCTCAATACCTCAGCTATCTCAACTCGAAGCTGGAGAAATATCTCCTACCTGTTAAGATTAGTAAGCAATTTAAAAAAGAATATCTGTAAAATGCATAGAATGGTGGTTAACACATATCCAGCCCCCATAACTAAGGCCAACATGTAAAAGAATATCTCCAATAAACAATTCATAAAATGGTATGCAAATAGTCAAACTGGAAGATCTAGTAGCCCAGGTCATCACAGAGTGACTACATGTGCTGATAGCTGTGGAACTGCAGTTCCTTAAAATCTTTTCCTAGAGTTTGAATATAGATGAATTATGAACAATATTTCTCAAGAGTATTTGCTATCTTCTTCCATATTTTGATGCTAGTGTGTGGCTTCTAGTTTCATATTCATCATCAATCATCCCTGGTTGAATTTAGAAACAATAGGAGTGAGATTTATGATTAAGCATTTATCCGGATTTCCTTTTATAAACATTCAAAATAAAGAAGCAAAAAGGCACAAACACACCAAGACAAAATAAGAACAAAGAGAGATGAGCTAACAAAATAAGTCAACCTTCTAGAAACTGAAAAGCAGATGATGCATGCTGACAGAGTCAACAGACATGAAAAATCTTATGTTGTTGGGGATGAGGTGGAAATTGGAAACAAGCAAGTTTCCTTTGCTGAAGCAGAAAACTCCAGAAGACTCTCTTAAATTTGAATGACCAGTTACCTGCACGAGCAGGTGTACAAGTTGAGGCTGGAACTGGGATGTGTGATATGTCTTTAAATTTCCAGATCCCCTCCCTAACTTCCCATAGTCAGGTGATTCTGTCTTTCCCATTGGCAGAAACCTGAAGTTTTACTGTCTAGAATGGTAAAATTACATGTGTTTTGCACTTGAGGCACTAGACTCATTAGAAGGTGGAGGTGAGACTTGCTATTAAAAGCAAGAGGTTTGTTTTACTTTATTCAATTGGAAAAGAATCTTATTTTATTAATTAGAGAAAATAAACATGGAGATTTACTCTGGCAGGCAACCCTAAGATATTCTTTTCTTTCTTTTAGAATGATGAAAAAAATCAGAAGCTTGAAGTGTAAAACATTGAATTTTCCATCTAAGGCCATCCCTTTGTTACTATGAGCAAGAGCCCTGACACTGGTATTTTAACAAGATCCTCACGAGATACTGGGGCATAACCTTTGTAGGAGGAATAGAACACCAGTGGCCAATACTTAGCTAAGCAACTTAGGAAAACTCAGACAGGAGTAACTTGGGAGGATATCCCAGGATTCACGAGAGTAGACAGGTAGTCTCTTAAAGTCTACGTTTGCCAATAACCTTGCAGAATTTGAAAACCTTCTAGTAATTCTTCAAGTCTTATAATAACCTATATCAGCCAAGAAGATTTAGAGAGATAGAACATCCCTTACCAAGAATTGTCATAAGAGATCTCCTCTTTTTGTCTTTTTTTAAATTCTGAAATGTCCCTTCTAAAGATATTTTACAAACCTCAAGTTTACCTTTGTTATTTCTGCTACACTTCATTTAGTAGTACATCAATCAGTCAATCAGTCAACAAACATCATTAAATTCCTTCTCTTTACTAGGCTGTAATAGGTGTTGCTGAACAAGAAAAATGACTAATACTTGATCCTTCTCCACAAAGAAATCAGAGTCTAGTGGAAGTAGTTAGATAAGATACTGATTTAGAGAATACGACATGTAGTTTGATAGAAATAGGGAGAAAAAGGCTGGGCGCCGTGCCGTGGCTCACACCTATAATCCCAGCACTTTGGGAGGCCGAGGAGAGTGGATCACGAGGTCAGGAGATCAAAACCATCCTTTCTAATGTGGTGAAACCCCGTCTCTACTAAAACTACAAAAAATTAGCTGGGTGTGGTGGCACACGCCTGTAGTCCCAGCTGCTCGGGAGGCTGGGGCAGGAGAATCGCTTGAACCCAGGAGGCGGAGGTTGCAGTGAGCCGAGATCATGCCACTGAACTCCAGCCTGGGGACAGAATCAGACTCTGTCCCCCCACCCCCCCCCCAAAAAAAAGCAGAAAAAGTAACTGCACCTCAACTTATGAATTGGAGTAGGTTTGTCTGGGAGAAAAGAGTATAAGGAATATTTTCTATAGTTAATAATAGTCTGGTTCTTCCTGGAAGAGCCCAGTCCACTTTTCCTTCCTCTTTCTTAGGTAATCAGAGTGTAAGACAAGGTGGTATGATGACCATAACAGATGGATTTGCAGTTTTCTTCATTCCTCTTTTTTAAATCTTTTTTTCAACTTTTATTTTAGGATCAAGGGGGTACATGTACATGTTTGTTACATGGGTAGATTTTGTGTCACTGGACTTTGGTGTACAAAATAATTTGTCCCTCAGGTAGTGAGCATAGAACCTGACAGGTAGTTTTTCGACCCTGATCCTCCTCCCACCCTCCCCAGTAGGCCCTGGGGTCTATTGTTCCCATCATTGTGTCCATGTGTACTCAATGTTTAGCTCCCACTTGTAAGTGAGAACATGTGGCATTTGGGTTTCTGTTCCTGCATCAATTTGCTTAGGATAATGGCCTCCTGCTGCATCCATGTTGTTTGAAAGGACATGTTTTCATTTTTTATGTTTGCGTAGTATTTCATGGTGTATATTTATCACATTTCCTTTTTCCAGTCCACCATTGGTGGGCATGCTTTAGATTCACGGAGTACATGTACAGGTTTGTTACTTGGGTATGTTGCATGTTGCTGAGGTTTGGCATACAAATGATACCCTTACTCAGGTACTGAGCATAGTACCTTACTGTTAGTTTTTCAACCCTTGCCCTTCTCCCTTCCTCCTCTAGTAGTCTCCAGTGTCTACTGTTGCCATCTTTATGTTCATGAGTACCCAATGTTAATCTCCCATTTTTAAGTGAGAACACGCAGTATTTGGTTTTCTGTTCCTAAGTTAATTTGCGTAGGATAATGGCCTCCAGCAAGCAGGAGATGTAATATAAATGTACTCACATAAAGATAAGACTCCAACATGCTTCATCCTGTTTTCCTCCCTTCTTTCCTTGGATATGGATAGTTTATTTCATCGGTATCCTTGCCTCCTTCTTCATTTCAGTATCCAAGCCAAGGAAATTTTAAAGATTCCTTCATTGAGGAAAATAACCAGCTCCAGGTAATAGCAAGGGTCTCTCCGAGATCACCTTAGAGCAAATATTTTCAAACTTGCCTGCATTTTAGAATATCTGAGGGAGATTTTAAGTATCCTGATGCTTGTGTCATACCTCAAATCAATTGAGTCACAGTATCTGGACTGAGACCAATGTATTGATATTTTTAAAAGCATTCAGCAGCCCGAGGGTGAGGCCCATCAGTCAAGAAACCTTGTCCTTATACAGGGTTGTCACTTTGTTTTTAGTGCTTCTATCATTGTCACTAAGGATTTGAAGAAACTTTTAAAGTGAAAGAAAGAGACAAAAGAGAAAGAGAAAAAAATGAGAACATGAAATTCATAGAAACAATGCAGAAAGGAGACACTCCAATGGCTCCAATGAATTTTTAAAATAAAGATATTGAACATATGGAAAAAGAACAGATCACAATACAGAAGATAAAAATCAATGAACTTCAGTTCTTTTCTATTCTGAAATTTTAAAGGTCACATTATTTAACAAATTGTAAAATAGATCTCTAGCCTGATGTCTTCAGCCTCATCACTCTACAGACTCCCACTTGTTGCTCTCAGCTCCAGCAACCCTGGATCATCATCTACTCCCTCCCCAGCTCCATGGTCCAGGTTATTTCTGTCCTTGAAGCTTGTCTATATGCTGTTCCATTTGTGTGAATGCCTATTTTGTCTTAGTAGTACCTCTTCTTATCCAGAAGACAGCACAGATTTCACTTCTGCTAGCATTCTTTTTCTCTCTTTTCAAGTCAGAATTAGATTAGAAATCTACACAATATTATGTATTATGTAATATTACAATAATAATGTATTATCTTTTTCTTATGGTTGACTTCTATAACATGCAGATTAAAACCACAACACAGGAACAGAAAACCAAACACCGCATGTTCTCACTCATAAGTGGGAGTTGAACAATGAGAACACATGGACGCAGAGAAGGGAATATCACACACCAGGGCCTGTCGGGGGTGGGGGTCT
This sequence comes from Homo sapiens, assembly GCF_000001405.40. NCBI lineage: Eukaryota > Metazoa > Chordata > Mammalia > Primates > Hominidae > Homo > Homo sapiens. The sequence continues at coordinate 187,108,412 of NC_000001.11, forward strand.
AGGAGAGGGATAACATTAGGAGAAATGGCTAACGTAGATGATGGGTTAATGGGTGCAGCAAACCAGCATGGAATGTGTATACCTATGTAACAAACCTGCACCTTCTGCACATGTATCCTAGGACTTAAAGTATAATAATAAAAAAATAATAATAATAACGGCCGGGCACGGTGGCTCACGCCTGTAATCCCAGCACTTTGGGAGGCCAAGGCGGGCGGCTCACGAGGTCAGGAGACCATCCTGGCTAACACGGTGAAACCCCGTCTCTACTAAAAAAATACAAAAAAAAAATTAGCCGGGCATGGTGGCGGGCGCCCGTGATCCCAGCTACTGAGGAGGCTGAGGCAGGAGAATGGCATGAACCCGGGAGGCGGAGCTTGCGGTGAGCCGAGATCGCGCCACTGCACTCCAGACTGGGCGACAGAGCGAGACTCAGTCTCAAAAAACAGAAAACAAACAGACAAACAACAAAAAAACACAATTAAGGAATCAGACAGATCTTGGCTCTGCCATTTTTAGTATTTGAAATCTGTATTCTTGAGCAAGCAACTGACTTTATTTTTCTGAACATCAGTTTCTTCATTTCTAAATGAAGCTAATAGTAATAATAATGCCTATGTTGCCAGGTTGTAGTGAATACAAAATCCAGTCACTGTCCACATCACTTGGTACATAGTAAGCACACACATTGTTCAGGCCCACCTAAAAACCAGGTCCTGGGTTTTTTTTCCACGCCACTTTGGTGGTCTATCTCTCTGGTTGTTAAGTGATCCATCCTTTTTGTTTATTTGGTTATTTCTTTGCTTTTGTTATGGTATGGTGGTATTGGGCCATTATAAAGGAAAATGTCAACATGCTGTTCAGCTAAACTTAGAGTCACTTGCAGGTAGCTGTTGATGAAGGGGCCTCTTCCAACAGCTGCTGGAAGATCAGCTACTCAGCAATTCTGCAGGCCTTGTCTGGGTTTTCTCTCAACTTCCAGGTGTTGCCATGTGAATGGCATTTCGTGATTCTTGTGTTGACCACCTTCTTTTCTTTATTTTGCCCCTGCCTAGACTTCATATTTCTGTCTTCCTGAGGTTACACACCACACCTATCTCCTTATGCTTTCCCATCTAGAGGTTGAAAGGCACATGGAAGCACTCCTTAACCTCTTACCCTCTTCAGTCTATAGAGGTGATATAATCCAATCTGATCCACTTACCCCTTTTTGGTTTTTATTTTTGAAGTTTAGTTAGAAGATAAAGCAACAAACAACAATTACAGTAACAACCTTCTTTCAATTTTTTTCTCTTTATAATCTTAATATAATAATCCAAATTCTCTCTGACACAGTGTATTATTTCAGAATAATCAATTTTACTTGTGCCCATTCTACCTGGTTGTGATTATAAATTTTACTTATAGACATCTTCTATTCATCTATACTTCCCACTAGAACATAATCCACCTGAGGGCAGTGACTGTCTCTTGGACATTTTTGCTTTATTAGTTTTTTACCACAGTCATAGCACCTGAAACTGTTGATTGAATAAAGAATCCGAAAAATACTATAAGTGACACATGGAATAAGAAGATGCCCAACTCTCTTTAAATTCATTTTGTTTGCTTATGTATTATTTATTGTAACAATATGTAAGAAAGGTAAGTTTGCTAACATCAACATAGCTTTTTATGTTAACACAATAATTTTAATATAATTTTTCTCTTTCAATTGAAAAATTCAGTTATAAAAGTTCTCAGACTCAGTATTGAATGTTTACATTACAAAGTCCAGTAATATGCACATGGACTTATGTGCTAGAGCTAAGGGGAGTTATGTGCTAGGATAGCATTTCTTTAGCATGCATATGAATCACCTAGGGATCTTGTTAAAGAACAGATTCCCATTCAGTGGGCCTGAGATTCTGCATCCCTAAGCAGCTTCCAGATTATGCTCATCCTTCTAATTTAGGAATCATATCTTGAAGAGCAAGGTTCCAGATTTTTAAAATCCCTTATGAAATATAAAAACAAAGCAAAGAGATTACAAATTCTATATCATGATATGAGAATAGAGAAAAGAAACAGTAAAAACAGAAACTAAAATGACAAGTAAATAACATTGTGAAGTTTCTAATAACACTTGCTGATACTATATGCAAATAATAATCATCACAGCATAAGAAACCCCTTTCTCTCTTAGTGACTGGTAATTGCAGGCTAACTTTATTCATTGGTGGTGTTGAAATAACTGATGACTGTTTTTTGAAAAAATTTCTTTAGGTGTCATAGTAAAATTTAGACAACTTAATTATTTCCTAACCTAGTTGTTAATGAGACATACATTTAATTGTTATAGGAATTATATTTTACAAATGACAATGATAAAATTATAACGATGAAACATCTAGTCCTGAAGAATTGGGTATTTGCTTGAATTATGAATCATTTACAGTTAAAGGACCATATGTAGATTTATTCTTAATTGCAGTAACAAGAAATGGTGATGTGTATAGGTTTACAAAACAGGATTTAAATTTTATTTCTAGATAAAAAAATCACCATAGATTAGTTCCTATTAAGAAAACTTAGTATATCCAAAATCAGGCACAAATAATTATTAGTTAATGTTGTTAAAGTACTTTGCAAATAACAAATAATTTTTATCATGCTGTCATGAATTTTATATGTATTACTCAGTGGTGACAATTAGAATATGTTTGCTAGACAATAAAGTGGCATTTTGTTTTGTATTGGAGAACATCAATTGAAAAACATCTCAGTATTTTACTGCTAAAAATTTGAATTAATTTCATAGGAATTAAGAAAACTTAATAAGCTTAAATGTCTCATAGAAATTGTTCAACAGATCATGGAAGCAAATGTCTCCTCTGATGTAAAAAGATAATTTCCAATAAAGTTTAATGAATTGAAGAAAAATTATACTATTTTCTCCAGCAAAGATGCTGCTAAATTTCTAGGCTTGCTTGCTACATGCCCTCAGCATTTTTTTACCTCTGTTCCTTTTCACTAACTCCTCTCTCAACAAAGCAGCAGCAGGTTTACTAGATTATACACGTGTACTTGCCACTTGAGAGCATGTGCATACTCTCTCTCTCTCCCTCAAAGGTTATTATTATAGATCCAAATTAAATTTGGGTCAAGAAATGCATGGCTTTAAAAGATTTGTATCTGTTGCTTCAAATTCCAAAAATTAATATTTTTGTCTAAGTAGTTTTATCAGTGGTAACTTTGGGGGCTAATTTTTTGTGTTTATTGATTTTTCTTTTTTCCCTTTTTTTCAATTTTATTTTTTTAACTACAGCATTCAGGTCCACAATATCCACTTCCAGACTTCACTCAGCTGAAGGACTTATCTCATTCAGAATAGATTTAGAGACTTGAGTTTGAAGAATAATTATATATATATATATATAAAATTATATATAAATATATATATAAAATTATATATAAATATATATATATATATATTCAGATAAACTTTGGCATGGGAGATGTCCTAAGGACAGGCACATTAACAACAAGAAGAGAACGCTGTAACACATGACAAAGGCAGAGAGAAAAAGAAATAAGTGTAAAAATAATTGTAAAAAATTTCAAGAAAGCATAACTCCAAATATCAACAGACCTGAAAAACACCTCAGTGACAACAGTTGTAAATAATGACCATGAGTCAAAAAGGCAGATAAAATTAACCTCAGTACACTCCGATTAGGAAGACAGCGTGGTAATAGTTTGGAAATAAAAACATGCTTTTGATTATTTCAGGTGTTAAGTATGTGTTCTCATCTGGAACAAAGTATCTCCTAGCAAAGTCAGAGTATTGAAATGCCTATAGCTCTACAAGCCACAGCCCTTGATGTGCCCACATTCTACTGAGACATGTAAAAAATAATGGTGTGATACGTGAAACTATAAGTACATAGAAAATATGGTTTTAACATAGAGGAGAGAATGATTGAGTCAGTTGGGAGAAGAGAGAGATTATTACATAGAGAGATTATTAAATTGAATCTTGAAGGAATAATAGACACTTACCAGAAAAGAAAGGGCTACAAAATATGGTTTTTATTTTATTTTATTTTATTTTATTTATTTATTTATTTTTTTTGAGATGGAGTTTCGCTCTGTTGCCCAGGCTGGAGTGCAGTGGTGTGGTATCAGCTCACTGCAAGCTCCGCCTCCCGGGTTCACGCCATTCTCTTGCCTCAGCCTCCCGAGTAGCTGGGACCACAGGCGCCCGCCATCACGCCCGGCTAGTTTTTTGTATTTTTAGTAGAGACAGGGTTTCACCGTGTTAGCCAGGATGGTCTCAATCTCCTGACCTCGTGATCCACCCGCCTCGGCCTCCCAAAGTGCTGGAATTTCAGGCTTGAGCCACAGCGCCCAGCCATATGGTGGTTTTAATAAAGCTTTATATAAATATCCTTCATTGATTTTCTTTCTGCATTGAGTCAATTATCCATCACCCCATGGGGAATTAGGACTATTATAGCAGAAAGAAGTGAAAGGAGATTATCTCATAAATGATAGTTCAGATATGCATGCCTCCATCCAACTAGTCACCTATCCATTCATCCATCCATTTATTCATCCATTTATCATTATGTGCCCTCTTTGAAAGGAATATTATCACACCCAGGTGTATTCAGTTGGTGTTGTTTAGATGGGGAGCTGAGATAAAAAGCTGACAAGGTGCATTGCTGGAAAATGCTAACATGCCCAAGATGATGGATCAATGTTTGGAGGTAACAGGTGAAGAGCTATACACTCGATACAAAGAGATGGCCAGATTTCATCTGAACCCATACCATTGTCCTTCTCTACATGATAGCCAAACCAGTATCTGTAGATTGTCAGTCATGGGATCTGAGAAACTTTATGACTATTCTGCCATCATGAAAGTTCTTCCTGTGAAATCTATTTTTCATTCCTCAGATTTTTTTTCCCATTGTATTCAAGGCTTTGCCAAATCCCAGTTGAAAAACTCCCATTTTAAGAGGTCCATACCACTCACTAACCCCTACTAAACTAGAAAATGATGCTCCTATCACTCTAGAAGCACAGGTGGCAGTCTAAATAAGAAAGAATCCAGCATCTGTATTTGAACCGATTCAAAAATTTCTCCTCAGCCTGAGAGCATAGAAAATCAAAACTGTATTTAATAAATAGCTTATAGTTATTCTTTTTTTGCAATATTGTTTCAATTTTTAAAAAAATTTTTCATAGGTTATTGGGGTACAGGTGGTGTTTGGTTACATGAGTAAGTTCTTTAGTGGTGATTTGTGAGATTTTGGGACACCTATCACCCAAGCAGTATACACTACACCCTATTTGTAGTCTTTTATCCCTCGCCCTCCTCCCCATTTCCCCCCACGTCCCCAAAGTCCACTGTATCATTCTTATGCCTTTGTGTCCTCACAGGTTAGCTCCCGCATATCAGTGATAACATACAATGTTTGGTTTTCCATTCCTGAGTTATAAAACTTAGAAATATCAGCAAGACCTCAGTGTTCTCCGCCTCTGTCTCTTAGTGGATGCTCCTCTGGGCTCCCACAGCAGTTCATGTATGCTCTTATTAAAAATTAGAATTGATCACATTGTAAAATAACTGTTGATTTATGTACCTGAATTTCTCCCAAATTATAAAATCTCCTCAGAAAAGACTGTATCTCACTTGACCTTGGATTCTTAACACCTAGCCTCGTACTGGGCATAAAGTGGGCTTTAAAAACATGATTATCTAACATTGCATGTTCTCACTTATTTGTGGAATCTAAAAATTAAAATGATTGAACTCATAGGCACAGAGTAGGAGGATGGTTACCAGAGGCTGGGAAGGGTAGTAGGGGGCTGGAGAGGAGGTGGGAATGGTTAATGGGTACAAAAAACCCAGAAAGAATGAATCAGACATACTATCTGATGGCACAACAGAGTGACTACAGTCAATAATAACTTAATTGTACATTGTAAAATAACTAAAAGGGTGTAATTGGATTATTCATAACACAAAGGATAAATTCCTGTGGGAATGGATAACCCATTCTCCATGATGTGATTATCTCACATTGCATGCCTGTATCTAAGCATCTCATCTACCCCACAGATATATACACCTACTATGTACCCACAGAAATTAAAAATTAAAACATTAACAAAATAAAAACATGATTGTAAAATAACTAAGGAATGTGGTGAGAATAACATGTGTGAAGGAAGGATGGGGTGAAGCAGCAGGTGCCACAGAGCAGCAGTAGTGGGCGTTTGCTGGAAATGACACTGCTGGGAAATAATGTCAGAGAAAAAGATTACAGGCCAAGGCACAAAAAGCCTTTGGAATTACAGTTAGGAGGTTGGGCATTTTCAAGGAAAGAATCATAAAGTGTTTTTAAGCCAAAAGTGACATAAATATGTTGACATTTTAGAAAGCTAACTAGCAGCACTGCAGATGATGGGTTCACATGGGATGAGGCTTAAGGATAAGAAAGATCAAAGGCTGTGTTAAAGTAATGACAATGAAAATAGATAAAAGGTGATGATGTCATAGCTCTTTTAAAAATGGAATTGACAGCATTGCTGTGGTGAGTTGTTCCTAGACCCATCTATAGGCTTGGAATCTCAGTAGACCAGATGATGCAATAGGAAAAATATCACAGAAGGATGTCACTGGGATGCAGAATACAATTATTTATATGGTAATATGGCAAACCCTTGAGTGCTGTCATGGTCTCTCCACTGGCCAAATACCATGAAATGTAGATAATCCTCCAATCTGGGCTTTTCTAATTGGTGGATTTTTAAAAAAAATTTATTCCGTGGGGCCTGCATTTACCATCTTTTGCACAAATCCAGGAGGAATTAAGAAGGCTATCAGGCAGTTGTGTCTATGTACTTGAGTCCTTAAACTTGTCTATAACATTTGCACTTTTCATTGCCTGTTTAAATGATAAAGTGAAAGAGTGTAAACTTAAACTTGGTCTTAGTGGACTGTCTCTCCAATACTTGTGGACTGATTGGCCAATGTCACCTGTAAGTAATTACACAGAGGTTGTGAGGAAGACAGAAGAATTGGTAACAACACACATGTTCCTAATATAGATGACTTGTAGCTCCATTAATTAGAATGAAACAGGAATGTAGAAAAAGGGACAGATTATGGAGGAGCTTATTAGTTCCGTTTTTGATATATTAACATTGAAGGATTTTGGAATATCCAGAAGGAGATCTCCAGTTTAAAACTCTGATAGTCAATGATAAAAGTTGCACTCTGGACAGTTCCATTTGTTTTCTTGAGGGGGCTTATCGGAATCATAAATGTTATTTAAATTCCTTAATCCTTCTCAACGTGCTTTCTGTCTTATTATATCTCTGCCCCTTTTTCAACTGGAGATTAAAATTAAGCTGTGTAACATATTCTCATCACCCTTTTGATAAGCCTACAAATTTGCAGACTGAAACTTTCTCCATGGAAGCTTAAGAAACAGTGACAGTAGCAATTGAGAATGCAGCATTTGAAGAAACAACTGAAGAAAAACTTGAGGTTATAATTGTAAAATAGCCACTAGTGTCTTTGCTTTGAAGACTGTTTATACCATGTTGTCTCTAATGATGTGTGGGATGAAGAATTTCTAACAAAAGTTGCTGCATAAGCATCTTTCTTTCCAGATCTAAAGAAAAGCTGCAATTCCTACCTGAAACCTGCTGTTATAGGTTTGTTGCTGAGGAAGAGATCTAAGTCTTTAAATGCTGGGATATATAAAGACATGTGATTGTCTTTCTTTTTTGTTTAGACCTTGGCTCTCATGCCTCACCAGAAGATAATGGGAAACTAATGCAGCTGAACAAAGATGATTTTCATCAAAGGCCAGTCAGAGCCCATGGTAGTAATAGAACTTCATAAATTGCCTGCAGCAGAGACTAAAGCAACCTACACACAGGCAAAGAACCAGAGTTTCTGATGTTTGTCTGGGACTGCAGAGTATGAGTTGGTTTCCATAGTGTTAGATTGTCTCTCTGTAGGCGACTTAACTCTCTGATGCCTCTAATAAAAATTATTCTCTCTTTTTCTCTAAAACAAATGGATATAGTCAACTATAGGTTTGCCATTGCATCTAAAATTAGGAAAATTAGACCCTTTGGTTGGGTACTAAGAAAAATAGATAATGGCTGATTTCATCTAGCTCCAAAAAGGCATGAAGGGCAAGAGTTACATATTCAATGGGCAAAGCATTTTTCTCCCTTAATGATTTGTTTTTGATGGGCAGATGTCTTCGTAAAAGACTCAGAAATAATTTAACCTGGAGCTAAGAAGTCACTCGGAGACCGCGAAGCTCCACCAATATTTTTAAACATTTGTTAAACTTCACTAATATGCTGGAGAGCAATAAAAAAATTCCTGTTAGCAAACACTGGAGTAAAAAAATGTCTCAGGTATTCAAAGAAGGGGATATATAATACCTATTTAAAAATTCCTAGCACTTATCACAGCATCTGCCATGTAGTAGCTAGGGTGATCACCTGTTTCTGGTCGCCCAACACTTTCTTGGTTTAGGCACAGAAGTCCCACATTTGGAGAACTGCCTCAGTCCTGAGAAAATTGGGATGGTTGGTCACCACACCACAGAGTGTTTTTGCTGTAAGGATAAACAAAAGGAGAATCATGCTCATTAATTTCATACACTCCTTCTTTAGATGCCATAGGATAAGTGCATTCTGTCAATGAATTTATCACATAAAAAGTTACATTTGAATCACAAGCCTCTTTTATGTGATCATTTTTACTATGTGAGCAGACCAATTGGGGGGGGGGGTGGTCAGAGGTTGATTGGTGAAAGTGGAAGCAGAACAAGGGTCATTGGAAGAATTTAGTGTTAATGACATTAAGCTAAAATAGTCTGACACATGCAGTTCACCACCCCAGCAGTGAGGCTGGGAATCCTTGAAGTCCTTGTCAAAAGCTTCTCTCATAAGGCAGAGAGCACTGGCAAATTATGTGTCAGAGACTTTATGCCTTCATGTTGCTGTTCCTTATCTCTCTTCTCCCTTTGTTTTCTCTTCATATATGTGAATTTATTAAATCTGTGCTTGTCTTAGTATGGAAGCTATATTGTATTTTTAAGGTTTTCACATATCTTTTCTTTATAGATCTTCTTCCAGTGATTCACTCATCTCTTCACTTAATTATTTGTTCATCAAATACTTATCAAGCTTCTACCCTGTGCAAGGCATTACCTAGGTATTGGGATACCGCAATACACAAAATAGATAAATATTTGTATTTGAAAGGAACTTTCTAACATAAAGAAACAGATAATAAAATAAGTAAAATATATAGTAGGATAAACGGGAAGTGCTATGGAGGCAAATAAAGAAAATGAATGAAGTGTTGGAGAGAAGGGGTCAAGAGGGGTTAGTGAAGCCATTTTAAATAGGGTCCTTAGGGGAGCCCATACTGAGAAGGTGGCATTGGAATCAAGGTCTACAGGAAGTGAGGGAACATAGCAAGAGTCTAAAAGGAGTAAAGTGCTCCAAGCCAAGGGAACGGCAGGTGCAATGTTCTGAGACAAGACCTGGCCTTTTGAGTTCCATGAATAGCAAAGTGGCCATTATGGCCAGAATAGAGTGAGCAAGGAGAGGAGTAGCAGAAGATGAGATGGGAACTGACAAGACGGCGGCATAAGCAGAATATGAAGGGTATGAAGTCCTACTGGCTGCTTCAGTCATTCAAAAGACATTGGCCTCTTTTGTGAGTGACTTTGGAGGGGATGAGAAGAGGAACATATGAGCTAACATACCTTTTAACAGTATCCTCTGGGTGCTGTGTTGACAATAAGCTGAAGAGACAGTAGGCAAAGGCAGGATAACCAGTCAGGAGGCTGTTGCAACAGTCTGGGCAAGATAAATGCATTTCTTTGAAAAAGGATCTAGGCAATAGAGGTGGTGATGGATTTTGATGGTAGTGATGTAGGATTTGCTATGGGATTGGAGGTAAAATACAGGCAAACAGGAAATAATGAGGTCAAAGTCCTTGGCCTGAGCAACTAAAAAAGTAGACATTTTCTTTCTTAACCATATCAACCCTAAATGCAACTGTGCCCCATAACGGTAATTTATCGTCATCTGATTCATTGTTTCCTGTTTCTTCATTGCAATGTTCAGTGGACAACACAAGTTTCCTCATTTCTAAATTCTTGGGAAGGGTGATCACATCAGTATAGACTCCAAGAACTTACCAAGTAGCCAGGTATTTTGAGGTTAATTTCTGGATTAAAAAAGGGAAATTTTCACAGGTTTCTGGCCTTCACATGATAGGAAACTGTACTGACTACTAACTTTACTTGCATATTATGCCCTGTAATATTAGACATATATTGCTTTTAAGCCTAGCCGACAGAATATTTTATTTTTCCAAGTTCAGCAATCAATCATTTTCTACTAGCTTTTAAATTTTATGTTTCCAAACACATCCTCAGGTTTGTCTTTGTGATTTGTTGATTGTGTGAAACTTCACCTCTAAAAATGTATGTTGAGACAGCCAAAAGAAAACAAAAAACAAAAACCCACAAACAAACATTCTATAATCCACCTCAGAATGTATTCAAAGTTTAGGAACATTTGACAACATAATTACCTCTAAGGAGGGTCTGGAGGTGTAGTTTTATTTCCCCTTGATTATTATTTATGTAAAATACCATATTGAATAAATGCCATGACAAATGACACAATGAAGAGGTACTAACCATCAGGAAGATAACTGACTGACTAATGCACTACAGAGCCTTGTGTAATAAAAATACTCCATCCCTGATGATTATAGTGAAGCTTTAACTCTTAAAAGCGCTATAAAGCCTGGGCACGGTGGCTCATGCCTGTAATCCCAGCACTTTGGGAGGCCGAGGTGGGAAGATCACTTGAGACCAGGAATTTGAGAGCAGTGTGGCCAACATGGTGAAACCCTGTCTCTATAAAAAATACAAAAATTAGCTAGGCATGGTGGAGGGTGCCTGTAATCCCACCCTCTCGGGATACTGAGGCACGAGAATCACTTGAACCTGGGAGGTGGAGGTTGTAGTGAACTGAGATCACACCACTGCACTCCAACCTGTGCAACAGAGTGAGACTCTGTCTCAGAAAAAAAAAAAAAAAGCCCTATACAAACACTATATGTATTCTGTACATATTGTTTTTAAGGTTGTTGAAGTTGGTGAAGCCTTCTAGGAAATCAAAACTTACGCTACAAACCTGAATTTTTTGTTTTATAGAAAACCAAAACCAATATTCAATAGACTTTTTGTAAACGTAAGCCACCACTTATAATGAAAGATACATTCAAACTCTTCAGAAAGTGAAGTCAAATTATGTATTTTTAAAGATGTGAAAGCATGTATTACAGTCTTGGAGAAATGAAATCATAAACAGATTCTATCTTTCTTAAAATAGTGGCTTAATATTTCTTAGGATGGCATTTTAAGTAGCAATAAAATAGGAGATGAAAGATCTCTAAACTATGAAGCACAGGACACAGAACTGCAAACCTCATTCACATAACTTATGCAAGGAAATTCTTACAATTTGTCTCTACTACATGAATTTGTTAATTTTTCTTACTTAACAAATTTGGCTGCTAGAAGTATCTGAAAATGGTCAATTAATCTATTTTAGGGCCTTTTTAGTAGGCAGTTCAGATACTCAGTGAAATCATTTGTGACATGGTCCTATTGTGATCCTGAAGACTAAATGGTCTTTTGTTTGCTTGTTTGCTTGTTTGTTTGTTTTGTATTCAGTGTGTTGTGAAACGAATTCAGTTATGGAACCCAGATTTAACAAGGAAGCATTCAGTTTATTTCAATTATTAATGATATGTATCTGTTGATGTCAACTAAACAGGCTGAGAAGTATAATCAGTTGCTATTTCACTGTTTGTTTTACCCGAGATCATTATTGTTTTAGCATCAAGGTGATATCTTAAATGCCATTTTTGGTGAGCACTTATCAATGAAATCCACATTATCTCTAGGCTCCAGAACGAGTCTTTTTAACCTTTAACGTGTCTTAGACCCCTTTGACAGTCTTGTAAAGTCTGTGGGCCCTTTATAAGAATAATGTTTTTAAATGTGTAGGATGAAAACCATAAGACCACAAAGGAAATCAGACATTGAGATTCAGTTCTATCCACAGAGCCTTTGGGACCCCACATTGAAATCACTTACTTTAGCACAATATGCGGAAGAAATTGGAACCTGCCATTACATTTAAGGGGAAGAATTCACTAGAGGAAAAGTGTTTGCTTCTGTCTCTAGGTGTAACTTCCATGAGGAGAATAACCAATGCTGATATTAGTTTTGTGTAAATCCAGGGAGAGATGTTAGTGTTTCAGTGTACGCTTAGGGATGGGAAATGGTGAGGAAAATCAACAAAGACATAATTTTTTAAGGCAGAATGATTATTTTCACTCTTGAAGGCATAACATGTTGCCTCCTAAATTTTTGTTAATCTGTATCCACCCCCTTGGAAAGATTTTTTACAGTTTAATGCCACATGAATTGGCCTTAAAAGTACTAAGACTGGGAAAAAGTAGTGGATGTTCCATCTTTCTATTTGACATATACTCAGCAATTAGTTTACTTTATAGATTGTATCAAGCTAATAGGAGAAAATGCTGAAAGGAAGATAATTTTTCTCTGTATTATGCAGTTGTTAAATTAGCTTAATCATCCGTACCTGAAGCAGCATTGTTTCTGGAATTTTATAAAGTTTGAATTTATTCAACTGATAGATTTACCCTGATGGAATCAAATTATTTAATATTGCGCATTTAAGGCACCAAAATAAGGATGCATTTGGGAAAAATTTATCTAGCTTACTCCATACTTGTTGTCCCCTCTTCTCTGAAATTAGGCACCTGAATTTACTTTTTGGTTCATAATTTGGTTCTATCACTGCACCTTAGGTTTTTTTCCTTTCCCACCACCTTCTCACCTTAGTATGGATCTTTCATTCTCTTTTTATGAATTACCAGCATTAACAATTCTTTCAGAATTGACTCATCCTCTAATTAAACTGGATATCCCTTAATACTGACCTGCCAAGTTGTCCTTGATCATAATTTCTAATGAGTAAGAGATTATAAAAAAAATTTGCACGTGATAATCTAGGATGTAAGAACAGAAGTTGTAAATCAGGTTATATAACATGAACCTCACCAAAGTGAAAGTCCAAGCAAAATTTTATTACTTAAAAACTTTTGACTTTTGGAAGATGGCTCTTAGGAAAATTCTTAAAGAGACTAAGTTCTCATTGATTTGCTCTCTGTGAAAAAACATTTCACAGGGGAAAATAAGTTTGGTTGTATGTCCTGAAGGCTAGATCCCTCATTCAGACCTTGTTGGCTTCTGTCTCTAGTTCATCTTGGCATATCACAATGCAAATGGGCAAAATAATGATGACAGATGGGCATAGGAACAACCATGCCAAGACTCCAGCCTGCACATTACATTTGAATAGCTAATAAGAAATTTTTGCTCAAGAACATCCATGTGACAATGTTAGACAGTAGCCTGTATGTTTGAGTTGACCTAGCTCAGAGGAGTTAAAAAATATATTAAATTGTACAATTTGGACTGACATATATAATAAATCTAAATTTTTCAGACAAATAATAGTGCCAGGATAATCTTAAATAATTAAAGGACATGTTAAATGATGCCATGAAGGCAGACATTTATTAACTTCTACTTGATGGAGATTTGCAAGATGTGCCCAAATGATTCTGAGGTTTAGATTAATGTTTTGTCAAGTAGATCAAAGAGAAGCAAATACAAGGCTGAATCACACTGTGAGAAACAATGGAGAAGATCCTGTTTTATTTATTTATATTTTTGGTCTGGCTTGTCACTCAAAAGTTAAAAGAAATTTTTATAATGCACATACTCAGGGATCATGGCAGAAAATTTACATACCATTCACATAGAAAATGCAATTATGGAAGTTGTATTTCTCATTTTTAAGTGAACTTGCTGCTCCAGTGTAATTAGTTTAACACACAAGATCCCAATAATCAGAAAATAGAATGTAAATGAAGATAGCTGAAAAACAGTGTTCTGGTAAAAAAGGAATGAATCAAAAGAATCATAAAAAATTAACTTGCAAAAAATGTATGTCATGGCAATGGATAACTTAGCTGTAGGTAAAATGATTATTGTTTTGCCGAAGACTGAGAATTCTAACATTTGCTGTTCTTTTAACCATAAATGAATTTTTCTGCCTGCCTGACTTCGTAATCAGAATCTGCCAGAATGCTATTTACATGTACCATCATTTGCAAAAGCAGAAACACATTCAGGACATCAAAGCTGATAATACATGGAGTAAAGGCTCTTGCTGTTTACTGAAACTTGGTTATTTGATTGAAATACTGACTAAGATGAATTGTGCTACTCTGAAGTTAGGTTAGTCCATGCACAATTGGGCAAGTTTCAATTACCTCATCCTTGAAGCTTCCCTTGAATAGGACTAGTTATTAACACTGGCTGCACACTGAGATAAAACTACATTTTAAATCTTAAAATACTCACAGTATATAAAGTACCACTGTGGTTAGAGCTTTTCAGGTTTCCTACTGCTCAAGTTCACTTTGTCAGCACCATGAAAAATCTAGTCTTTGTGAATTCCTGCTTATGGCATTAGGAAAATATAGGAGAAATGTTGGCTATTTACATGGGTAGTGCATATTTAATATAGTCCCCATCATTATTATGCCCATGCATCCAAAATGCAAATGTCTTTTATGAGGATAAAGCAGGCCTTTATTTTTGTGCAAAAGACTCATTTCTTTCTAGAAGAAAAGGGAAAAAAAGAAAGCCTAAATGATCACGATGGGGATTTAGGGAAGTAATTGTAAGTAGAAGAACTACTTTTGAACTGCTTCTCTGACTCAGAAAATTGATCATCTATCAGTTCAATAACAAGAATTCATTAGGGTTACTGTGAGTTAAAATGTGAAGTGAAATTACTATTCTTCATATGAGCAATCTCTATTCTTTGTTTTCATTTGGTCAAAAATACAGGGAAGCAGATAATTAACCTGTCATGTAGAATAAAACTCTACAAAAATTAAATGAGATAAAAGTGCTTTAGGTTTTGCTGCTCTTTTGGTTCCATCACAAGGAAATGTTCTCTTAAACCTGTAGAAATAAAAGTATTTTTAATTCTGTAGGACTCCAGGAATAGCCAGTACCAGCCTGGGTCTTTAAGGTGAACATCAAACTGAACATTAGAAGCATACTAGGAGCTTTTATTATTATAAAGTGATTCAGTGAAGAGTTGAAATAAGGGAAACATATCACAGGTGGAAGCATGCACATGTACTACAAGTGGCTACACTGCCACAAAATTAACGAGGCTTTTACATTAAGGAAGAATTTTTTAAAAAGGTTTTAGAAATATGGTGCAGCTTGGAAATTATGTATCACTGATCATTTCTGAATCCAGAAGACAAAGAACTGGGGCATAGGAATTTAACTGGGGGTTTCCATGCTCTGTGGAGAATAGAATGTGCTGATTCTAACATATTGATCCTGGTTCTTTTGTATACAATCTAATATTCTTTTGAATTCCCATATGGAAGTTGTTTGAGAGTACAGAGAAAGATAAAAATCTTCAGGTGACTTTATGTCAGTAGTCCAATGGAAATATTAAATAAACTGGGTAGATTATCATGCTAAAAAGCAAATGCCAATAAGTGACAATTTTATCTTAAAAAGTAATGTTGTTATATGTTATTTTGAATAAATGTAGTTTATTGAGCTGTGCTTGCCTTATGAAAATCTCACCACATTTTTAGCATGATTCCAAAACTTACAAAGCTTCCAATTTTGATTTATTTTATTCAAGTATCTTTATAATAGGAAACAAAATGGCACAGGAGAAATCACCATTCCTCTAAATTTAGTGTATCTTTCATTATACATTTTAAAAGCTGTCATTTTTGCTTTATAAATAAATCATTGAGGAATTTGCTGAGAAAATAAACTGAGTCACCTAAGCTCTAAGCATAATAGACAAATAGGAATTTAGACCACTGATGACCATGCCATAATCTGAACATTTAATATCAACATCTCCACCTAATTTGGAGCTAAAAATAAATTTTTGAATAAACTTAGTAGCTACTAAGGTTGTTAAAATGTCAGCTTGTGGAACTAATCACACTTTCTGTAGTACAGAGGATGAATAAATTTGTAGTTCTTGTGTGTGTTTTTAATTTGTTTGTTTGTTTAACACAGTTATATACCTTTCGTCCTAACATAACATTAAGAACCATACTATTGTAGAGAATAATTAATCTAATATTATTATCTCAGAAAGGATCCAAGGCTATGGAGATTGTTGTGCTGCAATTATTAACTTGAAAAAAATTATATATAATCTCTATACTAGAATGTATCTATTGATCTATTTTTAAATTTACTGACTCTTTTCCTTTTCATTTTCGCTCTGTTAAACACAACCAGTGACATTTTTATTTCAGAGATTGCAGTTTTCAGTTCTATTATTTTCATCTGGTTCCTTTTTATATTTTATATCTCTCTGCTTAGATTTCCAATCCTTTTATTCATGATGACAATAATTCCCTTTATATCATAGAATTTAGCTATAAAACTGCTTTAAATTTTTGTTTGCTAATTATAACATCTGGTTCATCTCAGTGTTGATCTCCATTTATTGTATTTTCTCTTGAAAATGCAGAATATTTTCCTGTCTTATATCCTGAACATGGTTATTGTGATTTCGTGGAGGAATAGAATTCTGTTATATTCATTGAAGAGTCTTAATTTTTGTTTTAGCCAGCAATTAATATGGTTACATTTATGCCTCAAACTCTGTAGCTTGGAAAGGAACTCAAATCAAAGTTCAGATCTTTTATCCTTGACTGGGTGTATTAGTCTGTTCTCACATTGTTATAAAGAGATACCTGAGACTGGGTAATTTATAAACAAAAGAGGCTTAATTGGCTCACCTTTCTGCAGGCTGTACAGGAAGTGTAGCAGCTTCTGCTTCTGGGGAGGCCTCAGTAAGCTTCCATTCATGGCAGAAGGCAAAGGGGAAGCAGGCATCTTACCTGGCAGAAGCAGGAGCGAGAGAGAGAAAGTGAGGGGGAAGGTGCTACACAGTTTCAAACAAACAGGTCTCATGAGAACTACTCACTATCATGAGAACAGCACCAAGGGGATACATGAGAAACACCTCTGTGATTCAGTTACGTCCCACCAGGCCCCACTTCCATCCAACATTGAAGATTACAATTTGACATGAGATTTGGGAGGGGACACAAATCCAAACATATCACTGGGATATTTTGAATCATACGTGCATAGTTCCACAGTCAAAAAAAGATTTCGGCAAATTTTTAAAATAGAATTTACACTACTCCTCCTTGCCTCTCTTTTCTGGATTTTTTCCAAGACTTTCCAATGACTGTGGTTATTATGCACTTTGTCCCCTGGATCCTAAGGCCAGAAAGGCTGAGGATTTGCTATGAGAGTGCTATGGTTTGAATGTTTGTTCACTCCAAAACACATGTTGAAATTTAATTGCCATTGAAATGATGTTGGGAGGTGAGACCTTTAGGAGGTGTTATGTCATGAGGGCAGAGCCTTCATGAGTGAACTAATGCTGTTATTATAAGGGTGGGTTTGTTATTGCAGGAGTGAGTTTGCTCTCTCTTGCTCTCCCATACTGTCTTTCTCTCTTGCCCTTCTGCGATATGATGCCTTCCACCATTTTAGGACTCAACAATAAGGACTTTACCAGGTACTGGTTTCTCAATCTTAGGCTTCTCAGCCTTTGGAACTGTGAGCCAATAAATTCTGTTCGTTGTAAATTACCCCATCTGTGGTATTATTAAAGAAGCAAGAAAATGGACTAAAACACAATCTTAGTTGTCCTGTATGATGTCAACCACAACCATCCTTCTGGCTATAATTATTACCTTCATAAGTTAAATCTTTATTGACAAGTCCACATAGAACCTATAAACCATAGCTAATGAGTTATTTTTAAATACTGCATTTGTAGGAAACATGATATTTTAAAAGTGACAATAGTTTATCTAAAAATAAAACAATAACTAGTATAGCTAGTTCTCTAAACTCATAAGAATTCTAAGGTTGGTTTCATTTGTATGGTTAATTTTCTAAAAATGACAGTGGAGTGGATTATTAATAGTTAAATTTGATCAGTGCTCTATCTTGAAAAGTTGTATTTTTAATTATGGTGAGTGAAGCAGAACAGAAAGATAGATGACTACAAGAATGATTTCTCCTACCTCTCTATTATGAAAACAGGTTTGTTAAATTAGATATTTCCTCTTGAAGTGTAGCTATATGCAATCAGTATACCTGAAAAAGCTTAGCAACAATATTTATCTTGGTTTGAATTCCGGGTGTTAAACAAGTTAGTAAGCCTTTCTTGGCCTCAGTTTCTTTTACAAGCAAATTGGAGTTCTAACCTTTATGCGGGAGCATTTTTAAATGATGTACAAAATATAGTCACTATTACAATGCTGGGCACATACTAGCACTGTATTTTATTTTTATATACTTATTGCTTCTTCCAGATAGAGATTAATTACAATGAATAATTGTATGATTATTATGGAAAAAAATGAATGAAAGTGCTTCAGATTTCATATTTTGTTCAATATCCCACATATTCAGAAGGGATTAAAAATTATTAAATGCAGAATTTCTTAGTCCCATATCATAACTTTAGACTTATGTCTCCCAAATTTTTATTCTTAGTATTTTTTTCTTAGTTCTTTTAGGTAGTCCTAGTTATTTTTCTTCCTCTATTACATTCCATGATTAATGTAGCTTATAAATTAGAATCTCAGATGAACAAAAATTAATGCTAACTTCAGTTTCAGTTATGTGTACTTCTAAGGGCCAAAAGAAATGAATAATTTTTGAATATAGAACAGACTTTCTCAACTGGGATACGTTTTTTAAGTAGGTATTATTTATTGAGGTAATATTTTGTCTTTTTCTGTACTACATTTTAAAATCCTATATTAAAATATAATTGATTACCAAAAACAACACACATTTCATGCATAAAATTTGATGAGTTTGGACATATGCATATACTTGTGAAACCATCAACAATCAACATAATTAAAATAATAGACATAGTTATTCATTATTTCTAAAAGTTTCCTTTTGCTTTTTTACTTATTTTTTAATAAGAACACTCAACATTAGATCTACCTTCTTAACAAATTTGAATGTACAATACAGTACTGTAAATACAATACAGTATTTAACTCAAATGAGAAGTTGTGGTTCAATGGGTATAATTAAGACTTTAAACCCACTGAACCACAATTCCCCATGTTGTTCTTCCCCATCACATGGCAACCACCAATCTATTCTCTGCTTCTGTGAATAGAGATTTAAATGCATAACCTGAAACTGTAAAACTTCTAGAAGAAGACATAAAACAGAAGCTTCTTGACATTGGTCTTGGCAATGATTTCTTGGATATGATACCAAAAGCTCAGGTAATAAAAGCAAAAATGGACAAGTGGGACTACATCAAATGAAAAAGTTCTGCACAGCAATGGAAGCAATGAACAGAATGAAAGGAAAGCCTATGGAATGGGAGAAATATTTTCAAACCATATATGTAAGAGGAAATTATTCAAAATATATATAAAAACATTTATAACTCAATAACAAAAAAGCAAATAACCTGATTTTTAAACGGGTAAATAGCTTGAATGGACATTTCTCCCAAGAAGACATACAAATGACCAACAGGTATATAAAAAAGATCATCAACATGGCTAATCCTCAGAGAAATGTAAATCAGAGTTGCAATAAGATATTATCTCACACCTGTTGATGGCTATTATTTAAAAATGTGTTAATGAGGATGTAGAAAAATTGGAATCCTTGAACACTCTTGGTAGGAATGTAAAATGGTGCAGCCACTGTGGAAAATACTGTAAAGGTTCCTCAAAAGATTAAAAGCAGGACTACCATGGGATCCAGAAATCTCACTTCTGGATATTTATCCAAAAGAATTTAAATCATAATAAAAGAGAAATCTGTATTCTCATGCTTGTTGCTACATTATTTACAATAGATATGATATAGTAGAAACCCAAGTGTCCTTCAACAGATGAATGGAAAAATAAAATGTGTATTATAATTGAACATTACTCAACCTTAAACAGATGGAAATCCTACCATTTGTGGTAACATGGATGAACCTGGAGGACCTTATACTAAGTAAAATAAGCCAGTCACAGCAGGAGAAATACTGCATGACACCACTTATATGAGATACCTAAAATGTACTACATTTTTTGGTGTTTCAGAGAAGGTGACTGGGTATTTTCACAAATATACCGGCATCAAAAATTGATTTCATGATGGTATTTAACTTTGTGTTTGATTTTATAAATATGAATGTTGAATAAGGCCATTTATAGATTATTCTGATTAACTGATGCATGCTTTACCACTTTCCAAAGCACTTTCTTAATATATTCATTATTTTCCTTTATGTAAAGAGACACCCTACAGAAACCAGTGAGATATTTTCCCACTACTAAATCTGAACAGTGTTATGTAATTAACTCAAAGGCAGACATTTCATAAATATGATTGAGATCTTTCTACTTGAACTGTTTATTTATATGCTGTTGTACTTTGTGGAACAAGCAGCTTTTAAAGCATGAGCCTGAGATTAATTATAAAAGTAGTTTGACATCTTGACTCCTTTCACTAAGGTTTCAAGAAACTGTCTCATTTGATTTTAAAGTACAAGTCATGAAATTTAAAATGTCTCTCTGGACACTGGATATTTGTTCCGTGAAAATGTGTGGTATTTGTAGGAAGATGTGCCCTATCTCATCAGTCAACATTATTTTAGACAGAGTGCTTGCTTTTTCCTGGGTGACACTTATGCCAATTATCCAGAGGAATTCAATTCTCTTCCAGCTGCTTCCAGTTCTTATTTATAGACTTGACTCTCTGACAGACCAATCCTAAATATGTAGCTAGTGGTCTAGAAATGTCATCCTCACCTTTACAAGACAAACAATTCTGATAAACACTGCATCTGTAGCTTCAGAAGTAGTCCGAGCATGGAGAACACAAATGGCGTGGTTTTTTTTTTAACTATATTTTATGATTAAGATACCTTTGAAACATAATCACACACATGAAAATACTAGTGATTGAACCAATTTTTATGGCCCTAAAATTGTATGTTATTTTTATCTTTGAAAACACTCACAATTCATAGTAATAACTATTTGCACTCAAAATAGATTTTTTAAAATCTTAGATTGTCAAACTACAATCATCAGTCTGAATAGTGAGGTAGATAAGTGTTATATTCACTTCTTAAATGTTTATAGTAAAGCCACTCCAAAATGCCAAGACAACCAATTGAAAAAATAACAGAAATCAGTCAAAATGGATATCCATTGGCCACATAACAGATGTAGACTACTTTATTTCCTTCATCCATTTTCATAGATTTGACTGAACTAACTTCAAATTTGAGATTTAGGTTTTAGTCTGTGATCACATACACGCGACAATGAGGTTCTGAGAACTTTGCTGACCTCTATTAATTTCACCAACCATATAATAAAACTTTATGTAGAAATGAAGAAAACCAGATATTCTGGTCAATCTTTTATGTGCCAGTACAAGACTGATAATTTAGCTCAATATAGAATCAGAATACCCTTAGGATGTCTATATTATTGTTTGTATAGATGCAGCATTGATATTTAAATGGTTATACAATATTATAGCATATGATTTTAATAGGCTAATTGTAAAGAAGCGTTTTTAAAAAATTTTTGCTGAAACTTACGTAGTGTTTCTGTAAGTCTGTGCCATGCACTATTTAAACATATTGCACATTTTATTTAATCTTCACAAAACTCAAAAACTGTAGATAGGTAGATGTTATATTTTTCCCATTTTACAGAAGAGGAAAAGGCACAGAGCAGTTAAGTAATTTGCCCAAGTTACACATTGATTAACTCCTAAAACCATGATTCTAACATAAAAAATAGATCTCCAGGTTTACTAAGAATAGTTTTAATAATGAAACATCAATAAAGTACTCTCAATTTATTTTAGATTCTTACATATATGTAGAAAGGATAGTAAATATATGATTTGGCTTTTATCTTTGTACAAAATTAAAAATAATTCATCTGGGAGAAACATCACCAGGATGGCCAACTAGAGTTGCCTGACACTAGTTTCCCCAACAAAAGGGACCAAAATAATGAATAAACAAATATATTTCAACTGGAATAACTGAGGAAATATTCTGTTCCATCACAGGAGCAAGCAAATCCCTGGGGAACATGGAAGCCCAGGATAGCACCATAGAGAAGGGGTTAAAACATCCTGCCTCTGCAACAGTCTGTTCCTTTGGGATCAGCTCAGAGTAAGGGCAGCTGCTTCCCACAGGATAAAAGTAAGCTGGAGATCCCCAGTAGTTGCCATTGCTGAAACAGATGCTATTGGTCCTTCTGCAGAAGAACCCCCAGTTCTTACAGGCTACAAATACAGTTGGGAGAATTGCCAGTAGTTCACACAGCTGCATGGCCTCAGAGACACTTCTGTACCTCTCCCTCATGACCTAAGCTGCTATGGCATGGCACCATCTTAAACCAGTCCCACAGCTAGAATGCATCCTGCTCTGGGAGCCAGTAGCCACGGCATCTCTCCATCACTGAGGCCCTGTCATCATTACACAATCTTAACATGGGTCCATGCAGTGCCACTACTTCAGCTGACTGAATCCTGAGCCTGATGGAATGACCAAGAAACTGCCATCTGAACCCATATGGCATCCCACCCCCTGGGAAACAAGCAGACCTGTTCAAAAGTCAAAGACAAAGAGAATTCTAAAAGCTGGAAGAGAATAGCACCAAGTTAAATATAAGGCAATACCTATTAGACTATCAGCAGATTTCTCAGCAGAAACTTCTCATGCCAGGAAAGAATGAGATGACATATTCAAAGTGCTAAAAGAAAAAAAAATTCCACTACACTGTCAGCCAACAACACTACATCCAGCAAAGCTATTCTTCAGAAATGAAGGAGAAATAAAGACTTTGCCAGAAAAGCAAAAGCTGAGGGAATTCATCACTACTTCACTGGCCTTGCAAGAATGCTTCAGGGAGTGTTACAACTGGAAACAAAAGGCAATAATTACTATCATGAAAACACATGAAAGTATAAAACTCACCAGTAGATGTAAATTTATAATCAAACTCAGAATACCCAATGCTGTAATGGTACTATGAAAATTTTTCAAAAAAACCAACAACAGTTACAGTTAGTGGCTAAATAACACACAATAGATAAAGATGTAAATTGAGGCAACCAAAATATAAGTTGTAGGGAGGAGGGAAATATCTAGAATATTTTTATGCAATCAAAGTTAAGTTTTTGTTATCTTGATATAGTTTATGATAACTACAAGATGTGTTATGTTACCTTCATGTTATCTACCAAGAAATAAATTACAGCAGATACATGAATGGGAAAGAGAAAGGAAACAAAGCTTAGCATCACGGAAAACCACCAAGCCACAGAATAAAATAACAAGAGATAAAGAAAGAAACATAGAATCTACAAGACAACTAGAAATAATTTTTTTTAAATGGCAAAAGTAAGTCCTTACCTATGAATAATAACCTTGGATGTAAATGGATTAAGTTCTCTAATAAAAGATGTAGAGTAACTGAAACAATAAAAAAAGTCCCAGCTAAACTTCCTAAAAGAGACTTGCCTAACCATTAAAGACAAGCAGACTGAAATTGAAGGGATGAAAAAAAAATGGAAACCAAAAGCAAACAGGATTAATCATACTTAAATACAAAAGACTTTAAGCAAAAAACTTAGAGAAGTGACAAAGAAGGTATTTTATAATGAGAAAGGCAGAGATACACTGCAATATAATAATAGTAGGGAACTTAAACACCCCATTTTCAACATGGACAGATCATTTAGACAGAAAATCAACAAAGAAACATTGAACTTAAACTCTAAGACTAAGTGGTCTAAGCACTCAACATAGACTATAGGTACACATTAGTTAACTCCTAAAACCATGATTTTTAACAGATAGCTACAGAACATTCCATCCAATAGCTGCAGAATACACATTCTTCTCTACTGCACATGGAATATTCTTCAGAATAGATAATGTGTTAGGACACAGAACAAGTCTTACAAGCTAGGTAAGACTTAGTTTGTAATGGTATAAAACTTGGAATCAACAAGAAGAACTTTCAAAAGTACACAAATATATGGAAATTAACCAACATTTTTTTTTTTTAGGCAGAGTTTCACTCCTGTTGCCCAGGCTGGACAGAAATGGTGTGACCTTGGCTCACTGCAACCTTCACCTCCTGGGTTCAAGTGATTTTCCTGCCTCAGCATCCCAAGTAGCTGGGATTACAGGCAACTGCCACAACATCTGGCTAATTTTTGTATTTTTAGTAGAGACAGAGTTTCACCATGTTGACCAGGGTAGCCTTGAACTCCTGACCTCAGGTGATTTGCCTGCCTCATCCTCCCAAAGTGCTGGGATTACAGGCATGAGCCACTGCGCCCGGCCACAACATGCTTTTAAGTAACGAATGGGTAAATGAAATTTTAAAAGGGAAATTAAGAATTTTTTTGAGACAAAAAGAATGGAAATACATCATACCCAAACCTGTGGACCACAGCAAAAGCAGTTCTAAGAGGAAAGTTTATAGCAATAAACACTCACATCAAAAAAGAAGAAAGATTTCTAATAAATAACCTAGCAATGCCCCTCAAGAAATTAGAATATCAAGAAAAAACTAAACCCAAAATTGGTAAAAGGAAGGAAATAGTAAAGCTCAGAGCAAAATAAGTGAAATAGTGACTTAAAAAAATTTAAAAAGCCAACAAAATAAAGAGTAGGATTTTTGAAAAGATAAAAAGAAATTATGAGCTTTTAGCAAGAATAACTAAGAAAAAAGAGAAAGAACTCAAATAAACTTACAGCTGAAAAAGGAGACATTACAACTGGTACCACAGAAATACTAGGGATCATAAGAGACTATTATGAACATCTATAAACCAACAAATTTAATAATATAGAGAAAAATGAATAAATTCCTGGATATATGTTGCCTATCAATATTAAACTGTGAAGAAATAGAAAATTTGAACAAAACAATAATGAGTGACTAAATTGAAACAGAAGTAAAAAGCTTTCCATCACAGAAAAGCCCAAGACCTGGTGGCTTTACTGGTCAATTCTACCAAACATTTAAATAACTAATATAAATTCTCCTTAAACTATTTCAGAAAATTGAAGAGGGGGGACTACTTTCAAATTCATTTTATGAGGCCCACATTACCCTAATTCTAAACCAGACACACACACAACAACAACAACAACAAAAATCTACAGGCCAATATCCCTCATGAATATAGACGGAAACATTTTCAATAAGATACTAGCAAGCCAAATTCAACAGCACGTTGAAAAGATAATTTGAGATGATCAAGTGGGATTCATCCCAAGGCTGCAAGGGTGGTTTACCACATGCAAATAAACAAATGTGATATATCATTAATAGGAAGAAAGACAAAAACAGTATTAAAATATTAATAGATTCAGAAAAAGCATTTGACAAAATTCAACATTCCTTCACGCTGAAAACTCTCAACAGTTATGTATAAAAAGTATGTACCTCAACACAATAAAGGCCATTTATGACAGTCCCACAGCTAATATCATACTTAACAAGGATAGCAGAAATCTTTTTCTCTAAGATCAGAAATATGACAAGGATGCCCACTTTCACCATTTCTATTCAACATAGTACTAGAAGTCCTAGCCAGAGCAATTAGACAAAAGGAAGACATAAAAGACATTCAAGTTGGAAAATAGGAAGTCAAGTTGCCCGTTTGCAGATAGCATGATCTTCTATATAGAAAACCCTGAAAACTTCACCAAAACACTATTATAATTACTGACATTGAGAAAAATTGTAAGTAAAAAATGAATATATAAAAATCACTAGTGCTTTTATATTCTACCATTGAACTATCTGAAATAAATAAAAAAATTCCATTTATAATTGCTACAAAAATAATAAGATATGTAGAAATAAACTTAGATAAGGAAGTGAAAGGTCTCCCCAATGAAAACTATAAAACGTCAATGAAAGCAATTGAAGAGACACAAACAAATGGAAAGATATCCCATGTGCAGGGACTGGAAAAATTACTATTGTTAAAATGGTCATACTACCTAAAGTAATCTATAGATTTAATGAAACCTCTATCAAATATAAATGGCATTCTTGACATGAATAGAAATAATTCTAAAATTCATATGGAACCACAAAAGACCCTGAATAGCAAATGCAACCCTGAGCAAAAAGAACAAAGCTGGAGACATCACATTACCTGATTTCAAAATATGCTACCAAGTTATAGTAACCAAAAGAGGATGATACTGGCATAGAAATAGGCACATAGGCCAATGGAACAGAATAGAAAGCCCAGAAATAAATTCATGCACCTACAGTCAACTGATTTCCAACGAAGGTGGCAAGAAAACACATTTGGGAAATATCTCAGTAAATAGTGCTGGGAAAATTAAATATCCATATGCAGAAGAATGAGATTAGACTCCCAACTCTCACCATATACAAAAATCAACTCAATGTGGATTATAGGTTTCAACGTAAAACCCAAAACTATGAAACTGCTAGAACAAAATTTAGGGGAAACACTTCATAGCATTAGGCTGAGGAAGAGTTTTTTTTACATAATGCCTCAAAAGCACAGGCAACAAAAGAAAAGTAGACCTTGGGGTTATATCAAAATAAAAAGCTTCTGCACAGCAAAGAAAACAGAGTGAAGAGACAACCTACTGAAATGGGAGAAAATATTTGCAAACTGTACATCTGTCCAGGGCTTAATATTCAGAATATGTAAGAAACTCAAACAACTCAATAGCAAAAAAACAAATAATCTGATTTTAAATGAGCTAAAGATCTAAATAGACTTTTCTCAAAAGAAGACATACAAATGTCCAAAAGGTATATGGAAAAAATTCAATATCATTAATCATCAGGAAAATACAAACAAAAACCACAATGTGATACCACCTCACTCCAGTTGGAATGGCTATTATCAAAAATAAAAAGGAAGCAAGTGTTGTGGATGTGAAGAAAAGAGAAGACTTAAACATTGTTGGTGGGATTGTAAAAAGTTCAGCCATTATGGAAAACAATATGGCACTTCCTCAAAAAATTAAAAATAGAACTACTATATGATCCAGTGATCCAACTACTGGGTATACATCCAAAGGAAATGAAATCAGAATGTTGAAGAGATATCTTCACTCTCATATTTATCGCAGCATAATTTATAATAGCCAAGATATGGAACCAACCTCAGTAGTCAACAATTTGTGAATAGATGGAGAATGTGTTATATATACACAATGGAGTACTATTCAGTTATAAAAAAGAATGAAATCCTGTCACTTGTGACAATAATGGATGAACCTGGAGGACACCATATTAAGTGAAATAAGGCAGGCACAGAAAGACAAATACCACATGATCTCACTCATATATGGAATCTAAAAATGAAAGCAAAAGGTTCATCTTATAGAAGCAGAGAGTAGAACAGTACTTACCAGACATGGGAGGAGAAGAGGGAGGGAGAATGGGAAAAGTTGGTTAACAGCAATAAATTTACAAGTACATAGAAGGAATAAGTTTTGGTGTTCTATTGCACAGTAGGGTGATGATGAGTTAATAGCAAGGTATTATATGTTACAAAATATCTAGAAGACACGCTTTGGAATGTTCTCACCACAAGGAAATAATAAATGCATGAAGTGATGGATATATTAACTACCCTGATTTGATTATTATACAACATACATATATATATGAAAAGATCAATTTTACCCCAGAATATGTATAATTACAATGTGTAAATTTAAAAATAAAAAATAAACAGAATAGAAAAACTGATTCATTTGAATAAACATGCACATTTTTATTTTACTTATTTAGTAACTTATTAATTTAGTAAATAACTTATTTTACTTATTTAGTAAGTAACTTCTAAAAGTTAAACCCTAAAGTCATTTTTGGATTAAAAAATGAATAAAATCATCATATTAGAACTTTTAAGTTACCTACAAAGAGACATCTAACTTAGCTCTAAGTATTAAAACAGTTGAGGAGAAAAAATAAATGAATTAGAAGAAACGGTCAAGGACAAAGGTGGGGAGCTAGCCTATCTTATTATCTTAGCATATTTTTTAAGCTCCTTGTATATGGATTCTGATTTAATCTTAAATTAAATTCGTGGCAGAAGAAATATTATCCTTAGTTCACAAAATAGCAACACGAGACTCAAGGAGATTAAGTGTATCATCCAAATTCAC
The DNA here is from genome assembly GCF_000001405.40 of Homo sapiens. Classification (NCBI taxonomy): domain Eukaryota; kingdom Metazoa; phylum Chordata; class Mammalia; order Primates; family Hominidae; genus Homo; species Homo sapiens. The sequence continues at coordinate 187,136,918 of NC_000001.11, forward strand.
AGAGCTAGAAGATGGCAAAGCCAGGATTTGAACATGTTTGACAAAGCCCACAATTATTCTATTCCACTTAACCTCCAGTGAAAGACAACATACATATCATTCAATAGCAAATGTAAGCTCTTCTCTAGAGCTAAATTTTCCATGGGATTTCTCTTATGAATCTTCTTGTAAGCTGTAATGCATGTAAAAGTAGACAACATCTTTGGCTAATCTTTTATAAATACTAGTATATAGCAATTGCAATGAATGATTCTTATACCTAACCCTGATAAATGCAGCTACATTACACTATTAAGTCAAGATACATCCGTCTGAGTGGTATGTGTGGGAGAAAGAAACATGAGGGAAACATAAAGAATACAATTTCTCAAAATAACCAAAAAAATCACTGGGGATGAGGTACAGTTGAAATGATTGTTGAAGGATGAATGAGACTTCAGTTACCAGATAGCTAGAGAAAAACATTCACAGGAGAAAAGAAATAAAATATGAACAGCTAAGACAAAAGCATTCCAATATAAAAATATAAATGATTAGTACTATTTTGAATGTTTTATATATTAATTAGTTAACATACATGACTTCTTTTTTATTTATTTAGTTATTTTTTAGATGAAATCTCACTCACTCTGTCGCCCAGGCTGGAATGTAGTGGCTCAGTCTTGGCTCACTGCAACCTCTGTCTCCCGGGTTCAAGTGATTCTCCTGCCTCAGCCTCCCGAGTAGCTGGGATTACAGGCATGCGCCACCATGCCCAACTAATTTTTTTTTTTATTTGTAGTAGAGACAGTGTTTTGCCATGTTGGCCAGGCTGGTTTCAAACTCCTGACCTTGACTGATCTGCCTGCCTCGGCCTTCCAAAGTGCTGGGATTACAGGCGTGAGCCACCACGCCTTGAAATTATATAATTTTATGCAGATTTGCTTATGTGCATTATCTGGGGAAAGGGTATGTAGCTTATGTCAGCTTCCCAAAAGAGTTCATGATGCAAAAGAGAGGGTAAGAATCACTGTGTGCATTGATACAGAGAGGCATGATAGTCTGGCAGAGTTCATAAGAGGGGAGCTTCTGATCAATAGGGCTACATGGTAGGGTCTGCAGATTGTCTACATTGATGAAGATTGAGCAAATAGGTAAATATGTTGAAATAATGGGAGGCTGGCTTCTCACTATTGGAGAAGGAAGTTACAAATATGAAAGAGTGAAAGCTAGAATGAACTCTACGGTGTTGAAATGGAATTAGTGGTATTGGTACAAACACGTAATTTTCTTTTTTTTAATATATACTTTTATTATACTTTAAGTTCTAGGGTACATGTGCACAACGTGCAGGTTTGTTCCATATGTATATATGTGCCATGTTGGTGTGCTGCACCCATTAACTAGTCATTTACATGTGTCATTTACATGTCATTACATGTGTCATTAACTAGTCATTTACATGCATGTGTCTTTATATTAGAAGGATTTATAATCCTTTGGGTATATACCCAGAAATGGAATTGCTGGATCAAATGGTATTTCTGGTTCAAGATCCTTGAGGAATCACCACAACGACTTCCACAATGGTTGAACTAATTTACACTCCCGCCAACAGTGTAAAAGCATTCCTATTTCTCCACATCCTCTCAAGCATCTGTTGTTTTATTGGAGTCTTCAGGGAAAAAAAGTGTTTTGTGTCTGTGTGTGTATGTATGTGTGTTTTGGAGGTAAAAATTCTTTCTAAAGTTCCACTCACTGGTCACATCTCCCTTCACTTCTATAACATTGTGGTTAAATAGTGAAGTACATGGAGTTCAAATATATGGGTTCATAGTTTTGCCTGGTTTTGCCCCACACTGGATGTAGGACTTCCTTAGTCCTTCTTTGTCTCAGTTATGCTCATTGCTACCAGGGTGATCAGAGCTAAATATATACACACATATATATACACAAACACATATGTATACACATACATATATATTTATATATACAAACATATATATACATATCTATATTCATGTCTATATCTATCTCTACGTATTGAAAATTACACGTTTGTTCCCTTTACCATTATGTAATGGCCTTCTTTGTCTCTTTTGATCTTTGTTGGTTTAAAGTCTGTTTTATCAGAGACTAGGATTGCAACCCATGCCTTTTTTTGTTTTCCATTTGCTTGGTAGATCTTCCTCCATCCCTTTATTTTGAGCCTATGTGTGTCTCTGCACGTGAGATGGTCTCCTGAACACAGCACACTGATGGGTCTTCACTATCCAATTTGCCAGTCTGTGTCTTTTAATTGGAGCATTTAGCTCATTTACATTTAAGGTTAATATTGTTATGTGTGAATTTGATCCTGTCATTATGATGTTAGCTGGTTATTTTGCTCGTTAGTTTATGCAGTTTCTTCCTAGCATTGATGGTCTTTACAATTTGGCATGTTTTTGCAGTGGCTGGTACCAGTTATTCCTTTTCATGTTTAGTGCTTCCTTCAGGAGCACTTATAGGGCAGGCCTGGCGGTGACAAAATCTCTCAGCATTTGTTTGTCTGTAAAGGATTTTATTTCTCCTTCACTTATGAAGCTTAGTTTGGCTGGATATGAAATTCTGGGTTGAAAATTCTTTTCTTTAAGAATGTTGAATATTGGCCCCCACTCTCTTCTGGCTTGTAGAGTTTCTGTTGAGAGATCAGCTGTTAGTCTGATGGACTTCCCTTTGTGGGTAACCCGACCTTTCTCTCTGGCTGCCCTTAACATTTTTTCCTTCATTTCAACTTTGGTGAATCTGACCATTATGTGTCTTGGAGTTGCTCTTCTCGAGGAGTATCTTTGTGGCATTCTTTGTATTTCCTGAATTTGAATGTTGGCGTTCCTTGCTAGGTTGGGGAAGTTCTCCTGGATAATATCCTGCAGAGTGTTTTCCAACTTGGTTCCATTCTCCCTGTCACTTTCAGGTACACAAATCAGACGTAGATTTGGTCTTTTCACATCGTCTCATATTTCTTGGAGGCTTTGTTTGTTTCTTTTTATTCTTTTTTTCTCTAAACATCTCTTCTGTCTTCATTTCATTCATTTGATCTTCAATCACTGATACCCTTTCTTCAAGCTGATTGAATCGGCTACTGAAACTTGTGCATTCGTCACATAGTTCTCATGCCATCGTTTTCGGCTCCATCAGGTCATTTAAGGCCTTCTCTACATTGGTTATTCTAGTTTAAGCCATTCGTCTAATCTTTTTTCAAGATTTTTAACTTTTAACTATCCTAGATATATATGCGTCCAATACAGGAGCACCCAGATTCATAAAGCAAGTCCTTAGAGACCTACAAACAGACTTAGATTCCCACACAATAATAGTGGGAGACTTTAACACCCCACTGTCAACATGAGACAGATCCACTAGACAGAAAGTTAACAAGGATATCCAGGAATTGAACTCAGCTCTGCACCAAGCAGACCTAATAGACATCTACAGAACTTCCACCCCAAATCAACAGAATATACATTCTTCTCAGCACCACATCCCACTTACTCCAAAATTGACCACATAGTTGGAAGTAAAGCACTCCTCAGCAAATGTAAAAGAACGGAAATTATAACAAACTGTCTCTCAGACCACAGTGCAATCAAACTAGAACTCAGGATTAAGAAACTCACTCAAAACTGCTCAACTACATGGAAACTGAACAACCTGCTCCTGAATGACTACTGGGTACATAACGAAATGAAGGCACAAATAAAGATGTTCTTTGAAACCAACAAGAACAAAGACACAACATACCAGAATTTTTGGGACACATTTAAAGCAGAGTATAGAGGGAAATTTATAGCACTAAATGCCCACAAGAGAAAGCAGGAAAGATCTAAAATTAACATCATAACATCACAATTAAAAGAACTAGAGAAGCAAGAGCAAACACATTCAAAAGCTAGCAGAAGGCAAGAAATAACCAAGATCAGAGCAGAACTGAAGGAGATAGTGTCACAAAAAAACCCTTCAAAAAATCAATGAATCCAGGAGCTGGTTTTTTGAAAAGATCAACAAAATCGATAGACCACTAGCAAGACTAATAAAGAAGAAAAGAGAGAAGAATCAAATAGACACAACAAAAAAGGATAAAGGGGAGATCACCACCAATCCCACAGAAATACAAATTACCATCAGAGAATACTATAAACACTTCTACACAAATAAACTAGAAAATCTAGCAGAAATGGATAAATTCCTTGACATATACACCCTCCCAAGACTAAACCAGGAAGTTGAATCTCTGAAGAGACAAATAACAGGCTCTGAAATTGAGGCAATAATTAATAGCTTACCTACCAAAAAAAGTCCAGGCAAGACTGGTTCAACATACTCAAATCAATAAACGTAATCCAGCATATAAACAGAACCAAAGACAAAAACCCATGATTATCTCAATAGATGCAGAAAAGGCCTTTAAAAAATTCAACAGCCCTTCATGCTAAAAACTCTCAATACATTAGGTATTGATGAGACATACTCAAAATAATAAGAGCTATTTATGACAAACCCACAGCCAATATCATACTGAATGGGCAAAAACTGGAAGCATTCCCTTTGAAAACTGGCACAAGACAGGGATACCCTCTCTCACCACTCCTATTCAACATAGTGTTGGAAGTTCTGGCCAGGGCAATCAGGCAGGAGAAAGAAATAAAGGGTATTCAATTAGGAAAAGAGGAAGTCAAATTGTCCCTGTTTGCAGATGACATGATTGTATATCTAGAAAACCCCATCATCTCAGCCCAAAATCTCCTTAAGCTGATAGGCAACTTCAGCAAAGTCTCAGGATACAAAATCAATGTGCAAAAATCACAAGCATTCTTATACACCAATAACAGACAAACAGAGAGCCAAATCATGAGTGAACTCCCATTCACAATTGCTACAAAGAGAATAAAATACCTAGGAATCCAACTTACAAGGGATGTGAAGGACCTCTTCAAGGAGAACTACAAACCACTGCTCAAGGAAATAAAAGAGGATACAAAGAAATGGAAGAACATTCCATGCTTATGGGTAGGAAGAATCAATATCGTGAAAATGGCCATACTGCCCAAGGTAATTTACAGATTCAATGCCATCCCCATCAAGCTACCAATGACTTTCTTCACAGAATTGGAAAAAACTACTTTAAAGTTCATATGGAACCAAAAAAGAGCCTGCATCGCCAAGTCAATCCTAAGCCAAAAGAACAAAGCTGGAGGCATCACGCTACCTGACTTCAAACTATACTACAAGGCTACAGTAACCAAAACAGCATGGTACTGGTACCAAAACAGAGATATAGACCAGTGGAACAGAGCAGAGGCCTCAGAAATAATACCGCACACCTACAACCATCTGATCTTTGACAAACCTGACAAAAACAAGAAATGGGGAAAGGATTCCCTATTTAACAAATGGTGCTGGGAAAACTAGCTAGACATATGTGGAAAGCTGAAACTGGATCCCTTCCTTACACGTTACACAAAAATTAATTCAAGATGGATTAAAGACCTATATGTTAGACTTAAAACCATAAAAACCCTAGAAGAAAACCTAGGCAATACTATTCAGGACATAGGCATGGGCAAGGCCTTCATGTCTAAAACACCAAAAGCAATGGCAACAAAAGCTAAAATTGACAAATGGGATCTAATTAAACTAAAGAGCTTCTGCACAGCAAAGGAAACTACTATCATAGTGAACAGGCAACCTACAGAATGGGAGAAAATTTTTGCAATCTGCTCATATGACAAAGGGCTAATATCCAGAATCTACAAAGAACTCAAACAAATTTACAAGAAAAAGACAAACAACCCCATCAACAAGTGGGCAAAAGATATGAACAGACACTTCTCAAAAGAAGACATTTATGCAGCCAAAAGACACATGAAAAAATGCTCATCATCACTGGCCATCAGAGAAATGCAAATCAAAACCACAATGAGATACCATCTCACACCAGTTAGAATGGTGATCATTAAAAAGTCAGGAAACAACAGGTGCTGGAGAGGATGTGGAGAAATAGGAACACTTTTACACTGTTGGTGGGACTGTAAACTAGTTCAACCATTGTGGAAGTCATTGTGATTCCTCAGGGATCTAGAACTAGAAATACCATTTGACCCAGCCATCCCATTACTGGGTATATACCCAAAGGATTATAAATCATGCGGCTATAAAGACACATGCACATGTATATTTATTGCAGCACTATTCACAATAGCAAAGACTTGGAACCAACCCAAATGTCCAACAATGATAGACTGGATTAAGAAAATGTGGCACCTATACACCATGGAATACTATGCAGCCATAAAAAATGATGAGTTCATGTCCTTTGCAGGGACATGGATGAAGCTGGAAACCAGCATTCTCAGCAAACTAACACAAGAACAGAAAACCAAACACCACATGTTCTCACTCATAAGTGGAAGTTTAACACAGGGGCACAGGGAGGGGAACATCACACACCAGGGCCTGTGGGGGGTTGGGGGCTAGGGGAGGGATAGCATTAGGAGAAATACCTAATGTAGATGACGGGTTGATGGGTGCAGCAAACCACCATGGCACGTGTATACCTATGTAACAAACCTGCATGTGCTGCACATGTATCCCAGAACTTAAAGTATAATAAAAAAATTTTATTATAATGATAAATCTTTTGATTCTTTACATTGTTGCCTCAACCCTATCACTTACAAATATTTTTCCTAGATTAGTCTCTATTGTCACTACTCTTTGAAATATAAAAGTGTACATTTTAAAAGTTAAACTAATTTAGATAAATATTTTTGTACATGAATTTAATCATAAAAATTAAGTGCTAAATTTACAAAACTTACAAAAATATAGGCAGTGTGGTAATTGCTTTACATAAATTATCTCAAATAATTTCTACAACAACATCCTGAATTCAAATCTGTTACTATCACCATTTTGGGGATGATGAATCTCAGACTTAGAGAGTTATTAAATAAGTTGCTCCAATAATTTATGTTAGATGACTTGATACATTGCAATGGATTATTGTGGACTCATGTACATTCATCACAGGATCACAGATGTGTGGTGCTATGACTCAAATTTCCTGAATACCCATGAAGAAGAGACTAAACTGAAAGATACCTGTTTTTCAAAAACAAAGCCTTTTGTGGAAAGTGACTGTATGACCCCCTATTATAGTCTGTTTCACCCTAAATAGAGGGAATTTTGTGATATTATAGAGAACTATTTGAAGAACTTAAGGATGCTTTAACATTAAAGCACATATCAACATTTGTTTCAGACTTATTTTTTCTTTCTAGACATTGTGTTGCACTGTCCAAAAAAAAGAGGTATTTTATCATACAGAGATAGGCCTAGAGCTAATGTGCTCCACACATCTGTCACTGACATAGGAACTAGTCAATTGAGAGAAATGTTAGTGAACTAAAAACAAGGCTTAGAAAAGCTTTCAAGAGATCTAGCAGCACTGAACTTGCTGAGAAAGGTGTGGAAGTATAAGCCCCAAATGACTCAGCTGAAATCCCTGTAGAGATTTGAACCAACTGTAGTCAGAAATACAAAGTAGAAGCGGTGGAAAACAGGAAAAATGAAAAGTAAATGGTAACATAAAGCAAACAGACTCAAATTTGAGATCAAAAGTATATAATTCAATTGCAGGCGAAGAGTATATCATTCAATTGCAGGTGAAGGGAAAAATAGAGTGGCTAAAGTTTGATCATAATAGGGCACTTAATATGACAAAAATCCCTGAATAGATAGGGATATGGAGATAATAGGGTTTTTTTACATACAATATTTACCTATTTAAATGATCAAATATTTCCAATTTTATATGAAATTGGTTGGGGAGAACAGTTGAAAGATATCTATGAGTATAAAATGAAAGACATTTGTAAAGTCTGTGTTATAAAACCTGAGCTATGCCAAGAGGAGTCTGAGTTAAAAAGGTAATTGTTCATAATTGATTAGTGTTTGGAAAAGTATTATTAAAACACCTTGCAATTTTCATAACTGTGAATAATAGTAAACAAAGTTGTGCATTTTTTAAATTGGAGATTATTTTTTAAGAGCAGTTTTAGGTTTACAGAAAAGTGGAAAGGAAGTTACAGAAATTTCCCATATTCCCCCTGACCCCACACATGCACAGCCTTCCTCATTATCAATAACCCCCACAGGAGTGGAGCCTACATTGACACATCACTATCACCCAAAATTCATAGTTTACATTAGAGTTCACTGTCAATTTCATGCATTCTGTGGGTTGGGACAAACGTATGATAACATGTATCCACCATTATAGTATCATACGCAGTATTTTCACTGCCCTCCGCTCCTCCTATTTATCCCTCCCTGCTGTCACACCAAACCCTGGAAGGCAGTGATTCTTTTCACTGTCTCCTCAGTTTTGCCTTTTTAAGAATCTAATGTAGTTGGGAATATACAGTATGTAGTCTTTTCTGATTGGCTTCTTTCACTTAGTAATATACATTTAAGTTCCTCCTTGTTTTATCATGGCTGGACAGCTCATTTATTTTTAGCATTGAATAATATTTCATTGCCTGGATGTATCACAGTATCTCTGTTCATCTACTGATGGACATCTTGGTTGCTTCCAAATTTGGGAACTTATGCATAAAGCTGCTGTAAACATCTGTGTGCAGGTTTTTGTGAAGACCTATGTTTTCCAGTCTTTTGGGTAAATACCGAGTGCAATTACTGGATTCTTTGGTAAGAAGAGGTTTAGTTTTGTGAGAAACAGTCATTGAAAGAGGTTGTACCATTTTGCATTCTCATGACCAATGAGTGAGAGTTTCTGCTATTCTACATCATTGCCAGCATTTGGTGTTGTCAAGATTCTGGATTTTGTCCATTTTAATAGATGTGTAGTGGTATTTCACTGTTGTTTTAATTTTAATTTTCCTGATAACATATGATATGGAGCATCTTTTATATGCTCATTTGCCATCTGTGTATCTTCTTTGATGTGGTATCTGTTAAGGCCTTTGGCCACTTTTCAATCAGTTTTTTTTGTTTTCTTTTCTTGTTTTTTTTTTTTTTTTTTTACTGTGAAGTTTTAAGAGTGTGTTGTATGTTTCAAATAACAGTCCTTTATCACAAGTGTCTTTTGCAAATATTTTTTCCCAGTCTACAGTTGGTCTTATCATTCTATTGTCTTTCACATAGCTGAAGCTTCTAATTTTTTTTTTTGAGACGGACTCTCGCTCTGTTTCCCATGCTGGAATGCAGTGGCGCGATCTTAGCTCACTGCAATCTCCACATTCCTGGTTCAAGTGATTCTCCTGCCTCAGCCTCCCGAGTAGCTGGGACTACAGGCGTGCACCACCACATCCAGCTATTTTTTTGTATTTTTAGTAGAGATGGGGTTTCCCTGTGTTAGCCAGGATGGTCTCGATCTCCTGACCTCATGATCCACCCACCTCGGCCTCCCAAAGTGCTGGGATTACAGGCGTGAGCCACTGCCCCCACCCAGAAGTTTCTAATTTTACTGAAATCAAGCTTATTAATTATTTCTTTCATGAATCATGCCTTTTATGTTGTATCTAAAAAGTCACCCTCATACTCAAGGTCATCTAGGATTTCTCTTACGTTGTCTATTAGGAGTTCTTATTTAAAGTTTTGTGTGCTGCATTTAGGTCTATGATCAATTTGGAGTTAATTTTTGTGAAGAATGTAACTTCTGTGACTAGATTTATTTTTTCTTTTCTCCCTCCTCCCTCCCTCCCTTCTTTCCTTTCTTCCTTCCCTCTCTCCCTCCCTCTCTCCCTCCCTCCTTCCCTCCCTCCCTCCTTCCCTCCCTCCTTCCCTCCCTCCTTCCCTCCCTCCTTCCCTCCCTCCTTCCCTCCCTCCTTCCCTCCCTCCTTCCCTCGTTCCCTCCTTCCCTCCTTCCTTCCATCTTTCCTTCCTTCATTTCCTTTTTTTCCTTTTCTTTCCCTCCGTCCCTTCCTCCCTCCCTTTTTTCTTTTCTTTTTATTCTTTCTCTTTTAACATGTGAATGTCCCATAATTCTAGCACCATTTGTTTAAAATGATCTTTGCTCCATTGTTTTGCCTTTGTGTTTTTGTCAAAGACCAGTTAATTATATCTGTGTACAAGTCTATTTCTGGGCTCTCTATTCTGTTACACCAAGCTGTTTATCTACCTTTTGCCAGCGTAACACCGATATGGCTTAAAGTAGGGTAGTGTCAGGCCTCCGACATTTTTTTTCATTCTCTTTCACCATTGTTTTGGCTATCCTGGGTCTTTTGCTTCTCTGTAGAAACTTTAGAATTGGTTTGTTGATATCCACAACTTAACTTGCTGGTATTTTGATTGGGAATTACATTGAATCTATAGATCAAGTTGGGATGAATTGACATATTGACAATGCTGACTCTTCCTATCTGTGAACATAGACAGTCTCTACATTTATTTAGTTCTTGGATTTCCTTCATCAGAGTATTTGTAATTTTCCTTATATAGATCTTGTACATATTTTGTTAGATACATAGCTAAGTATTTCATTTTGGGGGGTGTCAATGTAGATGGTATTGTGTTTTTCATTTCAAATTTTACTTCTTCATTGCTAGAAATTTAGGTAAATTATTGATTTTTCTATATTAACCTTATATCCTGCAACCTTGCTATAATCACTTCTTAGGTTTTTTTATTTTTAATTTTTGTGGGTATATGGTGTATATATTTATGGGGTACATGAGATATTTTGATACGGGCATGCAATATAAAAGAAACACATTATGAAGCATTTGTCCATTGAGTTGCAAACAATCCAATTATACTAATATTCCAAATATACCAATATTCCAACATAATCCAATATACCAATATTCCAAACATGGAAAAATATTTTTCCATTTTTTGTTGTGATTACTCTATGCGATATAAAATGTACAGTTAAATTATTATTGACTATAGTCACCATGTTGTACTAGAAAACACTAGGTCTTATTCATTCTTTCTAACTATTTTTTTTTGTACCCATTAACCATTGCCACCTCCCCATTAGACCCTCACCACCCTTCCCAGCTTCTGGTAACCATTTTTCTACTCTCTATGTCCATGAGTTCAATTGTTTTGATTTTTAGATCCCACAAATAAGTGAGAACATACAGTGTTTGCCTTTCTGTGCCTGGCTTAATTCACTTAACCTAATGATCACCAGTTCCATCCATGTTTTTGCAAATGACTGGATCTCATTCTTTTTTATGGCTGAATATACTTCATTGTGTATATGTACCACATTTTTTTCATCCATTCGTCTGTTGATGGACACTTACGTTGCTTCCAAATCTTAGCTATAATAAACAGTACTGCAACAAACATAGGAGTGCAGATATCTCTTTGATATACGGGTTCCCTTTCTTTTGGGTATATACCCAGCAGTGAGACTGTGGGATCATATAGTAGCTCAATTTTTAGTTTTGTGAGGAACCTACAAACTGTTCTTCATAGTGACAGTACTAATTTACATTCCAAGCAACAGTGTACAAGGGTTCCTTTTTTCTCCACATCCTCTCCAGCCTTTGTTATTGCCTGTTTTGGACAAAAGCCATTTTACCTGTGGTAAGATGATATCTCATTGTAGTTTTGATTTGCATTTCTCTGATGATCAGTGATATTGGGCACCTTTTTATATGCCTGTTTGCCATTTTTATGTCTTCTTTTGAGAAATGTCTATTCAAATCTTTTGCCCAATTTGATTGGATTATTAGATATTTTCCTATAGAGTTGTTTGAGATCCTTGTATATTCTGGTTATTAATCCCTTGTCAGATGGGTAGTTTGCAAATATTTTCTTGCATTCCATGAGTTGTCTCTTCACTTTGTTGACTGTAACCTTTGCTATGCAGAAACCCTTTCACTTGACTTGATCCCATTTGTTCACTTTTGCTTAGGTTGCCTGTGTTTGTGGGTAATGAGATCAAAGCATCTCAAGAAATATTTGCCCAGACAAATGTCCTGAAGATTTTCCTCAATGTTTCCTTGAGGTAGTTTCATAGTTTGAGGTCTTAAATTTAAGTCTTTAATTCATTTTGACTTGATTTTTGTATATGAGAAGACATAGGGATCTAGTTTCATTCATTTCATTTTTCTGCATATAGATATCCAGTTTTCCAAGCACCATTTGATTGAAGAGACTCTCTTTTCCACAGTGTATGATCTTGGCACCTTTGTTGAAAATGAACTCACTATAGGTATGTGGATTCGTTTCTGGGTTCTTTATTCTGCTCCATTGGTCTATGTGTCTGTTTGCATGGCAGTACCATGCTGTTTGGTTACTATAGCTCTGTAGTTTTTAAAGTCAGGTAATGTAATTCCTTCCATTTTGTTCTTATTGCTTAGGATAGCTTTGGCTATGATGGGTTTTTGTGGTTCCATATAAATTTTAGGATAGTCGTTTCTGTTTCTGTGAAGACTGTCATTATTTTGATAGGGATTACACTGAGTTTGCAGATTGCTTTGGGTAGTATGGATATTTTAAGAATATTGGTTCTTCAAATCCCTAAACATAAAATATTTTTCCATTTTTTATTGTCCTCTTCAATTTCTTTTATCAGTGTTTTATAGTTTTGTTATAGAGATCTTTCACTTCTTTGGTTAATTCCTAGGTATTCAATTTTATTTGTGGCCATTTTAAGTGGGATTACTTTTTTATTTCTTTTTCAGATTGTTTATGGTTGACATATGGAAATGCTACTGATTTTTGTATGTTGATTTTGTATCCTGCAACTTTACCTCATTTGTTTATTAGCTTTAGTAGTTTTCTTGTGGAGTGTTAGGTTTTTCCAAGTATAAGATCATATCATCTCCAAATAAGAATGTTTTGACTTCTTCCTTCCAATCTGGAAGCCCTTTATATCTTTCTCTTGTCGGATTGTTCTAGCTAGTACTTTCAGTACTATGTTGAATAACAGTGGTGACAGTGGCTATCCTTGTAATGTTCCATATCTTAGAGAAAAGGCTTTCAGTTTTTTCCCATTAAGTATAATATTAACTTTGAGTTTGTCTTATATGGCTTTTATTAGGTTGAGGTATGTTCCTTATATATGCAGTTTTCTGAGGATTTTTATCATGAAGTTATGTCGAATTTTATCAAATGCTATTTTGGCATAAATTGAAATGATCAGTTTTTAATTCTTCATTCTGTTGCTGTGATGTATCACATTGATTGATTTACATATGTCGAACTATCTTTGTATCCCAAGAATAAATCCCATTTGGTCATGATGAATGGCCATTCTAATGTATTATCAAATTCAGTTTGCTAGTATTTTGTTGAGGATTTTTACATCAATATTTACCAGATATATTGGCCTTCAGTTTTCTTATTTTTTTCTTTTTTGTTATGTCTTTGGTTTTAGTATCAGGGTGATACTGCTCTTGTAGAGTAAGTTTGGAAGTATTCCCTCCTCCTCTGTTTTTTGGAGGGGTTGGTATTAGTTCTTTAAATGGTTGGTAGCATTCAGCAGTGAAAACATAGGAACTCAGGCTTTCCTTTACTGGGAAAATTTTTATTACAGCTTTGATCTCATTACTTGTTATTGGTTTGTTCAGGTTTTGGATTTCTTCCTGGCTCAGTCTTGGTAGGTTGTATGTATCTAGGAACTTTTCCATTTCTTCTAGATTTTCCAATTTATTATCATATAATTGCTCATAGTAGCCACTAATGATGCTTTGAATTTCTGCAGTATCAATTGCAATATCTCCTTTTTCATCTCTGATTTTATTTATTTGGATCTTCTCTCTTTTTTTCTTAGTTAGTCTGGAGAAAGTTTTGTCAATTTTGTTTAACTTTTCAAGAAAAGCTTTTTGGTTCATTCATATTTGTGGTTTTTTTTCATTTCAATTTCATTTGTTTCTGCTCTGATCTTTATTATTTCTTTTCTTCTACTAATTTTGGGTTTTGTTTGCTCTTGCTTTTATAGTTTTTTAAGGTGCATCATTTAATTGTTTATTTGAAGGTTTTCCTCTTTTTTGATGTAGGCACTTACAGCTATAAACTTTCCTCTTAGTACTGTTTTTGCTTTATTACAAAGGTTTGGATATGTTGTGTTTCTGTTATGATTTGTTTCTAAGAATTTTTCAATTTCCTCCTTAATTTCTTCATTGGCTTACTGTTCCATCAGGAACATATTGTTTAATTTTCATGTATTTGTATAGTTTCCAAAATTTCTCTTATTATTAATTTCTAGCTTAATTCCATTGTGGTAAGAGAAGATGCTTAATATTATTTCATTTTTTGAATGTCATAATAATTTTTTGTGACCTACATATGATCTATCCTTGAGAATGATCCATGTGCTGAGGAAAAAAAATGTATATTCTGCAGCTCTTGAATGAAATGTTCTGTAAATATCTATTAGATCTGTTTGGTTTATAGTGCAGATTAAGTCTGATGTTTCTTTGTTAATTTTCTGTCTGCAAGATCTGTCCAATGCTGAGAGTAGGGTGTTGAAGTCTCCAGTAACTATTGTATTGGGGCTCATCTCTTTCTTTAGCTCTAATAACATTTTCCTTTATATATCTGGGTGCTTCAGTGTTTCTTTAGCTTTAATAACACCGTCTTTATATATCTGGGTCTTCAGTATATTTAAAATTGCTATATCCTCTTGTTAAATTGACTCCTTTATCATTATATAATGACTTTTTTTGCCTCTTCTTACAGTTTGTGTCTTGAAATCTATGTTGGCTGTTGTAAGTATAAATACTCCTGCTCTTTTTTGGTTTCCATTGGCATAGAATATCTTTTTCCATCCCTTTGTTTTCAGTGTGTTTGTGTCTTTATATGTGAAGTGTGTTTCTTGAAGGCAGCAGATCAATGGGTCTTGTTTTTTCATCCATTCAGCTAGTCTATTTCTTTTGATTGAAGAATTTAGCCTGTTTGCATTCATTGTTATTATTGATAAGTAAGAACTTACTCCTGCCATTTTAGTATTTGTTTTGTGGTTGTTTTGTGGTCTTCTCTTCTTACTTTCCTTTCTGTCTTTCTTTAGTAAAGCTGATTTTCTCTGGTGATATGGTTTAGTTTCTTTTTTTTCTTTTTCTTTTTTTGAAACAGTTTCGCTCTTGTTGCCCAGGCTGGAGTGCAATGGCATGATCTCGGCTCACTGCAACCTTCACCTCCCAGGCTCAAGAGATTCTCCTGCCTTAGCCTCCCAAGTAGCTGGGATTAAAGGCACCTGCCACCACACCCACATAATTTTTTGTATTTTTAGTAGAGACAGGGTTTCACCATGTTGGTCAGGCTGGTCTCGAACTCCTGACCTCAGGTAATCCACCTGCCTCAGCCTCCCAAACTGCTGGGATTACAGGCATAGGCCACCGCGCCAGCTGGTTTAGCTTCTTATTTTTTTGTTTATCTGTTGTATGTTTTTTGACTTGAGGTTACCATGAGCATTGTAATACTATCTTTTAACCTATTATTTTAACCTGATAACAACTTAACACCATTTGCTTAAACTAACAAAAACTCTCCTTAACTTTGTCCCCCTGCTTTTTAACATTTTGTTGTTTCTATAAATATTATGTTTTACTATGACTTGAAAAGTTGTTGTAGTTATTCTTTTTAATTGGTTTATTGTTTAGTGTTTCCACAGAGTCGTTTCACACCACAGTTACAATGTTATAATATTTTGTGTTTTTCTGTGTACTGACTTTTATCAATAAGTTTTGTACCTCTGGTGATTATTTATTGCTCATTAATGTCCTTTTCTTTCTGACTAAAGTGCTGTCTTTAGCATTTCTTGTAGGATGGGTCTAGTGTTGATGACATTCCTCAGCTTTCGTTTGTTGGGAACTTCTCCTCCTTCATGTTTGAAGAATACTTTCACTGCACATACCATTCTAGGGAAAAAGATTTTTTTCCTTCAGCACTTTAAATATGTTATGCCACTCTCTCCTGGCCTGTAAGGTTTCCACTGAAAAGGCTGGTGCCAGATGAATTGGAGCTTCATTGTATGTTATTTGTTTATTTTCTCTTGCTGCTTTTAGGATCCTTTCTTATCTTTGGCCTTTGGGAGTTTGATTATTAAATACCTTGAGGTAATCTTCTTTAGATTAAACTGCTTTGTGTTTGATAACTTTCTTGTACTTGAATATTGATATTTTTCTCTGGGTTTGGAAAATTCTCTATTATCCCTTTGAATGACATTTCTACCCGTATCTCTTTCTTTACCTCCTCTTTAAGGCCAACAACTCTTAGATTTGCCCTTTTTGCAGTTATTTTCTAGATCCTGTAGGTTTGCTTCATCTTTTTAAATCTTTTTTCTTTTGTCTCCTCTGACTGTGTATTTTCAAATAGCCTGTCTTCAAGCTCACTAATCCTTTCTTCTGCTTGATCTATTGTTTTATTAAAGGACTCTGATGCATTCTTCAGTATGTTAATTGCATTTTTCAGCTCCAGAATTTCTGCTTGATTCTTTTAAATTATTTCAATCTCTGTTAAATTTATCTGATGGAATATCAGATTTCTTCTCTATATTCTCTTGAATTTCTTTGAGTTTCCTCAACACAGCTATTTTGAATTATGTCTGAAAGGTCACATATCTCTGTTTTTCCAGGATTGGTCACTGGTACCTTATTTAGTTCATTTGATGTGGTCATGTTTTTCTGGATGTTGTTGATGCTAATACATGTTCTCTGGTGTCTGGGCATTGAACTGTTAGTCATTTATTTTAGTCTTTACTGTCTTGGCTTATTTGCGACTGTCCTTCTTGAGAAGATTTTTCAGGAATTTGAAAGGTCTTGAGTGTTGTGATCTAATTTGCTTCTGCTTTAGGGGGTTCCCCAGGCCCAGTACAGATTCATAGAGGTACTGCCTTAATGGTCTTAGACAAGATCTGGAATTCTCTGGATTACCAGGCAGAGACTCTTGTTCTCTTGTCTTACTTTCTTCCAAACATACAAGTCTCTTTCTCTGTTCTGAGTCACCTGAAGCTCAGAGTGGAGTGACACAAGCACCTGTGTGGCCACTACCACTATTATTGCACTGGGCCAGACATAAATCCAGGATAGCACTGGGTCTTGCCCAAGGCCTGCTGTAACCACTCCCTGGCTACTGTCTATGTTTTTGTTCAAGGTCCAGGGGCTGTATAATAGGCAGGGGGTAAAGCCAGCCAGGCCTGTGTCCTTCCCTTCAGAGCAGTGAGGTCCCCCAAGTCCTGGGTGGGTCCAGAAGTGCTGTTCAGGAGTCAGGGACTTAAATGAAAAACCTAGAATTCTACCTGGTATTTTATGGTAGTGCAGCTGAGCTGTCACTCACCACACAAGAGGCAGTCTTTCCCACTTTTCCCTCCCCTTTCCAAAGGCACAGGAGCCTCACCCTGTGGCCACCAACAACCCTTGGCTACAAGGAGTACTGCCAGACTACCACCAATGTTCCCTTTAGGCCCAAGGTCTCTTAAGTTAACTTGGGGTGAATGCTGCCTGGCCTGGGACTTACCCTTCAGGGCAGCGGGCTTTTCTCTAGCCCAGGGCAGGTCTACAAATGCCATTCAAGAGTCAAGTCCTGGAATCAGAGACCTCAAGAGCATGCTTGGTTCTTTACTCCCTGTTGTTGTGTTGGTACCTAAGGTGCAAGACAAATTCCCCTTTATTTTTCCCTCTGCTTTTCTCAAGCAGAAGGAATTTTTCCCTTTAACTATCATAGCAGGTAACATGCTATGTCTCACCTGAAGCCAGCAATTCTCAGATGCTCACTCACAACACTTGATATAGTAGCTGGGTATTGTTTCTTGTTATTCAGGGCCCACAGTCTCTTCAGTTAGCAGGTGATGAGTGTTGCTAGAACTGAATCCTTTCCTTCAAGGCAGCGGGTTCTCTTCTGGCCTGGGATCTGGTCTAGAAATGTTGTCTGGGAGCTAAGGCCTGGAATGGGGACCTCGTGACTCTGATTGGTGCCATCTCCCGCTCTGGCTGAGCTGGTATCCAAGATGCAAGACAAAGTCCTCCCCATTCTTCCCTCTCGTCTCTTCAAGTGGAAAGAAGGGGTCTATTTTGGAGTTGCAAACTACAGCCTGGAGCTAGAGGAGGGGTGATGCCAGCACTCCCTTGGCTGCCCCTGCTAGTGTCTCAGTATGTCATATACCCTCCCAGTCCACTGCCTCTGGGCCTAGTTCACCCCTAGGACTTGCCTAAGAGTTTCAGTCCTTATGGCCTAGACTGCCTTTCAAGTTTACTTAGAGACCAAGAGCACTCTGGCTTTAGGTGGCATGAAGTTTGCGGGCACTCAAGTTCTGATGGCTGGGATTGGCAATTCCCCTCTGGATAGGGCTGGTTTAAATGCTCCCTCTGTGGCTGGATGCCAGCTGAACCTGGTCCAGTATTTCTTTTCACATTTTTTATTCTTTCTTTGAGATGGAGTCTTGCTCTGTTACCCAGGCTGGAGTGCAGTGGCAAGACTCAGCTCAGTGCAACCTCCACCTCCCAGGTTCAAGTGATTCTCCTGCCTCAGCCTCCTGAGTAGCTGGGATTACAGGCCCCTGCCACGATGCCCAGTTAATTTTTGTATTTTTAGTAGAGACAGAATTTCTTCATGTTAGCCAGGAGGCTTGAACTCCTGTTGATCTAGCATTTCTAAGTGTTCTAACAGAATAGCCCTGTTAATTGCCTCACAATTGCTGCATTCCCCATTCCTCAGGGCCCAGAGATGCTCTCTCTGTACCACACAGCTACTCTGAGGAGTTGGGAGAGGGGATTCAGGACTGTTTCTTCCATCTCTTCAGTGCCTCTTTCAGCCATACAAAGTTAAACCAGGTGGTATGTGTGCTCACCTGATATTTTGTTCTAATGAAGGTGTTTTTTCTGTGGAGATAGTTGTTAACTTGCTGCTCTTGCAGGGGAAGGATTGGTGGAGATTTCTGTTCAGCCATCTTGCTCCACCTCCTCCTTCTTTGTTTTTGCCAATTCTTTAATATTGTCTTCAGAGACAATCGTATCATCTGTGAACAAAGACAGTTTTCTTTCTTCCTTCCCAGTCTTTATATTTCCTTTTTTATTTTACTACATTAGCTAGGACTTGCTGTACAATGCTGAAACAAAGTGAAGAGAGGGTGCACCCTTGCCTTTTTCCCAATCTTAATGGGGAAGCTTCCAGTTTCTTACCATTGAATATGTTATTAGCTGTAGTTTGTGTGTGTATGTATGTAAATATTTTTTATCAAGATGAGAAAGTTCATCTCTCCTCCTAGATTATTAAGAGTTTTTATTATTAATGGCTACTGGATTTTGTCAAATGCTTTTTCTGTATTTGTTGATATGATCATGTGGTTACTCTTTTGCAATCTGTATATATGATGAATTGTATTAACTAATTTTCAAGTATTGAAGCAGTCTTACATACCTGAGACAAATGTATATATTTCTATACTTGTATTGATTGATCCTGGCATTTTTTAATACATTGTCAGGTTCAATTTACTTACAATTTAATACATTTGTTGGATTCAAAACTACTATTTTGTTGAAGACTTTTGCATCTATGTTCATGACAAATATTGGTCTGTAGTTTTATTGTCTTCCAAGGCCTTTATCAGTTTTTGTTATTAGGATAATACTGGACTCACAGAATGAGTTAGGAAATCTTCCCTTTGCTTCTGTCTTCTGAAAGAGATGATCAAGAATTGGTATAATTTATTTTTTAAATATTTGGTAAAATTTACTAATAAACTGATCTGGAGTTTGTGCTTTCCATTTTGGAAGATTATTAATTGTTGATTCAACTTCTTTAATGCACATAGGCCTACTAAGGTTGTGTATTTCTTCTTATGTGAGTTTTAAAAGATTGTTTTTCTCAACAAATTTGTCTATTTCATCTAGGTTAACAAATTTGTGGGCATAGAGTTGTTCATTGTATTCCTATATTATCCTTTTTGTGTCCATGGAATGTGTAGTGATGTTCCCTTTTTCATTTCTGATTTTAGCCATGTGGTGATGTTCTCTCTTTTATGTTTGATATTATTAATTTTTGTCCTCACTCTCTCTCTTTTTTAGTTAGCAAAGCCAGATGCTTATCAATTTTATAGATCTTTTCAAAGAACCAGCTTTTGTTTTTATTGACTTTCTTTATTGAGTTTCTGTGTTCAATGTTACTGATTCCTAGTCTAATTCTTATTATTTTTTTTCTTCTGTTTATTTTGAGAACTTGGCTCAGCTCCTGGAAGTACAATTCATAAAAGTTTGTACACCTCCCCCTGCCCCCATAACTTGGTTCTCCTGGAATTTTTAACCCTCAGGCTTGTCCACACTGAGCCTCCAGTAATTTGTCTATTACAGTTAAGGTTTTTCTATCCTCGAAATAGTTCTCATGGTATTTCTGTGAGTCTCTGCTTTCATAAGCCATGACTTCCTGTGTTCATCACATGTTTATCTCTCATATCTTGAGGGCAGTGGATTGCCCTATGTCTTCACCTCTCTTACAAGTGCAAGAATTGTTGATTTATCAGTCTCTTCATTTACTTTTTGTTTGGGCAGAGTGGCAATCAAAGCTCCTTATATGCACAATGAGAAACTGAAAGTCTAGTTGTATAGTTTTTGTAAATTTCTTTTCTATCCTCCCTACTTCTCAAGAATGTTTCATGTGTGTGTGTATGTTTGCCAGTTTTTCCTGTCACAGGACTCTGATGCTATCTGAACTCCTAATTATGGCTTATTAACCTAACCACACTGCTATGGTTTGGATATGGTTTGTTTGGCCTCACCAAGTCTTAAGTGGTTATTAATCCCCACTGTTGGAGGTGGGGCCTGGTGGGATGTGGTTGAGTAATGGGAGTGGATTCCTCATGAATGGCTTGGTGCTGTCCTCCCAGTAATAAGTGAGTTCTCACTCCACTAGTTCCCGTAAGAGTTCTCTTGAGAGCTGGTCATTAAAGAGAGCCTGTCACTTCCCCCCATCGCACTTTTGCTTCCACTCTCTTATCATGTGATCTCTGCATGCTGGCTCTCCTTTGTCTTTTCCCATGAATGGAAGCAGCCTGATGCCCTCACCAGAAGCAAATGTTGGCTCCAGGCTTTTTGTGTAGCCTGCAGAACCATGAGCCAAATAAGCCTGTTTTAAGTAAATAAATAAATAAATAAAAATAAATTACCGAGCTTCAGGTATTCCTTTATAGTAACACAAGACACATACCATGCCAGAAATTATTTTTTTATTTCTTTTGTTTCTCCTATAAAGAGATCAGGTTTTAAAATCAACCAGATCTAATTAGAAACTCATGTTCTTGTTATTGCCTTATTCTTATGATTTGAGTAAGTAATGTAAGGTTTCTGGGTCTCAATTTTTTCTCTGAAAATTAAAATTAAAATATCCACCCTTTGAAGTTTATTTTTGGATTAATTAGAATACATATCAATATCTTGGCACACTATGTGGTATATACTGGATGTCAGTTAATATTAGACAATAATGATTATGATTAGGTGATAATTTGCTGATCCCATGTTAGAAGAAATATACATTGTACAAATTTATACTGAATTGTCAATTTATTTCAATGGTCATTTGCACTTAAAAGATAGAAATATTTTATCCAATTAAACCATTGATATATTTTTAAAAGCATTTAGGAGGATTTTTTAATGTTCTAACTAAAACTTAATTACAACATATATGTTTCAACTACATTTAATATTAATATAGATAAATTATATAAAACAGATAAATTATAAGCATTAAACATCTATAGTGGTAAATCTGGCTCTGACTGGATTTCTCTCTTCCCTCAGGAACAAGTATAAAGACTTCATTGAATATATTTGAAAATTAAATGTGTAGGTATTTTAAATTCCTGGATATGGAAACTCTAATTAAGTAAACCTTCTCCATATATTTACATCCTTGGAAACGTAAAAGTGTAAGGCAAAATTATATAGTATGTTCTCTACCAAAATGTTAAAAGATGCCCTTACTCTACATTCAATCAGGTTAATGTAAATTTTAATAACATAACTAAAATATAGCAAGGTAAAGTTTCCAAGATGCTGGAAAGAGAGGGTCATCAATAATCTATTTGTAATTAATGCACAGTAAATGCATATATATTAACTAAACAAGAAAGAATGAATAACAACGTTCACACTGCTATTATTTTCCCTCCTTCCTTCCTTCCTCTTTCCTTCCTTCCTTCCTTTTTTTCTTTCTTATTGATTGATGCTGTTGACATTATCTACTTTTGAAACGTATCACATGTTCTATATGCAGTTTACAAATTAATAGTAATAGCAAAAGTGGTAATCTACTTAACATCCTACCTACCCAAGATAAAGCATAGTTAATTGCCTGTATTTTAGAAGCTCCTATGTGCCCTTATTTAATCATATTGCCACCTGTCTCCTTCTTTTCTTTGTACTGTTTCTAACTATGTACATATCCTTAATAGCATAACGGTTGATTTTGAAAAGCATACGACAAAGACAAACCTAGTTGCAAAAGAGAATGACAATATCACAGCTATTAAAGGACTGTTAAAAGAGTCCAGGAGACGGTAAGCTGAACAGAGTCTCTGGATCATAGTCTGACTTCATCTCCTTTGAGAGTTTCAAAGATATTCTTGGAAAGTCAGTGGGTAAGGACATAAAAAGGTTCTGAGAAACATATAGCTTAGCAACATTGGGCCATATGACAGGCCTAGAATATAGGCTAAGTTTTGAAATTTCATAGGTAATATGGAGTCTCCTGCTTCTAAGCTCCAATGTCCTACCTCCTGCTCTTCAGTATAGCTCAAAGCAGACATCTGTGTGGGAGAAATGAGAGTCATCAACTGATCCAAGCAACAGGATATAAACAACAGAGTAGGAACTTCATTAACAAAAGGTTAGATAAGCCAAGTGAAGATATGAATTTGAGTCAAGTTTACCATGGCATTTTGTTCTGAGGTTACAAAGCTAGTACCTAAAATGGCAAAGGGGACTTGGTGAGAATAGCCCTCATCAGATCTGTTTCTTAAGTCACCGGGTATAAATGTGGGCCCATAATCCTATATATCGGTTTGTGGCTCTTTATTCTCTATCCGTCTGGGAAATTCAATAGAATATCCTTGTTTGCTCTCCTCTTTATGCAGTCCATGTCTTTTGCTTTCTTGTCTGTATTCTAGTTCTGAAAGAACACATCTTCAGTGGTGTTTTAAGAAAAGATGTATATGAGATAATTTTCTAAAGAACCGTGTGTGCTTAAAAGTATTATTTGACATTTGCCTTTATTGGGTATAGAGTTTTCTTCATAATTTGAAACTCCAATATCTTTGTTATTCTAGTGCTGCAATTGGACTCATTCTGATTCTTAATACTTTATATATGATCTGTGTTTTTATAAATCTCTCTCCATGAACTTGTATACTCTCATTTTATCATCAGTGTTTAGAAAACCTGCAATGTGTAGATCTATTTCCATTCATCATGCTAGGCACTCAACCTGGCAACTGTTTATCAGTTCTATAAAAGTTTCTCAAATTCTTTCTCTGATAAAATCCCTTCTGATTTTTTCTTTTCTGTCTTTCAAGAACTCCTCGGACTATTGTACTTCTTTCTTCCATCTATATGATTTTTAAATTTCATTTCTGGGAAATTTTCTCAATTTTATCTTCCTAACCTCCTATCAGAATTTTACTTTCTATTATGATAATTTTAAATTGCAAAAGTTTTTCCTTATTCTCTTAATGTTTATTTCTTTAAATCACTCCATCATGTGAAATGGATAAATTGCCATGTCTTGTCTCACTGATAATGCTAATCCTAATGCTCTGTTCTTTCTTTTGAATATAATTCCTTGTCCTCTAAGATTAATTATGTTTTTTGTTTAGTTGCTTGTTCAGGCTCCTCTATACTTTACATGTTGTATGCTTTCTTAGGTTATTTGATTATTCTTTATTGTTTTCTCGTGTTTAAAAGTCTGAAAAGAGTTGACTGGGAGTCATGGATAAGTATGTGTGTGTGGGGGGAGCTGTTCTCAATATAATCTTGCTAAAGAGTTCTCTGACTAGGCTTTTTGTTGTTCTGGTGGTGGTAGTGTTGGTAACAATCAATGTCAATATATTTAGGTCTTTAATCTTGGTCTTGTGAATTCACCAACAAAATATTTTTTAGTTTCTGCCGGATTGATTCTGCATCCAGGATTCTGAGAACTTGATGGGGGCGTAGGGCTTGAGCTCTGAGAATTCACTATTTAATGTGAATAAGGTCACTTATTCCCTTTGTTTTCTCTCCAACACTAATATTCTCACATGCATCTAACAGTCCATAGTTCCAAACACTCTGCTTTGCCTTCTACATTAGCCTGGAGACAATGTAACTTGTGACCTATTTTTTTCTGGTAGAAGGGGCAAGAACTAGCTAACCATCTTTCTTACTGCTTCTCTTGGCTCTTGCTCATGTTGTGGACACTGAGGTTGGTTGTGATCTTGAATGAGAGCTATTTTACCCTTAAGGGTGTGACTCTCCTGGAGCCAGTAGCCCAGCCAATACTTCAGCTCACTTCCATGCCACCACCTTGCAGTGTACAGTTGGCCTTCTGTATCCTGCAGGTTCAATCAGCCTCAGATCAAAAATATTTTTAAAAGTAAAATAGTGGTAATACAAGAATACGAAGTAATACAAATAAGAAACAATACAGTACAAAAATTATTTGCATAGCCTTTACATTATATTAGATATTAGACATAATCTGGAAATGATTTAAACTATATGGGAAGATGTGTGTAGGTTATATGCAAATACTATGCCATTTTATATAAGGCACTTGAGCATCCATGGATTTTGGTATCTTCAGGGGTCTTAGAACCAATCCTCTAAGGATACTGAGGAATAACTCTCTATGATTCTTCAGGTGACATGCCTGGGACCAAGAGCATCTCAACAGAGGAAGCTAAAGTCAGTCCTCCCTCAGATAACCATGCTATCCTGCCAAGATTATTCTGAAGTGGCAGCCTCTGAAGCAGTTCCCCAGAGTCTTAATTGGTGAAAAACGTATCTGAGAAACCTCCCTTCTTTAGGAATCAAGCCCAGAAAAGGGAAGGATGTAGACATAAATGTATTTGACAAACACGATCAGAGCACTTACTGTCTACCAGGCATGGTTTTAAGTGCTTTATATTCAATTGCTTTGGCACTTAATGTTTACAACCATCTTATAAGAAAGCAACTTAAAAGGTAGGTATTACTATTACTAATATCACGGATAATAATGGGGTTGGTAATGAGGAAACTGAATCTCAGAATAATTTGACTCAGGCCATGGGTCTAATAAGTAGTGGGGCTAAGATTAGATCCTCATTCTAATCACTGTGCTATACTGCCTCCAAGCTTATCTCTGCTTTGTTTTTTCTTTGCTTTTTTTGTTATTTCTTTATGTAAGTCTTTATATTTTTTAAATATTTTTATTTCCATAGGTTATTTTGGAATTGGTGAGTTCTTTAGTGGTGATTCATGAGATTTTGTTGCACCCATCACCCAAGCAGTATACACGGCACTCAATTAGTAGTGTTTTATCCCTCGTCCCCTTCCTACACTTTCCCCTTGATTCCCCAAAGAGTATTGTGTCATTCTTATGCCTTCACATCCTCATAGCTTAGCTCCCACTTATGAGTGAAAACATATGATGTTTAGATTTCCATTCATGAGTTATTTCACTTAGAATAATAGTCTCCAATCCCATCCAGGTTGCTGTGAATGCCATTAATTCATCCCGTTTTATGGCTGAGTAGTATTCCATTATGTGTATATATATGTGTTTGTGTGTGTGTGTGTGTGTGTGTGTGTGTGTGTGTGTGTGTGTATGGGCACTTGGGTTGGTTCCACATTTTTGCTAGATTATATTGAGAACACCTCCCATACACATACATATCTACTTTGGCCCAATGCCTCCCACAATACTCTCCCTTCCACTTTTTGCTGGGACTCACCTACCTTACATCAGTGGTCTTGTCATTCAGGCCTAGTACTTGTTATCTTAAGAGTGAATTCAGGCCTAGTTCTTGTTAAGAGTGAATGCACTAAGAAATCCTTTTCCTTTTTTGACAAAGCCAGGTTCTTATGATTACTATCTTGCTAAAGAAGTCCAGGAAGTCAACTATGAAACCCAAAGCTGAACAAAGGTCTAGTTTTTAGAAATATTCACCCTCATCTTTCCTCACACAAAGCCTTAGGAAAGGAAGGCTTTAAAGCAAATATACTGCAAGTTACATAACTGCAATTATTTATTCTTATGATATTAGACAGAGAAATAAAAAATGACTCAGAATGGTATAGCATCATAAACACCATAAGGGGATAGATAATTGAGATGGAGCATGTGATTTAGTTTAAACATGGGTTAGGGAGAGAGCAGATTAATATAATTCTCTTACAGCTGGTAACAGATGATTACTATCGTGCTAAAAGAGGAAGGGAGAGTATTTTGAGAAGTCCATAGCTGAGTAATGAAAAAGAGTCTCTAGTCAATGGTGAGATAATAAGTAAGAGAAAGAGGCAGTAGGCATGTATGGCACATTCAAGATACTTAACAATGGAAGAGAAGATAAATTCACACGTAGAAAATCAGGTGTCGAACATTATATAAATTCAAATGTGTTCTGACAAATAAATGTTTTATATCTGAGAAAAACAACTACTGACAAAAATAAAATCTGGTTTTAAATGCTCAGCAGCTGCAAACCTAATTGTTCTACTTCAGTAATTATCTAACCATCCCCCTCAAGTTTTCTTTACATCCTTTTCCCTTTAAACACTTGTATGTTTAAAAGGGGCATGTTAGGCCGGGCGCGGTGGCTCACGCCTGTAATCCCAGCACTTTGGGAGGCCGAGGCGGGCGGATCACGAGGTCAGGAGATCGAGACCATCCCGGCTAAAAAGGGTGAAACCCCGTCTCTACTAAAAATACAAAAAATTAGCCGGGCGTAGTGGCGGGCGCCTGTAGTCCCAGCTACTGGGGAGGCTGAGGCAGGAGAATGGCGTGAACCCGGGAGGCGGAGCTTGCAGTGAGCCGAGATCCCGCCACTGCACTCCAGCCTGGGCGACAGAGCGAGACTCCGTCTCAAAAAAAAAAAAAAAAAAAAAAAAAAAAAAAAGGGGCATGTTAATATACATAGCCATGTCAGAACTGGTAGGAAGGAAAGGTCAGAAATTCCTATTGGCTTTACATTGCAATGTTAGTTTGCCCAGATTTTTCATGGTGCTTAATGAAGCACCAATTTAGAAGACTAATGAGAACATTTATAATTTGGGCTTGACATTACTATGCTAAAATTGACTACTTAATTATCAAATTAATTTAATGATTATAACCGTAGTTTTACACAATGTTTATGATGTAAACATTTGGGGACTTTTAACTATAAAAATGCTTAATTTCTCTAAACTGTTCCAATGTGTAAAGAGCTATGAAATTTGAAAGGTCTAAGAAACATGCCAACAGCTATAAAATAAATATATACCCTTGATATAGTGCTACAATGTGTACAGCACAATTGCCTTTGTAATATCATTTGTCCTTGGATCTCAGTTGTGTTTCCCATATTTGATGTACCTTAAAACTCAGTGGTGTCTCAACAATAGCTGGCTGGGCATGAGGTGGTAACAGTAACATTTCACGACAATTATGGTAAGAACAGCTTTCATGAAAGGTTGCTGCCTGAAGTTAGCAAACCCCTAATGACTTGTTAGCAGTTGAAATTTACTATCCTATTATTAAAGAGGAAGAAAACACACACACACACACACACAAAGGCTAACCAAACGACAACAACAAAATCTAATTTGCTTGGCTCTTGAGACAGAAGCCTTGCCAATGCCCCCGGCCGAATAAACCCCTTCCTTCTTTAAAAAAAAAAAAAATCTAATTTGATTAACATTCTGTGGACAAGTCCATATAATGCTGTCAAAACAATAATGGAACAAAAGAATATTTTTCTTCTTTCTTCTTAAGTTTAATTGAAACCTGAATTATCCCAGACAGATTTTTACCCCCTTTTCTTTAATCAATTTCAGCCTAATTAATTCTTCTGTTGCTGAGTCTTGTTACATTAGTCTGCTGATTATTTCCACGATCAAGAGGCTGTATATTAATGCATTTTCTTTCCATTTTTACCCCTTTTATTTTTAGGTGACACAATGATTGTACATCTTTTTGGAATACAGTGTGATATTTCTATAAGCGTGTACAATGTATAATGATCAAATTATGGTAATTAGCACATGTATCACCTCAAAACAGATACACAGGCCAACATTTATCATTTCTTTGAGTTGTGAACACTCAAAACCCTCTCTTCTAGCTGTTTGAAAATATACAATACATTAAAACTAACCATTTTACCCTTGTGTTGTTGAACACCAGAACTCATTCCTCCTATCTACCAGTAATATTTTATCTGTTAAGCAAACTCTCATCATTCTCCCCTCCTAAATACTCTTCACCGCCTCTAATACCCACTATTTGATTCTTTACTTCCATGAGCTCAATTTTTTTCATGTCCCACATATGAATGAGAAGGTGCAATATTTATCTTTCTGTGCCTGACTTACCTCACATATATTCCAGGCTCTGTCTTTAAGGTAAATTTCTAGCAAGGTTATTTCTGCATCAAAAAGTAAATGCATAAAAATGCAAAAAGTAAATGCAAAAAAAAATGCTTTTCTAGATATTATCAAATTCTCTTTGAAAGGGATTCCACTATTTTGGCACTTCACAAACAATGTAAATGAATGCTGATTTTTGCACCAATTAACCAACAGAGAGAAACTTCTAACTTTCTTGAATCCCAGGTGGGCATGTTACCCTTTAATACATAAATCAGACCTTCTTTCATTTTCAGAAAGTTATCTTAGATTACATTTTAAACTAAGGTTGCCTTATGTTGTGTTTTTCTTATTTGGGCATTCTAATGAAGTGTATGCTGAATTTCTTTGCTTAGCTTCTTTATTGATCACTTTCTCATTGATCATTTAAAAAATATATTTTTTTTCATTTTCACTAACTTGACTATTTTTGTTTATTTCTTCAAGTTCCCTTTTATACTATTAGCTAAATCTATTATCTTATTGGCATGTGGTAATTAAGACTTCATTTCTTTGATAATTTTGAATTTTTTCTTAAGATTCTTTCAGGTTGAATCAGATCTCTTTTTATAATATAGCTTTTAATATCTGTGTCTGTTCTGAGCTTTTTATTTTCTGATATGAAATGCTTTAACTCATATTTTAAAATACTTGTTAAGATAATTAATTTAAATTGGAGTGCTATGTTACAGATTTCTATTGCCTCATGTTTTTATGTAGGGACATTTTTATTAGTCAAAATGTTATGATTCTCATTATCTTTTTTCTTTTTGGTAACTACTGTAGTTTGGATATGATTTGTTTGTCCCCAACAAATCTCATGTTGAAATTGGATCCCCATTGTGGTGGTGTTGGGAAGTGGGGCCTATGGTAGGTGTTTGGCTCTTGAGGGTGGATCCATCATGAATAGATTAGTGCCCTCCCTAATTGGAGGCAAGTGAGTTCTCACTCTATTAGTTCCTGTAAGAGATGGTTGTTACAAAGGGCCTGGCATTCTCCCAACCTCTTTTTCTTCCTTTCTTACCATATAAGGCCCTCACCAGGTGCTCAATTTAGAACTTTCCAACCAGCAGAAACATAAGCTAAATAAACCTCTTTTCTTTATAAATTACTCAGTCTTAAATATTCTTTTATAGCAACACAAAAAGGATTAAGACAGTAACATTATATGGATGTTACTTTGTCAGAGAGATAGAGAGAGAGAGAAAGAGAGAGAGAGCCAGAGCAGAGAGAGATATTGAGGGCTTCTGGAATGTGGCTATATGTATAAATCATGAATTGCCCCACAAGGATTTCTAGTGGTGATTTGAAGCTATTTACCAGGGAAATTGTGCACTGGGGAAAAGAAAATACACAGAACTTCTAGGCAGTATTAGATACTGGCTCTGAACTGTTGCTAATACCTGGAGACCAAAATGCAAATATGGTCTGTCAGTCTGACTGTGGGCTTATAGAGGCGAGGCTATAGATGAATTATTGGCTTAAGTCCTTCTCCTTCTCATGGAAAGTTCAGTAGAACTATTGTCTCAGCTTCTGATTATTCTCCAGGTCCAGAATATTTAGTGGAAAAGGATGTACTGGGTGCCTAGTAAAATATACACGTTGTTTCCCTAATTTTTGAATGTGGAACTATTATAACATGAATTGTTAAGTGGGAGTTCCTAGAACAATCTCTGCTACAGATAAATAAATACCGCATCTCTAGGGAGGTTGATTAGATTATGCAGGCCTGGTGTTTCTAATCACCTTGCCTTTTGGCCTCTACTTAAGCAATGAGTGATGAAGACTGACTATATATATTTTTTTTATTATTATACTTTAAGTTTTAGGGTACATGTGCACATTGTGCAGGTTAGTTACATATGTATACATGTGCCATGCTGGTGCGCTGCACCCACTAACTCGTCATCTAGCATTAGGTATATCTCCCAATGCTATCCCTCCCCCCTCCCCCCACCCCACCACAGTCCCCAGAGTGTGATATTCCCCTTCCTGTGTCCATGTGATCTCATTGTTCAGTTCCCACCTATGAGTGAGAATATGCGGTGTTTGGTTTTTTGTTCTTGCGATAGTTTAAAACAGTTTAATCAGGTAGTAGTGTCAATATTCCTTGTTCCAGATGTGATATTCTAACTAGAGCCAATCAACATCAGCCTTGATGCCTAGTGTATAAATCCTAAAGTGCTTTGTATTTATCCCATACCTATCACTAAAGAAAATCAGATGCATTTTGTATTAATGGGGCAGATACAAGTCTCCTTTATTGTCTTAGCTTGAGGCTATGTTAGCTCTCTGGCTTTCTTTCATAATATAGTTAAGTGCTGTCTTGATTATCATTATATTCAACAGAACAACACATTGGTTCATTACATTTATGATATTATTTCAGTTGTAACTGGTGGACAGGAAAGAGCAAACATCCCAGATGCTTGTAAGGCACATGTGCAAGAGATGGAAACATAATTTCTGTGAAAATACAGGGCCATGGCACAACTGTGGTTTGTAAGTACCCAGTGGTCTTCAGCATGTTGACATATTCTTTCAAAATGTATGTTAATAGAAAATAAATACAACACTTGATGGACCTCTTTGGATTTTAGAGACAATGCATAGAATATTTGTCGTATGACTCTGACCTATTTTCTGGATGTTTTATAAGGCTGCTGGTTTTTATACTTCTCAGAGCAAGAAATGGGTCTGCATGACATATGGCTGCAGTATAAGCTACTCTGACACTTGGGGATTATGAGCTGGAAGTTCCAAGTGTCTGTGGTAGATACTGTATAGCAGGAGTCAATATTAGAATAATAGCCCAGTGTCTGAGGCATTTGTAGGAAGGCCATATCCTATTCTGACAATAAATTTTGTTCATTAAAAGCAGTTCTTCGTTTGCTACTGGAACACAAAGTGACTATGCACCCCCAATTGCCCATTATGAACTGAATATTATCTGATCTACCCAACCATAAAATTGAATGTGCATAGCAGCATTCTGCTGTAAAATGGAAATGGTATGTAAAAGACGGAGACTGAGCAGGATCAGAAGGAATGAGTAAACAGCACTGGCAGGTGGCTCAGACTTCATATCTGCTTCCTCTGCTGTGCTGGTTCTTCTTCAACTCATACCTTTGGTCCCATACAAAGTCAAAGTTACCTATGACTAATTAAAGAAGAAGAAAAAACTGAGGCCTGATTTATGAATGCAGCTGCATAGTGTCTTGGCACTAGCTAGAAGTGGCAGCCAATCCTTTACAGTCCTACCCTGAAGAAGCTCTAAAAATGTGGTGAAGAGAAATATTCCCAGTGGGCAGAGATTTCTATGGCTAATATGGTATCATACAAAATAGTTTTCCTACCATAAAATATCTTCTATACTTCAATTATTCACCCGTCTTCCCCTCCACCCAATCTCCTGGCAACCATTGATGTATTTTTTTTTCTTCTTTTCTATCACAAAAAAAATGATATTTGTATTTGTGCTCAAATATATAGATTTTTCCATCACACTGACAGACAGAGGATTGTTTTAAGAGACAATCGTAGGTCTATACAATGATGTCATTAAAATGATGTTTGTGTGTTCAATGATAAAAAACATACATATGCTAAACTGTAAAGAGAATAAGAGATTTTAAAATACTGTTTATATTAACAGCAATTACTTTTGCACCAACCTAATGTGTATTCTATTTTCATGATAATAAATATATATATTTATATGCTAAAAAAGGTTATAGCTAGTGAGGTTACAGGTTATTTTTACTCATTTTCATTTTGCTGGTCCTTTTTTTTCTAAATTTGGTACAACAACCACATATTACTATTTTTAGTTACTTTTATAATAGGAAAACTAGTATTTTTAAGTTGACTCTCACATAATAAATGGGAACTTGTGAAATATGCAGGGTACCAGGAAATCTAGCCAGATGAAGAATACAGTAGAAGGGTAATTTGTGTGTGTATTTTTATCATCCTGTTTTCTTTTCTTTTTTTGATTTTTTTTAAATTTGTATGGATTTAGGAGTATAACTGCAGTTATGTTACATGCATACATTGTGTAGTGGTGAAGTCTGGGCTTTTAGGGTACCCATCACCAAATAGTGTACATTGTACCCTAAACGTAGTTTTTCATCTCTCACCTACCCATTTTTTGGACTCTCTAATGTATATTTCTCTGGTCTGTATGTCTATGAGTACTTATTGTTTAGCTCCCACTTATAAATGAGAACATGTGGTTCTCAGAGTTTCTGTTTCCGAGTCATTTGTCTAAGAGTAATAAGCTTCAATTCATTCATGTGCTACAAAAGACACGATTTCATTCTTTTTCATGGCTGAGTAGTAGTCCATGTTGTATATCTACCACATTTAAATTCAATCATCCTTCGATGGACACAGGTTGATTCCATGACTTTGCTATTGTGAATAGTGCTGTTATAAACATACAAATGCAGATATTGTTTTGATAAAATGATTTCTTTTCCTATGGGTAGATATGCAGTACTGAGATTGCTGGATCAAAGAGTTGTTCTATTTTAGTTCTCTGAAAAATTTTTATACTGTTTCCCATAAAGGTTGTACTAATTTACATTTCCAGAAACAGTGTGTAAGAATACGCTTTTCTCTGCAACATTGCCAACATCTATTTTTTTTTTGACTTTTTAATAGTCATTCTGACTGGTGTAAGATGGTATCTCACTGTGGTTTTAATTTGCATAACTCTGATGATTAATGATATTGAACATTTTTTCACAAGTTTGTTGGCCATTTGTATATCTACTCTTCACAAATGACTGTTCATGTCCTTTGCCCATTTTTTAGTAGGGTTGTTTGTTTTTGTCTTATTGAGTTGTTTGGCTGCCTTGTAGATTCTGAATATTAGTCTTTTGTTAGATTAATTGTTTGCAATTTTTTTTCCCATTCTGTAGGTTGTCTATTTACTCTGTTGATTATTTCTTCTGTGGTGCAAAAAGTTTTTAGTTCAATTAAGTCTTATTTGTTTATTTTTGTTTTTGTTGCATTTCCTTTTGAGGATTAGTCATAAATTCTTTGCCTACATGAATGCCCTGATGAGTTTTTCAACTCTTCTAGGATTTTTATATTTTCAGGTCTTACATTTAAGTCTTTAATATATCTTGAGTTAATTTTTGCATGTGGTGAGATAGAGGGATCTAGTTTTCTTCTGCATGTGACTACACAATATTCCCAGCACCATTTATTGTTTTGTCTGATATAAATATAGCTACTCCTGTTCCCTTTGGGTTTCTGTTTGCATGGATTATCTTTTTCCTCTCCTTTATTTTGAGTCTGTAAGTGTCTTTACCGGTTAGGTGGCTTTCTTGTATACAGTGTATCATTGGATCATTTTTTAAATCTATTCTGCCAGCCTCTATCTTTTAAGTAGAGCATTTAGTCCATTTACTTTTAAGATTAATATTGACATGTGAGGTTTTGTTTTTATCATTATAATGTTTACTTAATTGCTTTGTTGTCTTGATTGTGTAATTGCTTTCTAAGACATGTGAGTTTTATACTTTCATGTGTTTTCATGTTAATGACTATCATCCTCTTGTTTCCAAGTTTTAAACTCATTTGAGCATTTCTTGTAGGATCTGTCTAGTGGTTACCAATTTCTTTAGTGTTTGTTTCTCTAGGAAAGACTTTATTTGTCCTTCATTTTTGAAGCTTAGTTTAGCAGGATTCAAAATTCTTGGCTGGTATTTTTTTTCTAAAAAGACAGAAAATAGGGCCCCACTTTCTTATGGCTTGGATGGGTTCTGCAGAAATTGCTGCTGTTTATCTGATGAGATTTCCTTTATAGGTGCTTTGATGCTTCACTCTTGTCACTTTTACTATTCTTTCTTTCATGTCGACATTGCCATGTTGAGGTTCTTCTTGAAATTTATTTCCAGGAGTTCTCTAGGATTCTTATATCTGGATATCTAGATCTCTAGCAAAAACAGAGAAGTCGTTCATCTCTGCATGAAAATGGAGGGGCAGTGAGGCTCTTATTTGAAGGAAGCAGGTGCACTGGATACTTGGAATTATACCTGGGTGTGAATAGGAGAGGGAGTCAATGCACTAAGAACTCCGCACAGGAAGGGAGAGGTGACCCAGGTCCCTGATCCAGTCAAGCGGGTGTGTTGAATGCTTGGAATTATGCCTGGGTGTGGAGCGGAGGGGAAGCCCTTGCACCAAGAACTCTGCATAGAAATGGAAGGATTACTCAGGCTCTTAATCCTGGCAATTGGGTGCACCAAATGCCTATAAATACATGCCACAGTGAGAAGTAAAGTAACTGCTGCAGTGTGGATTAATTGCTGCTGCAACAAGGTCTTTGCATGGAGAGGGAAGGGCAACTCAGGCACCTATTCCATGTCAATAGGTGTGCTAAGTGCCTGGAAATATGTCCAGTCACGGAGCAGAGGGGGCATCGCTGCACCAAGTTCTTTGCCATAGAAGGAGGATGTGCCCCATCCTCCCAATCCTGGTGAGCAAGAATGGGGTTTGCTTCCCTCCCACTCCTTGCAACTGGTGGGCCATGCTTCTCTGACTGATCGAGGGAACAGGTGGGGGCATCCAGCAATGACACTTGTAGACCAGTCCCAGCCCATAAATCTGGCTACAAATCACATTTCCCAGGAGAAACTGTGACCTCAGTGACTCTCCTGGGCTCTAGTCCGGGGATAGGAGAGAGCCCATTTTTAGCACCTAATGCTGGGGTGCACTCCACACTCATCACTGAATTCTGGCCATGGAGGCTTTCCCCTACTCCAGAACAAGTGCTCCAATATCCAGCTGGAGACTAAAATGCCTGCAGCAGCTGTCACTTCCTGGTCACCAAACTATGACTTACTTTGTATGAGTCCATTTGAAAATGACATCCTCCTCTTAGTCCTGGGTCTGGGAAAATGCCTTCAGTGTTTTCCTGTGTCTTTCCCTCTCACATTCTCCCAACCTATCCCCAAGTTATCTCCAAGACTTAGGAGAAACAAGGTGCTCTCCTGTGACCTGGGTGGCACAGACCCCTACTGGAAAAGTGAATCACAGAGGGAGTCTCTTTGCCTCCATCATGTAACTGGAGCTTCATTCACTTTTTTCAGTAATATGCCATCATGCAGGCTGCTTGCCAACCTTCTCTTCTCTGGGATTTGGAGTGTCCTTTGCTTTTCAGATGAATTCTCATATTGCTTCTTGTATGAAAGCTCATAGTGTTGAACTTTACGCACTAGTTTGCAAATTTCAAGTGGATGAGGTATGCTAAAATCCTCTAATTTACCATCTTGGAAAAAAGAAACCATAAATTTGCTCATTATCTTCATACTTTTGATTTGCTAGAATATCATATAGTTGGGATCATAGAGTATAGAGCTGGCTTCTTTTGCTGAGCAATGTGCATTTAAAATTTATCCATATTTTTCATGGCTTTATAATTTATTTGTAATTTATTAGGGTAAAATATACATAAAACATAATTATCAGCATTTTAAAGTATACAACTTAGTGGCATTAAGTACATTCACATTTCTGTGCAACCATCACCACCTCTATCCATCTCCAGAACACCTTTTTTTTTTTTGAGACGGAGTTTCGCTCGTTGCCCAGACTGGAATGCAATTGCACAATCTCGGTTCATCACAATCTCTGCCTCCCAGGTTCAAGCGATTCTCCTGCCTCAGCCTTCTGAGTAACTAGGATTACAGGCATGTGCCACCACATCTGGATAATTTTGTTTTTTTAGTAGAGACGGGGTTTCTCCACGTTTGATCAGGCTGGTCTCGAACTCCCGACCTCAGGTGATCTGCCCGCCTCGGCCTCTAGAACACTTTTCATTTTGCATAACTGAAATACTATACCATTAAACAATAGTGTTCCATTACCCCTTTCCCCCAGCCTCTTAAAAACACCATTCTACATCTGTTCTTATAAATTTGACTACTGTAAATACTTCATATAAGTGGAATCATACAGCATTTGTCCTTTTATGACTAGCTTATTTCACTTAGTATAACGTCCTCAAGATTCACCCATGATGTAGCATATGCCAGAATTTTCTTTCTTCTCAATGATGAATAATATTCTACTGAAAAATCAACATACATAATCAGTACCATTTCTATGCACTATCAGTGAACTATCTGAAAAATACATGGAAACCACCCAATTACAACAGCAAAAAATGTATAGAATACTTAGGAATAAATTTAGCAAAGGAGGTGAAAGACCTGTACGTTGAAAATTATAAAGCATTGATGAAATATTGAAGAAGGTACAAATACAAATGAAAATATATTTTCTGTTTTTATACACCAAAAGAATTAATATTATCAAAATGTTATTAAAATTTTCTCCACCCAAAACATTCTATAGATTCAATGCGATCCTTATAAAAATTCTAATGACATTTTTCACAGAAAAAAATCCTAAACTTCATATGGAACCACAAAAGACCCCCAGATAGCCAAAGCATTCTTGAGTATAAAGAGCTAAGCTAGAGGCATTATCCTACCTCATGTTAACGTCTGTAAGAAAGCTATAACAATTTTTTTAAAAGCATAAAACTGTCATAAAAATAAACACATAGATTAACACAACAAAGTAGGAAATCCAGAAATATATCAATGCATTTATTGTCAATTGATATTCAAAAAAATGCCAAGAACACACAATGAGGAAATGACGGTCTCTTAAATGGTGCTAGGAGAATGATATACAAATGCAGTAGAATGAAATTAGACCCTTACCTCACACCATATACAAAGATAAATTCAATATGGAATAATAGTGGAATATATTTGCAAACTCTATATCTGATAATAAGTTAATACAAAAAATGTATAAGGAACTCAAACAATTCAAGAGTAAGAAAGCAACCTGATTTTAAAAAGGGCAAGGGACCAAAACAGACATTTCTCAAAAGAAGACATACAGGTGGCCAATAGGTATATGAAACAATGTTCAACGTCAGTAATTATGATGGGAATTGCAAAGTAAAATCACAAGATATCAC
Source organism: Homo sapiens (assembly GCF_000001405.40). NCBI lineage: Eukaryota > Metazoa > Chordata > Mammalia > Primates > Hominidae > Homo > Homo sapiens. The sequence continues at coordinate 187,174,484 of NC_000001.11, forward strand.
CTCATACTTGTTAGGATGGCTATTATCAAAACAATGAACAATAACTGCTAGCAAGAATGTGGAGAAAAGAAAAGCCTTGCACATTATTGATAGGAATGTAAATTAATGTGGCCATTATGAAAAACAGTATAAAGGTTCCTCAAACAATTAAAAATAGTACCAACATATGATCCAGAGTTCCCACTACTGTGTATATATATTTCAAAGGATATATAATCATCAGTATATCAAGAGACATTTGAACTCCTATGCCTATTGCAGCACATGCACATAGCCAAAGTCTAGAATCAACCTAAGTGTCTATCAACAGATGAATGAATAAAGTAAATGTCTCATATATATACACAATGAAATATTATCCAGCCTTTAAAAAGGACATCTACATGAATGAACCTGACAGACCTTATATTAAGTTAAACAAACTAGGCACAGAATGACAAATACCACATGATCATTCTGATATGTGAAATCTAAGAAGCAGAACTCATAGAAAGATAGTAAAATAGTGGTCACTTTAGAGTTGGGGGTGGGGGAGTTTAGGTATGTTGGTCAAAGGACACAAAATTTAAGTTAGATGGAGGAATAAGTTCAAGATATCTATTGTATGTTATGATGACTGTAGTTAATAATATATTTTACACTTGAAAATTGATAGAAGAGTGAATTTTAAATGTTCTCATTACATACACAAAAATGATCAGTATATGAAGTCATGTATGTGTTAAATATTTTGATTTAGTCATTCCACAATGTATGCATGTATTAAACATCATGTTGTATACCATAAATACATACAATTTGACTTGCCAATTAAAAAAATAAGGAAAGAAAGAAATACAATGAAATCCTGTGTTGATTTTTATCCTGTAACTTTGTAAAATTTAAATATTAGCTTTAACAGTTTTTTTTTGGTGTGAGGAACACTTAGGGTTTTCTACATATAAGATCATGGTATCCATGAACAGAGGTGATTTTGTTTTTCCTTCCTAATTTTGATGCATTTTATTTCTGTTGTTTGCCTAATTGCTCTGGCAAGGACTTCCTTCCAGTACTTTGTTGACTATAAGTGGCAAAAGGTGACATTTTGATCTGGTTCCTAATCTTAGATAAAAAGCTTTCATCATTTAACCATTAACTATGATGTTAACCATGGGCTTTTCATTACACTTTTCATTATATTTTCAATATACTTTATTATGTTGAGATAGTTTCCCTCAGTTCCTAGTTTTTTGACTTTTTTAAATCATCAAAAGGTGACAAATTTTGTCAAATGTTTTTTCAGCATCATTTGAGATGATGTGAGTTTTTACCTTAATTTTATTAATGTGGAATTACATGGATTGATTTCCACCTTTTAAACCATTCTTGAATTCCAGAAATAAATCCCTCTTATTCATTGTGTATACTCTTTTCAGTGGGATGCTGAATCTAGTTTGCCAGTGTTTTGTTGTGAAATTTTGCATCTATGTTCATCAGAGATGTGTATCTGTAGTTTCTTTTTCTGGTTTGGAATCAGGTTAGTGCCAACCTCATAGAATAAGTTTAGAACTGTTCTCTCTTCTGTCACTTTTTGGAAGAGTTTGAGAAGAATTCATATTTGTTTTTAAATGTTTGATAGAATTACTCAGTGGTCATCTGATCCTGGGCTTTTGTTTTTTAAGGGTTTTTTAAAAATTATTGATCCCCTTATTAGTTATAGGCCTGTTTATATTTTCTGATACTTCATATTTTAATCTTGGTAGAATGTGCATTTTTAGAAATTTGTTCATTTTATCTATGTTATCTATTTTTTGTATACAATTGTTCAAAATACTTTCTTATAATCCTTTTTGTTTCTGTAAAATTGATAGCAATGTCCTCTCTTCATTTCTGATTTTAGTAATTTGGGTTTCCTTCACTTTCTTAGTCAATCTAGCTAAAGGTTTCTTCATTTAGTTGATTTTTTTTTATGAAATCAACTCTTGCTTTCATCAATTTTCTCTGATATTTTCTATTCTCTGTTTTTTTTTTTTACTACTGCTCTAATCTTTATTATTTGTTTCCTTCTGGTAGCTTTGTGTTGAATTCTTTTTCTAGTTTCTTACATTGTAAGTTTAGGTTTTTAATTTGAGACTTTTCTTCATCCTTTTTTTTTTTTTCTTAGAGACAGGATCACACTCTGTCACCCAGGCTGAAGTCCAGTGATGTGATCATAGCTCACTGCAGCCTCAAATGCCTGGGCTTAAGTGATCCTCCTGCCCCAGCCTGCTGAGTAGCTAGGACCACAGGGATATGCCACCATGTCCAGCTATTTTTTGTTGTTGTTGTTTTGTAGAGACAGGGTCTTGCTATGTTGTCCAGGACAGTCATGAACCCCTGGGCTCAAGTGATCCTCTTGTCTCAGCCTCCCAAAGTGCTGGGAGTACAGGCATGAGTCACCATGACTGGCCAAGGTCTTTCATTTTTTAATGTAGACTTTTACAGTTATACATTTTCCTGTTATCACTGCTTTCGTTTCATTACTTAAGTTTTTGTATGTTATGCTTTCACTTTTATTTTTCTCAAGATATTTTCACATTTTCTTTGTGATTTCTGATATTTTCTGGTTGTTAAGAGTGTGTTGTTTAATTTTCACGTATTGGTAGGTGTATTAGTTCATTCTCACACTGTTATTAAGAACTACCCTAGGCTGGATAATTTATGAAGAGAAGGAGTTTAATTGACTCACAGTTCTGCAGGCTGTACAGGAAGCATGGCTGAGAGGCCTCAGGAAACTTATAATCATGGCAGAAGGTGAAGGGGAAGCAAGCACCTTTTCCACATGGAGGCAGGAGAAACAGAGAGCAAGGGGGTGGTGCCATACACTTTTAAACCATCAGATCTCATGATAACTCACTCACTATGATGAGGAGAACATGATGGAAATCCACATCCATGATCCAATCACCTCCCACCAGGTTCTTCCCACAACATTTGGAATTACAGTTCAACATGAGATTTGAACTGAGAGCTCTCTGTCCCCTCTCTGGGGACAGAGAGCCAAACCGCATCATTCTACCACAGCCCCTCCCAAAAGTCATGTCTTTTTCATATTTCAAAACACAATGATTCCTTCATAACAGTCCCCCAAAGTCTTAATTCATTCCAGCCTTAACCCAAAGCCCAAGTCCAAAGTCTCATCTGAGACAAGGCTAGTGCCTTCCAATTTTCACAGCTCTACTAGGCAGTTCCCCAGTAGGGACTCTGTGTGGGGGCTCCAACCACACATTTCCCCTCTACACTGCCCTCGTAGAAGTTCTCCATGGGAGGCTGAGGTGGGAGGATCACTTGAGCCCAGGAGTTCAAGGCTGCAGTGATCTATGATTGTGTCACTGCACTCCAGGCTAAATGATAGAATGAGAACCCATTTTAAAAAATATATGAATAAAAAAAGGTAAGAAGATATTTGGTATTATTTCAATTTTTAAATTTTATTATTTTATTTTTATTTTATTTTATTATTTCAAAATCTAAATTTTAAATAAGGCTAGTGCCTTATTTTACATGTTTTATAAACCTGTAAAATAAAAAACAAGTTAGTTACTTTGAAGATATAATGAGGATACAGGCATTGGGTAAATACATCCATTCCAAATGGGATAAATTGGCTAAAACAAAGTAGGTAAAGGCCTCACACAAGTCTGAAACCCAGCAAGGCAGTCATTAAATCTTAGAGCTTCAAAATAATCTCCTTTGACTCCATGTCTCATATCCAGGGTACACTGATGCAGGGAGTGGGCTCCCAAGGCCTTGGGGAGCTCTGGCCCTGTGGCTTTCCAGGGTACAGCCCCCATGGCTGCTTTTGCAAGCTGGCATTGATTATCTGTGGCTTTTTCAGGCTCACAGTGCAAGCTGTTGGTGGATCTACTATTCTGCAGTCTGGAGGATGGTGGCCCACTTTTCACAGCTCTACTAGGCAGTTCCCCAGTAGGGACTCTGTGTGGTGGCTCCAACCCCACATTTCCCCTTTACACTGCCCTAGTAGAGGTTCTCCATGAGGGCCCCTGCAACAGACTTCTGCATGGACATTCAGGCATTTCCTTACATCTTCTGAAATCTAGACAGAGGTTTCCAAACCTCAACTCTAGCCTTCTGCACACCCACAGGCCCAATACCACGTGGAAGCCACCAAGACTTATGGCTTCCACCCTCTGAAGCCACAACCTGAGCTGTACCTTGGCCCCTTTTTAGCCACAGCTGGAGCTGGAGCAACTGAAACACAGGGTGACATGTCCTGAGGCTGCACAAAGCAGCAGGGCCCTGGGCCTGGCCCATGAAACCGTTTTTCCCTCTTAGGCCTCCAGACCTGTGATGGATGGGTCTTCCAGAAGGACTCTGAAAGGCCTGGAAACATTTTTCCCATTGTCTTGGCTATTAACGTTGGGCTTCTCTTTATTTATGCTAATTTCTGCTGCCAGCTTGGGCTTGAATTCCTCCCCACAAAAAGTTTTTGTTTTCTATCACATGGTCAGGCTGCAAATTTTCCAAATTTTATGATCTGCTTCCCTTTTAAATATAAGTTCCAATTTGAGACCATCTCTTTCCTTATGCAAATGAGCATAGGCTTTTAAAAGCAGCAGGCCACATATTCAGTGCTTTGCTGCTTAGAAATTATTTCCCTCAGATACCCTAAATCATCTCTCTCAAGTTCAGAGTTCCACAGATCTCTAGAGCAGGGGCACAATGCCACCAGTCTCTCTGCTAAAGCATAGAAAGAGTGACCTTTGCTCCAGTTCCCAATAAGTTTCTTATCTTTATCTGAGACCACCTCAGCCTGGACTTCATTATCTATATTACTATTAACATTTTTGTCACAACCATTCAACAATTCTCTAGGAAATTCCAAACTTTCCCACATTTTCCTGTCTTCTTCTGAGCCCTCCAAAATGTTCTAATCTCTGCCAGTTACGCAATTCCCAATTTGCTTCCACATTTTCAGGTATCTTTATAGCAGTGCCCAATTGCCAGTATAAATTTTCTCTGTTAGTTCATTCTCACACTGCTATAAAGAACTACTTGAGACTGAGTAATTTATGAAGAAAAGAGGTTTAATTGACTTAGTTCTGCAGGGTGTATAGGAGGCATAGCTGAGAGACCTCAGGAAACTTAAAATCATGGCAGAAGGTGAAGGGAAACCCAGCACCTTCTTCACATGGCAGCATCAGAGAGAGGGCAAGGGAAAAGTGTCATAGACTTTTAAACCACCAGCTCTCATGAGAACTCACTCAGTATTGTGAGAATAACATGAGGGAAATGCACACCCATGATCCAATCACCTCCCACCATGTCCCTCCCCCAACGTTGGCAATTAGAACTCAACATGAGATTTGGGTGGGGACACAGAGAAAAACCACTTCAGTAGGCTTTCCAATTTTTCTTTTGAAAAAGATACTTTGGGCTGGGCATGATGGCTTATGCCTGTAACCCTGGAAATTTAGAAGGCTGAGGAGGGAAGGTTGCTTGAAGCCAGGAGTTCAAGATCACCTGAGCAACATAACAATACCTCCACCTCTACAGACTTTTTTATTTTTTAATTAGCTGGGCTTGGTGGTCCATGACTATAGTCCTAGCTACTTGGGAGGCTGAGGTGGGAGGATCACTTGAGCCCAGGAGTTCAAGGCTGCAGCAATCTATGATTGTGTCACTGCACTCCAGCCTAAATGATAGAATGAGAACCCATCCTTAAAAATATATGAATAAAAAAGGTAAGAAGATATTTGGTATTATTTCAGTTTTTAAAATGTATGAGACTTTTTGTGATCTAACACATTATCTATTCTGGAGAATGCTTGAGTAAAATGTATACCTTATTCTGCTATTGTTGGGTGGAGTGTTATGTGTATCTTTGATAGGTCCAATTGGTATATAGAGTAGTTGAAATCTTTTATTTTCTCATTTATCTTCTGCCTGGTTGTGTTATCCATTATTGAAAGTGCGGTATTAATTAAAGTTGCCTACAATTATTGTCAAGCTATCTATTTCTCCCTTCAATTCTGTCAATATTTGGTTTATATATTTAGGAACTCTGATGTTTGGTGTAGATATTTTTATAATTATTATATCTTCTCAGTGTATTAATTATTTTATTGGTATATAACATTCTTCTTTTTCTCTTTTACCAGTTTTTACCTAAAGTTTATTTTGTTTGAAATTAGTATAGTCATGCTTGATCTCTTTTAATTACCATTTGTGTTGAATATTATTTTACATACTTTCACTTTTAGTCTATGTGTGTCCTTAGATCTAAAATGAGCCTCTTGTATACAGCAAAGAATTGAATCTTGATTTTTTAAATCCATTCAACCACTCTCTGTATTTTGATTGGAGAAATTAATCCATTTACAGTTAAATTAATTATTTATATGTGAGGACTTTTTGTTTTCCTTATGTCTTACATTGGTCTTTCATTTCTTCCCTTATTGCCTTGTTTGTGTTTAATTTTGTTTTTAGAGTAATATGTTTTGATTCTCTGATTATTTCCTTTTTTGTATATTCTATAGATTTCTTTTTCAGTCAGAAAACAAGTAACAAAATGGCAGGAGAAAGTCCTTATTTATCAATAATAATCTTGAATGTAAAGGGACTACATTCCTCAATTAAAAGACACAGATGGTTGAACAGATAAAAGACAAAACAAAATACATGCTACTTACAAGAAATTCACATCAGCTATAAAGACACACATAGACTAAAAGTCAAAGTATGAAAAAAGATATTTTATGCAAACTGAAACGAAAACAGAGCAGGAGTATGTTTACTTATATCAGATAAAGTGCACTTTAAAAAATAGTAAAAAGAGACAAAAAATGTTGATATATGATAAAAGAGTCAGTTAAATAAGAAGATATAACAATTATGAATATATGTGCATCCAAAAATGGAGCACTCAAGTAGATAAAGCAAATATTAACAGATATAAGGAGAGAAATAACCTCTAATACAATATTAATATGGGACTTCATCACCCCACTTTAAGCAATGGACAGATCATCAGACACAAAATCAACAAAGAAACATCAGACTTAAGCTAAACTCTGGACTAAATGAACTGAAGGGACATTTACAAAGACTTCATCCAACTTCTGCAAAATACATATTATTCTCATAGCACATCGAAAATTCTCCAGAATAGATCACATGTATAACCATAAAACAAGTCTCAAGAAATTAAAAAAAATCTAAAGTATATCAAATATATTTTTGACCACATGGAATAAAACCACAAATCAGTAACAAAAGGAATTTAGGAAACTTTATGAATACATAAAAATTTTAAAAATATGCTCCTGAATGACCAATGGGTCAATGAAAAATTAAGAAGGAGATTTAAAAATGTATTGAAACAAATAAAAATGGAAACACAACATACCCAAACCTATGGGATACAGCAAAAGCAGTACTAACAGGGTATTTCATACCAATAAATGCTTACATAATAAAGTAGAAAGACTTCAAGGAAACAACCTAATGATGCACCTCAAACAATTAAAAATGTAACAACCAAACACAAAATTAGCACGTGGAATGAAATAATAAAGATCAGAGCAAAAATAAATGAAATTGAGACTAAAAAATTACAAAAGATCAGTGAAATAAACGATTTTTTAAAAAGATAAATACATTGAAAAATTTTATCTAGACTGACCACAAAAAGATAGCAAACCCAAATAAATAAAATCACACATGAAAAAGGAGATAGTGTAACCAATACCAAACAATACTAAGAATCACTGGAAACTATTACGAACAATTATATGCCAACAAATTGGGAAGTCTAGAAAAAAATGGATAAATTCTTGGACACATACAGTCTACCAAGATTGTATTATGAGGAAATAGAAATCCTGGACAGACCAATAATGAATAATGAGATCCAAGTAATAAGAAAAATTGAACTATGAAATAAGAACCCATGCCTGGTTGGCTTCATTGATGAATTTTTACCAAAAATTTTCAGAAAAATAAATACCAATTATCCTCATACTATTTCAAAAAATTGAGAAGAAGAAATCCTCCCAAGCTCATTCTATGAGGCTAGCATTACCTTGATACTCAAATCAAACAAGGACACAACAAAAAATAAAACTATAGCCCAATATCCCTGATGAACATAAATGCAAAAATCCTCAAAAAAACACTAGCAAGCTGAATCCAACAACACATTAAAAAATTACTTGTTTTGATCAAATGAGACTCATCCTAGGAATGCAAGGATGGTTCAACATACACAAGTCAATAAAAATGATACATCACATCAACAGAATGAAAGACAGAAAAACGTGATCATGTCAATAGATGTGGGAAAACATTTGATAAATTTCAACATCCCTTTATGATAAAAAAAACTCTCAGCAAACAGTGTATAGGAAGAATATACCTCAACATAATAAAGGTCATGAATGACAAACCCACAGCTAATACCATAATGAATTACAAAATATTGAAAGCCTTTCCTCTAAGGTCTCAGACAAGATAAGAATGACCATGTTTACCACTTTTATTTAATGTATTACTGGAACTCCTAGCCAGAGCAATTAGGCAAGATAAATAACAAGGACATCCAAATTGGAAAGGAAAAAGTAAAATTATTCCTTTTTGCAGATTACATGATTTCATATTTGGAAAAACCTAAACTCCACCAAGAAACTATTTGATTTGATAGGAAATTCAGTAAAGTTGCAGGATACAAAATCAACAAACAGAAATCAGTAGCATTTCTATATTCCAACAGTGAACAATCTGAAAAGAAATCAAGAAAGCAATTCCATTTACAATAGCAAAAATAAAGCAAAAGAAACAAAAAAACCCCACCTCGAAATAAATTTAATAAAAAAGATGAAAGATCTCTACAATAAAATAAATTAAGCAGAACACAAACAAATGGAATGATATTTCATGCTAATGGTTTGGAAGAATTAATTGTTTAAATATCCATACTACCGCAATCTACAGATTCAACACAACTCCTATCAAAATGCCATGACTGTCTCTACAGAAATAAAAAAAAAATCAACCTTAAAATCCATAGGTAACCACAAAAGACCCTGATTAGCCAAATCAATCATGTGCAGAAATAACAAAACTGAAGGCTTTACATGACCTATCTTCCAAATATTCTACAAAGCTAAATTAACCAAAATAGCATAATACTAGAATAAAAACAGACACATAGACAAACGTAAAAGATAGATAGCCCAGAAATAAGTCCACATATAAAGTCAATTTCTGTTTGACAAAAATATCAAGGACACATATTGGGCAAAAATCTCTTTAATAAACAGTGGTTGGAAAACTGGTTTCATATGCATAAGAATGAAACTAGATTCCTATCTCTCATCATACACAAACATTACATCAAAATGAACTAAAGACTAAATGTAAGACATGAAACTATGAAGCTACCAGAAGAAAACATTGGAAAAATTCTTGCCAGGCTTGGACTGGGCAAAAATCTTCTGGGTAAGACCTCATAAACATAAGCAACAAAAGCAAAAATAGAGAAATCGGATTATGTCAAGTTTAAAAGCTCCTGTTCAGCAAAAGTAACAATCATCAGAGTGAAGAGATAATCTAAAGAATGGGATAAAATACTTGCAAACTATCCATCTGCCAGGGAATTAATAACTAGAATATATAATGAACTCAAACAACTCAATAGCAAAACACCACATAATCCAATTTAAAAATGGGCAAATTATCTGAATATGCATTTCTCAAAAGATAGCATACAAATGGCCTTTTAAAAATGTGATTATAGTGTTTCTCCTTGTGCACCTCTTTAAGTTTATCCTACCTGGAATTTATTTACCTTCTTTTATTTGCATATCTATTTTTTACCTCAAAATTGAATGTTTTTAGTCATTATTTATTTAAATAAGCTCTCTTTCTATTTTTCTGCTCTTTTCTAAGAATTGATCAGTTAGATGTTGTTCCATAATTCCTTTAGGCTTTGTTCACTTTTCTTCATTTGGTTTCTTTTTGGTCCTCAGACTAAATAATTTCAATGACTTTTATCCATGTTTACTTATTTTTTTTCTTCTGCCTATGCAAGTCTGCTGTTGATCTCCTTTAGTAAAACTTTAACTTCAGTTATATTATTTTTCTAATCCAGAATTTCTTTTTGGTGATTTTTTACAGTTTCTATCTCTGTTGATATTCACATTTGTTAATATATTGGTTTCCTAATTTTTCTAGTTCTGCGTCCATGTTTTTCCTTTAGCTCACTGAGCATGTTTATGATGGTTAGTTTAATATCTTTGTCTAGTAAGTACAAAGCCTGTATTTCTTCAGGGTTGATTAATAGAAATTTATTACTTTTAATTGTCCATGTTTCCTTGTATCTTTGTATGTTCACCGAGTTTTTTTATAAGTTGGACATTTGGAAAAATAGTCACCTCTTCCAATCTTTGCAGACCGGCTCTGTGAGGGAGAGACCTTCATTAATCTGACTGGCATAAATACTTAAAGTCTTCTCAGGAATTTTCTGGACATATATCTTCCCTGGGCCTATGCATGCACATTTTCCCCATATTGCCCTCATACAAAGCTGTATTTAATGTCTTAAAATTGCTACATGCCTCATCCCTGCCTCTTCTCAGGGCCTTGGATATTCTACTCTATTTGTCTTTCTGCAATTTCTTGTTCCCAGTGCCCACAGTGATTCAGTCTCGCTAATGTTTCTGCATGTCACAGAGCCCACTATAGATTTCAGAGGCCTGCAATCTGAGATCCTAACTATGCCACGATTCCTGTTTGAGCTCTGAGTCAGGCAAGACAGAATCCCATACTCTGGGAGCCGATGGACAAGACAAAACACTGCCACCAATTTCTTCTTTACTTACTTCTATCCCAAGGGAGTAACTAAAATTGGGGCAGCTTCCTTTTGACAACACTATGCTGTGGCAAGGGGAGGATGAGGCATGAGTAAGTAAAAACTTTTTGAATTCTTCAACCATTTTGTAGGTTTTTTCTTCTGGATTATATGCTCTCTTGGCTTCTGCAGATTCTTGGGTGGTTTCTGGAACTCCCGTAGAGCTATTTTATACACCCCGTTGTTTACCTGATGTTTCCTCAGGGCAATGAGGGCCAGGTGCTTCCTAGTCACCACATTGCTGATGTCACCTTGTGGTGATCTCTGAAAGCTCACATTTCATAAGGGAATTTTCCCTAACACATTTTGGGCTGTGGATGTCTCCTATTGACATGACTTTTGTCCTTACAGTGGAGAAAGGAGTTTTCAACTCAAAATGGTGGCTTTAGTCACAGCTCCATCACAGCAGACAATGGGTATAGTTTAAGATTTTTGTCTTTTTCTTTCTTTTGGCCTGACTACTTGTTTCTGGTCATTACATGAACCATACTTGGAATTAACACATCAATTATTCTTTGTAAGTAATCAGGTGTGTCTCCATTATAATTAAAAATTATCTATTTATAAAGATTATAGTTTATTGCAGGAGATTTCAGTGTTTACTATATCTTATCTTGGTTCCCTAACTATCTTGTACTCCTTCTACTACATGGTCACTAAAATCTATCTTTAGGTTAAAAGCCTCTGGGTCACACATTTCTAGAATAGTAGCAGCTGCAGGACCCAGGGTTTATTATGTCTTTGAGCACTTCTTTTTAAATGTTATGCTTTCTATTTTTTTTCTCAGAATGCTGAATTTTGCTGTTTGCTCTTCATTATCTAACTTACTAGAATCTTCTTTATAATAATTTTAATGTCTTTGGTCTTTTGCATTTCTTTTTTTTTGTCATTTCTCAGGTCTAGCTACCATTTTTATGTTTTGTAATATTGTATCTGTGTTACTCTAATATGACTTTAACTCCTATAATATTTTTTATTTTTATAATTTTATGCTGGTCTCTGATTATTTTCTATTTTCTTTTGCCTTATATTCTCTTTTAAGAGCTATTTTATCTTTATTTTGAGCTCTCTCTCAGTAAATATCATACTCTCTTTTCTATTCCTGCACCTGATCATTTTTTAGAGTACTCTTGAGACATTTCTGTTGTAGTATTTGTTATTTAACTTAACTGCTTACATTTATTCCTTCAATTAAAAAAATAATGCTCTTTTTAATGCTCTTCTTTCTGATTACTTCTTATTTTTAGCAGGGTTGGCTATGTTCTAGAGTAACGTTGTGACCAAGGCAATACCATCCTGGACATGAAAACAGGCAAAGATTTCATGACAAAGACACAAAAGCAATTGCAATAAAAGCAATTATTGACAAGTGGGATCACATAAGAGCTTCTGCACAGCAAAAGAAACTATCAACAGAGTAAACAGACAATGTACAGAATGAGAGAAAATATTTGCAAACTATGCATCTTTGGTCTAATATCAAGCATCTATAAGGAACTTAAACACATTTACAAGAGAAAAACGAACAACCCCATTAAAAAGTGGGCAAAGGACATGAACAGACATTTCTGAAAAGAAGACATACATGTGGCCAATAAACATATGAAAAAAAGCTCATCACTGGTCATTAGAAAAATGCAAATGAAAACCACAGTGAGATACCATTTCACACCATTCAGAATAACTATTATTAAAAAGTCAAAAAATAACAGATACTGGTGAGGTCACAGAGGAAAGGGAACACTTTACACGATTGGTGGGGATGTAAGTTAGTTCAACCATTGTGGAAATAATTATGGTGATCCCTCAAAGAGCTAAAAACACAACTACCATTCAACCCAGCAATCCCATTACTGGGTATATACACAGAGAGACATGTATCATTTTACCATAAAGACACATGTGTGCAGATGTTAATTGCAGCACTATTCACAATAGGAAAGATACAGAATCAATCTAAATGCCCATCAATGACAGATTGGGTAAAGAAAATGTGGTACATATACACCATGGACTACTATGGAGCCATGAAAAAGAAGGATATCATGTCTTTTGTGGGAACATGGATGAAGTTGGAGGCTATTATACTAAGCAAACTAACACAGGAACAGAAAACCAAATACCACATGTTCTCACTTATAAGAGGAAGCTAAATGATAATAACTTTGTGAACACAAAGAAGGAAACAACAGAAGTCAGGATCTACTTGAGGGGGGAAAGCAGGAGGAGGGAAAGGAGTAGAAAAGATAACTATTGGGTACTGGGCTTAACACCTGGGTTAATCACCCAGGTGTTATATATATATTATATATATAACATATACAACATAATTAATTATATACAACAAACCCTCATGACATATGTTTACTTATGTAACAAACCTTCACATGCACCCCCAAACTTAAACATAAAAGTTTAAAAAAAGGAATTGTGTGTGTGTGTGTGTGTGTGTGTCTATTAAGGTTGCAGGGAAGTGTAAAGCCAGGAATTACTTTCAAATATTGTATTTGAAACTGACATGAGTGGGGCCAGAACATCTTCTATATCTGTTTTCTTTTCTAGGATAAGTCTAATTTTGAATTTGGTTTTCATGGGGTCTCCATGGCTAAAAACAAGGCTCCATAAACTCTGTTTTTAAAACTGACAGTTATCCTCCTCAATTTATTTCTTCTGATGCTTTTGTCTCAAGCAGAGACAAAATCCTCCTTATTTCTTCTGATGCTTTTGTCTCAACCAGAAATTTTATGTCAGCAAGTTTTGTTCTTCAACAATGCTTTTGCTATTTTCCTGTTGTATTGCACAGAATTTTTTTCAGAGATATTACCATGATTTTAAGCACATTTTTATTATGTTCTGGCACTCAGAACATCTAATTAGCTCTCAGAACATAGATTTCAGAGTGTTTACTGAAGTTCTTTGAAGATCTGCTTCTTTCTCTGGTTCATCGAAGATGAAATTTTCTTCTGTTTTGCAATTTTTATATTAGTTTAATAAAGGGGAGCAAGATAAAAATATCTTATATGTCACTGAAAGCCTCATTTAAGGGTTTAAAAAAGTTCCCATTAATTCTCATGTTATACCTTCTTCTGACAAAAGATGAGATACATTGTTTTACAAATTAAGGAAACTACAGTTCAATTGTTAAGATTAATGTTATTAAAATATAATGTGGAATTAAATCTGGGATTCCATTTTTATGTTTTCTATGCTTTATACAATGTTTCATTTAATACCTTAGTAAAATCCTTTACTGTATAGAGTAGGTGTGATAAAACACTCAAAAATACTTGGAGATATTTCTACTGAGGTTGATCTCTTCTTTTGCTTGTCAGGTATGGCTTGTGTCTCTAGTGCTTCTCATAAGGAAACTTCCCTCTCAGGAAGTTAAAGGCCATTGATTCCTCAGGGCCTTGATAGAGTTGATGAACTGAAGTCTTTTCAGATAGCAGGAGTTTCTTCACTTCTACAGTTGAAGTGTTCTTAGTGCCCAAGCTTAGGTTTCCTTTTGACCAGCAGTTTGAACAGAGTACTGCCTGTGTGTATCCCATAGGATTAAAATAGGTTACTCCAAATGCACTGAAAATTTTTACAAAATAAAATCCCAATCTCTCCAATTTGGCAATGAACAGGATATCTTTATTCAGGAAGGATGATGGATTATCCTTAAATCTTAAACCTTGTGTTTCTCCTTCACTTTTGGAATCTCTCAGTGATTAAGTTGTATTTACAGCACAGTATAGTACTGTTCTAGAACACTTACATATTATTTTACTAAAGCTAAGGAATAAAAAAAATACACAGAGTGTAATAGGCAGGTAGATCATCTGGTTGAAAATTGATGTATTTATTTTCAGCTCCCTTCTTGATTTCCTGATTCCCTCCTTTTAGCAGAAGTCTTGTTTAGCCATTTTCCCTCATTTGGAAGAGTCTCAGAAGACCAAATACAAAAAGGAGAGACATAGAGGGAGTCAGAAATTTTCATTCCCACTTAATAAAGAGCTACTTTAACAGTTCTGCATTCTTCTCTAAGAACTCTTATATTCTTATTATCGATGCCAGGACTATGTATCTCCTTTCTGAATAACAAAGACATATTGACTTATCTTATTGACTCTAAAAGTTAAACATATCAGAGTATATTGCAATAAATGCAGCATATATACAAGAAGTAGTAATTAAGTGAAACAGGATATTTTTTGAATACTCTGTGGCTCGTAGGGAAAGTAACACCATCAACATCAAACACTGGCATTTATTGGCTTGCTTGCTTCCTCTGTGTTAAATGCATTATCTCATTTGATCCTCAATGACATATGAGCTGGCTATTAGTATTACTCCACATGACAGGTAAATAAACTAAAGCTTAAAGAGGCCATACAACTTGCCTATGGTCACACAACTTGTTAATGCTGAGGTCAAAATTGTTCTAGTCAGTTTGTTAGGCGAGGCTATCCAATTATTTCTTGCAGCCCATCCCCAATTTCCTGCTTAAGGGCTGGATATGTCTCTAACTTTCTGCATTTTTTTCAGTGTTTCTGATGGGACTGGACAAGAAATGGATAAGCAGCTTTTGAGCAGTAACATGGCTAATCAGGAAAATACTGCTTATCCATGAGCTAGGGCCCAAAGGCTGTATTATGTGGAGGGCTGTGGTGAATTTAGTGCTTCGCATGGTAGGTGAGTATCACCAGCCTTTTTACCTGCATGGAACCCTGAAAGAAGTCAGAGAGGTCGTCTTTAGGGAAAAGTTATAGAAAACTTGAATTGATTGGAAATAATTTTTAATAAATTAATGCATTACCCCAAATCTTCAAACATTTTAGTCTTACATTAACATAAACTGTGTTCTTAAAAACTATTTTTAATTTGATGAAATAATAATAATCAGGTTGATAAGTATTTGGGTATACCTAAAGAAAATTCTAGGTCAAAATGGGAATTTACATTGAGCTTTGCTTTTATTTTGTTAGTATTTAATGATGAATTCTTTATGCGTGCCTCTTTTGATGTCTTAAGTTATTCTAAGACAGTTAGAAGACCTTAAGCAAGATTAATTAGATGATGAAGTTAAGATGATTACAAAAGAAGAGACTACTTAGGTTGTACCTAAAAATAATATTTAAACTTTTAATTGATCCAATAAGTAGACCCAGGAAACTAGTCCAATTATTTTTTCTATCATTATTTTTTATCACTAGGAAAGTTAAAGTGTTCTAAAGAGGACATATCAGCTTTTAACAATGATTTTCTGAAAAACATCTCAGAAATCATCACTAGTCCTTTCAGGTTTGGGTTCAGATAGAGTCAGCTGTGATGAAAATAAATTGATACGCTGTAAAGAGGACTAGCAGGATAATTTATTTTCAGGAGAAGCCCAAATAATAATTCAGAGAGATTTCAAGATGAACTGTATCCTGGAGTTTAAAAAAAATCTAATTACCCTGACTACTGCATTTCTTAGCAAATCAAACTTTGCTTTTGTATCTGGGCTACAAAGGCAGTATACTAGTAGAGCTTTATAGAGGACTTTTTCATTAATATCTATAGATTTTTCAAGTTATCGAGAGTAAAATTTTTACATTTTCAGAGAGCTTGGTTCAGAGTGGTAATTTTTCCCAAGTAAGTGTATTTATCACTAAACCCAGATTCTTAATTCTCTTCTTTAGTGATTACATGTATTTCAAGCCTAATTATTTCAACACTAAAATCATATAATTTGAAAATCAGGAAATATATTTCATTTGTCTCGTTTCATTACATTCATTTATTGTTTTTCTTATATACTGGTTAATATGTATTTTTATTTATCATTGTCATGGAGTTTTAAAAATCTACTGTTTGCACACCTTGCTACTTCTTCAATTTACAATGCATTTTAGATGCCCTTGCCTGATAAAAGCACCTGAACAAATTATAGCCAAGAGAACAATAACACATGCCACCATTGCAGGTTTAAAATACCATAATCTTTAACTGTCTTGTCCAAGGGTTTCTTGTCTTCCTTTGTGTGAATATTTAATTGCTCAGGATAATCCTATTTATGTTGTCAGGAAGAAGAAAAATATAGTGCATTCTGAATATAACCTTCTTTATTAAATATTCTACTAGCATCCCTCGTGGTTGCTGAATTGTACAAGCTATTGAAATAGATCTGGGAGTCAACAAGAACCCTGATTACAAATAACCAACTACACTTTATTAATCTTCTAAATAGCTACACAAATGTTCTTTTTCTCCCAATTTCTTGGAAGAAAAGCAGCATAATGGGTAGATCAATGAAGCTAACAACAAAGAAAGGAACACCGTAATTTGATTTTTAAAGTTATAATTCATTATTGTAATTACTTTAGTCTTCTCAACCACAAGGAAACTTAATACTATTTCTGCTTCCTTATGATAGTGCAATTTTTGAAGTTAAAAGATAAATATTAAAAGATTTACAGCTGTAGATGAATAATTGTATATTTAATTATATGTGTATTATAATTAATTTTATTGTATTTCAAAAGAAATTTAAAAGCCTAATAAATAACTGGAAAATTTTTGGTCAAAGGATGGAAATGTTTACTTATGTGAGATGAATACATTATGGAGGTCTAATGTATAGCATGGTGACTACAGTTAATAATACCATATTGTATACTTAAATTTGCTGAGAGATGACCTTAAGCTTTCTCACCACACACA
The DNA here is from genome assembly GCF_000001405.40 of Homo sapiens. NCBI lineage: Eukaryota > Metazoa > Chordata > Mammalia > Primates > Hominidae > Homo > Homo sapiens. The sequence goes on from NC_000001.11 coordinate 187,192,059, forward strand.
CACACACACAAAGAAACCATAACTCTGTGAGATGATTAATATGCTAATGATCTTGATTTTGATAAGCATTTCAAAATGAATATGCATATCAAAATAGCACAATGTATACTTTAAATATATACAATTTTTATTTGTCAAGTATACATCAATAGAGGTGGACAGAAGGATGCTGCTAAAAAATGATAGTGACAATAAGGTAGTGACTGTGTAGATATAAATAAAAGTATACGGTTTTAAAATCCAAATTCAAGCAGGTGTTTGAAATGCAAACAGGAAGTCATTATATCAGGGTCATATAAGACATAATATGTAGAAAGGAATTAAAAGCTAAATTGGCATGCAATTTAAGAGTCGGCAAAGCTTTTAGGCTTGAACTTAATTAGCAGAGTGGCATAATTACTAAAGAGACCTCCACAAAGTGAGAAACAGAGGAGGGCAAGAAGTACAGCTAGCAGGAAGGAAATAAACTTAGAGGAATCAGATTTAAAAGAGCATTAATAGAGAAAGAATGAGAGAGGTAGAGAGCTATACAGTGATGTGATAAAATACATACATCTTATAGGTATTAATAATGTAAAAAATGCATGCATTGGTTTGGCATTTTGAACAACTATGTATTTAGGGTAACCAAAGAGTTATGGTTAACATCTGTTTTACTTATTTTTTAAATATATAATTAAATATTTAGCTCGTTTAATTAATTTTATATCCCTTTTGTTGATATGTTTTGTTTGTATATTTTGTTGAATATTGTTTCAGTTTGTATCCCTTTGTTATTGTGTATATATATTCAATATCATATCCCTTTTATTGAGTAAGTATAGGTAATTACCATATCTATATATGTTAATTAATTCTGTATCCCTTTTAATGGATATCTTTATGATGACAGAGTAATACAAATTGTTCCAGAAATCAGAAAACTTAGATTATTCCTTACTCTATATAAATCACTGGATATAGTTGTCTATTATAAAATGGAAATAATGACACCAGCTATGCTTACTTCAGAAAGTTAAATATGCAAGTTTATCATTAGTGGCCATTGGTCTTTCTTTTTGAATCCTGAACTACCAAACTGTCCCCTGCCTGTATTCCTGCCGCCCAGGACCTACACAGTATTTACTATCCTACTATCTTTTGTTCTGTTACCTTATTTCACAGATTCTGAAATACTTAAAAAAAAAAAACTCCTGTAAAATTGGGATAAACTTTACCATGTCTAGGAGCTTATAATCACTGCTGGCTAGTCAGCATCGTTGTTTAGTGCCACTGGATATGTGAACTTGGCTATTATTTCTTATTAGACAATGATACTCCCTCAGTGTTTCTGTGTACAAACCATTTTAAAACCACTTGAGGAAAGATTATGTGTCACTTTCTAATATAATCAAGAAAGTGACAATAACAAAATATGGAAAGTTTGGAAGAAAATTCTATTGCCAGTTTGTATGCTAGTCTTGTGAAAAAACATAAATAGTTCTGAGTTGAAAAATCATTCAGAAGAATCAGACTCTGAAAGTAATTTTTTTTAAACTTTTATTTTAGGTTCGGGGTATGGGTGCAGGTTTGTTATATAAGTAAACTGCACATCATGGGGGTTTGGTGTACAGATTATTTTGTTATCCAGGTAATAAGCATAGTACCCAATAAGTAGTTTTTTTGTTTCTCTGTCTCCTCTCACTCTTTACCCTCAAATAGGCCCCAGTATCTGTTGTTCCTCTCTATGTGTCCATGTGTTCTCATTGTTTAGCGTCTGCTTATAAGTGAGAACATGCAGTATTTGGTTTTCTCTTCCTGCATTAATTTGTTTAGGATGATAGCCTCCAGCTCTATCTGTGTTCCTGCAAAGGAAATGATCTCATTCTTTTTTCATTACTACATAGTATTCCATGGTATATTTATATATATCACATTTTATTTATTCAGTCTACTGTTGATGGACATTCAGTTTGATTCTAGTTTTTGCTATTGTTAATACTGCTCTGATAAAGATATGCATGCATGTGTTTTATCGTAGAATAATTTATATCACTTTGGGTATATACCCAATAATGGAATTGCTGGGTCAAATAGTAATTCTATTTTAAGTTCTTTGAGGAATTGTCACATTGCTTTCCACAAGAGTTGAACTAATTTACATTCCCACCAACAGTATGTAAGCGTTCCCTTTTCTCCACAACCTCACCAGCATCTGTTAGTTTTTGACTTTTTTAATAGTAGCCATTCTGACTGGTTTGAGATGTTATCTCGTGGTTTTGATTTGCATTTCTCTGATGATTAGTAATGTTGAGCATTTTTTCATATTCTTGTTGGAAAGTAATGTTAGAAGCATATTAGAAGTTCATTTTTCTTCTATTTTCCTTTTTACATATGCATAAGTGAGATATGTGATAAAATCTATGTGTAAGAAAATGCACTATAGCTTTTACAGGGAGTGAAAAAATACAAATTCCAAGTTATGATTAGCATTGTGTTGTGACTTAATTGACAGCATTTTAAATTTTGTAGTCATACATTAAGTAATAATGAATCTTACAACTGGTAGTATTTAGGATTTGACTTAATAATTACATCTCCTAACTGGTTTTCCTAACCCTATCCCCGTGCTTCAGAAATTTTTCTCCTTTATTCATTGAAGAACAGTCCTTTTCTAGACTCTATTTCTCCTGGGCCTTCCCAGGAGATTAGTCAAATTAGACATTGATATAAGCCATGATAGCTTCAAAGGAAGTAACAGCTTCGTGTACTAATGAATCAAATTAATACATTTGCATTTATCAATGATTTTTGGATCTCAGTAGTTCAAGAGAATAATTTTAATTATACGTACCTCAGGTGCCATGATTAGCATATGCTTATACCAACAATTGCTTGTTACTAACAGCTGTTCTCAGATTCTTCCCATGAGCCCTATATGGGCTCAGTGAAGGACACTGTTTTTATTATTTAAAAAATAAAATGTAGGTTTATATTTGTATATAACAGCATATGTTCATGTAGAAAATGTGGAAAATACATAAATCTGGAAAAATGGCAGAATATCCATAATCTTACAGAGAAGGAACCTACAGGTAACATTTTCTTATATTTCTTGTCATTTTGTTGTTTTATATAATTGTAATCACGTGTCTATATATATAGTAGTGTTTTTTATGTAACACTAACAGTTTACTATGCTATGAGGCTAATTATATACAATATTTTAACGTCTGTATACTATTTAATCAACTACATAGGCTTCATGTTCCTGTAGTTACAAATTGGGGTTATTTTCAATTTGTATCTCTTCAGTAAATATCTTTTAACCCAAAGTATTTTTTCTTGTGTAATTTCAAGTTAATTTTTAGACTTCAATCTAGACATAGACTCAGAATCCGTTGTAAAAGGGGATGCACCTTCTTATTTTATATTTCTATCATTGAATTCCTTTCTAAATGCTTTAAAATGTTTTGTAGTCCTAACAGCACTGTATAAATGCACATGAACTTATTTTTCATCAAAGATGAAAAACACATTTGTCTAACATTTTCTTTCAAGATTCTTTGATTTTCTATCAATAGAAATATTAAATATCAAACAAAAACCCTGTTTTAATAAAGAAATAGGCTGACACAGACAAGCATTAGACAAAACAAAGCAAAAGAAATAAATAAGCATGTGATACGTAATAGAACTTTAACAATATAAGATTAAAAGAATTCCAAAGTGTATCAGGCCTTGGATCATTGACTGTTTTTGGCTAACAATTTAGAAATCCTTAAGTGTGAAGGTAAGTTAAAAATGATGAGATCCTTTCTTCCTATATAATATTGACAACGTATATTTATATTTGTGCTCTAATTGCATAATGTTGTGCTAATATAAAGATCCATGGGCTGACATAACACTCTGTTTAGTCAGAAATCTTCTTGCTCATAGAAATCTATTCCTAGATACACAGTTTCTCAAAGTTCACTTTGAGAATTGAGTTTTCCTGGGGATATTTGTAATTTCACTATGTTTGCCAAATATTTCCCATTAATCACTCTGGGGATATTTCATTGTCTGCTTACATGGCCTTGTCAACTGCAGTCTTTTTTAATTCTAAGCACTTTATGTTCCACATGCTGATACAATGGGACATATTAAAAATTACTAGTTCCGATGGGAGAAAGATCTTTGCAATCGAGGCGCAAACATGCTGTAACTCTTTCTCTATGCAATTAAATGTCTTTACTATCTCACAGAGTTCAGCATTTTTTTTTTTTTTTTTTTTTTGCTTTAAGTTCTGGGGTACATGTGCAGAACGTGCCGGATTGTTACATACACGTGCCATGGTTGTTTGCTGCACCCATCAACCCATCATCTACATTAGGTATTTCTCCTAATGTTATCCCTCCCCCAGCCCCAAACCCCCAACAGGCACCAATGTGTGATGTCCCCCTGCCGCAGTGTTCATGTGTTCTCATTGTTCAACTCCCACTCATAAGTGAAAACATGCGGTGTTTGGTTTTCTGTTCTTGTGTTAGTTGACTGAGAATGATGGTTTCCAGCTTCATCCATGTCCCTGCAAAGGACATGAACTCATCCTTTTTTATGGCTGCATAGTATTCCATGGTGTATATGTGCCACATTTTCTTTATCAATTCTATCATTGATTGGCATTTTGGTTGGTTTCAAGTCTTTGCTATTGTGAACAGTGCCACAATAAACATACATGTGCATGTGCCCTTATAGTGGAATGATTTATAATCCTTTGGGTGTATACCCAGTAATGGGATTGCTGGGTTAAATGGTATTTCTAGTTCTAGATCCTTGAGGAATCGCCACACTGTCTTCCACAATGGTTAAACTAATTTACACTCCCACCAACAGTGTAAAAGCATTCCTATTTCTCCATATCCTCTCCAGCATCTGTTGTTTCCTGACTTTTTAATGATCACCATTCTAACTGGCATGAGATGGTATTTCATTGTGATTTTGATTTACATTTCTCTAATGACCAGTGATGAGGAGCTTTCTTCATGTGTTTGTTGGCTGTGTAAATGTCTTCTATTGAGAAGTGTCTGTTCATATCCTTCACCCACTTTTTGATGGAGTTGTTTGTTTTTTTCTTGTAAATTTGATTAAGTTCTTTGTAGATTCTGTATACTAGCCCTTTGTCAGATGGATAGATTGCAAAAATTTTCTCCCATTCTGTAGGTTGCCTGTTCACTCTGATGATAGTTTCTTAAGACAATCCTAAGCAAAAACAACAGAGCTGGAGGCATCATGCTACCTGACTTCAAACTATACTACAAGGCTACAGTAACCAAAACAGCATGATACTGGTACCAAAACGGGTATGTAGACCAATGGAACAGAACAGGGGCCTCAGAAATAATGCCACACATCTACAATCATCTGATCTCTGACAAACCTGACAACAACAAGCAAGGAGGAAAGGATTCCCTATTTAATAACCACACATCTGCAATCATCTGATCTTTGACAAACCTGACAAAAACAAGCAATGGGGAAAGGATTCCCTATTTAATAAATGGTGTTGGGAAAACTGGCTAGCCATATGCAAAAAGCTGAAACTTGATCCCTTCCTTACACCGTATACAAAAGTTAACTCAAGATGGATTAAAGACTCAAACGTAAGACCTAAAACAGTTCAGCATTTTTATGTTTTATCATTTAAATTTCCTTCCCACATTGATTTCATTTATCAAAGTCCTAACCTAGTTTGTAATCCATAAGAAAAATACATCAATTAATGTCAGTTGTTATTAAACATTTATATCTTTATTTTTAGTAACTACAATAATAAATATTATAATTTTCAAGTCATTAATTATATTTATTAATATTAAATTTAAATATTTTAAAATTATTATTAAATAAAACAATGTTTATTGTTTTAGATTTGCATTCCATTAGTCTACTTATCTTTTCCCCAAAGTTTTCATTGTCCTAATCATATCTTTGATGTCTTAATTTAGCTATAGAGAATCTGATCCATACCAAATTTTGATTACATGATTGGACAATTTGAATTTATAAAAATAACATTCTTAATCCTTTTTACACCCACTACTCTCCTTCTGCCTAGCCAAATATGGTGTCATCATCCTTTGATTCTGCTATACTTACTAATTACTCTATCTCCACCCAACAATTTATTGAGTAAATTTATGAGAAAATACAACTTTGATTTTTCACATATCACTCATATTACATACCACATGCAGTTTGACTTGTATGCTTACTATTCTTCTCAGACTACTCATTCCAACCTCATTATTGATTATCTAGTTGAAGAAAGGATTTTTTTCTCACTATTCATTTGAATTAAATAAACTGTTTTAAGTTCTTTGAAAAATCTCCACACTGCTTTCCGCAGTGGCTGAACTAATTTACATTCCCATCAGCAGTATATAAGTGGTCCCTTTTCTCCACAACCTGGCCAACATCTGTCATTTTTTCACTTTTTAGTAATAGCCATTCTGACTGGTATGAGATGGTAACGCATTATGGTTTTGATTCACATTTCTCTAATGATTAGTGATTTTGAGCATTTTTTCCCATATACTTTTTGACCACATGCAAGTCATCTTTTGAGAAGTGTCTGTTCGTGTCCTTTGCCCACTTCTTAATGCGGTTATGTTTTGCTTGTTGGCTTGTTACAGATTATGTACGTTACACCTTTGTCAGATGTGTAGTTTGTAAATATCTTTTCCCATTCTGTAGGTTGTCTGTTTACTCTATGGATAGTTTCTTTTGCTGTGCAGAAGCTCTTTAATTAGGTCACATTTGTCAACTTTTGTTTCTGTTGCAATTGCTTTTGGAGACTTGGTCATAAACTCTTTGCTGTGGCCCATGTCCAGAATGGTATTTCCTAGGTTTTCTTCTAGTGTTTTTAGGATTTTAGGTCTTACATTTAAATCTTTAACCCTCCTTGATCTAATTTTGGTATATGATGAAAGAAAGGGTCTAGTTTAAATCTTCTGCATATAGTTAGCCAATTATCCCATCACCACTTATTAGATAGAGAGTACTTTCCCCATTTACTTGTTACCAACTTTGTTGAAGATCAGATGGTTGTAGGTGTGTGGCCTCATGTCAATTCTTTATCCTGTTCCATTTGTCTATATGTCTGTTTGTGTACCAGTATCATGCTGTTTTGGTTACTATATTCTTGTAGTATAGCTTGAAGTTAGGTGGTGTGAAGCTTCTGGCTTTTCTCTTTTTGTTAGAATTGTTTTGGGTATTCAGGTTTTTGTTGTTGTTGTTTCATATGTGTTTCAGGATAGTTTTTTCTAATTCTGTGAAAAATGACATTGGTAGTTTCATGGACATAGCATTGAATCTGTAAACTGCTTTGGGCAGTATGGTCATTTTAACAATATTGTTACTTTCTACCTATGAGCATGAAATGTTACTCCATTTGTTTGCATTGTCTCTGCTTTGTTTCATCAGAGATTTGTAATTCTCATTATAAAGACCTTTCACTTCCTTGGTTAGCTGTATTCCTAGGTATTTTATCCATTTTCTGGTTATTGTAAATTGGGATTGAATTCTTGATTTGACTGTCAGCTTGGACGTTATTGGTGTATAGAGATGCTACTGATTACAGAACTACCATTTGACTTAGCAATCCCACTATTGGGTATATACCCAAAGGAAAATAAATTATTCTACAAAAGAGACACAAGAACTCTTTTTTTTTTTTTTTTTTTGACAGGGTCTCACTCTGTTGCCCAGGCTGGAGTGCATTGGCATGATCTCAGCTCACTGCAACCTCTGCCTCCCAGGTTCAAGAGATTCTCCTGCCTCATCCCCCTGAGTAGCTGGGATTACAGGAGCCCGCCACCGTGCCCGGCTAATTTTTGTATTTTTTAGTAGAGACAGGGTTTCACCATGTTGGCCAGGCTGGTCTCGAACTCCTGACCTCAAGTGATCCCCAACTTCGGCCTCCCAAGGTGTTGGGATTACAGGCGTGAGCCACCGCACCCAGCGACACAAGCACTCTTATGTTCATTGCAGCACCATTCACAATAGCAAAGACCTGTAATCAGCCTAGCTGCACATCAGTGGTGGACTGGATAAAGAAAATATGGTATATATACAAAATGGAATGCCACACAGCCATAAAAACAAATAAAATCATGTCTTTTGTAGCAACAGGTCTTTTGTAGCCACATGGGCACAGCTGGAGGCCATTATCCTAAGCAAATTAATGCAGGAACAGAAAACCAAATACCACATACTCTCACTTGTGAGTGGGAGCTAGACATTGGGTAAATATGGACATAAAGATGGCAGCAGTAGACACTGGGGACTACAGGAGCGGAGAGGTTGGGAGGAGATTAATGAGTTAAAAAAACTACCTATTGAGGGCCAGGCGCGGTGGCTCACGCCCATAATCCTAGCACTTTGGGAAGCCGAGGCGGGTGGATCACGAGGTCAGGAGATCAAGACCATCCTGGCTAACATGGTGAAACCCCATCTCTACTGAAAAATACAAAATTGGCCGGGTGCAGTGGTGGGCGCCTGTAGTCCCAGCTACTGGGGAGGCTGAGGCAGGAGAATGGCGTAAACCGGGAGGCGGAGTTTGCAGTGAACCTAGATAGCGCCACTGCACCTCCAGCCTGGGCGGCAGAGCGAGACTCTGTCTCAAACAAAAAAACAAAAAACTACCTATTGAATACTATGCTCACTACTTTGGTGATGGGATCATTAGTATACCAAACCTCAGTGACATGCAATTTACCCGTATAAAAAACCTGCACATGTACTCCTTGAACCTAAAAGTTGAAAAAAAATTTAATTTAATTTATAAGCACATACTTATCCTTAAAACTCTTTTCTTCCTTGATCTCAGCGACATTGCACTTTGTGATTATAATTTTACCACTCTTTAATTAGAGATCACACATAAACTTTCCAATTGTAAATCGCTGTAACTCCTCCCTGTAAAAGTCTAAGACAGGCTGGGCGTGGTGGCTCCTGCCTGCAATCCCAGCACTTTGGGAGGCCTAGGCAAGCAGATCACTTGAGTTCAGGAACTTGAGACCAGCCTGGCTAACATGGCAAAACCCCATCTCTACTAAAAAAAAAAAAGAAGCAAAAATTAGCTGGACATGGTGGTGCATGCCTGGAGTCCCAGCTACTCGGGAGGCTGAGGTAGGAGAATTGCTTGAACCTGGGAAGCAGAGGTTGCAGTGAGCCAAGATCACACACCATTGCACTCCAGCCTGGGCCACACAGAGAGACTGTCTTAAAAAAAAAAAAGGTCTAAGACAAACCACACTGATCTTGACATCTTGAGTGGTCTCCCTATTGCAATAGCAGGAATAAAATCAATGTACTTATTTGCTTGTTTACTGTGTTTGACAGTGACTTTAGATTAACCTCTCCCAATTCATTTCTTTCCATTTTGTGCAAACAATCTGATTTTGTTTTCTCCTGACTCACCATCAACCTCACCCTTAAAAGTATAATTCCTTCAGAAATGTTGTTCTTTTTAAAAATTGCATTACCTGAGTAATCAAATTATTTGAAAATATTCAACTTCCATCAAATGGATACCTCTCTCTGAATCTCCAGGCATGTACTTTCAACTCCTCACTGAACATCTCCAGGCAATCATGTATCTGTTCTTCACATTCAACATGTCCCAGATCAAACTCATTGATTTTCCCCTCCCTGCTTCATCCTGATCTTCCTCATAATTTTGTTATTGATAATTTACATTACTATCTAGTCAGTTTTCTAAACTAGAAAACATATCTTTGGCTCTTCCCTTACACCCAATATACAATTAATCACTCTGTCTCCTCTTTATTTCTCTTCTATACTGACTTCATTTAGTTTCATCACCTGTCAGTTAAAAAGACTACAGTAAATTTAAATCAAATCCCCCTTCCTGAGGTCATAATCTCCCTCCAAATCACCCTCAACAGTGTTACTAAAATTGTCTTCTCGAATGCAAATTTGATATCACCTAGTTATCAAAACATATCTAATTCCTTAAGTTGGTACCAAAGATCCTTTGGCATCTGAACCCATCCAATCTCTCCAAACTTAAACTGTGTTCTAGAAATAAATGCCAAGATGTCAAACTGCCTGCCATGCATTGTAGATGTTCCCCATCAGTCATGTTCATGCTCTAACAGTGTGGAATGCTCATTGCCTTCTTGCCTATCTGATGTCTTTAAAGCTCTATGCAAACATTTCTTCCCAGAAATGTCTCACAAGCTCTTTCTTTATATTGAGTTATATATCCCTCCTATGGTTTTTATAGTGTTCACAATACACTGCATTGTAATTGTTCAATTGTTTTACTCATACATAGTCTTTCTAGCACCACAGAAATAAATAGGGTCACTCTATTTCTATGTTCTTATAAACTAGCAGATTGCCTTGCCATGTCCATCCATTGTCCCTGGAGGGATTTCCGTTCAGGCTTCTTCTCTTACACTTATTAAACTGCAAAGACTTTGGTGCTAATATTAGTGTCCCACCAGACCATGTTGGTTTATAATCTTCTTGATAAGGATGTTGAAAATAAAATTACAATTCCAACTACCTGTCATTTTCATAAGAATGGGCACTCCTTTGAACAAAACAAACAAAGAAATGCCAATATAAAAACCCTTCATATGAATAAAGAGAGGGTCTCAGCCTGGGAAAAGCCACACAGCACAGGTTTGGAGAAAAACTAATCATTACATGCACAGCTTTATAGGAAAATTTACCTTTTGCTCTATCATCCCCTATGTTTCCAAAGGTCAAGAACCAAGACAATTGTTATTGCTATTACTTTTTTTATTATAAATTAAAAAGACATTTTAAATATAAAAAGTCATTTTTTTCCAGGGAAAGAGCAAGATGAATGGCTATATCAGATAAGTACTGGGGTAATTTTAAACTACTTTTAAGAGATTTTTCTCATTGCCTGGAATCTCGTGCCAGACTTTTAGTTAACACATCTCTAGTTGTTTTTTTACTTTATTTTGTTTTGTTTGTTTGTTTATTTATTTATTGGAGACGAGTCTCACTCTGTCACCCAGGCTGGAGTGCAGTGGCGCAATATCAGCTCACTGCAACCTCCACCTCCTGGGTTCAAGTGATCCCCTGCCTCAGCATCCTGAGTAGCTGAGATTACAGGTGCCCATCACCACACCTGGCTAATTTTTGTATTTTTAGTAGAGACAGGGTTTCACCACATCGGCCAGGCTTTGCTGGGATTACAGGGGTGAGCCGCCGTGCCCGGCCTTTTTTTTTTTTTTTTTCCTTTATTTTTTCCAGACACAGTCTTGCTCTGTTGCCTGGGCTGGAGTGCACTGGCACAATCACTGTAGCCTCAGACTCCTGGGCTCAAGCGATCCTTCCACCTCAAGCCTCCAAAAGTGCTGGGATTATAGGCATGACTCACCATGCCTGGCCTTCTAGTTGTTTTGAAATTACTCATAGTTTCTGAGACTCAAATTCTGTCAATTTTATTAATCATTCTCTTCAGTGAAGAGAATAACAAATGTCAACTATTTTGACCTTCCAAATTTAAAGTACAAAGTCCTTTACCTCACAGGCAGCATGCAGGATTAGAATATAGTGTTTTTAGTCAGATATTCCAGTGTTCGCCGTGAAAACATCTTTTTCAGAAATGGTAAAACTCATTGAGACTTTTCCGCCTGACAAATCTGGTTTGAATTCTGACTCTGCACATAAGAGACTTTGAGACTTTGGCCAATTTAATAAACACGTCCAACCTTAGTGTTCTCATGTATAAAATAGGAGTAAGCATATTGACCCATAGAAGACTCTGGTGTTTTTCTTTTTGTTTGTTTGTTTGTTTTGCATAATATCCCTTCCCACCTTCTTTTTCTTCCTAAGGAAACTGACATTTTTCAGATACCTACCCCACATCTAAATAGCTATGTATGTAAAATAAACCTCAGGAGACTCTCAGAGATAGGTCTAATTAAAACCCATTTCCTTTTCCAATGATTGTATTAGGAATAGACATATGTTCATATGTCCCAATTCCTAAGAACCTGTGGGCCTTGATAAATTTTATTCAACACTTTGCCGAAGAGTGTGATGATTGTCCTAAAAGCTTCATTGGGTAAGTAAGGGTATGGAGATCGTTTGCCTAAATACCACCTAGCCTCGTTCTCCATTCTCCTCCTCCCAATTCAGTTTTTCATCTTATAAATACTAAGAACTAATGCTCCTTTTTAATATCAATGATTTTCTCAATTGCTTAGTTTATGATGACTTCATTAAGTGAAGGAAGCATATCTGATTTCAGTTTCTAGTGGCTCCGCCCACATGGAGTGAAGGGGAAGGCTGTGAGTGGAATAAGTATTAGTAAGAATGGAGGGTTTGGTGAGAAGGTTATAGTTGGTTTTGTGTTTTCATAGATTTTATTGAAAATTTAGAAAATAACTCCACAAGAATTATATTTTCCTCATTACTCCAACAAATTTTATATATGTGCACACACACACACACACACACACACACACACACACCAGACATGGTGGCTCATGCCTGTGATCCCAGCACTTTGTGAGGCTGAGGTAAAGGATCCTTTGAGGCCAAGAGTTCAAGACCAGCATGGACAGCATAGTAAGACTGCATCTTTAAAAAAAAATTAGCCAGATGTGTTGATACATGCCTGTATACCTCGCTACTCAGGAGGCTGAGGCAAGAGGATCTCCTGAGCTCAGTAGTTCAAGGCTGCAGTGAGCTATAATCCTATCACTGCTCTCCAACCTTGGTGACAGAGGGAGACCCTGTCTCAACGTATTTGTGTGTGCATATATGTGTTTGTGTATATATTATTTTGGCCCTGTATCCTACAAAATAATAACTGAATATTTTCTATGAAGGACACATCTATCTCCACTGTATTCTCATTAGAGCTCCCTCATATGGATACATAATGATTGAAACAATGGAAAAATCAGCTCTCTCTAGCTCCTAGGACTGTCCTCTGACCATGGGCCATGGTACCAAGGAATTCAGTTTGTCTCACCACATTACAAAGTGATCACATTCTGTTCTTCATCTTAATCTTTGAAATTCTCTCTAAATGTACCCCTGTACAAATGTTCTGGGCAAACTGATGTTCTCATTATCTTCCAAATACACTATCTGGTCTTTCCTAACCTGGCTCCTCCCTATAGCATATTGCCTCTTACTGTCCCCTCTATTCACCCCACATTTATGATAACTCTTCTTGGTAAAGCTGGTTGCTGAGTAGGATATCAACAAAATCTTGGAGGTAAAAATTTTGTCCCAAGCCCTGCTACCAAAGATCTGAAGTTATGTAGAGCTATCACAGTGAAATAGGATAGGCCCACTGAGTGTTTGTTAGACAAGGTAAGCAAGGAATTCGTGGAAATAAAAAATTATGTAAAGGAAAAGAGTTGACTGGACTGCAAACCAGGGTTCAGAACACAGGTATAATATTTCATGGGACTAGAACATTTTCTGGAAGTTAAGGCTGAAAAAGAAATGAAAGGAGAAAGCAAGAGTGAGAGTGAGACAGGAGAAAGATGGAAGGAAGGAAGGAAGGAAGGAAGGAAGGAAGGAAATAAGGAAGGAAAGAAGGAAGGAAGTCACCCTTAGGAAATAGGAAAAGTGTGTACGTACTGGGCATTGAGAAACAATGGCTGAGCATAAGAGTTGAGACTCTGAAACTCAATTTGTGGGCTTCCCTGCAGCCTGTGCAGAGATCTGAACCAGAAAGAGCATTGTCTCAGAGAGACAGGAATGTGAAGATCAAGGTTAAGTTTCAATTCTGGGGGACAAGAAGAAGCAGTAGAAAGAGAGGAATAATAAAACTTTAACTTTATATCTAACTGGCATTTAGAAACAACCAACCTCTTTTAGATCTGACAAAAATTTGGAGGTAATTTAAGATAGCCTCAAGTATTTCAATTATGGGATGTAGGTGCTTCAATGATTACATTTAAAATAAATAAATAAATAAAATAAAGCTAGCCATGACCCAATGAGGTTGTGAAAATTAAATAGGGGAATGTCAAAACTACCTGTGTCCAAAATATATTATCAGAGCAAATATATATTCTATTTCAAAAAAAAAAAACAAGGAATAGCAATTCATAAAATGATTTCAACAAATTCTATAACCAATGAAATAAATTGCTTGCCAAGTGATAGATACAACTTTAGTAAAACTTGAAAGGAGTTTAGCATGTTGTGAAGACATGTATAAGTCATGTCACACTGCAGGGAAATGTAATTTTGGGAAAAAAGAAGCATATATAAATATTTTCGTGAAGTAATAGGCAGTGAAGATTCCATCATTTCAGCAGAACTGATCTTTAATATTTGTAATGCTAGATGTTCAGGAACTTTTTAAAAACATATTTTTCCTCCTTCTGCATAATGAGAACTTAACAAGACAGTCTGCATCTGATCATCATAACATTACGGAAGCAGTTTCTCTTGAAATTTTTAGAACAAAAATCGTAGAGGTGAAATATTGTAAGTCATGGCAAGTGAGAAAACTGGTATGTACTAGAAAACAATGCCTCAGAGTACATGTATATTAAGGAGAAGCAGTCAACAGGTTGAAAACGGCCAAGATTTGTCTCCATGGAAATCCAGCAGGCATTTTGATTATGTTTGGCTCTTCTACACCCATTATATTAAAAATTAAAAATAACCTATTTCAGGTCTATTTACGGTCTAATGAAAATACATTTTAAAACATGTATTTTTATTGTGGTATAATTTTTGCTCACTTCATAACACTTTTTTGCTAGATTGGGGTAAAAGTACCACCTTCAAAAATCTTTACGTTAAGATTATGCATGATAGATATTTCTACAATTGTGTGAGAAAATACGTTATAGCAGTTCTTATAAATGTGGAATTAATGGATTCCTCAAGATATTTGTCACATTTTTCATGACAGTCAACTTTTTCTGGAAAAGTAAAACTAATGATGGAGGAAGTAAATTGGCATAAATTCAAAATTCATGGGCCCTTTCAAAAATACCAAAGTTTTGGTGAGTGGCTTCATCTCTAAATGACAGTAAGTGGACTGATAGTCACACGTGAATGTCTGAGTAGATTTTGCGTGCTCTAATGTGGACATTTTATGAAGAAGCTCATGACTTTGTGATCCTTTGTGCTATGGAGGAGGTTGGAGAATTTTCTGTATACATAAAGCATTTCTCCTTAACTAAGCTTCAACAAGTTCATTAACCAACATCAGTTGAACTGATTTTTGAGAAGTGAACCTCAGGGACTACCAACGGCTTGGAGTGAAGGCCTAGAGCTATGATCACGTTCTAGTCAGGGTATGAATCAGTGTGGAACCACAGCTGAAACATCACGCATTTTAATAGACCCATTGCATGAGGATTTTATCTCAATAATAAATAAAATTATTAATAGACGTGAGCTGTAGATATCCATGAGAAGCCAAATGGTTAGAAGGGCAACTATCAGTTACTCTTAGGATGCCCTTGCCCACCAAAAATGTGAGAGTGGGGTGAGGAAAGAGAAAAAGAGAGGAAGAAATAAAAGAAAAAGAGATTGGATCCACTAGTATGGATCCACTAACCTAGAATTCAATCAGTGAAATTATGTGGTTAATGTCTTCAAGGTCACTTAAAAATAGTGTGTATTCACTTAGGATTTTCTAATGCTGAAAAATTATCTGTTATTTATTACCACATAATGCCTTGAAGATCTTAAGTACATTTTTATTGCCATTAAGTAATTTGCCTAAAATTTGCCTCAACAAACAAAGGTAAGTGTATTAGTCTGTTCTCACCCTGCTATGAAGAAATAGCTGAGACTGGGTAATAAATAAAGAAAAGAGGTTTAATTGACTCACAATTCTGCAGGCCTGGGGAGGCCTCAGAAAGCTTACAATCATGGTGGAAGGCACCTCTTCACAGGGTGGCAGGAGAGAGAATGAGTGCCGGTAGGGGAAATGCCAGATGCTTGTAAAACCATCAGATCTTGTGAGAACTCACTCACTATCACGACAACAGCATGTGGGAAATTGTCCCCATGGTTCAATTACCTCCCACCACATTCCTCCCATGACACTTGGGGATTATGGGGATTAAAATTCAAGATGAGATTTGGGTGGGGACACAGCCAAACCATATCAGGAAGCAACACCCTGTGCTTCTCAAAGTATCTGTATTTTTTCCTTTGAGCCATTGAGGGATGAAGGCTTTAAAAAGACAAAATAAAAATGAATGAACAGAAAAAGGATGGTGTTCTTGGATGTCTTAGCAGTGCCATAGTGCAATAAAGGTTTCTAAGCACTTACTCTCAAATAATTTATTGATATTGCCATGGTCTGTGTTATTTTGCAGTCCTCCATTGGCCTGCAGGCCGTATTTTAAGTAGCGCTAATTTGGAGAACGTTGTTTTGGCCAGGATTTTTCCTGTGGTGGAATTTTACTTATATAATCACAGAGCCAGTGCTGGAGACAACCTGCTATCATCTTGTAGCACATATTACTTAGATTTCATATTAAGGTATTTGTTTTTGATCATTTGATTGGCATATCCAAATAGTATGGATCTGACATATTTAGGAGTGGAATGGTATTTGGGTAACTGTGTTAAGTGACAAAAAACAATTAAATGCCTTCTTTTATAGTTTAAATTTATGAACGTCTAATTTGTATGATAGTACATTGTGGCTTACAGTTTGGAAAGACCAAATTTTAATTATAACCAGAAGGGAATCTGATTAAGAAAGGATGAATCTTGATAGACTCAGCAAGGATAATAAATAGTTGCTCATCCCATCTGCATTAATACAGAGTGTCCATAACAACACAACACTTCATCTGACAGTTTAAAATGAGCCTGTAAGGTTCTCACCCTGTCTAAAAGCTTGTAGCAATTTTATATTATCTCAAATTTGCTGCATTTCTACACAAATGATACTCTAATTGCTGCATAAATTTACATTTTAAGTTTGACATTTACTCAAACAGCTTCTAAGCACTATTGATATTCAGGATGGTGTCTAAAGCACATCAAGACAAAATACTTCTTGAGACTCAGAATATTACCCATCCATTTACTTCTATAAATTTATTATCTCAAATAATTATTGAAATAGAGCTATTTAATCTTAGCTTCTCTTCTTGTATTTATTCATTCCTAATATAGATCAACATTATTAGGAGTCTATACTCTAAAAAAGTTAGTCAATTTAAGGTAACTAATTCAGTTGGTATATATATTATATATATATATATATATATATATATATATATTAGTCACTATTTTAAAAACTTAAACTGTCTAAGAGACATTGTAAAATTTTGCATGTAGCTAAATGATAATTCAATTTATGAAAAATATCCCTAAGTATCAATCTCAGGGTAAATTCAAATTACAGGATAAAACAGCTTTAAGAGAAATACTGAATAACCTTAAGAATACATTTTTCTTCCCAAATTAATAGACTAATGTATTCTGAACACTCAATTCATAAAATACATTTTACCAAATTTTCATTCTTCTCAGTATCAATATCGTTATAATATACATGTGTGCATGCATGTGCATGTAGATGTATGTCCTGTGTGTGTGTGTGTATACATATATATATATATATACACACACACACATATAGGAAGGCAATGTAATATATATGTATGTCTATACATATGTGTGTGTGCCTGTGTGTGTCTGTGTGTGTGTGCATGGAATGTAGTCATCCAAATAAACAAGTCTTTTTATCCTACTCTGTTTATTGTACTTTTGATAAGATCTATATAAAGTTATAGTGACATAGTTTATGTAAAAAGTCCACTTTGTTCTAAAGTCACTTATACTGATCTTTATTTTATGTTCCAACTGTATGTTTTCCTCCAAGTGTTTAAGGCACTGAATATATAATATTGTTACACATAATGTATGTGGCTACTGATATAATTAAAGGGTGAAGTAAAAGAAATTCTGATGATCAAATGTATTTCATTATTTTAATTACTATTCCTTTTATTAAAAATGTAAGATTTTACCCTTTACAGCCAGCCTCCTTAAAAGCAGTCTTTGCCTCCTGGCCAGTCCTAAACTTACTACATTGTGCCTTCAAACAATCCTAATAAAACTTCATTCACTAAGGTCACCATTGGTTCCAGTTCCTAACTCAAGTTTCACTTTTCAGTTCTTAATTTATTTTCATAGTTTGTGTTTCATTATATTTTCTATTTCTTTCTTAAAAGTCCTTTTCTACCTTTGCTTCTGAAACACTACTCTCTTTTTAAGTTTCTTTACTACTTAGTGTACTTTGAGGACACTCCTTGACTGATCTATCCTTCCAATGATGGTGGTCCAAAAGGTTTGATTCTTGATGTACTTTTCTTCTTACACACTCCCAGAAATATCATTTTCTTTCATGGCTTTAATTACCATGTGATATGGTTTTGCTGTGTCCCCAGCCAAATCTCATCTTGAATTGTAGCTCCCATAACTCCCACATGTCATGGGAGGGACCCGGTGGGAGGTAATTGATTCATGGGGGCGGGTTTTTCCCATGCTGTTCTCATGATAGTGAGTAAGTCTCATGAGATCTGATGGTTTCATGAAGGGAAGTTCCCCTTCACACACTCTCTCTTGCCTGCTGCCATGTAAGACATTACTTTGCTCCTCCTTCACCTTCCAGCATGATTGTGAGGCATCCCCAGCCATGTGGAACTGTGAATCCATTAAACTTCTTTCCTTTATAAGTTACCCAGTCTCAGGTATGTCTTTATTAGCAGCATGAGCACAGTCTAATACACCATCCATAAGTAGACAACTGATAATTTTTTTATTGGTAAGAAGAGACTAGGCTTTTCTTTAGTAATAACCAAGCCCATAATATCCCAATGGTTTAACTCAATAGATATTTCTCTTTCACAGAATAGCTGGGGTGTCAGCTGTCTTCGTGGTCACTCAAAAGAAGTAGTAAATTACATTGTCTCTTAAAGCATCTTTGTGGAAATAACATATATATCATTGTTTCTCACATTTTATTGCTATGACTTTGCTTACAACAAGGGAGCAGGGGATTGTGATCCCGCATAAAAAAAGATGAGATATTTGTGAATAACTGTAATACTGTCACAACCTTCAACTTCTCCCTCCAGCTCAGATTTTAAGACTTGCGTATTCCTTTGGTTATTGGAAACCTATACTTATACTCTTACATGAATTTGAAACACATCTAAAACGAAACTCCTATCTTTTCACTTACGTTTGAACATCCTGTACCAATGAATTGCCTGTTTTAATAAATGACAGTGATTGGCTATCTAGATTCTTAAGTTTAAAACTTAGGAAACCACCCTTGACATTGCCTTTAGAGTGATCTATCTGAAATTAACTTCCTTGTACAGTCTTTTGCTAGACACATCTTACAAATAAAATACAACTAAAAAGTCATTAGTATGGCACAAGGGCTCTTATTATCTGCTTTAGTTATCTGAGAAAACTTAAGACCCAGCACTCTGCAATTTGCAACTTTGGCTCTTGCTAAATTTAACTCTGGATTCTAATTTCTGAAAATTTCTCATGTAATTTTTTATTTGGTATGAAGATTTAGAAGGTGTTTCTTAGTCTCATCTTGAGTTGACTAATTCCTGGTAGCCCTTCCCCTGACTCAATCCATGCTATCTTCTGTGGCAAACCTTCTCTGACCCCACAACCTCCAGCCCAATGTAGTGCCCCCACAGCAAACTCAGCTCATCTCCTCTCTCAAATTTGATTTACTTCTATTATTATTTGTTAATCTCAAATATTTACATCTACTATATACATGATTCTTACCCTTATGGAAAAATACGCAGATAACGCAGAATTACTTAGGGGTGGGGAACACTCAATAAATAAAGAGATATACAACGTAATTACATGCCATGGCACACTTTTTTTTTTTTTTTTTTTGAGACAGTCTTGCTCTGTCACCCTGGCTGGAGTGCAATGGCGGGATCTTGGCTCTCTGCAACCTCTGCCTCCTGGGTTCAAGTGATTCTCCTGCCTCAACCTCCCGAGTAACTGGGATTACAGGTGCCCACCACCACTCCCAAGTAATTTTTTTGTACTTTTAGTAGAAATGAGGTTTCACCATGTTGGCCAGGCTGGTCTCGAACTCCTGATCTCAAGTGATCCACCCGCCTCAGCCTCCCAAAATGCTGGGATTACAGGCATGAGCCACCGTGCCTGGCCACATTTTAAGGAAATAAAAAGAGTAATGTGATAGGGAGTACCTGGTAGCGCTTGGAGATTCTTAATGATTGAGAAGCAGCTTCTCTAAGGAGACAATAGTTGAGCTAACAATAGCATAAAGAGCCAGATTTATTTTTTTAAAAAAGTTATGTGGCAGGAAAAGGTTTGTTATGTTCAAGGCACAAAATTGATGCCAGTGTAGCTCCCTTAGTGAGCAAGAAAGAGAGTGGTTTAAGATAACTGAAATGACGAGCAGAGAGATGCTGTGTAGGGCCTTGTAGGTCAAAGTGAGCTTTATCTTAAGAGTAATGGAAAGCCATTTGAAAACATGAAACTGAAAGAGGGGTTGGTGGAGAAGAGAGATGAACAGACTGAAATGATCCGATGTACATTTTTGAAAAGTTTACTCTGGCTTTTCTGTAGTATGTGGCTTGCAGAATATAAAGAAGAAGAAAGGGAGTTGACTGTAGTAGCCCTAGAAAAAGACCCCCATATATTTAGCACATATCATATATGTGTTATCACCATTATGCAGTACATTGTAATATGCTAAAATTCCCTAGCATCTATGCACGTGGACTTCATGTGGATGTAATATTGGTTCCTCTGTAGTACAGCAAGTTTATCTATGGATAAAAGTCTCTTGATAAATACATGTTAATTGAGTTGTTAAAGAGAAAGACTGAAAAGAAGTGAAAAATTATTGATATATCTTAAGAATATTTTTATAATATGGAAAAAACACAGACATTAATTATAAGTTAAAGATAATTTTGAAGAGCTAGCTGTTGGTTGAATATTCAGAAACAGAATTTCAAGGAAATCTTAAAATTTGCCTATCAAGTTGTTGTTGGATAACCTTAGAAGGTTTATATTTTTGCTCTGGGAAGAATTGTAAATAAGGTGAAACAGAGGCACAAGTATAAAGATAAAATGTATGGCAAGTTTACAATAGACTCACATGCCCCAGTGAATTTCTCTTGAACACATTTAGGAACTCAAGTTTGCAACCAGCTTTTGTCTCCTGTCATTTCTTTCTCTTTGCTTTTTTCTTCTCTTCTCTTTCCTCCTACTCCTTCCTCTTCTTGTTCTTCATCTTCTTATTCTTCTTCAGTAGATTTACTAGTAGGCATTTCACTCAAAATATTTTAATTGGTATTTACATGAACTTAGAAGTGAAGTGCATCCTAGATTGAGGTAAAGTCAAAAGATCAGAATCAAAGAAAAATTACTTTTAAGAATTGGTGTGACATAAAACAAAATTTAAAGATTCGGCAGAATAATTCAGATTAACTAGAAAACAATATAAGAATCTTCAGTAATGTGGATGCATGTAATTGAGAAAAATCATACAAGAAGTCTGATATATGCTACATGGAACAGATTGTATTCATGAATTATTACATCTTTGATAGTTACTGGCTAACACTAAAAATACTTGTTAAATTAAATTTGGAGATGAAAAGAAAGTCTGATCTGATTTGATTTTAATTGTAAAGAAAATCTCAGTAACTTTACAAGTAAAAAGAAGCTATAGTTTCAGAGTTTGGTGTTTGAAAGGAAAATATTTGTAATATAAAGTCAAAGTTGTAAGACACAAAATAACAGAAGTTTTGTACTGCAGCCTATAAATAAAAAAGCAATTAGGAATCAGTTTGCTTAATATAAAAGATTTAATGAAGTGAAGTGAAATAGACAGTACAGAAAGTAAATAAAAGAGAAAGGAGTCTTAAGGTGATGCACATAGATTTTGAACTCTCCAAGGGTGGATATCTGGATGTAGAAAGAGAATAAACAGTCAGTTGTTGAAAAGATTTAGATTTATTTTTTAAAATAAAAATTTCCCCTTTAATCTGATAAATAGTATTACTTAAATATTCTGCATTTTTAGGAAAAATGAAGATATATGGGTTTTCAATATGTGAAATATTTGTAACCATTTTGGACATAGCTAAAATTTTTCAAGAGCCAGATTATATAATTTCTTATTCAGTGATTTTCAAATGAATTACCTGGCTTTATGTATATTGTGGTTTTATAAAATGAAATTGAATTACTTAATGTTTAAGGCATTCTTTATAGTCATATACATTTATTTATTTATTGTGTTTAATTTCTAGGTGTTGTAGTAACATTAGCCTGTACCAAAAATCAGTCTTCAGTTAGAAAAAAGCCCTTATTTTGCTTATTCAGTTTATTTTTTAATCTCTTTACTTAAAAAAATTGATTGTTAGCCTATACTATTACTTTTCCAGAGAGCAGGCCTCTATTGCAAAAAATCAACAAAAGTATTTAAACTGAAGCATTTAAAAAGCCAGATGATGTATTTTTTTTAGAAGGCAAAAGATAAAGGGTTCAATTCATTACACAGTGCTTGTGCGCATAATTGGAATTACATACTTTTTCAGCATAAGAATTACCTTACCTATTGTGGGCTTCATTTCTTAATTAAAGGAAGAATTTAACACAACTCAAGTAATTATTATACTTTCTTAATATTTGTTTAATGAAAAAGTCACTTAAAAATCTAATTTATGGGGAGAGATACCTCTGTGGTTTGTTTGTATAAATGTTCACAGAGAATAAAGACTACTTAGAATACATTCATTCTCTGGCTTTCTCTCTACAAAATAAATAATTCAGTAATTTGACTCTATTAACTTGAAATTTCACATAATTTGCTTAAGTACTAAACTAAATATTATGTTTACATAGGAATAAATGTAATATTGAAAATAATATTTTATAATTTTCTCTACATGTAAAAATAAATCCTTACTTGTTAAGTAAAAGAGCACGTGAACACCATGCCACCTGTGAGCCCACCACCCACAGTTGACTGCTCCTGATATTTTCATGTTTTTTCTTCTAAACATTCATCTATGTATGTACAAACACACATAATTAATATTGATTAGTTTTGTATTCTGCGTTCTCACTTAATAGTTTCTTACATAAACACTGATTATTTAACAATCTTTGGAAACATAGTTTTAAAGGCTACAACATATTTCATTTTTATAGTTTTTACCATGACTTATTTAACTACATTTACATTGTGGATTATTTCACGTCTGTTGTTGTTGTTGTTTTCATGTTGTAAACAGTCCTAATACAATAGCTTTATATATAAAGCCATTGACCTATATTAGACAAGACTCACTTTTTTGTTTCTGGCAAAAGCCAGAAACAAACCCTATTAGCTTAAATCAAAACAATACAAAACAAAACAGATTTGTTGAAAGGATATGACAGTTTGATAAGTCATCAAACAATTGTCCAGAATGGCAGGTTTGGCAAAAGGACTTCAAAATCCTCATGGCAAAAACAAAAGCAAAAACCAACACCTTCATCTCTCTGGGATTTTTGCTTTGCACAGGTTGCATATTGGCTTTCCTTTTTCTCTCCTTCCTCTGCTTCTCTTGAATAAATGGAATACAGGTGGTACAGCTTCTGTTTTCTTCATATCTTTAATCGCTGATAAGAAGCTCACACAAACTTCTCTTACTTTGTCTCTAGACACAAAAATCCAGCAAGGATGCTCTTTGGCTCTGGGTCTGATGCTCATTGCTGAACTTTACATACTTGCCAGGAGGGCAGGTGGAATCGTCAATTCTATGTGTCAACCTGACTGGGCTACGGGATGACCAGATAGTTGATAAAACATGATTTATGGATGTGTCCATGAAGGTGTTTCTAGAAGAGATTAGCATTTGAATCAGTAGACTGAACAAAGAAGACCCACTCTCACCAATGTGAGTGGGCAACATCCAATTTTTGAGGGCCTGAATAGAATAAAAGGCAGCAGAAGGGCTAATTTGCTCTCTGCTTGAGCTGGGACATTTGTCTTCTGCCCCTGAAACACTGGAAACTGTACATTAATGCTCCTTGTTCTCATGCCTTCAGACTCAGACAGGGACTTACACCATCAGCTCCTTCGTTCTCAGACCTTTGGGTTAGACTGGAGCTACACTAGTAGCTTCCTGGTTCTCCAGTTTGTAGATGACAGATTCTGGGACTTAGTCTCTATAATCACATCAGCCAATGTTTTATAATAAATCTCTTTCTATATATCGATATATATTGTATTGGTTCTGTTTCTCTGGAAAACCCTGACTGGTATTGCAAAGCACTGTGAATAACCCAGCTTAATCTAGGTGCCCACTCAGGGATAAAGGCTACATTATAGAAGCTTTTCTCTTGCTTAAGCTAAGTGTATAAAGGAGGCATAGGCAATTTTGAAGGGCCCTGTGACAGGCAAGTCACACCAGAACAGGAATCACCATCATTCTGCTTCCTGGAAGTCAGATCTTTCCTAAGATGGGAGTTGTGAAAATTTGGATATTATCAATATTAAATTTGGATGGTCTACTTGATTGGTTGGAGAAAGAGGAGTGCAAGTGAGATCTCTTTACTGTTTAAACAAACTTAGGCTTTCCGATGAGCCCAGAGATGAAGTCTAAACCTTGATACATTACCAAGAAGTCATGAGCAGGGTCCGTTAAGTACAGTTGAAAACATGCAGCTGCATTAAAATCCTGTTAAAATGAATGGCAGAGTAAATGGGAAAGACACAGGTCTTCACATGGCCTCGTGAAATACATACAGAATGACTCCTGGAATTGTGTTGTGATTTCTCCACATATCCTGAGATGTGGCCTCTAGTTTTTTTTTTTTGTTTGTTTGTTTGTTTGTTTTTGAGACAGAGTCTCGCACTGTCACCCAGGTTGGAGGGCAGTGGCGCGATCTCAGCTCACTGCAAGCTCCGACTCCCGGGTTCACGCCCTTCTCCTGCCTCAGCCTGCCGAGTAGCTGGGACTTCAGGCGCCCGCCACCACGCCCGGCTAATTTTTTTGTATTTTTAGCAGAGACCAGGTTTCACCGTGTTAGCCAGAATGGTCTCGATCTCCTGACCTTGTGATCCGCCCGCCTCGGCCTCCCAAAGTGTTGGGATTACAGGCGTGAGCCACTGTGCCCGGCCTGTGGCCTCTAGTTTTAATGAAACCAAGTGTTCTCTAAACCAGAAACTCCTTTTCTTATTGTTTTAATAACACAGGACCTTGCAGCAAATTTTCCTCTTTGTACCCAACCAACCATCTAAAATCTATATTTAACAGCTTGTCTGGGTTGAGGAAAGATGTGGCCTATCTGCTTTTGAAGTTATGGATACCTTCTTCACTTCTAGCCCTCTACATACTCTGGAAGTAGACGCAGACGCATCTTTAAAAAATCAACTTTTTGGCCGGGCACGGTGGCTCACACCTGTAATCCCAGCACTTTGGGAGGCTGAGGTGGGCAGATCACGAGGTCAGAAGTTCGAGACCAGCCTGGCCAATATGGTGAAACCCCGTCTCTACTAAAAATACAAAAATTAGCGGGGTGTGGTGGAATGAAGAACGGTGTACCCATTCCCTCAAGCATTTATCCTTTGTGTTATAAACAATCCAATTATGCTCTTTCAGTTATTTCAAAATGCATGATGAAGTTATTAGTGACTATAGTCACCCTGTTGTGCTAGCAAATAGTAGGTCTTATTCATTATTTCTAACTAAATTTTTTATATCAATTAACTATCCCCACCTCCTCCCCCTCCAAATCTTCACTACCCTTCATGGCCTCTGGTAACTATCCTTCTACTCTCTACATTCATAACTCAATTGTTTTAATGTTTAGATCCCACAAATAAATGAGAACATGTGATGTTTGTGTTTCTGTGCCTGGCTTATTTCACTTAACATAATGATCTCCAGTTCCATCCATGTTGGTGGAAATGACTGGAATTCATTCTTGTTTATGGCTGAATAGTACTCCACCATGTTTTCATTATTCATTCATCTGTTGAGGGACACCTCAGTTGCTTCCAAATCTTAGCTATTGTGAGTAGTGCTGCAACAAACATGACAGAGAAAATATCTCTGCAATGTACTGATTTCCTTTCTTTTTAGTATATATCCAGCAGAGAGATTGCTGGATCATATGGTAGCTCAATTTTTACTTTTGGGAGGAACCTCCAAACTGTTCTCCACAGTGGTTGTACTAATTTACTTTCCCAGCAAAGAAGGTTTCCCTTTTCTCCACATCCTCTTCAGCATTTGTTATTGCTATATTGTTTTTTGTTATATCTTCTGGATATAAGCCATTTTAACTGTGGTGAAATGATATCTTACTGCAGTTTTAATTTGCATTTCTCTGATGATCAGTGATGTTGAACACCTTTTCATATGCCTGTTTGCCATTTGTGTGTTTTCTTTTGAGAAATGTCTATTCAAATCATGTGCACATTTTCTGATCAGATTATTAGATTTTTTTTCCTATAGAGTTGTTTGAGCTCCTTATATTTTCTGGTTATTAACCGGTTGTCAGATATGTAGTTTGCAAATGTTTTCTCCCATTCTGTGGGTTGTCTTTTCAATTTGTTGATTGCTTCCTTTGGTGTGCAAAAGCTTTGTAACCTAATGTGATCCCATTTGTTCATTTTTGCTTAGGTTGCCTGTGCTTGTAGGGTGTTGCTAAAGAAATTTTTGCCCAGATTAATGTCCAGGAGATTTTCCCCCAATTTTTTTTTTTGTAGTAGTACTTTCATAGTTTGAGGTCTTAGATTTAAATCTTTAATCCATTTTTCCTTGATTTTTTTATATGGCCAGAGATAGGGGTCTAGTTTTATTCTTCTGCATATGAATATCTAGTTTTCCCAGCACCATTTATTGAAGAGGCTGTCTTTTCCCCAGTGTACCCTCTTGGCACACTTGTCAAAATGAACTAACTGTAGACATGTAGATTTGTTTCTTTGTTCTCTATTCTGTTCCATTGGTCTCTGTGTCTGTTTTCATGCCAAAACCATGCTGTTTTGGTAACTGCAGCTCTTTAGTATAATTTGTGGTTAGGTAATATGATTTCTCTAGTTTTGTTCTTTTTGCCTCAGATAGCTTTGGCTATTATGAGTCTTTTTGTGTTTCCATATGAACTTTAGGGTTTATTTTTTCTATTTGTGTGAAGAATATATCATTGGTATTTTAAGAGGGATTGCACTGAATCTGTAGATTGCTTTGTATAGTATAAACATTTTAACAATATTGATTATTCCAGTCAATGAACATAAAATATTTTTTCATTTTTGGTGTACAACTTCTTTCATCAGAGTTTTATAGTTTTCATTATAGAGATCTTTCACTTCTTAAGTTAATTCCTAGGGATTTAATTTATGTGTGGCTATTGCAAATGGGATAACTTTTTTATTTCTTTTTCAGATTGTTCACTGTTAGCATATAGAAAGCTACTGATTTTTGTATGTTGATTTTGTATCCTGCAATTTTACTGAATTTGTTTATCAGTTCTAATAGTTTTCCTGTGGAGTCTTTAGGTTTTTCCCAATATAAGATCATATCTTCTGCAAACATGAATAATTTTACTTCTCCCATTCCAATTTGGATGCTCTTTATATTTTTCTCTTGTCTGATTGCTCTAGCTAGGACTTATAGTACTACATTGAATAACAGTGGTGACAGTGGGCATCCTTGTCATGTTCCAAATCTTAGAGGAAAAGGTTTCAGTTTTTCCCCATTAAGTGTGATACTAGCTGTGGGTCTGTCATATGTGGCTTTTATTATGTTGAGGTATTTTCCTTCTACAGCCAGATTTTTAAGGATTTTTATCATGAAGGGATATTAAATGTTTTCAAGTCATTTTTCAGCATTAATTTAAATAATCATATTTTTATCCTTCATTCTGTTGATACAATGTATCACATTGATCGATTTGCATATGTTGAACCATCCTTGCAGCCCAAAGACAAATCCCACTTGGTCATGATGATGATTTTTCTAATATATTGTTGAATTAAGTTTGCTAGTATTTTGTTGAGGGTTTTTACATCAATATTCAACAGAGATATTGGGCTTTAGTTTTCTTTTTTTGATGTGTCTTTGTCTGGTTTTGGAATCAGGGTAACACTGGTATTGTAGAATGAGTTTAGAAGTATCCCCTCCTCCTCTATTTTTTTCAGAGGAGTTGGTATTAGTTCTCTGAATGTTTGATAGCAATCAGCAGTGAAGACATAGGATCTCAGGCTCTTCTTTACTGGGAAACTTCATTGCCGCTTTGATCTCATTACTTGTTATTGGTCTGTTCAGAATTTGGATTTCTTCCTGGCTCAATCTTGGTGGGTTTTATGTATATAGGAATTTGTTTATTTCTTCTAGATTTTCCAATGTATTCACATATGGTTGATCATAGTAACCACTAAGGATTCTTTGAATTTCTGCAGTATTAGTTGTAATGTCTCCTTTTTCATTTCTGCTTTTTAAAATTTATGTCTTCTCCCTTGTTTTCTTAGTTAGTTTGGCTAAAGTTTTGCCAATTTCGTTTAACTTTTCAGAAAACCAACTTTTTTGCTTCTATTATCTTTTGTATTTTTTAAAATTTCAATTTCATTTATTTCTGCTCTTATCTTTGTTATTTCTTTTCTTCTACTAATTTTGGATTTTGTTTGCTATTGCTTTTCTAGTTCTTTGAGATACATCATTAGATTGTTTCTTTGAAGTTTTTCCTCTTTTTTGATTTAGGCACTTACAGCTATAAACCTCCTTCTTAGTACTGCTTTTGCTGTATCCAATAGGTTTTGGTATATTGTATTTTCATTATCATTTGCTTTATGAAATTTTTCAATTTCCTTCTTAATTTCTTCATTGACTCAGTGGTCATTCAGGAGCATAATTTTTAATTTCTATGTATTTGAATAGTTTCTAAAATTCCTCTTGTTATTGATTTTTAGTTTTATTCCATTGTGGTCAGGGAAGATGCTTGATATTATTTCAGTTTTCCTGAATGTTTTAAGACTTGTTTTATGACCTAACATATGGTCTATTCCTGAGAGCAATCCATGTGCTCAGGAAAAGAATTTGCATTCTGCAGCTGTTAAATGAAATGTTCTGTAAATATCTATTAGATCCATTGGGTCTATGTGCAGACTAATTCCGATGTTTCTTTATTGATTTTCCATCTATAAGATCTGTCTAATGCTGAAAGTGGGGTGTTGAAGTCTCTAGTTATTATTGCATTGGGGCCCCGCTCTCTTTTTAGTTCTAATGATATTTCATTTATATATTTGGATGCTCCAATGTTGTATATATATTTAAAATTGTTATATCATCTTGGTGAATTGACTCCTTCATCATTATCCAGTGACCTTCTTTGTCTCTCATTATAGTTAGTTTCTTGAAATCTATTTGGACTGTTGTAAGTATAGCTGCTCCTGCTATTTTTTGGTTTCCATTGCTATAGAATATCTTTTTCCATCCCTTTATTTTTAGTCTATGTATGTCTTTATAGGTGAAGTGTGTTTCTTGTAGGCAACAGGTTAATGGGTCTTGTTTTTTCATTCATTCTGCCACTTTATGGTTTGATTGGAGAGTTTAGTCCCTTTACATTCAATGCAGTTATTGATAAGTAAGGACTTACTTGTGCCATTTTGTTACTTGTTTTCTGGTTGTTTTGTGGTCTTCTCTTCCTTCTTTTTTTTCCTTCCTGTCTTCCTTTAGTGAATGTGATTTTCTTTGGTGATATGATTTAGTTTCTTGCTTTTTAATTTTTGTGTATTCATTGTATGTTTTTTGGTTTGAGGTTACTGCGAAGCTTCCAAATACTGTGTTATAACCCATTATTTTAACCTGATAATAAGTTAACACTGTTTGCCTAAACAAGCAAACAAGCAAAAAGAAAACTAATAAAAACTTTACATGTTAATTTTATAATCCCATTTGTAAACTTTTTGTTGTCCCTATTTATATCTCACTCTACTGCTATGTCTTGAAGAGCTGTTGTAGTTATTATTTTTGATTGGTTCACTGTTTAGTGTTTCTGTTTAGAATAAGATTAGTTTACACCACAGTTACACTGTTATAATATTCTGTTATATTATATTATTTTCTATGTATTTACTATTGCCAGTAAATTTTGTAACATCGGGTGATTATTTACTGCTCATTTAAATCCTTTTTTTTTTTCTGACTGAGATACTCCCTTTAGCACTTCTTGTAGGACAGGTCTTGTGTTGATGAAATCTCTCAGCCTTGTTTGTCTAGGAAAGTCTCTATTTCTCCTTCATGTGTGAATGCTATTTTCACCAGATAGGGTAAAAGGTTTTTTTGTTGTTGTTTGTTTTGTTTTTGTTGTTGTTGTTGTTTTCCTTCAGCACTCTAAATGTGTCGTGCCACTCTCTCCTAGCTTGTAAGGTTTCCACTAAAAAGTCTGCTGCCAGACATATTGGTGCTCCATTGGGTGCTATGTGTTTCTTTTCTCTTGCTGCTTCTGGATCCTTTCTTCATTCTTGATCTTTGGGAGTTTGATTATTAAATGCCTTAAGGTAGACTTCTTTGGGTTAAATCTACTAGGTGTTCCCTAATCTTCTTGTGCTTGGATATTGATATCTTTCTCTAGGTTTGGGAAGTTCTCTGTTACTATCCTTTTGAATAAACTTTCTACCCCTATCTCTTTCTCTGTCTCCTCTTTAAAGCCAGTAACTCTTAGATTTGGCCTTTTGAAGCTTTTTTTAAATAGATATGCTTCATTGTTTTTTATTCTTTTATTTTTTGTCTCCTCTGACTGTGCATTTTCAAATAGCCTGTCTTCAAGTTCAGTAATTGGTTCTTCTGCTTGATTCATTCTGCTATTAAAGGACTCTGCTGCATTCTCCAGTATGCCAATTGTATTTTTCAGCTTTAGAATTTCTGCTTGATTCTTTTAAACTATTTCAATCTGTTGTTAAATTTATCTGATGGAATTTTGGATTCCTTCTCTGTGTTCTCCTGAATTTCTCTGAGTTTCCCCAACACAACTATCTTTAATTGTCTTTCTGAAAGGTCACATTTTTCTGTTTCTTCAGGATTGGTCACTGATACCTTATTTAGTTCATTTTGTGTGGTTATTTTTTTTTTCCTGGATGGTACTGATGCTAGTAAATGTTCTTCAGTGCCTGGACATTAAAGGGTTAGGTATTTATTGTAGTCTTTACTATCTAGGCCTGTTTGTACTTGTTCTTCTTGGGAAAACTTTCCAGATATTCAAAAGTACTTGGGTGTTGTGATCTAAGCTTTACTTGCTTTAGGCGGCACCCCAAGCCCAGTAATTTTGTTGTCCTTGCAGACACATAGAGGTACTGCCTCAATGGTCTTAGATAAGATCCAGGAGAATTCTCTGGATTAGGCATCATCTGGCAGAGGCTTCATCTTTTCCCTTACTTTCTCCCAAACAATTGGAGTCTCTCTCTCTCTCTCTTTCTCTCTCTCTTTCTCTTTCTCTCTCTCTCCCTCTCTCTCTTTCTCTTTCTCTCTCTCTCCTCTCAGCTACCTGAAGCTTGAGGTGAAGTGACATAAGTACTCCTGTGGCCACCACTGCTATGACTGCTCTGGGTCATGCCTGAAGCTAGCACAGCACTCGGTCTTGCCCAAGTCTTGTTGTTATCACTCTCTAGCCAGTGCCTGTGTTCTCCTAAGGCCCTGGAGTTCTCCAGTCAGCAGGTGGCTGACCTGAGTGGGTTCACAGATGCTGTCCAGGGGTCAGAGAAGAGTCAAAAACCTAAGAAGTCTGCCTGGTGTTCTATTGTACTGCAGCTGAGCTGGCACTCAAACCAAAAGATGCAGTCTTTCCCACTTTTTTATCTCCTTTCCAAAGGCAAAAGAGCCTCACTTCATAGCCACTGCCACCACAGACTACAGAGAATACTGCCAGACTACTGCCAATGTTCTTTTATGGCCCAAGGGCTCTTAAGACAGTTTTGGTGAATGCTGCCTGGCCCCTAGCACTTACCCTTTAGGGCAGTGGATTCCCCTGTTAGCCCAAAGCAGGTCCAGAAATGCCATCCAAGAGTCAATTCCTGGAACCAGGGACCCTAAGAGCTCATTTGGTGCTCAACCCTGCTGTGGCCATGCTGGCACCTGAAGTCAGCAAGTCTCAGAGGCTCACCCAAAGCCCTCGGGTAGTACTTAGGTATCACTGCTGGTTATTCAGGGCCCAAGGGCTCTTCAGTTAGCAGGTGATTAATATTGCCAGGACTGGGTCTTCTCTTCAAGGCAGCAGGTTCCCTACTGGCCCAGGGTGTGTCTAGACATATTGTCCAGGAGGTAGGGCCTAAAATAGGGGCCTCATGACTCTGACCAGTGCGGTATCCTCCTGTGGCTGAGCTGGTATCTGAGATGGAAGACAAAACCCTTCCCACTTTTCCCTCTCCTCTCCTCAAGCAGAAGAAAGGGATCTCTTTTGGAGCTGTGAACTGTGCAGTCTGGGGATATGGGAGAGGTGATGGCAGCACTGTGTTAGCAGCCCCAGCTAGTTGTCTCAATGGAACGCATGCCCTCCCAGTCCACTGTCTCTGGGCTCAGTTCAACACTAGGATTCACCTAAGAGTTACAGTTCTTACGACTTTTCAAGTTTACTTAGAGACCCAGAGCACATTAGCCCATTCTGGCAGAGATCTGTAGGAACTGCAGTTCTTACCTCTGGGATCACCAGTTCCCCTCTGGCGAGGGCTGTTTTAAATGCTCTCTCTGTGTGTGGGCATCAGCTGAGTTTGGTCCAGTTTTCCTTTTTGCTCTAACAGAATATTGCTGAGTTCCGTGTATCACAGTTGCTGTGTTCTCCCTTCCCTAGCACCTAGAGAGTTCACACTGCACTGCTTTTGTTAGGGGAGTGTGAAGAGTGGTGCCAGTGATTCAGGACTGTTTTTTCTATCTCTTCAGTGTCTGTTTCAGTGATACAAAGATAAAACCAAGTACTATGAGGGCTCACCTGATTTTTGTTTTTTATGAAGGTGTTTTTTTCTGTGTAGGTAGATGTTAAATTGGTGTCCTTGCAGGGGAATGATCAGTGGAGCCTTATATTCTGTCATCTTGCTTTACTTTCCTCTCAAAGAAAAAACTTTAAAAAATCAGTATGTGCATGATTTTTGTACATATACCTATCAGCATAGTATTGCTAAACACAATATATTTTCAAGAAGGAAGGTGATCATTTTTAATATGTTTTCTCTGCTTTGACAATCAAAATTTCATTCTTAAGAAGCAAATATTTTTTAGTTATTATTTTGAAGTTAAATCTCTTCGAATATATTGCCAGATCACTATTTTTTTCCTAATTCACATGTGTTCAACCACATTTATACCTTGTCCAAACATAGGATCTTCATTATTCTGGTTAGCTAACACAGAGGGACGTAAGTTGAACTTTTTATTTCATGATTTCTACAACATTATCTGGGAATTAATATTCAGTAACAAAGGCTTTTTAAAAAACTCACACATTTAAGGAGGAAATATGCATTATGCTGCCCGAAGAGGGATTTATAATTCTGAGACTCAATTCTGCAAGTGCAACAAGGACTGATACCTGTAAATACAAGCACCTACAAGGTTTGCACAGATACTGGGAGTTCATCCTTCATCAATGTGTTCATTGAATAACTAGGTATTTGGTTCTTCTTGGTGCCAGATGCTGTACTTGAGTGCACAGGGTATAAATAACAGGGCTCATAGTTGTTTACAGTGAGTAAAGAGCAAGATATATTACATAAGTTTCTTCTAACACTACATCTTTGGTCATAATCTTGAAGATTTTCATTCACTTAAGATGTATTAACTATGATTTCTGTTCACCCTTTCTTTTTTTCTCATTACAAAAAAAGTCTATATATTGTAGCCACAGAATAATTTAGAAAATATGACGTTATGTGTTTTTGGTAATTCTAAATTTTATAATGGTTTTAAGTTATCATGTAACCTTTTTATAAAAAAGATTAGATGATAACAATATCAATAACTGGCATTTATTGTGCTTTTCCTGTACTGGGTGCCAGGCACTGCTCTATATGCTCTACCATATGTATCTCTATGTATCTTCACAACAATCCAATTAGGTAGGTATTCATATCTGTTATCAAAGTTCTGGTATCCAAAACCCTGGAAACTGAAAGCTGTTTTCATTCAATTGATGATAAAATTTATTTGGTGGCAGAAGTCTGAACTGAATTGATTTCGGTTAATCATAATCTTTAACCAAATTTACTTAGTGTGAATATTTATATATTTAGCTGAAAAATACTTTCTTGTAATAGGTATTGCTGTGACTGTGATATGGAATATGGAGAGAATTACCTTATTATAATACAGTTTACATTGAGAAATACAGCTAGTCTCAGGGTTTCAGTAAAGGGATTGCAGAACTTTTTTTAATACCCATTTTACTAATGAGTAAACTGAGGTTCAACATGCTTAAGAAACTTGTCCAGGATAACATAGTCAGTGTCCGGAGAGGTAGTGTTGAAACTCAGTCTTAGATGGCTAAAAGTCAGGAATGACTAATCTCCCTCATATTCAAGTAATGTATGAATAGACATTAATGAATCAATGCTGTGGAAACAGTATAATTAACAGGAAAGAGCTTTTGTCTGAGTATTTGAGTATCTTTAAAAAGAAATTCTAACCCAAGTTCTATTACTAACTAGCTATTCAACCTTAGGCGAGTCTCTTAAATGATCTCTATTCTAAATTCTTGTTCATATGATGAGGATTATTATACCTTCTTTTAAAAAAATCTTGTAAAGTTAAAGTGCAATAATATTGCTGAAAGTACTTTGAAACTAATTAGTTCTATACTTATATAAGATGTTATTATAACAGTTTCATAATATAAAGAGATATTTTTGTTCCCTTGAAATGAAAAGTACATTAGAACCAAATCAAACTTAAAATACTCAAGAGAAGCATTTTCCAAAGTGCGTTTCACAGAACACCAATCTATGAAATACTCCAGGACAAAAACAATGTCGTGGTCCAAAAGTTGGAAAAAGATGTATATTATTTCTCCCTCCTGAAGATTCATAAGACTCACGAAGCTACTAAAGACCCTTATAATATTGCCTAAAGAGAACTCTTTTTTGTAGTATTTAACCCAGAATTTCCTAAATTCATTAAGCCACCCTCCCCACTTTAATAACATCTTTAATATCTTGTGAAACTATTTTGAGAAACACGTCTTAGGACATTTTCACAAAAGAATTAGTATTTAGAAAGCTAAAATTCTCATTATTGCTAGTTGAATTTTATTTCTACGTGGAAAATTATTTAGTTATTTTAGTAATAACAGTCATTCTGTTATATTTAGAAAAGTATAGTTTTATTTCCTTCTGCCAAAAATGTGTTCACAAAATATTATTTCTTTTTTCAACAATACTTCTCTCATAATGATATATCCTAGTAGAATAGCAATTTATTGGATTTCATCAACATTGCCATAAGTGTGCTACACAAAAGAATTCAATTTTTAAAGAGTTCTCATTTATTTATTTTTTCTTATTTTTGTTTATGAATAAAAAACTGCATACAGTTTTTTGGTATATTCCATTTTATGTGTTAGGGGGACATAGGGTGCCCAGATATTTGGTCAAATGTTCTTCTGTGTGTTTCTGTCAAGGTGTTTCTGAATGACAATGATATTTGAATTAGTAGACTGAGTAAAGCGGATTGCCCTCCCTAATGTGGGTAGACATTGTCCAGTCAGTTGAGGCTTGAATAAAACAAAAGACTTAGTAAAGCGAACACTGATGAAGCCAGGCGCAATGGCTCATCCCTGTAATACCAGGGCTTTGGGAGGCAAAGGTGGGTGGATAGCTTGGGCCCAGGAGTTTGAGGCCAGCCTGGGCAACACAGTGAAACCCTGTCTCTATAAAAAAAAAAAAAATAGCCAGATGTGGTGGTGTGCACCTGTAGTTCCGGTTACTTGGGTGCCAAGTAAGGAGGATTGCTTGAACGTGGGAGGTTGAGGCTGCAGTAAGCCAAGATTACTCCATTGCACTCCAGCCTGGGTGACAAAGTGAGACTCTGTCTCACAAAAAAGAAAATGCAAAGATTAATAGTACATGGTATGTGTTGTAGAAATAAACATTACAAAAACGAAAACAAAAAGGGGTTATTTACTCAGAATCACCCACCCTCTCTAGTATTTCCCAGTGACTCAAAGCAGGCAGTGGAGTGGGAAAAGTTCATAGTGAAAAAAATGTGAAGGCTTCATGTATGTTCTGATTAGAGATTATTGGCATGGGAAGCTGGAGGCAGGCTAGGTAGAGTCAGGGTATTTTTTGTCATTGTTTTAGGGAAGCATATTTGTCTTTCTCTGGTTGACCTGTAATTTGAAGTAGAGACAAAAATTAGGGAAGCTGGAAGTCATTAACTAAGTCCTGACCATTCTGGAGCAGTTGCTGAAGAGGCTGTGGCTTGGCTTGCTGGACAGGTTGCCAGGAAACTATAGAGGCTTTAGTTTAGAGTTCTATTTTTCTCTATGGTCTGTCCATTTGTACGTTCAATCTCTTGGTGAGACATCATTATAATATTATTGTGAAATAATTTTAGAAGATAAAGTAAAATTTTATATTATGTATACTAAGGGGGGGAGGGAAAGACTTTCATGGTTGTTTCTAGCACGGATAATGGTAATGGTCTCTCTGACAAAGGTATCATATTGATCATCAAAGCCACTGATAGAGAATATGGAACCATAGGACCAACAAATCAATAGTGGTAGGAGGTGTGGGAAAATTTCTGAAAATTATACTCTATGGATTTAAGTAATAAATTTAAGGTGCATACCCAACCTATCTTTTCTGTGAAGAGATGCATGATCTATTCTAGTGTACATTGTTAGAATATACCTTATTCTTATCTAACTTTAATTATGGCAGCATCAGCAAATTTCACACTGACTCTCCAATTTAGCAGATTTTGCTGGCAGACTTTAGCCAGTTTATCCCGATAGTTGGTCTACTAATTCACATTAGCCTCTGTGGAAGAGCAAATTGCACTTAAGTAGAAGAGTGATGTATTTAAATGACAGATCTGCATATACAGAACCTCTCACATCATGAATGTAAAAAGGTGAGGAGCAGAAACCTCGGTTGCTCATTTGTTTTCCTTGAATGATCATTTGCATTATTCACTTTCAAAACATAAATGGGCTCTTTTTATTCTCACTCACATATGTATCTGCCATATAGTATCTAAGAAAAACATATGCATAGCTCTAAGAAAATGATGTATACATTCTTGTGAAGTAGAACACTTATTTTTCAAAGATCAAGAGAAAACTTATTTTTTGCTTTTAGCAATAAGATAGCATTGCTAAACAGAAAAGTGTTAGGTTCTTTGCAGCCTTTTACAAGAAATGACTATACAATTGTACCTAGAATATGCCTGTTACAAATAAAATACA
The DNA here is from genome assembly GCF_000001405.40 of Homo sapiens. NCBI lineage: Eukaryota > Metazoa > Chordata > Mammalia > Primates > Hominidae > Homo > Homo sapiens. The sequence continues at coordinate 187,229,514 of NC_000001.11, forward strand.
TATTGTTTTGTGTCTTTCATTTAGATACTTTATTGAATAATGGATGATTATTTATGTCTTCAATTTCTTTGGCAAGTCTTAGAGTTTCAGCTCTGTAGACCATTAAGTTGCAAATGATACAGCTTCTTGCTTCACAAACTGAAGTGCCCTCAGCAGCAAAGAATGCATTCAAGTCCCCAGGCACTCCACTGGGGCCATATTTGGGACAAGTGACATTTTTAAAAGATTGTTTGAGGGTTGAGTAGGGAGAAAGTTAAGTGTGATCTGTTTCTCACAGGTCAAGTTGTTTGTGTTTTCACAAGGCTGACATAGGGTTTCTGATCAGCAATCTCAGGGAAACAATTGTAAAAGTCTTTTCAGTGGAGAGATAACCCTGTAATGCTATTTATTTAACACACATACGCTATATATGTTTCACATGCAAAGTGAAGTACTAGCTCAAACAAATCAAAGTTGTCTCCATCTCTCAAACTTAATTTTTACTAGAGAAATGTTATTTCCTTGTCTAACTTCAGGGTCTGATCCACAATTTAGGGAATCAACCATTAAAATAAATAATAAGATAAACTATTTTGCTTTGTGTTGTTTGAGACTGTTCCACTTTAGAAAAAATATCTGTTAAAAAAGCCGATGTCTGACCCTTTATCACTAAACTCTTATCTGATCCCTTGCTACTCAAGCGTACAGTGGTTTCATGTTCCATATTTCATTTCATCTTTTGACATGCAATCTCATTTTTCAATGTGAAGAAAGTAATGAATTAACTTGGTGCTCAAAATAGTCATAAAAAGCCAAGATTGTCCACTTATTTAGGCAAGGTACCAGTATTATTTTTCAATTACAATAAATTGACCTAAAATAATCAATCTTCAAATTAGTCTTTTTATACCATCTAACCATTTTAAAAATTTCAGTTGATTGGAGGAAAAAAAATGTGGAAGTAGGAGAATATAAATAAATGATAAAATGGCTAATGGTGCATCCTGGAGAGGTAATACCCCAGATGCAAGCATTCTTTCCCCCACTTTGTCTGTGAATACCAGAAAAAAATTACCTTACACGTCTTCTGAAATTCTATTCACAGGTTATTTTGACATCATATTTGGCCAATGACTGTGTAATTTATTTCTTTTTACAAACATAATCACTTTAAATGATTAGATTACATTAGTAAAGTAGCTGGACATTATTACCCAAGCTTACATCCAGCTCTTAGACAAAAAATTCTACTAACCTCAAGCTCCCAGAAGTTTAGAAAGTCATCTGCGTGCAGTGAATCCCTTCAAAGTCTTATTCAACAAGCACATCTTTTCTAGGTTAGTGGTCTGGGTTTTTTGTTGTTGTTGTTGTTGTTTTGTTTGTTTGTTTGTTTGTTTGAGATGGAGTCTTGCTCTGTTTCCCAGGCTGGAGTGCAGTGGCACAGTCTTGGCTCAGTGTAACCTCCACCTCCTGGGTTCAAGCGATTCTTGTGCCTCAGCCTCTGGGGTAGCTGGGATTACAGGCGTGCGCCACCATGCCCAGCTAATTTTTGTATTTTTAGTAGAGGTGGGGTTTCACAGTGTTGGCCAGGCTGATCTCGAACTCCTGACCTCAAGTGATCTGCCCGCCTCGGCCTCCCAAAGTGCTGGGATTATAGGCATGAGTCACTGCGCCTGGCCTGGTGGTCTGTTTTTTAACCTCAAACAGATTTTGCTGTATCTGTAATACAAGATGGGTTAATAGTAACTTAATTGTACTTTTTAAAATAATGAAAAGAGTATAATTAGATTGTTTGTAAAAGAAAAGATAAATGCCTGAGGTGATGGATTCACCATTTAGCCTGATATGATCATTGCACATTGTATGCCAATGTCAAAATATCCCATATGCCCTATAAATATATGCATCCACTATGTACTCAGAAAAATTAAATTTTTTATAAAGATGCCATCAAATTGTTCTTATTTAGCCAATTGCTTATTGAAAAATGAATATGTCATTTTATTTTGCATTTTGTAGCTTGATCATGATGTAGAGGTACTTTTTCCACTTTCTTAATATCACTAATGATTCTTTGCATTTTCTTTTGTTTAGTTGTCTTTTTGAAAAATCTATTTTTATTATTGATTTGTAAAAATTTTTCCCAAATTTTTCAAGTTATTTGCTTTAGTTTTTTAATATCGAATTTTTTTATTTTATGCAAGCCTATTTATTATGCTTTTCTTCTGTGACAGTGTAGTTATTAAGAACACAGGCTATGGAGGCATATACATATGAGTTTAGTCCCAGCTTTACCAATTAAATGCTGAATGACTTTGGACAAGTTGCTCAACCTTGCTGAATCTCATTTTTCTCTTTAGTAAAGGTGATGTAAGGACAGTACCGATCACATGTAGTAATCACGTCTGCTACATGAAATATTATGCTTAGAGCATTTACCATAGGCTTAAAGTAGTTTATTTATTTTTCCTGATATAGGATAAACATTTCTATTTAAATATTCTATTTTTTTGTAATTAACTTTTTAATTAATTAGAATTGATTTAACATGTGTTATGATATATAGTCAGGACTTACTTCACCTGCAGCAAATATTTAAATAGTTTTTTTAGCTAATTAAAATAATTTGACATTTTTCCGCTTAATTGATGTCACTATGGCAATACATTAATTTTAATTATACATATGTTTATATACTTGAGTCTATTTCTGTGTTTTGATTTTATCCCATTAATCAAATTTTCTTATAAAATTACAGCTATTCAAGAATTAAAAATTCATTACATATTTTATTATCTACTTGTGCAAGCTTCTCAATAACATTTTATTTAAAATTTTTTCTGTTGAGTTTCACATGTATAACATTTTACATTAACTAATCAATATTAGAATTGCTTGGTGAAGTCCACTTGACACTTTGACACAAAACTGAAATTGCATTTAGTGTATATAAATGGATTTGTTTATTATGATTATTTTCACATTATAAAATCCCATTCAAGAATAGAATTTGTCTCAAATATTTTAATGCTATTTTATGTCCTTCATTAATGTTTTCCATTATTCCTAAAAGCCTTACACTTTTCTCTTTGCTTAGTTTTAGGTTAGCACTGGCCAGTAGAACTTTGAGGCTATCCACAAATTTAAGCCACATATGCAAATTTAAATTTTCTAGTAGCCGTAGTAAAAAAAAGTACTAACAAACAAATGAAATTAACACAGAGAAACCCCGTCTCTACTAAAAATACAAAAAAATTAGCCGGACATGGTGGCGGGCGCCTGTAGTCCCAGCTACTCGGGAGGCTGAGGCAGGAGAATGGCATGAACCCGGGAGGTGGAGCTTGCGGTGAGCCGAGATCGCGCCACTGCACTCCAGCCTGGGCGACACAGGCTAGACTCCATCTCAAAAAAAAAAAAAAAAAAAATTAATTACAGATTGTATTTAACTCAATATATCCAAAAGAATGCCATTTAACCTGTAATCAATCTAAAAGTATTAATGAAATATTTCACCTTTCTTTTCTGCTAAGTCTTTAAAATGCAGTGCATAGTTTACATTTTAGTTTGGACAAGCTACTTACAAATACTCAACAGCTGCATGTGAGTTAAAGCTACCGTATTGAACAGCACAGTTCTGGACGTCTTAAGATAGTTTATAATTGCCATTCTGAACAGAATATTTTTATTTTATTATATTTTCTTGGAATTCTTTGTTTCACATGATAGCTATTTTTTTGTACACTTTGTGTTTTTTTATTTTTTTATTTTGTGGGTACATAGTAGACACATATTTTTGGGGTGCATGAGATATTTTGGTGTAGGCGTACAATAATCACATCATAGAAAACTGGGTATCTAACCGCTCAAGCATTTATCTTTTGTGCTATCAGCAATCCCATTGACTCTTTTAGTCATTTTAAGATACACGACTAAATTATTATTGACTATAGTCACCCTATAGTTGTCATCCTATACTGTACTATTGTACAATCAAATACTGGGTCTTATTCATTCTTTCTGTTTGTTGTTTCTACCTGTTAGCTATCCCCACTTCTTCCCCCACTTCCTCACTACCCTTCCCAAACTCTAGTAACCGTCCTTCTACTCTCTATCTCTGTGAGTTCAATTGTTTTGTTTTTTAGAGCCTACAAATAAGTTAGAACATGTGATGTTTGTCTTTCTGTTCCTGGCTTATTTCACTTAACATAGTAACCTCAAGTTCCATCTATGTTATTGCCAATGACAGGATCTCACTCTTCTTTATGGCTGAATAGTACTTACTAGTGCATATGTACCACATTTTCTTTATCCGTTCATCTGTTGATGGACACTTAGGTTGCTTCCAAATCTTAGCTATTGTGAACAGAGCTGCAACAAAGATGGAAATGCAGGTATCTCTTCAATATGCTGATTTCCTTTCTCTGGGGTATATAACTAGCAGTGGGATTGCTGGATCATATGGTAGCTCAATTTTTAGTTTTGTGAGGAACCTCCAAACTTTTCCGCAGTGGTTATGCAATTTATTCTCATTATTGATATCTTTTACTAATTTTAATAGTTTCTATCTATGCAGGCCTTGGGTTGATCTAAGATCATTATATTATCTGCAAAGAGAGATACATATTTCTTCTTTCCAACTTTTATGTCTCTTATTTCCAGAAAAAAATGTAGACATTAGAATAATAATAAGCTTCCCTGTTCTATTCCTAATATGATCAGGCATTCTGCAAATGTTTGAGCATTAAATTGGTGGTATTCATTTGAGACAGCTATTGTATACCTGTTAAATAAATAAATAAAGGTCTTTCTACCACAGTTCATTAAAAAGGTTATTTTATCTATTTATTTTGTTTTGTTCACTTTGATGAAAAGAGGAAAAGATGTTGAATTTGAGTTAATGCCCTTTGCTCACTTATTTGGATGTACAGTTGAGTTCTCTCCTCTCATCTATTAAGTACTCGCTTATAGTGGATTAATTTTTGCATTTCTACCGCAAATTCTTCTTGGTCAGGTTGTATTAATTTCATAATATATAGCCAAAATAGTTTTTGTTACCATTTTATTTAAATTTATTTTATGTATATATAAACTTGCTTTTTCATAATGTATTATTTTGCATGCTATATTTTAGGCTCGATATTAAGAATATGCAAGTTTATAAAATGAATCTGAAAACTTACCATCTCTGTATCTCTGAAGCAGTTTATGAAGTGTAGGAAACATTTATTCTGCCTTAAAAATACACACAGTATAAACACAATGGAGGAAATCATAAAAGGAGTCCTTATTAATAGAGTTAAAATCACTTGCCTATGAAAAGAATGATCCTATGTTTTAGTTACTTGGTCCTCTCAAGCTTCTCTTGGTAACATGTTAAGCTCAGGCCAAAATTATGTCACAGATGTTTTGTTTTCACATACTTTCTGATTACTGCATTTTGTGTTTCTATTATGTCTTAATTACATATTGAATGATTAATTAATCTTCCTTGTTTTAGTTATGCAGCTTGTAGCAGGGAAGGTTAATTGTCATGCTATAGGCCTTGAAAATCTCTTTCCAAGAAAAAGATTTTGTTACAGACCTCGCTCTAGCATGTAACTATGAGTGCCACAGCCACAGCAATTAGACCAACCAGGAACACTTGTTTCAAGGACAACAGTTGTACAGCAACCAATGATCTAGTAAACCTGATGAGCCAGAGTCATCAGATTTTTCTCTCTTAGGAGTATGGCTAAAAACATGCAGGAATTTGATGGTCATTGTTAGAAGCTGCAATCGAAAGATCATGAAAGCTAGTTGAGCCTTAAAAATGTATAATGGTTTATTTATAAATTGATGTTGCTAAGGAATAGGAGCTAAAGGGAGTCAGTCAGTTATTTTAAGTGGGAAAGAAAATAGACAATCAGAACGTAGCTTAATCAACTTAATGGTGTAGTATCGGAATGAAAACCATAACTTTCTTCTCTGCTAAGATTATTGCACCAATTCTTAATCCATACTCTCCATGTGGCTCCTGTTTTCCTGAGATTGTTGCACTTAAACTCCTGGCCTTGAAATTCTAGAGGGGATCCACCTGTCTTCAGGCATAACAAAAACCATGATTATCTGAAGTAGTTATTTCTTTTTCTTGCAACAAAAGTAGCTTCATCCGATAAGTTGCCTTTACAAAATCCACCTTCTGAAGTGCAAAATGTATGTAAATGGTAAAACTATTACGGATATCTTGGATCAGACAGCTAGGTGAAATTCTCTAACTACTGTTAGATTTGTCCATATTTATTTCCAAATATTATACCTATATACTGAATTGTATGGTATAGCCTATTAAATAACAGAACAGGACATTTTAATTTATTTAATGCTGAATATATAAAAAAATTTATTTTGTGAAAGTAAAGGAGACTAACCCGTATATGGGAAAATTTTTAATTTGACATGAAATAAAAACAAAAAGCTTCTTTCAAACTCAAATTGCTAGCTAACCATTTGATCTATTTTTTTAATTCTTAAATTACCTAGCAATAAGTCATGTCATTCTCTACAGACTAGTTTTTTTCATAAGACCAACACTATTTTAAAGATGAGAAAGATAGGAATAACCAGAGATGTAGATAAATAATTTTTACAGTTATTTATCGTGATTTCAGATTACATTTTGAATGCCATCTCTCTGTAATCAGATATTTTTTAAAGCAATGTTAAATGTTTGCCCTCGGTTGTGAGATATCTTCCCCTGCCAAGAGAAACAAAGAATGTCCATGAAAATCTTTATGACTTAGGGGAGCATGTGTCAGCCCAGAATTCCATGAAGAGCACTATCAAGCAGCCTTCATACCAGAGAAAATTTCATTATCTGGAATAATCAATTGTTTTGGGTCCAAGCTAAGAATGATATTAGCTTGTCTGGAAGTGACAATCTAAATGGGTCAAGCCCAGTTGCTGCTGACTAAAATAATACCTGTCTTAATACTGGAATATCTGGGGAATAGTGCCATTTAGAGAAATGAAAAAGTAAAATTGAATTGTAAAATGAATTTGTCTTCACTTGTCATCACGCTTTATTTAGTTTACACTGGCAATTTAAAAGCCTCATATTTCAATCTTTTAGGGCACAATATCACTTAAATTCGTCCTTCCCTTGTGTGCTCAGGGTGGGGGTCATGGTTGTGCAATGCATTATTTTAAGTGCATATTGGCATGACATACAGATACTTAAGAAAGAACCCTTCTGAAAAGGAGAGGAGAGACAAGGCAGATATTACTGGTCCCTGTGAATGAGAGACATGCAGTGTAGAGTGTTTGGCCCACTGTTAGCAAGCTATTTAGTCCTGCTAACAGTGAATTCTCTAGGATGACAGCAGGATTTGTCAGTGGCGGCTGCTTGACAAGTTGAAGTGAGAGGGGCACAAGAAGATAGAATGAAATCACATTGCAGCACAGCCTCAAAAGGTTCAGCATAGGCATGGGATACAGCACAACACGGCAGCTGAACAAGCAACTAGATATTTCACAGGCAAGACAGACAACTCTTTCCTAAGCCAAGATAGTGTGTAGTATATGAGCAGAAGAGGATCCATGACTAAATCGAATTTTTTAAATGTCTTATCTTAGAACACGTAGCTGTTAGGACACACTGAAGTCCAGCCCAGTGAATGTCATGTAAAAATTTAAATGACACAAATACAAGAGTTCATATTTGAAGGTGGGGAGGAAGAAAGCCAGAGAAAGAAAAAAAATGCTTTATAGCAGTATAGGTTATTTGAGGAGTGTATACTCCTGAATAAATGTGACTTGGGAGTTATAATGTTGCTGTTCTTTTGGGTTTCTCGTAGGCAGATCATCTCTATCTCCCTGCTCTTACTGTACTTTTCAAGTTTAAAGGTATACACTTTATTTTTGTAATAGCATCTCTCCTAAAAACATAGCAGCTACTTTAAATAAATTCATCCAATGCTGAGAGAATAAGGTGACTGACATGGTATACTGTTCTCTACTTAACCACTTTATTAGCTCTTTTCAAAGGCAATTTGCCCAAATATGATTTTCATCTTATGCACTTACTTTAGAATATCATCTCTAGGTAAAATGAGCACCATGGTGAAAACACGTATTTCAGAGGGAAAGAGAAATAGGACTTTTAAAGCGTGTCACAATTTGTGGATAACATTTAAACAGCGGCATTCTTCAGAGAAGAGCAATGTGCACACAAATATTTTCATGGTAACTCTCATCTGAAAGGAGTACATATTTGATAGTAACTGTCATCTGAAATGCTTACAGATCTTAAAGGATTACTGCATATGTTGTAAGACTGCCCCAAAAGATGATTACTTCAACAATAAAAGATGTTTAAAATAACAACTTTTATTATCTTATATGTTTACAATGATGTGACTGCACCTAAAGGTGAATGCAAGATGGCCAGTGGGGGTGAGGGGAGAAAACACTAGAATGCGTATTTTTTATATAAAAAATAAGAAATAAATTTATTCTTATGAATTTTAACCATAACTTTGTGTCCTCACTTTTTACATCAAATAAGGATGTCACCTATATAGCACATAACTGTACTGAGAGAATATTGAGAGTTCCATAGAAATCTGAATATATAAGTATTGATATTATTATTATTATTATTCATTTAAATTATAAATTATAAGCTTGAGGCATAATAAATATTTTCCATTGTTACAGATCAAATTTGGATAACAAATATTTCATGACTGGTATCTTAAAAACTCAATATTGATTTTAATGACCTAAATCTTTGATGAACAATGTTAGGGCAAAAAATTGTTTTACCCGTCTTCCTTAAAGAGCTAAAAAAAAATAAATAAAATAAAAGGAAAACAAAAATTATTCAAATATAGCTGTTTCTACAATTTAAGGCCTTTTACCTCTTTCAGATATTGTCATTTTTTTCAGAATATCTTACATATCTTTAGGTAGAAATGTTTATCTGTACAGTGGGGTCATTGATGGCTTTCCACTGCAGAAACATTTTGGTTGGGGGCACAAATTTTATGGCTGTTGATCACAAAAGTAGCTTTTTAAATATTACTCTTTCTTTATTTACTAAGAGAAATGCAATAGCCTTGGTTCTTCTTACGCTGAAGTAGTGCTCTTGTTATTAAAGTAAGGATGACAGTTCTAACAAAAACTTAGAAAGCACATGTAAAAGTACCCTTTATTAATCTTTGAAGTGTTATTTAAATAGAAGGGCTAAATATACTTATCATTCATTCGCAGTGGAAAATGATTTAACCTCCACATGGGGACAATCCGTTTTCATGCTTCATAGCATTGGGTTGATAAGTTAATCACTAAGAGAATATTGAACTTATCATCACAATGAAGCCTCTTACCTGTATCATAACAGCAGGGCTAACTTTAGACTTACTTTTAAAATTGCCCCAGTTGTCCCCTTTGAGTAATTCTTCCCTTTAGTGCCTTCTAACTGCTCCTCCCCAACTGTCATGATTGCCCCTTGGAAAGCATGATTATCTGGGACATTTTACTCCTGGCCTAGGAAATTTACTTGTATAGCTCCTGGGGTCTCAGAGAGATAAAGTTAAATTTTATTATTCAAAGAATCATAGTCATAATTAGAGTTTCATGCCAGTTATGAGGACAGAGGGTATCAAGGCAGATCAGTGGTGGGGGAGGGTGTGGTGGGGGGGTGCCATATTTGAGCCTGGAGATATCTTCAAATCATAGGTGGTTGGAAATTGCTTACTTTCTTTTATGTCCCTAAGACAAAAAGATACACAATGTATATATCAAGATGAGGTTTAGGAACATTTTCGTAACATACAGAATCTTCTAAGATGTAAAAAGATCTTGACAATTAACATAGTCCAACCTCTTCCCCATATAAAAGAATCATAATTAAAAGAAGGAAGATTTTAAAATTTCTAATTGTATTTTTGTAAATAAGACTATGTAATTCTAAATAGATTTATGGGATACAGTTTTAGGTGTGAATAAAATGTGAACAAAAGCATTATCCAAAGAACAGCTGTTATGGAAATTTCCAAGATGGGAGAACAAAAGAAAACAAATCTCCAGAAATGAAATATGTATTCAAAACTTGCAAATAGATTTTAATATCAGGTCATAAAAACCTCAAAAAGAAAGTCAGTGCGTAACCATGACAAGAAAATAAAAAAGGAGTCCAAGAATCTATTATACGACCATAACAATGAACAAAATCAAATTTTGGTACAAAGAAAGGACAGTACAGAAATAAAGTAATTGTAGTTGTGCACAGAAAAGTTACCCAGGAGATATAAACAGATCTAAGTGAGGATAAAAATCAGCTATACAGATCTTAATAACTCTTATTGTCAATGAAAGTAGAATCCCAAAAGAGAGACTGAAAAGTTGAACAATTCATTGGCTGGCAATAGAAGAAAATAAAATGTGAAAACAGCTAGATAGGGACTTAGATGTTATTTTAAAGTTAATGCACTGTGAAAAGGAGCAGAGAAATGAACATACCCAGCATCACAGTAATAACCAAAGTTCAGGAAAGTTGGTAAGAAAATTCAATGCCTCTTTATCATATTCTATACACAGAGGAGACAATCTGCCAAGAAATCTTTATAGGTTTGACACAGAACTTTACAAATCAGACGAACTGAAAAACATCATTAGCAAAAAGAGGAAAAAAATATAATTATGTAGCCGGCTCAGCCTTTTAAGTGGAAGAAAGGAATCAAAAAAGATGCCAACTCAGAAACATGATGAGACCTTTTATAAATGCTGCTGGGGGCCTGGGCAACATCTTCTTTTGAAAAACATTGTATCTGTCCGTGAATGGTTTTTATATTTCAAGGGGCCATGGTTTGATTAACTCTGTCTTTTATCGCCTCCATAGTCTTCCTGATCTTTGCTTTCCCCATTTCCCACCCACCCCACATCACGATCTCAGATCTTTTTATTTCTGACCTCCTTCTTTATTGAGAAAATTGAGAGACCCAGGCTTAAATTCTCTCAACTACCTGCCCCACTGTTATAGACTTACTTATATCCAACTGAGCCTGACCTCAAACACTCCAGGTTCAGCTGAAGGGGTATATTTCCTGCTTTTTTATTTCAACAGCTCCTCCCTTACCCTTAACCTCAGTCTTTTCTATCTAAACTAAGTACTTGGTCTGTAGGAAGACCAAGATGGCCTTAAGGCCATCTTGAAGAAACTTTCGAAAAGCTTCTTCCCGTTGGGTTCGATTGTAGACTCTTGACCTCTCTTTACTTAGAACATTTACTTTAGAAAACTTGTAATTGTGAATCTTTTCTCTATCCTTTTGACATGTAAAGTTTATAAAAAGCTACTGGCTTAAAAAAAGAAAACAAACAAACAAACAAAAACACAAAATTCCAGAAATGTCTTTTTCAAGGACATGGAAGCCATTCCTTAAATAAGGGTGCTATCTTTCTTGATGAAAAATTTCCGTGGGAAGATAGGAGCCTAACCTCCACAGGTAAGGCAACTAAATTGTAAAACAACCTCATGTCATGAAGATATGAGAAAGTTTACTCTCCTTTTGAGCAAAGTCTATGATCAGAGAAGGCCTATGATCCCCCTATCCCAGATCTTCAAAACTTTCTAGTCATTTGTCTGAGTTGAGTTCAGAGTTCAAACTCTCTCTCCTATAACAGTCACCTTGAATAGAGTCTTCCTATTTAACTTTGTCCAGTGCTAGTTTTGCTTTGATTATCTTAACTTTTTTCCAACAATTTAAAACACTTCCTGTCTACAGGGTCATTTCATCAATTATAATAAGGCTTAGCTGTCCTATACTCCCCAAGCATCCTTCTAGTCCTTTAGTTACCAGCTTCTTTTTTTCACTCATCCAAATTTCTTAAAAGATGAGTGCCCACTTACTATCCCATTTAATTTTCTCATCTACTATACACTTCTGAAATTACTGCAACATTGTCATTCCACTGTAGCTTTTCTAGCTACTATTACCCATAAACTAAAAACTGTCAAATCTAATACACATTTAGTTCTTATTTGAACTTACTGTACTGCCATTGTTGGCTCCTTTCTCTTTGACATTCTTTCATATCCCTTTGCTTCTGTGACAACATGCTTACCCTGGCTCTCTTCCTTCTGCTTTACACACTGCTTCTTAACCTCCTTTGTTGGATTCGATTTTTCTGGGCATCATGTTAATATTCTTAATCCTTTTCTTCTTTTCATGTTCCATTCACTCTCTGAGAAAGAGCTTATCCACATCCAATAATGTTGATAACACAGGCCCCACTTCTGACTTCTAAACTCAAGTCTCCACCCACTTAGTGGACATCCTCACTTGACTCAAATACAGATGCACTATGTTTATTATCTGAATTCACCTTTCCTCCGTAGGTATTTTTCTCTCTTTCCATTCTAGCTCTGGAGGTGGCACAAAGCTTCGCATGGTCTCCCAAGCCCAAATCTGAGGACCTTCTCATATCCCTTCTTCCTTACCCTGCACATCTAAATAATTAGCACATCTTGCTTCTAAAACCCTTCTCAAAAACAAGAAACATGTATGTCTGATTCACTCTTACACCCTTTCAATTGTTTCAATGATTCTCCAGCTCTTACACAGTGAAGAGCCAGTTGTTTAGCAGACTTAAAGGACACCTGTGACCTGGATCATGCTAAGCTCCTAAATTATGTCAGCCACCTTTCTTTTTCTTGCAATTCAGCAATTTTCAAATTGTTGCTAATGGCTCAGTTTATTTCCTCACACATTGTCACAGGATTCTTCTCTATAATTTGTTAAGACTCAGATCAAATATTATTTCCACTGGGAAGTTTATTCCAAGCTATACCCCCTTCACACTTGATGGACATTTATGCAGTGCCTGATGTAAGTAAGGCCTCAGTAAGATTGAGTAAATATTAATAGAACTATGAAATGTTGTAATGTAGTCCACCTAGAAAAATCTATATTTATAGTTCTTTTAAATTACTGAAATACTAATTGGGAAAAATGTGAGGAGACAAAAATGAGAAATAAAATATTACAATGATTTTTATTCAAATTTTTTTCTTTGTAAGATATATAATATAGCTGGATTTAGTAAAGACCCTTTTGAAACCATTCCTGTGCTGAACAATATTCACAGAATAATCATACATCAATCTTGTTGTATTTCCTCAGTAGGTTTAAATGATCATACAATTTCTTCAATTACAACTAGAGCTAATTTAATAAGAAAATGTAAAGACTCTCTCTCTCCTTTGCTGGAGCACAGCAAGAAAGTTCTAATTTTGTTTTGCATATACATTTGTTTTGCAATAAAATATTTTCAGATTATTTCACATTGTAAATTTTAGGTTACCTTTTGGGATCAGTCAGGTTTTCCCTGGCAAGAGAGTAGATAATGACAAGATAGTGAGTTTATACTAATTAGATCATGTTAGGGGTTGACAGATACTAATTAATTGAACTGAAAACTGTGGTTACAGTGATTTATATACAGTTCTATAACTGCATTAAAATAAACCCTTTGATAACATTTACTGAATATTTACTATGCAACAGGTCCTCATCTAAAAGCACTTCTCATGAATTAATGTACCGAATTCTTACAACATTCCTTTAATATAGGTATTATTATTCTTTTCTTTTTGCAACCAAGGAAACAGAAAAATAGAGTTGATTAAGGTTACACAAGTAGAAAATGGCAGGTGGTTTAGCTCCAAAACTCATGTTACTGTATTTTAAAACTCATATTCAATAAAATATAACATTCTGGTATATTTTAGTTATATCTCCCTTCATACCATTCAGTTATAAATAATACGCTTGTGATAATTATTTTTAGTTTGAGGGACTAAGGATTTATCTTATTTTTATATTGTTTTCTTTCATAATAAATATTCTCATCTTCTGTCCCATTGTCTTTCCCTGTTATTTCTGCTACGGCACTGTTCTAATGTTGACTCATATTAATGTTATAATTATTTCGTAGATGAGAAAACAGAGGCATAGGAAGGTTAACGGGTATTCCCAAGGTCACAGAGCTAGTAAGTGGTAATGCAGGGATTTAAACTCAGGCAGGTCAGACAGAACCCATGCTCTTTATTAGATTATGTTGCCTATGTTTAAAAGTGTTCAAATTCAGTCTTTTACATTGAAAATAACTTTTTTAGGTAGAATGAAATCTCTTGTTTATATTTTTGATCTATTATTGATAGATAGTATTTTTAAAAGAGTTGTAGAATTTAATTAAATTATTCTCATTTTATATGTGGAAAAATGGAGCTATAGATGCAAATGAAAGAAAGTAGGGATTTATGAATTTCTATTCCCTGCTTAACTTTTGTTGATACTTCAATAGTTGCAAATCTTTTTCTAAAACTTCAAGGGCATCCCCCAACATTCCATATGATAACTCTTTTGAAGCCCTTTGTGAAGACATAGATAACTTTCCAATTCTCTTTGATGTAAATGCCAATTTAGATGCTTACAGAACTCATCAAATTTTACACTATTGAGTCATCACTCAGCTGAGAATGGAATGGGGGCATTGATATAACTAGTAATTGAGTTGTGACAACTTAACATATGTTGTGGTCTTACCTGTATCACACACTGTGCAAACTCCTTTGTCTGCATTATACTAAAAAATAATTTCAGCAATTGTAGGGTGGTCACTGATTTTGTTTTTCATTTTATATGTCAGAAAATAAAGACAGATAGATCAATGTCATTAATTTCACAAGCTAATAAATTTTGCAAGCTGATAAGTAGAAGAGCCAGGATTTTAGTCCACTTGTTTTGTCTTTGGGTTTGACTCTAGCGCCATCTTAGAGGTTGCCAAAAATCAACTTTTACTTTTATTATTAAGATTTCCTGTTGGCTTTTCATAATAAAATATACGAATCCACAAAGTAAGCGTTGTTGGAAGGGCATGCAAAGGGCCCTGAAAGAAAATGCTTTTTTTTCTGAGGCTACATTTTGTAAAATTTTTCCATGGAATGTTAGGATGTTAGATATAACTATATGAATACACATATATACATATATATGGAGAGAAATTTCGCCACAGAAATGATAGAAATCATTACTAAAGGGAAATTATAGCAAAAGAACTTAGAGTGTAATTTTTAGCTGGAGAAGAAACAGTATAGTTAGTGATTAAGTTTTTTTTTTTTTTTTTTTTTTTTGGTCTGAGAACATGTTTCAAGATAGAAGAAAATGAAGAAAAGTAAAATAACAAGGTCAGGGGCAGCAGATGTATCCTCCTTGTTGTCCTAGGGAGAGAACGACAAGCAAGGAGCTGGCAGGAAGCCCAGAAACCTGAGGTTGAAACTCTTAGCATTATTTCATAGCATGCCTAAAATGCTGACATGAATGAGAGGCCTCCAACAGGTATGCGGAAGACTCTGACGACTCAATGACAGTGGTCGATTGTGTTTCTGTGATCACTTGTACTGCAGCAGGGTAACAAATATGAAAGGGTGACAAGAAAGGGCAAAAAAATATTCAAAAGCTTGTATTTGCTACACTGAGCTTTAGGGCAATGGTTATTTTATCCTTTTTGTTTTATTATTTTTCAAGTTTTTTTTTCCTAAACCTCTTTGTCCCTATAGGATAGTATTCCTTACTCGTTCATGATTTCAAAGCACGTGTTGCTTTCTCTACAGACATGGTCAGACCCTATTTTGAAATAGATGACATTTTCATTGCTTACTCTGTTCAACTTTTATATTTAATTTTCACTGGGATATCCACTACTTTTTTTTCTCACTGGGCATTGGCTTATACTTGGGGAAACTATATCATCTAAACTTAACTTTACATTCAAGCTTGTCTGTTCTTTGAGAGTGGATGTTAGTGACTTGATATATTATGCCTTGTGGGCAACGTATTTGCATTTTTACTGGTGCTTTTTGAATGCCTGATTCCATAAAAGAAACTTATAGCATTAACATTATAAAGGAGGTGAGGTTTTTCCTCTAGTAGTGTTTGTTAACTCTTTCCCAAAAGTAGCCCTTACCTCTATTAGTAATCTAATACTCTCAGGGGCTATATTATTAATACTCCAAATATTTATTTAACATATATTTATTCCATATTTACTATGTGGCAAGTACTAAGCTTAGCAGAAGTGTGGCAAAGATAAAAAAGACAATCCCTGTAGTTAAGAAACTCAAAACTAATAGAAAAGGCTGACACAATTATAAAGGCTATCAATTTCTTCCTAAATATTTTATTCTTTTTGACGTTATTGTCAATGGGATTGTTTCCTTAATTTTTTGGATAGTTTGTTGTTAGTATATGGAAATGCAACTGATTTTTGTATGTTGATTTTGCATTTTGCATACTTTAGTGAATTTGTTTATTAATTCCAACAGTTTGTTTTTGGTGGAGTCTTTAGGGTTTTCTATATATATGATCATGTCATAGGCAGAGACAATTTAACTTCATTTCCAATTTTGATGCCTTTTATTTCTTTTTCTTGCCTAATTAGTCTGGCTAGGTCTTCCAGTACTCTGTTGAATAGAAGTGTCAAGAGTGAACATCCTTGTCTTTTTCCTGAGTTTATAGGAAAATCTTTCAGTTTTTCATCATTAAGTATAACGTTATTATATATATTATTTATTATGCTGAGAAAAATTCCTTCTATACCTAGTTTATGCAGTTTTCTTAAATCATGAAAGGGTGTTGAATATTGACAAATGTCTTTTTCTGCATCTATTAAGATGATCATATAAATTGTATCCTTCATTTTGTTAATGTGATATATCACAATTATTGATTTATATGGGTTGAACCATCCTTTCAACTCAGAAATAAATCCTACTTGATCATGGTGTATGATTTTTTAAAATGTGCTGTTAATTTGTTTTGCTAGTATTTTGTTGAGGGTTTTTTCATGTATGCTCATCAGGAATTGTATTAGTCTGTTCTCATGCTGCTAATAAAGACATACCCGAGACTGGGTAATTTATAAAGAAAGAGGTTTAATTGACTTACAGTTCCACATGGCTGGGGAGGCCTCACAATCAAGGTTGAAGGCCAATGTGAAGCAAAGTCACGTCTTAAATGGCGGGAGGCAAGAGCGCTTGTGCAGGGGAACTCCCATTTATAAAGCCATCAGATCTCATGAGACTTATTCACTACCATGAGAAAAGTATGTGGGAAACTGCTCCCCTGATCCAATTGTCTGCACCTGGCCCCACCCTTGACACTAGAGGATTATTACAATTAAAGGTGAGATTTGAGTGGGGACAGAGCCAAACCATATCAGGGATATTGACCTTTAATTTTCTTTTCTTGTAGTGTCTTTATCTGACTTTGGTATTATGGTAATGCTGGTCTCATAAAATGAGTTTGGACTCAAATAACCCTTCAATTTTTGGAAAGAATTCAGGAAGGATTGATATCTTTTTATGTTTGGTAGAATTCACCAGTGACACCATCTGGTCCTGAACTTTTCTTTGTTGGCAGGTTTTGATTACTGATTCAAGCTCTTTACTCTTAGTTTCATTGATTTTTTCCTACTGTCTTTCTAGTCTCTATTCTACTTATTTCTGCTCCAGTCTAAATTGTTTTCTTCCTTCTGCTGACATTGAGCATAGTTTGTCTTCTTTTCCCAGTTTCTTGAGTTGTGAAGTCAGTTTTTTGAAATCTTTGTTTTTTCTCAGTGTATAGACATTTATCACTATAAACTTCCCTTTTAGAACTGATTTGCTCTATCTCATAATAAGACATTTATGAAAGAACTGAAGAAGAACACAAATAAATGGGAAGATGTTCCATGTTCATGGATTGAAAGTTAATATTGTTAAAATGTGCATACTACCCAAAGCAATCTGTAAATTCCACTACCCAAAATGATCTACAGAGTTAATGCAGTTTCTTTCAAAATTTTAATGTTGTTTTCCACAGCCATACAAAATATTCTAAAATTTGTTTAGAACCAGAAAATTTGTTTAACCTAAATAGCTAAAACAGTCTTGAAAAAAAAGAAGAAAGCTGGAGGCATCACACTCCTTAATTTCAAAATATATGACAAAGCTGTAGTTATCAAAACAGTATAGTACTACCATAAAAAGAGACACATATGAATATGTGTCTGCCAACGAAGCAGAATAGAGAGCCTAGAAATGGATCCGTACATATCTGGTCAACTAACCTTTGACAAGGGCACTACGACTACACAATGGAGAAAAGATAATCTCTTCAATGAATGGTGTAAGGAAAACTGAAAATCAAAAAATCAACAACATTTTAAAAATGAAATCAGACCCTTATTTTACAACATGCATGAAAAGTAACTTTAAATTGATTAAATACTTACATCTTTAAGTCTTAAAGATCTAAAACCATAATACTTCTAGAAGAAAACATAGAAAAAAAATCTCCTTGACTTTGTTCTTGGCAATGTCTTTTTTGATATGACATCAAAAGCACAGGCAACTAAAACAAAATTAAACAAGTGGGACCATCAAACTGAAAAGCTTCCACATAGCAAAGGAAATAATCAAGAAAGTGAAAAAACCATACATGAAATGAAAGAATATATTTGCAAACCAAACATCTGATTAGAGATTAATATTCAAAATATAAAAGGACCTCACACAACTCAAAACAGACAAAAATATAACAAAAAATTTTAAAAAGGATCAAAACACCTGAGTAAATATTTTTCCAAAAAGATGGACAAGAGGTATGTGAAAAGATGCTTAACATCACTAAACATTAGGGAAATACAAATCAAAACCACAATGAGATATGTTCTCTTACCTATTAGGATTACAGTTATCAAAGAAGACATAAGTGTTGGCGAGGGTGTGGAGAAAAGGGTACTCTTGGGCACTATTAGCAGGAATGGAAATTAGTACAGTCATTATGAAAAAACAGTGTGGAGGGGCCCCAAAAAATTAAAAATAGAACTACCATACAGTCCAGCAATTTCACTTCTGGGTATATACTCAAAGGAAATGAAATAGATATCTTGAAAATATATGTCTGCAGCCCCATGTTCATTGTGACATTATTTACAATAGTCAAGATAGGGAAACAGCCTAAATGTCCATCAACAAACGAATGGATAAAGGAAAATCTTAAATTGAAAAACATATTCCAATATAGAAAAATGGATCTTCGCTGGGTGTGGTGGCTCACACCTATAATCCCAGCACTTACAGGTTGGCAAGGTAGGCAGATAGCTTGAGGTCAGGAATTTGAGACCAGCCTGGGCAACACAGTGAAACCGCATCTCTACAAAAATACAAAAATAAGTCAGGCATAGTAACGGGTTCCTGTACATAGTCCCAGCTACTTAGGAGACTGAGGTGGATGGATTGCTTGAGCTTGGAATTCAAGGCTGCAGTGACCCATGATTGTGCCACTGCACTCCAGTCTGGGTGACAAAGCAAGACACTGTCTCAGACCAAAAAAAAAAAAAAAAAAGAGAGAGAGAGAGAGAAAAGAAAGGAAAAAAAAAGTATCTTCAAGTTATATATTCAGCAGTTCATCTATTCAAAGCCATGGCTTAATAGCTCATGTACATAAATTACTTTCTATCCTTTCTGTCTCTGAATTTCTTCACCACTTGTAAAACTCTTTATATTTACTCTCAGAGATGGTAACCTTCAGAAATGAAGTCTTGGAAGTTCAGTATTTAAACACTGAATTGTGAATTAATTTTTCTTTTCCTCCTCACATCTTAATTGGGGCTATACCTATATATATAGAGAGATATCCTACATGAAAATATCACATATGTCTATGAATTTGCATATACGATATTAAGGGAGCATAAAAAAATTACATTAATAATTTTCCTTCTTTTCAAAGATGCCACTAAATAGGCCACCAGAGAGTATCAAGTGAATGAAATCAACCACTCACATAGGTTTCTCAGAGTCATTGGGCTTTTATTCATTTAAGGCTGATGTCATATCTATTCTAAGGAATCTCTTACAAGCATACACCATGAAACTAGCAGCAATATGGTCTTGAGCAAGACAGTTTGGTTCTGGAGACTTCAGGTTTTTTCCTAATAAAATGAAATGTATGTAAGTATATATAAAATAATGTACTAACCTGTCCAAAAAATCAAAGAGTCTATTCAAGAGACACCTGTGATGGATTTCTTTTTAAATCTGTTTGCAAAGAAAATATTTTAAAATGTTTAATTTAATATTTTATTTTAAAATGTATATATGCACATTTCATATCACTTAACTCACCTACATAAGCTTTTAAAATACATTATTAAATCATAAACTTTTATTTTTAATGAGCTATATAATTAAAATTTGTTATAAGATTACATTTCCTGGATTTTAAATATTAGTTTAACCTCTGCACTTGGCAACATGTCTACTCACAGTAGTTTTTTCCCCTGTTTTTTAAAAAGTCACAGTACTTTAGAAACGCTGAATTAACATTAAAGGGAAAAAAATGAAATCCTCCTTTGATCTAACCTTAGAATAATCCCAAAGATTTGTCTTAACATATGCCAGAACAGAATTATTATATTTTATATACAAAAATGAATCAGAAAGCCAGGTGCAGTGTCATGCATCTAAAGTCTCAACTACGAGGGGGGTTGAGGCAGGAGGATTGCTTGAGCCCAGGAGTTCAAGGCTATGATTGCCACTCTGAATACCAACTACATTCCAGCCTTGGCAACCTAGCAAGACCTCATCTCTAAAACAAACAGGCCCAAAAAACTAATCAGGAAAACATTCACATACAAGGCCTTTTATAATATATAAGCCTTGAAAATGTCAAAAAATTAAATTTTACTTTTGAACCAGAATGCTCTTGGAAAAAAGTTCATATTCTTTTGTTTATTTTTTCACATAAAATAATAATTGTGGACATTTTCTTGGTCCTGCCTGTTCATTTTGGAAAAAAAATTAAGTTCAACCTCATAAATTTCCTCTTGGACCTAACATAATTATTACCGAGATATTTTGATAGATGGCAGTTTGAAAAGCTTAAATGATTCATCTAACATGACACAGAAGTCTGTATGAAGTCTGAGAATACAATTCATATCACTGGGGTAATCATTAAGAAATTTCTCTATCTTTTATTTTAAAATGGATTTTAGTTTGCTAGCAGAATCAAACCACTTGTTATAAGTCATTTGTTGAACATGCACTGTTTACTTGATACTTGAATCCATCTCCCTGACTTTTCAAATAGAATCTAAACTTTTAATTCTCTTTCTTCAGTCAATTTAAATACACTAGCCTTCATTATAATGTTCTGAGTATATACATGATAGACATTCACTGGTGACCACGGAGTATCTATGTATTTTAAAAAGCCTTTGCCTAAGACATAGTGGCAAGCTCCTTCTCCAATTACTTTTGCTTCTGCCCATCTTACTAAATTGTAATAAAGCACCCAGGTTTTCATGTTTAACTATCCTTGACTTTAGCCCTATTCACTCTGTCTTCAGCCCCTGCCTTACTGCTTAACAAATACTAAGTGCCAAATAATTGTTTGTTCAAAATCTAGAAAGTGGAGAAAACAAATTAAAACAGTAAAGCATTTCACGAAGTATATTTCTAAGAGATAACCAAATTTAACATTATGTTTAATTTAACAAAAATATATAGTTTCAAATAGCTAGAAGGAGGGAATGAATGTTCTCAACAAAAAGAAATGATAAATGTTTCAGATGACGGATATGCTATTTACTCTGATCTCATCACTATACATTATATGCTTTGAAACATCACTATCTACCCCATGAATGTGCACAATTATAATATGTCCATTAAAATAATAAAATGAAAGAAAAAATGGCTTAAAGACAAAAAATGTTGTAAAAATTTAAGATTTTTGGTCTAATTTATGTATGTATATATATGTATACATTTTGTATACATTACAATGAAATACTTTATTTTATAATCTTCCTGATTCCTATGAGATATAACAAATACCTTATTAAGAGAATTTAATTGTTATCAAAAACTTTTTGGACACATTTAATAGTCCCAATATAATAGTTCATTAAGTCCTTCTGAAGAAGAAAATAATTACTACTTTTAATCATTCATGAATGCATTCAACAAATGTATTAAGTACTATGTGCCAATATACTTGAAAAATGCAATTTATTCACATTTTCATAGTTTTGTTTACAAGATAAAATATTTAAAAAACAATTTGAAACAATATTAACTTGTTTAAATAAACTACATTTTACTGAATTCTGTGCAACCTTAAAATTTATGTTAATAAATAATTGTTTATAATGAATTGTTAATTGAAAGTATAAACACTCTATTTGGATCTTAGTAGTATTTTAATTATTTCTGTAGCCATAATATATAAAGATAGCAAAAAATTATATATTGATAATTTTTTTTTTTTTTTTTGGAGACGGAGTCTCGCTCTGTCACCCAGGCTAGAGTGCACTGGTGTGATCTTGGCTCACTGAAACCTCCGCCTTCCAGGTTCAAGCAATTCTCCTGCCTCAGCCTCCTGATAGCTGGGATTACAGGCCCACACCACCACACACAGCTAATTTTCTTGTATGTTTAGTAGAGACAGAGTTTCACCATGTTGACCAGGCTGGTGTCAAACTCCTGACCTCAGGTGATCCACCCGTCTCAGCCTCCCAAAGTGCTGGGATTACAGACGTGAGCAACTGCGACTGGATAAATTATTCAAATGAAATATTACTTCTTATGTATGAAATGAATAGATGTGATGTTTGCCTGAAACTGCCTATTTGCTCATTCAAATATATTTAAGGAACACCTACAATGTGTTAGACCCTCAGTTCTGCCTCCGATTCCATAACTATTGCCTGAAAAATTTAAAGTTAGATAATATATTTTAATAGGAGAAAAGAAATATAAAATTAGTATGCATGATAGCAATTTTACGTTAAAAAGAAATTAATATTACAGTGCATATTAATCTTATCAGTATCATACACATTTAAATATTCCCTGTTATTTTTTCAAAATAAAATTTTATTTAGTTATCCATAGTTACTAGGAGAAATTGTCATCCAATTTGGAGTAGCAGAGTGATCAGCATTATGTGTAGACAGAATGATTCTTTTGGGAAGAGATTATTTACCTGAGCCGATCATCTTTAGTGTGATTTACTCTACACCATTTTTTATACCCATCCAATATTTAAAAAACAAAATACAGACGTTTGTTCTTTCTGGGCAGATTATTATGTGAGCTATTTTTATGTTTAAGTGTTTTTGCCTCAAAAGGAATTATAAAATAGATTTTAGTAGTTTTCCAGTAAATCATCACATTTTAAAAAGGTATTGGACATTTTGATAGAGTTGCAGATGAAATGGGATTGACCAGTTTCCATTTAATGGTGCACACACACACACAAAGGGCAATAGCCTCAGAAGATAAAAGCTGAAAGTGGAAATGATTGAAGTCCAAAACATTCTGAGGGATGTGTATACAGTAACTTCAGATCTTTTTATTTGATCTCTAATTACTAGAATAAGGGTGACTTTTCACACTTGAAAGTGATTATAAACATATGAAAGTCATTTCCCAGAAAGGTGATGTTGTTCAAGAATAGTTCAGATAAATTAATTGATGGCAGATGCATGTCAGCTTGTCAAAGGAAGTTAGAAATCTTCAATGTAACATTTTGAGAGCTCACTTACTGGAATGCGTAAATGATTGATCTGCTCCAGGATGACATTTTTCTCATATTTTCACAATTTTACTGGTAATAGAGACAGTTAATGTTTCTTGTCAATTTATTCCAATAATTTTGTGGCAGCAAATTATTTGTTACACTGCTAGAGAGTCATAATCCTAGTATTTTCCTCCCAAATCCAAAAGCAGCCTTTAAAGGAGAGTAAAGACTCAGCATCTCACAGGTGCCAGGGTCTTATTTCTTGAGTTAATGTGAAGGAAGTAGCTTCTCTCGTGTCATTTGCGTTTTTGAGACCTGACATTTTCTCTGCTCTAGCCTAAGAGCATGAGCAGTTTTCCTTGGGAAAGATGCCCAACCATGCTGACCCATCCCTCATTCAGGGCGATTTTCTGTCTTGAACCAACTTTTTTTACTTTTGTGTTTTAAAATACTCATAGACACAGAATTTATACTTTGTACCACATCACTTTTTGTACATTATTTCTACTTCCAATAATAATGTTGTCAATATATGTATACATGTATGTATATATCACCATGGTAACGGACTAACAGAAATCCTTTCTTAACTGACAATTAGTTTATTTGTGTGTGTTTTTTTTCATTCTATTCAAATCATAAGCTTCTTTTAGAGGAAACATCTCTTACAGGTCTAGAACTCTCTTATATAAGTAGTTCTTGAAGGAATATTGAATGCATCAGGAGGCTAAAAGCTAGATTTTTGTTATGCCTCTCTTTCAAGACTTTGACCAGGCCACTCATGATTTCTGGATATTAGCATCTACATTTTTAACATGAAAGTTTTAAATTATATGATCTCCAAAGTCACTTTCTTTCTAAGACTGTATGACTTTGTTATTCTAAGGAAATTCCAAAATACTTGCTGTACAGTGAGACCAGGAATGATAACTCTGGGAAAAGGAAAATCAGTGAATAAAGAGGTAGATTTATTTAGATGAAAATACGTCATCACATAACATAGTGTACCATAAAAAGACTTTTATGCTCCTACTGTTGCCTAAGAAGGGGGTATTAATTGAAGAACTCTTGGGAGAATAGGATTTTGAAACTTTACTAAGAAGAATGTAAAACTTCTTTCTTACAAAACCAGTAAGTTCAGGGTAGAATTATCCTCTTCATTATCATTTTGATACTGGTTTTAGCAGTACTAATTAGATCTTGGTTATGTATTTATTAATTTAATTTGATACATAGATGATTGTGAATTTTTTTCACTTCAAAACTCACAGACAACTTCAACTAATGTTGAATGCCAAAGTGTAAACGTTGATCGTGTGACAAATGTAAATTGATTCATGAGGAGAGACTGTGGTTTGGTGCAAAGAAAGTGTTCTGGAATTGGAAGATCTGGATCAGACTCAGGCTCTGTCAGATAATGGCTGTATCATCTTTGAAAAGTTAAGTAACTGTCTGGGGCTCTGTCTCTTTGTCTACTATATGATGATAAAAATACCTAATTTACACTGTTACTCTGAGAAGTAGATGCTAAGTAAAAAGACCTTAGACAAATTCTTATCATATGGTAAATACATAGTAGTGGTTTAAAAAATCAAAAAAGAGGCTTGATGCAGTGGTTCACACCTGTAATCCCAGCACTTCGGGAGGCCAATGTGGGAGGATTGCTTAAAGCCAAGAGTTCAAGGCCAGCCTGGGCAACAAAGTGAGACACACTGTCTGTACAAAAAACAAACAAACAAACAAAAAAGGAATAAAGTTTTACAGAGGTAATATTTGGAAGTGAATTTTTAATTCAATTATGACTGGATTTTTGTGCTTATTTTTGCTTGTTTTTGTGTAGTCTACATAATGGTGACATCTTTTTTCAGGCAAAACAATCTACTAATGAAATCAGAAGGATTTCCAGTGATGCTGCCCACATTTCTGTGAAAAAGAGGAAGTTTTTTAAGTCAGATGGAAGTTACACTTTTTCAAAAAAAAAAATATGCAGGGAAGAATAACTCTCTCTCATCAATGTGGTAGGAAAATAAAATATATTAATAGTTAATAAGTAACATTTGTTGAGAATTTATAATATCCTAGTTGAGAATTTATAATATCCTAGATATTATGCTATGCTGTTTATATGCATTATTTCAAAAATACTCACAATTATGAGTTATGAATGATCCTTATGCCTATTACAATGATGACAATTCTGAGGCTTAGGTTAAATAATTGCAAGAGTTCACAAAAGCAGCAAAGGATTGGAACCAAGACTTGAATGCAGATGACCTGACCCAAAGCCTATGCATGTAACAGTTTTTTATATTGATGTGTGTAACGGTTAACTTTATGTGTCAACTTGACTGTACCAGGGGGTGCTAAGATTAAATATTATTTCGGGGCGTGTCTGGGAAGACATTTCTGGATGAGATTAGCATTTGAATTAGTGGACTCAGTAAAGTAAATGTTCCTCCCCAGTGTGAGTGGTCATCATTCAATCCATGGAGGGCCTAAATAGAACAAAAAGGCAGAAGAAGGTGAAATTCACCCCTTTTACTTCCTGCCTGCCTGCTTGAGCTAAGCCATTAGTCTTCTCCGATTCTTGTACTGGGATTTACATCATTGACTTTCCTGGTTCTCAGGCATTCAGACTCAGACTGGAATTACGCTGCCGGCTTTCCTGGGTCCTCAGCTTGCAGAGGGCAGATCATGGGACTTCTGTGTTTCCATAATTGTGTGAGCCAGTTCCGAATAATAAATCTCTCTCTCTCATGTGTGTGTACGTATATATATATATGATGGATATAGATATGGAAACATATCCTATTGGTTTTGTTTCTCTGGAGAACCCTTACTAATGCTATGCTTCTTTGCATCACTGATAACTAAAATTTTATTTTATTCCCTCTGTGTCTCTAATTTATGAAAACTTGGACAAGTTAAATGACTACACAAACCCTGAGTTTCCTGAAGTGCTAAAAAGTGAATAATTACACCTATCTTATAGAGTTGTCGTAATGGCTAAAAAAGAAAGAGAATGAATATAAATTGCTTAGCAATATGTCTGGTGCATAGACTGTGTAATAATTGAGACCATCATCTGAGAACGTGGACAGTGTCATATACCCTTTAAAAGCAGCAGAATTGGGACATACAAATGAAGGAAGAAGGCAAGAACAAAATTGACTGTTATCAGGCACTTACTACAGCATTAGGGTAAATGACTTCTTATCAATGTAGCTGATAATGTCTCTTGTTTAAAAGCTTAGCTTTGTGACTAGAATAAAGAAAAGCTGATACCACTTAGCAATTATTTAGGTACTTTCTACAAGGGAATCTCTAAACTACTTAGAAGGACATGGAGCATTTTGAGACACATAGAAGGAATTTAGCCAACCTAGACAATGGGGGAAGAGAAATATTTTCCAGGATAACATAAGGACATTTTCATAGCAACACTTGGCCAAGGGTTTCTATCAAAACACCAAATAATAATATAAAAATTCAGATCATAAGTTCTATGTGGTATTTGCAATTCTGAAATATATTGCTATAGAAACTAACAGGTAGTATGCTCTCTGACTCATTTTAATTGTGTTGGCTCAGAACCCATTCAGGCACCATTGTAAATTGATATATAGCTGTGAGGTAGCCTGTAAGACTGTCAAGATTCTCATATTCAGGGTGGGCAAAACCTTATGATCAAAATTCCCAAATAATTTTGTTTGACTGAAAAAACCTTCCTATTTGTGTGTGTTGCAACTTACTTTTTTACCACATAATTACAGAAAAAAGCTAACTTTGAAATGTGAAGTCATATGAGTTCCTCAGGATTTTCTCGGGACTATCATTGGCTTTACGCAGATAGAGAAAATTTATTGCGTTCATCTTCTGTATCACTTCTCAGCCCTATCTGCAAACATATCTATTATCCAAAACAATAAATGATCTTTATTATTAAAGAAAGTCAGATATGGCAAGACTTCACAACTTGAAGCTGATTTAAGGGTCTTATAGCCTGTTAAACCACTTTGTTGCAAGTAAAGTCTTTTAAAAACCATAATCTGTGTTTTGGCTATCAGAAGCAAATGTTATTACATATAGTCCATCATGAGAAACCAGTGAAAATTAGTGGGATAGTCTACTTATTGTTTTGTTGTATGCCTCTTAAAAATATAATGAGTTTCAACATTTTTATAAATAGTACATTGTGATGGTTAATTTTAGCTGTCAACTTTATTAGGCCACAGGATGCCCAGATATGTCATTAAATATTATTTCTGGGTGTGTCTATGAGGGTGTTTCTGGAAGAGATTAGCATTTGAACTTCTGGATTAAATGAAGCAGATAGCCTTCTCAATGGAGGTAGGTAGCATCCAATCTGTTGAGGGCCTAAATAGAACAAAAAGGTGGAGGAAGGTTAAATTCCCTCTCTGCCAGACTGTTTGAGCTGAGACATCAATCTTCTCCTGTCCGTGGCACTCCTAGTTTTCAGACCTTCAGATTTAGACTGGAATCTACACCGCTGGCTCTCTAGCTTTCAGGCTTTCAAATTAAACCACAGGCTTTCCTCGGTCTCTAGATTACAGATGGCAGATCATGGGACTTCTTAGTCACCATAATTGCCTAAGACAATATTTTATGATAAATTCATTTCTAGGGATTCTGTGTGTATGTGTGTGTGTGTGTGTGTGTGTGTGTCTCTGTCTCTCTCTCTCTCTATATATATATATATTTTTTTAATTTTTGGGTATGTAGTAGGTATATATATTTATGTGGTATATGAAATATTTTAATACAGGCATGCAATATGAAATAAACACATTATGGAGAATGGGGTGTCCATCCCCTGAAGCATTCCCCCTTTGAGGTACAAAGAATCCAATTTTATTCTTTAAGTTACTTCAAGATACAAAATTCAGTTATTATTTACTGTAGGTACCCTATTATGCTATAAAATATAGGTTTTATTCGTTATTTTCTCTTCTTTTTGTACCCATTAACCATCCCCACCTCCCCTCCAAACCCCCACTAGCCTTCCCAGACTCTGGTAACCATCCTTCTACTCTCTATGTCCGTGAGTCAAATTGTTGTCATTTTTAGGCGCCAAAAATAAGTGTGATGTTTGTCTTTCTGTGCCTGGCTTATTTCACTTAACATAATGACCTCTAGTTTCATCCATGTTGTTGCAGATGATGGGATCTCATTTTTATTTGTTTATTTATTTATTTATTTTTTGAGACGGAGTCTTGCTCTGTCGCCCAGGCTGGAGTGCAGTGGCACAATCTCGGCTCACTGCAAGATCTGCCTCCCAGGTTCACACTATTCTCCTGCCTCAGCCTCCTGAGTAGCTGGGACTACAGGCGCCTGCCACCATGCCTGGCTAATTTTTTGTATTTTTAGTAGAGATGGGGTTTCACCGTGTTAGCCAGGATGGTCTCGATCTCCTGACCTTGTGATCCACCCGCCTTGGCCTCCTAAAGTGCTGGGATTTTATTTTTGTTTATGAGTGAATAGTACTCCATTGTGTATATGTACCACATTTTCTTTATCCATTTATCTGTTGAAAGACACTTCAGTTGCTTCCAAATCTTAGCTATTGTAAATAGTGCTGCAACAATCATAGGAGTACAGGTATCTCTTCAATATACTGATTGTCTTTCTTTGGGGTATATGGGCAGTGGTGGGATTATTGGTCATTTGGTAGCTCAATTTTTAGTTTTGTGAGGAAACTTCAAACTGTTTTTCATACTGGTTGTACTAATTTACATTCTCATCAACAGTGTACAAGGGTTATATAAACCATAGGTATAATTCAATTTAAATTTAAATTAAATCTATAGTTAACACGTTTGAAACATTGATTATTTGTTTATTTTTTATAATTTTTAAAAATAGAGACGTGATCTCACTGTGTTGCTTAGGCTGGTCTCAAACTCCTGAGTTCAAGTGATCCTCCCATCTTGGCCTCCCAAAGTGCTGGGATTACAGGTGTAAGCCACTGTGCTAGGCCAAAACATTGGTAATTTAAACTTCTCAGATCATTATAAAGAAAAGTGAATTTTAAAATATCTTCATGAATTAAATTTCAGAGAAACAGGGTAGAAACCTGGGTACCCATTAGAAGAATAAAAGGTTTGTGACTGAGAGAAAGAGGGAGGAGTATGAATCCCTGCACATTCATGTGGAGCCCACTGGTGTTTACAAACCTATATGAAGATAAAAGTTTTCATTTTTAGGAGTTAAATTAGGAATGAGCTTAGGGTGATATTTGAAATGAAGAGAAAAGGAATTTAACATTTACCAGATTCTTCACCTAGAGTAACATGTAGAAGAATCACATACGCATCTATTAGAGGAAACATCTTTCTTTATTAGCATGCACATCACTAATTAGGGAGATACTAACTTCAGGATAGAAGTTAATTAACTGTGAGATCAATACCTAATGCTGATTTCACTTTTTACATCTCTCTAACAACACTAAACTAATAAAAGCATTATGTTCTTGAGTAAAACTTACTTGACCAGAACCTTAAAGTAAATAGTTTCTGAGGCTCCCATCAAGAAGGAAAAGGTGGTGGAGTTGGTAAAAGTTGGGTGTTCACCAAAACCAAGTAAAACTAAGATTATACGATATGCCAGCTTATCTGAGTTATGTAAATAATATATTCTTTAAAAATGGTCACAAATAAGATTGTTCATTATTTCATTATATAATTTGTACATGGACTTTCAATAAAATTTATTCTGTTTATATCATGGTCAAAATTTTTTTTCCGGAGGAGATAAATTATATCTTCCTCTTATTAAAGTTCAGAATTCCCAGGCTTAAAGTGAGCACTTTATGTTTCTTGAGGAGATTCTCATTTTTTAGTGTAAAAGATTTTGACCCAAACTTGGGGCCACATCAGAGGGAAGATGGGATATCCTTTGTGTGATACTTTTTAATCTGCTAGGTAGCAATTTTAGTTATGGGCGCTTTGTCCTAAAGGCAGTGGCAGCAGGACAGTATCTCTGTGTTGTCATTATCCAATACCAGTGTCCAAAGTGTCTATTAAAAAATATTAATGTTAGAGGCTAAGCATTAACTATCCTGAAACCGAGCATGAAATTGAAGTGTAGAACGTACTTGAAATCATTCACTCTCCTTATTTCTCTCTCTCTAAACCAAAGACTTGGCATTCTTCCCCCAAGGTACAGTATCTGTGTTTTTGTAATGACTTTTTTTGTTCCAAGCTAATTGCTTTAGAATGCTCTGCTACATTTCGCATTTTTTATGGGTCTCTTGCTAGAGACTTGAGTTAATACATGAAAAACACTTAGAACACTGTCACATGTAAGCACCTAATATCTGTTTGCTATTGTTATTATAATTGTAATAATAACACTCATTGTTTTAAATTTCACTGACTAGTTTGTAATAACCTATGTAATATCGAATATGTAGCATAGGATATGTGGGGAGTTGGACACTGGAAGCGCACAGCAAAATTTAAACAAATATAAGGAATTCTGAGAACATAGTGAGTTGAGCACAGTTTGAGTCTTCCAGAATTCCCTAAAAAAATGGAGCACAGAGAAAGCAAAATCAAGGACTCACAGACATTATTTACCACAAAACTAGTTGGCAAAATCATTTGGAGAGACATCAACATAAAGACTAAAGTCTATATTAAATATCAGAAGTATGTTTACCCATAGAACCAAGATAGGTGGTGTTTTCATAGACATAGTGTGATATCTAAAACTATATACCCCAATAAGCTAACACAAGTGGGGGGAAATAGGAAATGTTCATGAAAAGTAGAATGAGCTTGCTAGTTGCCTTATAAATATATTCTAGCTACTAAACAAAGACAAAATCGAATTGAATCAAATCTTTTTTTCACAAACAATTGTGGATCAATGTATGTAGCAATGAGCACAATTGGCTGATAACCTCAGAAAATCAAAACCAACGTTACAAACATTTTTATGAAAAAGCACATACAAGTTGCCTTTGAAGTAGGCACTTTGAAGTAGGTATGGTTGTATGTGTTCTTTCATCAAAAAGTTTGTACCTCCTGCAGTTATTAGTTCAGCAAATGATTATCAAGAACCAACATGTACCGTGCACAATTATGGGTGCTGGGTTCAGTGACTTCCAAAAGAAAATAAAACTAATCATAAGAAACCAACCTGGCATGTACAGTCACATTGAACAAGTGAGCATTAATCAAATAACCTTGCCAATAAGTGCCATATCACCTCTGTAAAACATAGAAAAGTGTATGGCACTAGGAGAATAAATAATAGGAAGATCACACCTAGTGTGATAGAAAAATAATGAATTATCTGGAAAAAAGTTATATTTGAACTAAAATATGATTGATGAATAGGGTTTAAGGAAATATAAGCCTGGAGGAGGGGTGGAGGCAGAGAAGACTGCTTTAGACCAGAGTGGAAAGCCTGTGCGGAGGCCTTGAATGAGGAAGGAGGATGGTATGTTCCGGGATCCAGAGGACATTCAGTATATCTGGTGGGTATGAAGTAGAAAAGGGTGGGATAGGAGAAAAAGCTAGAACTTGGAAAGGTAACTGTGTAATTTATTGTTTAAACTGGATCACTTTTGAGAGTGAAAGGGAGGTACTATCAATGATTACACCAGAACAACAGGTGGCAACTGGGACTCTGAGTCAACCTAATTATAGGCTGTGTTACAGATAGGTCTTTATGCAGAGAATGATGGAATTGTTTGGAAGGATTTTAAACAGAGGTTTACATTTTGGCTGCTGCAGTGGGGAGAGTGGATTATAATGAGACAGGCCTGCATGTGGGAAGACTATCAATTAGCGTGCTTGTTTCCCAGAGACAGGCTGAAAGGCCGTTTCTGTTGCTGTGTTTTTTGTTGGTGAGCTTGTTACATACCTCTTTCTTGCATGTCGAAATTCTGGCCTAAAATCATACTAGCAGTTTCTCTTCCTTTCAATGACTGGAGTCTGAGGAAGTGCTTGCTTCTTCCAATGCCCGTATCTGAAGTACCTAGGGATAAGTTAGGACAAATAAAAAATGACTATGTTTTAATTACTATAGCATAATTTGTCTATTTGTTCTATCTATCTATCTATCTATCTATCTATCTATCTATCTATTTATCTATCTACATATATATGTGTATATATATTTACTTACTAAATATTTAACATACTGTACTAAAATTATTAAAAATCTTATTCAATGAGCTAAACTTCTTTTAGAGAGGTGTCAGCTACACTGCAAGTATACACTTCAAAAATACTTAGTGGGTTTGGTTTCTTAAAAAGAAATATCTTTTGTTTTAATTTTGATAGTAAAACATATTAATTAAAGAAATAAATGAATGTACGGAAATATTTTTTTAAACATAAACAACATAAAAATACCAAATGCCACATCTTTTAACCTGGCTGAAATTCATCTATATATAAAAGTTTGTATCCTGCTTTTCTTTTTAAACTTAATGTTATATCATAAGTAAGTTCACCAGATTTAGCAAACAAATAAAAGTACAAGTTACCCTTTTAACTGAATCCCATATGAACAACAAATTGTTTTTTGTGTAATTATATCTTAAATATTGCATGGGAGTTACTTTGACTTTTTAATTTGGAATTCAAATTTAACTGGACATCCTGCATTTCTTTCTAGCAATGGTACTTATAAACACTTTTCTTGGCCAAGTGCAGTGGCTCTTGCCATTAATCTCAGCACTTTGGGAGGCTGAGGCAGAAGGATTGCATGAGCCCAGGAGTTTCTGACAAGTCTGAGCAGCATAGAAGGACCACGTCTCTATAAAAAATTTAAATATTTGCTGGACATGCTGGTGCATGTCTGTAGTTCCAGCTACAAGCAGTTAGGGCAGTTAAGGATCACTTGAACCCAGAAGGTTGAGGCTGCAGTGAGCTGTGATCGTGCCACTACAATCCAGTCTGGGCAACACAGGGAGACCTGATCTCAAAAACAAAACAAAACAAAACATTTTTCTTGTTTGTTTAATGTACTCTTAATAAACTATTATAAATATTATAACATTTTGTTAGACATTTTAATGCAGGAAAATATATCTCATTATTTAAAGAGTATCTTTGGATAGATTTCCAGAAGTAAATGTCTTCCAGGTAATCTGACAGGTAAGATTAATTATATGTATATTTGCAACTTTATTTCATAGGCACTAGTTTCCTTTCCTTTTTATTTATTTACATAGTTAGAGGGCTGACTTTGTATTAGCATTGACTAGCCAAATTTTTTTTTTTTTAGCATAGGTAATTTAGACCATTCTTCAAGAATTTATTCTTACTGGATGGTAATCCAGTTCCTTCTAAAGTCTTGCTTGAAGTCATAGATATTTCAGTGAAGGAGATTTCAGGACATGGTAAATACACATTTATATGGATTCCCTTCATTCTATTCCTGTGCTCAGGTTTTTACCAAACAACCTGTGATATATTATCCCAGCCTCACTTTTTTCTTTGTTCTCTCCTTTATTATCTGTATTATGCCTTTATATTTTGTGTTCTGCCCTTATACAGAATCTACACAATAAATGCCTATTCAGTCACTGTCTTTCAGACTTCCAAATGTTGGCTTTCACAATTAGCAGCCGGGTGACATTAGTCATGCTACTTTTCTTCTCTGAGCTTTGGTATCTTTATCTATAATAATTATGTAAAGGATTTTTGTCATGATAAAATGAGAACATTTTGAGGACAACACTTAATGTGTCAGTGACATAGTATATGCTCAATGTATTCCTGAGAGCATGTATGCAGACATGAAGACTAAGTGACTTGGGTAGTGCTTTTCAAGTCAATTGCGTGCCTCTCTCAGGTATGCAAACCTTAATGGTAATCATCAACTGGGGTCCTCCTAAATGGATTTGGATTCTTTCTAAATATGATTCTTATCCAAGACTGGACAGCAGAAGGATGAATTGATGATGACTAGACTTAGACTCTGGAATAACAACTACAGTATTACATTTAGCGTTAGCACCATTATAGTTAAGGGAAGCCTTCTTAGATAAAATGTGTTTTGTGGTGGGTAAGTAAACACATTTGGGGGGTGGTGAAGTAAGGTATTTGTGTGGTGCAGTGGAGTTTGCAGTTGCTTATCCTCTTCAGGATGTTTCATGTTCTAGCACTGTGCCAATTGTAGTAAATGGGTCTTTTTACATAACAATGTCCTTATAACTAATAACGAATAAATCTTACTTTATCCATTACATATTCTTTTTCAAGAGTGCTGCATTTAAAAAACACTGTTACTTACATAGTATCTGAAAAGGGCCTCTCTGGTTTTGTTTTTGTTTTTTTGATTCTGTCAGTTTTCTCTCTTGTTCATGCTCTTGATGCACATTGAGGAGTGTCCCACCAAGACCATGGTGCTCACAAGACTTTCATGAGCCTCTGGCTTTTGGATAAAATAATAACTACAAGATTGTACCTGAGCAAAAAATAACTTCCTGATGAACAGTCAAATGTGTAAAACTACTAAATACTTCCCTAATTACAGTGGCAGCTCAGGATTTTAGTGTTTGATCACTTTACTGTTACAGAGGTCTCATTCTCATTGACACATACTTTTCTCCATTGTTATTAAATACATATTAAATTCTTCTCAGAGTTCAATGCTAAAGAATATTAATACAGATTTTTATGAAGAATTACATATATTACCCAAAATGTTTCCTACAGCCATAAAGCTCAGAGATAATGAAGCTTTGTAGTGCAGTAGTTCATTCAAGTCAGATGCCGGGAACATGTATTTGTCAGCTTTTTAAAATGCATTTTTGTTAATGTTGAAAGTATTTTGGATGTAAAATGTTTATCTTTTCAATTTATTTTTAATTATTTTTTCATCAGTTAGTTTTGATCAGTGCTCCAGGTATAAATTCTCAATAAGCGAGTGAAATAAACCAGGTATTCCTCAAATTTTTATAACCTCCATTGATGGTTCAGTGTCTCAGTGACACCAAATGCAATTCTACCTCTTGCACTAGAGCATTTTCCTGGGGTTCGTCATATGATTTACTTGCCTCTCTCCAGACTTCTGGTTAATCCACTGCTATTCTAAGGCTTTATCACTGGGTGGCACCCTGCCACCTTATTTGGATCTTTTCTCCCTCCTGTTCTCTTTTCTTTAATATAACTGCATTGTAGTCAATAGCTGAGGTCTAAACTCCGATACCCATGTTTGGAATGCTGGCTCTGAAATATATTAATTCTCTGACAATAGACAACCTAGATAGCATCTATTCAGCAAAATAAAGATAACAATAGTAACTAACTTATAAAAATCTTGTGAGAATTAAAACCTTTAATTTAAAATATTTAGAAGAATGTCTGGCAAATAAGAAACATC
The DNA here is from genome assembly GCF_000001405.40 of Homo sapiens. NCBI lineage: Eukaryota > Metazoa > Chordata > Mammalia > Primates > Hominidae > Homo > Homo sapiens. The sequence goes on from NC_000001.11 coordinate 187,265,474, forward strand.
CGCTAAAATTTGTCTGTTATTTGTATTACCATACTCAGAATATTACAGTAGAGCCTGGTTACAGTTACAAACATAAGTAAGTCATAGAATTTGAGGAACAGACAAAAAACATACAAAAATGAACAAAGGCTAATAATTATTCTGATAATAGAAGTAAAAACAAGCACTGTGGAGAGCAATTAAGTAGGATATTCAAAGCTAACTTGTGGTATTCAAATATCAATTTCCAACCATTTATCAAAAGCCTTGTAAGAACAAATGCCTGGGTTTGTTCTTTATACATATTACATCGTATATGTCTCATAATAGCTATATAAAATAAAAAAATTTATGCCCATTTTCCAGATTTAAAAAAAACTGAGCCTATTATAATAGATGTTAATAATTTGCCCAAGGTTTCTCATCCTGTAACTGGAAGACCACAGATTTAAATTCAGGTTTGCAAGTGGACAACCACAGATTTAAATTCAGGTTTATTTTAAAGCACTTTCTACTGTGCTCTTCCTTCTCTGTCATCTGTCTATATTTTTTATCTCAGCTGTTACTGGTTAAAATTTTAATACCTACCTCTCCATATTGTTCCTATATTCTGGAAGGGATTGAGTTGCCTGTGACACCTAATAAGAAAATCATAAACATGCCTGCAGATTAAGCCTCCTCTCATTTCTGAGATGAACGCTGAGCCGACAGAGCTGCCAGTCTCTCATTTAACTTCTCACAATTCCTGCAACATTCCCCTCCTCTCTGACAGTTGTATCAGCATTTCTGCTGCTGCTTGTGCTGATAAAGCCCCCAGAACACACACACACCAACTAGAAATAACTTGGTGACACATTCACTAGGGGATTCCTTTGTAAAGAAAGTCCGGACTGGGAGGAAAGTGTCCTGCAGATTGCTCCACTACTTCACAGATGAACTGGATCGTTCAAATGTAGTTTTAGAGAAGTGGGGGCAAATTTTTTCACCTGAACTGTGTGGAGCAATCGAGTATTCCCAAGAATCTGTTACTAAAAGAAGTGAGTTTCAATGACAGTGAAAATATAAGGTAACAAAGTTGTATTTTTTTTCTTACACAAGATTTTGACCTGATAACATAAAATAAGAAAATCAGAAAGTATAAATGGTAGGATAAGTTGAAGAAGGAGTTCAACCTTCAAGAATTGTGTGCACTTGCTCATCATCTTTCAATATCTTTCCTAATGTAGAATGTTGCTCAAATATTCTCTTCACTATTTTTTCAGGATGTAGATAAAAACAGAAGTAGCTTTATGTATAAATGTGGTGACTCTACATGGTGTGATTGCAAATGTCCAAGAAGCCCTACCTTCGTGTTAGCAGTAACATTAAATACACATGTGCACACATGCATACACTCACATACACACACCACCCTCATGCCCCACACTCTGCAAAAGCAGATACCCCCAACACACACACACACACACACACACAATCTTTATACATCACATCCTCCAAACACACATACACATGAGTACATAGACAAACCATGCCCTCACACACTCCAAACAAACACTTGGCTATCTCTTCCACCAGATGAAAGGGCAAGGGATAGAGGATCTGAAAGGATATGAATGAAATTTGCTGAGAACTGAGATTCCACTGTAGGGGCTTTCGTACAAACTTGCTGTTTTTCACTTTGGTACAGTTAAATTCAAAGTTACTTGGAAATACATCGTATTTGAAATGGCTATTGGTTAGATATTCTTTAATGTGAATATGCTTCTGATCATTTCTTAAGAACAGGTTTTGATAGACAAACTGCACATTCTGAGGGCCTAAGGCTAAAGGGAAAATAAAAAGAGGGCAAAGAGAGAATGCTGAGGTGCCGCAGACAAACTCGGCTAACAGTGATTTGTCCTGAGGTCAGTGCTGAATGAAAACCTGCAGACACCACTGAGAGCTGTCCATAGGAAGGAACAAAAGGTTATAGAGAATACTGTAGTTAAAGAGTATATTTCTCTACTTACACCAATGTGATGCTTGAAAGGTCTCTGTGGTCTATATAAAAATGAAAGTTACTGGATACCATTAAATTAAATGAGACGTTCCTGACCTCAAGTCTGGCAATCGTAAATCCCAATTCTTTAATTCAATCCAAGGTTTAATACTTTTGATCTTTAATAATTGTAAATGTGTATTAGTTTGTCTTTTAATTTGTATGAGTACATAACTGTTTTAATATTTCGTAGACACAGTTGATGACAAAATGCCAAAATTTCGAGAAGTTGAAACCAAAAGACTGTGATTAATGTGGACAGATTGACCTGTTTCAATATTTAGTGTGGATCAGAAGGGTGCATTATCACAATGTCTTATGAGCAAATGACTCAAGCTGGACATGGATAAAAGATTTTAGTTAAGGAGATAATCATTAAGGAACATCTCCTACTACTTCCTTTCTCTGGTAACAAATGCTGCCCTCCAACCTGAGCCTTAGGCTGCCTTTCCCTCCAGTGTTTTGAATGTTGGCATCTAAGGAACAGTGGAATGGGAAATATTTCTTTGAAGATCCATTAGCTTTAAACTTACCTCCATTTGTCCGGCTGATAAAGCCAAAATCAATGAAATTGGAGAGCATTCCTTAAAGGGCTGTTTGTTTACTCATACTTCTGGCTGTGGAGATGACTTACAGGACAGATGGAGACCAAGTTAGGTTAGAAGTGCTTAATATTGGGTTGTACTGTCTGCATTCAATATGAACTTGTGTAAGGTAGTTGTGAGGTTGTGTTCAAGGTTTTTCACTATAGCATAAGGAAAGGAAAAAAACCTAATATAACAAACCTCAGATCTTACCTATAAAATTATGTTATTTGCAAGGTAAGAATATTGTTATCTAATATTCACTTTAAAAATGTTTAGTGGAAGATCAGTAAAGGGATACATGATGATGAGCAACTGTACATTAAATTTGGTCAATGTGGAAAGTTCTTTTGGAATTTCAGATAAAATTGCCTTTATTTTTGTTATAGTGAAAATACCTTCTTTCCACACTCTGATTTTCTGAATAATTCATATTACTTATTTAACTTTGTTTACAGTGTATATGATGGCAACTCAAAATTAAAATATAAAGAAGGACTCTCTAGAATTTAAAGTGATATCCACCTTAGTAGATAGTAGAATAGTTCTTAAACTATGTAATTGATTGATTGCCTGACTGATTCATTCATTCATTCAATTTTTTTCAGTGAGGAAGTATTTATTGAGGACTTACTCTATGTCAGGTTCTGTTCTTGGATAAGAAGACAGTGCTAAAACAAGGCGAATAAAAACTTTCTCCTCAGTTAATCTCCTTTTACAGCAAGGAAGACAAACAAACTTATAGCTCCCAATTTCCCATTAAAATACATGGACTCGAAGAAGAAGAAAAATAAAAACTCACCACATAACACACTGGGGTTACAGGGCAATCAGTTTCAGAAGAAATTTTATTAACTATAATTTCAAAAGAAAAGGTGAAAGAGATTGCTAATTTCCATGCTTTGCCTCAAGAAATAGCAAGGTTAATTTCCTGTAAGAAGACATGTCCTTCCTCTCCCATATTGTTTGTCCCTTGGCTCCAAAGACTCCATAAATGACCAACCAGTGATCTGTACTGTTATCATCTCATGACCAAGAAAATATTTCCACAAAAGCCAATCTCCATTCAATGACTTCCACTTTTCTGTTTTTTATTGGATATGCAGAATAAGGTGCCAGAAATATTTCATTAATAACTTGGAAGACTGTAAAGTTAAATAATGAGTGTAAACCTATATGTTAGCATAACATTAATTGTGTACGTGACAAGAACAACAACCAAAGTCTATAAACATTCCAACCTTTTATACTCATCTATTTTCTAATGGGGAAAACTCATATGTTACCCTAGCATTAAGATTAATTTTGTATGTTGGTTTAGGAAATTGATGATAAAAACTTGGAGAAGACTGCTGTATTGGATTACAGGTTCATATGTTCTAAGCAAGAGAGAAAAGCCTAAAATCTATTTCTCTGTCATGATACTGCTCGAAGGTAAGTGATTTGGAGCTGATTCGGTGTCTTACCATTCTTAACATGATACTTGGATCTCAGACTGTCGGGTGGTTGCTACTATATACATCATCTCAGTCAGCTGAAAGGAAAATGAGCCAGAAGAGTCTGTACAACATTTTAGAAGTATAACTGGGAAGTGGCGTTATCACTTCTGCTCATTCTTTGTTGGTTAAAATTTTGTCACGTGTCCACACAAAACCTCAAGGAAGTCTGGAAGTGGAAACCGTAGCTGTGTGCAGATGTCACTAGCTAAAACTGAGGAGTTCTGTCATTAAAGAAGGGATGAATACGTATGAGGGGACGACTATTAGTCTATTCCTTAATCCATTTCTGTGGCAACCCTAATATCCATCTGTATCCCTTTTTCCACACATAGAACCCACATAATCACATCCATAGATGGCAACCAAAGCCACATCCAGTAGTGTCGTTTAGCTGAAAGTGCCAGACCTCTGAATGGTGATTGGTTCTCTCCATTAAGTCAGTCTGGATTTACTGGTGTTTTGGTGACCTATAAACTAATAGAAAAATTACTTGCTTCCTCCCCACACACACTTAACGGTAATGGAGAAAGACAGGGATAACTTCAATTAAAATATCATTCAGAAAAGAGAATAAAGGGAAATACAGAGCAGTCACTTGCCCACAGCAATAACGAAATCCTGTGAGCAAGCGTTGGCAGGGCAAAATGTCCTTGGTTAGTTCTTGTTCTTGTCTCTAGAGAAAGCCCTTTGTGCATTTTCGTCTCTGGTGTCTTTTGCCATTTTCTTCTGTGACCATATCTGAAGTGTGTTGGAAAATGTGTTCTCCTGAGGGCTGCACAGCTTGTTCAGTTTGGGGACATAGAAGCTGCTTGAGGAGTTGAACAATTACGTGCATTTCAGGCTAGTTTGTGCTTTCAGTGGCAGCAAAAATTCCTCGATAACTTAGTAGATGCATTCAATTTGCTTTCTCTTTCATTTCCATGGTAAGGAGTCATCGATGCAAATTATGTCTGGATATAGTTCTTCAACTTAAAGTCTTTCACTTATTTAGTGGTCTTTGTGCTCGGCTTTTCCTTTCTCCAGCATTTTACTGTGCTTTTTTTTTGTCTATATGAAAACCCAGGCTTGGTCTGTTATTATTTGTTTGTTGGCACAGTCTGCTTCTCAAGTTATCACAAGCAACTTCCAACCCATAATTACAGTGTCCTCCTGATTACTGCTAAGCCAGTGCCATATATTTTAGGGTTTTGTGAGAACAGCAGGCTACTTCCAGTACAAATTTCTGGTTTGGATAGGATATAGTCCAATCTTTTATAATAAAGAGACCTTAAATATAACAGTTTATGCAAGATAGATAGATAGATAGATTTTCTTTTCTTTCTAAAACAGTCCAGAGGTAGATAATTCAGAGCTTTTAGAGTAACGTTTCCATATTTACCATGAAGTTTCCATTTTGAGAGTCAAAGTTGTGAAACAGTTCTCACTGATTCCTTGATGGGGGAAGTAGGAAAAAAATCAGGGGAGGAGGTACTCACTCATTTTCTGGGTAATGCACAAGAAGAAAAACATTTGCTCCCACCCATTTGATTAGAATTGTGTCACACGGATCCACCAAGCTTCAAGAGGCATGGAAAGTTAGTGAGTTACTGTGAATAGAAATTATACCAAACTATTAACAGTTCTTATCTCTGGTGGGATGTGCTTGTGAGAGTTTCATTTTCTCTATGATTTACTTAGACTTTGTCCACTTATTCATTTTACTGTCTCTCTACTTTTTAGATGTTTTACAGTCATCATCTATCACTTGCATGCTCCAATACTATTTAAAAATTAATTAAACCTGAATTCTACAATTAGGCATTGTGAGAGATGGTATAATGAAAGTTGTCTGAAGGTTTAATGCACAAGATAAGCCTTTGAAGAACTCTGGAGGAGAAACTGGCTGATAAAAAGATATGGAACTGGAAATCTGTGAAAAGAGAGAGAATGATCTTGTTTGGCAATAGTAAAATTCTTCCTAAGAAATAAAACAGATTAAGGAGTTGAGAGAGAGAGAGAAAGAAAGAGGGAGAAGGATTGAGCATCAGCAACATAAAACACGCTAAAAGTTTTAAGCATGGCAATATGCAGAAAGGGGTATTGCTGGTTTCATGTATCAATAATTTAAATAATAGTATGTTTACATTAAGTAAATGTATTGCTGTTACTATAGCAAGACATAATTTAATTATTTCCAGAAATCGTGATGAAAGGAAATAATTTCAGCTCAGCACGCACCGTGAAAATAATTATAGTAGAAAATTTATGTAAAATAATAATGGTATGGATTTCTGATTTGAAGTTGTCTAGAATATATGTCAAGTTATGTTGTAAAAAACAAAAATTCAATAGGTCCACAGAGAAATATGTTTTGGATTTAAAGGCCTGAAAAAATGCTATCTTATTTATAAGATAGAGTGTTATTAAAATAAATATTACATGATTCTAGGAGATCTTACAAAGTGATACTTGGACATCCTCAGGGGTTTATTTCTTTATATAGACAGATTTTTACCAATATTCACCCTGTAAAGCAAAACAAATAGCAATTATAAAAAAGTTTTTATCCTTGATGTTAAAAATATGACTACTTTTTCTTTTTGGTAACTAGAAGTGGAAATTTAGTGTCACTGTGTTAATAAAGAAAAATTAGTCTCATTATGTTAAACAACAGAGTAAAACAAATATTGAATGGGTGCTGGGAGCCGTGGCATAGAAAGTGGAAAGAACTGAACAATCAAGATGTATGCAGTGTAGGTATTAGCATAACCCTGTTTATCTCAGCAACAAGAATCATATGGACACAATTTCCATTATGCTGTCTTTAATGTGCCTAGATCCTATTACCTTCAGTTTTTTTCTCTTTTCTTCAAGATTCAAATATCCAAGAAAATGTATGTTATTGTCCTAGCTTGGGTCAGACATCTATTCTCGCATCAATCAGCAATGGCATTTAGAGGGGCGGATCCACTGGCATAAGCAAACCTTGTAAATCAAGGCTTCCCTAAGAAGGGGAATTGTTGAGAGTCAAACATTCAGCGATACGTCAGCTAAACCATACAAGAAAAAAAAGAGACTACTATTACTAATTTTGAGCTAAATTTCTTCTCAGTAGGATTTGTAAAAGAATTAGGGACACCTACTAAATACTATAGATAAAAGCCTGTGCATTTTTACCAAATCATTACCTGAACTTTCTTCTCTACTGTTGTTTCTTATATACACAAGTGAAAAGGCCTCTTCCAATGAATTTAATTTGTTACATTTTTCTGATGGTTGGAGATAAGGGATAGTATAGAAAAAGAATAATATTTATAAATTGTAATACTTTTTTATACAAATATAAAATACTTTTATATTTCATTAGTGGAAAACAATGTTAATGAATAAGAAAACCACCCATCAAAATTAGAGATTTTATTTTAACATATTTCCTTATTTCTCACATTAGAATGAAAAAGTTCTCATCTGGTACCTATATAAGCCAATTATAACATTTAGAATGTCATTTATGAAATGGAAAATTTCCATTTATAGAAAATCTTTATATCCTGCTGAAAAAACTTCAAAATGTCAATTTCATGCAGTACATCTGGGGAAAATCTGTCTAGGACATAATACCTTAACTGTCACATAGTGATTATAACTTCTCTGTGTAAACAGGGGCTAAAAATTTCAGGATATATATTATCTGTTAGGATAATATGTATTATTAGGTGTTTAGGCACACAGTTAGAGTCCCTGGACCAGTGACCTCTAGGTAGTAGTGACCATAGATGGTGAATGTTGACTTAAGGGGTGGGTGAAACTACATTTCTAGTAATGAGATTTTAAAAAAATAAATTAAAATGATGTGTGGTATGTTCAAACTGTTTTTTTCTTTTATGAACTATTTCTTCTTCTATCACATACTTTGGTCACAGGAGAGTAGAGTACATTAAATATAGAAACCTAAAAAACTATTTGTAAAAGAAATGGCAAACAGAAGAGAACGGAAAAAGAAAAATGTAGAAGGGATTGTTGTCAGTGTGCTATCTCCCAGTAAAAATGTGGTGCTATAATGATGTCAGAGAGAGAGAGAGAGGCATGGTGAGAGGGTCTGCTAAGGACAGCTTCCTGCTTTGGTCATTTTGTGTAATATATAAATGTAAACCCAGGCATGGTGGTGCCCACTTGCAGTCCTAGCTACTCTGAAGGCTGAGGTGTGAGGATCTCTTGCTGCCAGGAGATGAGGCTGCAGTGTGCTGTGATCTCACCTGTGAATTAGCACTGCACTCCAGTCTAGGCAACCATAGCATGACTCTATCTTTAAAAAAAAAAAAAAAAGTTTTAAATGTATATGGTCATGCAAAAAAGAAAATACACACACCTTATGATTTGGGTCATTGTATCAGATGGCAGGTAATTTTTTTTGCCTGCATTTTTGCCCTGAAGAAAATAATTAAGACCTGGATAGCACAGCTTAGCTTCAATGCTGATAACTTTCCTCTTATTTTGATTTAATTGGGAATGCTTCTAGTAGGTATCTTGGTAAATGAGAAATAGGAATACTATATTCATATATGTTTTCAAAGTATATTGAGAGGTGTACATGTGTGAAATACTTCTTGGGATTGACATGCAAATCTTATGGAAGTTTATTATAAGACTTTTGACTGTTTTTGAGAAGTGTCTGTTCATATTCTTTGCCATCTTTATAATGGGGTTGTTTTTTTCTTGTAAATCGGCTTAAGTTCCTTGTAGATTCTGGATAGTAGACTTTTGTCAGATAGATAGATTGCAAAAATTTTCTCCCACTCTCACTCTGATAATAGTTTCGTTGGCTATGCAGAGGCACTTTAGTTCAATTAGATCCCATTTGTCAATTTTTGCTTTTGTTGCAATTACTTTTGGCGAATTCATCATAAAGTCTTTGCCCATGCCTATGTCCTGAATGGTATTGCCTAGACTTTCTTCTAGGGTTTTTATAGTTTTGGGTTTTACATTTAACTCTTTAATCTATCTTGAGTTAATTTTTGTATAAGGTGTAAGGAAGGGATCCAGATTCAATTTTCTGCCTATGGCTAGCCAGTTCTCCCAGCACCATTTATTGAATAGGGAATCCTTTCCCCATTGCTTGTTTTCATCATATTTGCCAGAGATCAGATGAATGTAGAAGTGTGGTTTTATTTCTGAATTCTCTATTCTGTTCCACTGGTCTATGTGCCTGTTTTTGTACCAGTGCCATGCTGTTTTGGTTACTGTGGACTTGTAGTATAGTTTGAAGTCGGATAGCCTAATGCCTCCAGCTTTGTTCTTTTTGCTTAGGATTGTCATGTCTATGTGAGCTCTTTTTTGGTTTCATATGAATTTTAAAATATTTTTTGCTAATTCTGTCAATAGTTAGAAAAATGGCAGTTTAATGAGATTAGCATTGAATCTGTAAATTGCTTTGGGCAGTATGGCCGTTTTCACAATATTGATTCTTCCTATCCATGAGCACGGAAGGTTTTTCGATCTGATTGTGTCCTCTCTGATTTCCTTGAGCAGTGGTTTGTGGTTCTCCTTGAAGACGTCCTTCACTTCCCTTGTTAGCTGTGTTACTAGGTATTTTACTCTCTTTGTGGCAATTGTGAATAGTAGTTCATTTATGATTTGGGTTTTGCTTGTCTGTTTTTGGTGTATAGGAATGCTTGTGATTTCTGCACATTGATTTTGTATCCTGAGACTTTGCTAAAGTTGTTTATCAGCTTAATAAGCATATGTATATATGTGTGCATATATATACATATGTGTGTGTGTATATATATATATATAGAGAGAGAGAGAGAGAGAAAGAGAGAGAGATTTTGGTTAGGCAGAAAGGTAGGTTGAAGGTTAAATTATGGTTTTATGATACTGAGTTTAGATTTTATCCATTTTAAAATTATGAGTCAATGAATGCTTTAAAGATAGGCAGAGCCTGCTTAAAATGGACATGTAAGTAACATTGACTGATAACACTTAGGATGCTGAGAAGCAGGTAAAACCTGTTTGGAAGAGTGCAAGATCAGCAGCTCTTATAATAATTCAGATGCAGGGAGTAATAGCATTCTAAAAGAGAATCAGCAGAATTTGGTTAGTGATGGAATTGTGAAATAAGGAGAAATATGAGTTAAGGATGTGTCTGTAGTTATTTCGTTGTTTTGTTAGGGAAAAATGATAGTTAATCTTGAAAGGAAATATAAAATATAATTTGCTTATGTTTTTTCAAAAATCTAAATTTCAACTAGTTGTAGTTTTGTGGAAGTATATATACATGTGTATGTGCATTTTTCTTTCATCTATCTATCCATCTATCTATCTATCTATCTATCTATCTATCTATCTGATTATCTATTTACCTACCTTTATTATATGTACATATGTACATATCAGAAATATTAAGAAAGCTTCACTTGTAAACCAAAGTTATTTGTGACAGTTATCTGGAATAATGTGTGCAGAATTATGGTGCTGGGTCTAGGATAAATAGGAAAAAGCACATGATTTATTTTTGATGTCTGCAATATTGAGAATGTTGGAGAAAATGTCATTTTGTTTTCCAATCTTGATAGACGTGGTAGCCTCAATCATTAGAGTAAATGATATCTCCCAGGGAGATAATATTGCAATTCCCATTTGCCCTATTTCTTTCACATTGGTCCCTTTCCCAGGTTCCTAAACAGATTATTTTCTCTTCCATTTATGCTCCTGATATTTCTAAATCACTATTTATGAATTTCAAGCTATCTAGTACCACAGTCCCTTACTTACATTAGCAGTTTTCTATTCCTTCCCTGAGGGCTATATGTCTTTCCTTAACAACCAGTCCATTTGGGTTGGTTCCAAGTCTTTGCTATTGCGAATAGTGCCACAATAAACATACGGGTGCATGTGTCTTTACAGCTCATGTTCTATAATCCTTCGGGTATATCCCCAGTAATGGGATGGCTGGGTCAAAATGGTATTTCTTTGGTGCAGCACACCAACATGGCACATGTATACATATGTAACAAACCTGCATGTTGTGCACATGTACCCTAAAACTTAAAGTATAATAATAACAATAGAAAAACCAGTCCAGTGACAGACACCTAGCCACCAGCACATATTCCTCCAAAATACCTACTGGCTGCTTGCATCCAGTTTAAACACCTTGAACACCTGTTCTATTTGCCCATTGCAACAATTTGCTATTTTACTGAGTTCTACCCCATTTTGAACTATTTGAATAAAATTAAAACTGGCTATGTTTTTGGGCATTGAATATAAACATTCATTATCAGCATTTGCAGCTGGAGCATTTCATTCTTTGCTGATCCTAATCACAATAATAGTGTCCAATGCCTCCCTACCCATAATTTCTTTTTTATTAAATTGGCTACATCCTGTGAAATCTGAGATCCAAGAATGACTTTATGGGAAAAACAAGTATGAACAGCTATTGAACAATTCCTGCCCTAATGTTTAATCAAATAAGATATTTTATTAGGATCTGTATTTTTATGGCTCCTTTTTAACAGCTGTAATAAACTCTTTCAAAGCAATATGCTGCAAGGGATCAAAGAGCTGTGCTCAATTAGAATTGTTCCTTATTAACCATAGTCAGAAAAGAAGTGAGAAATAAATAAGAGTGTGTCCGATATGTCCTTCAGCAGACTGAGAGAGTAATGTGTCACTGTGACGTGTAGCTTTAAAACAAATTAAAAATCCTATGAAGCACTGAAGCTCCCTAAGCCACAACAGTGGACTTGCTATGGAGATCATGTCTCAGTTTCTGATATCAATGCCACCTATGATCTCCTCCTAAGAATCAAGAGATCAAAGATGAAAAGCAACACCAACAAAGTCCTAGAATGTAGCCATTGTACTGATATTGAAAAGAGGTACAGCATAAGTTGACTGTACTGGTTTCAGCTTCAACAAAGTAACAGCAGGTTTCTAAGGAGCTGTTGTACATGAGATGAAGTGAAGTTATCAATGTAATAAGGGCAGAAAATGATTTACACTGTGATTCACTGAAAAACAACCTCATATTATGTGGCATGGCATGAATTCATGGCAGCATACAGAGCAATGCAGTATATATGGCCTTAATGGAGAGAGTTAATCTCTTTAAATGAGCTCAAAAAGCTTCATTAATTGCACCACCATTCTCCCTTTATCCCAGGTTCAAATGTCCAGTCCTCTTTGGCTGTTTGCACTCTATCATGACATATATCCAAGCACTACATCTATTGATTTTCCCCTTATATCTTTTTGTCTACTTATCATACTATCTTTCCTACAATGTATCTGTGAATTAGTTAATTTTATCATGATATATAGTGAAAGAACAAAGTGTTAGATACATTAATTTTCTCAAGGATAAACTGTAATAAGCAGGGTGATCAGGCTTCTTTTCTCCTGTAAAACATTTCCCAACTGCTCCACACTATACCCTGATAAACAAAGGTGATTACTCTCTATTTGGAACCACATCTGTGACTTCATGATTTTCTGCTACCATGTCCCTCTCCCATATTCCCATATATATGAACATCTGGGGCTTCATTTGATGAAGACAAAGGTCGATTTAACCTGTGGATTCCTAAAAGGTTTTCTTTTATATGAAATGCCAACTGTTATCAAGGAAGCAAAACCAAAATGTCTCAATCTCTCTGCAATCATGTAAGAATTTCCAGAAGCCTATGTGGCCTACGTCCTTTTCCATATTATAATATTATTTCTGATTTCTCTTAATTCAGTTCACCTACTTTCATAATAAGGAAAGGGAACTTTTATCAAGAAAGATAGAATGGAAAAGCTTTTACTCTATTTCAGTTCCCATATCTCCATCTGGTGAACTCCTCTGATTTTCATTATCCATTAATTTCCTCTATAAAAGCTTCCCAGATTGATCTAGATGCTTTTGATATTTTAACAAGTATACCACTTAAATTATTTTCCAGAATGCATCACAGTGACATGTACTTAACACTTACATAAATATCACATGAGGAATACAGACGTAATAAAGAATTCAAACTCTAGTATTTTACATTAATCTAAAAAGAAACATAAAATATTTTAATATTAAAACAAATACAGAATGCCTTGATATAATCCTTTGTATATTACCCGTGAGATGAGAATGGCTCTCACTGGCAGATTTTAAAAGGAGTGTCATGTGAATCAAAGCAGTGAGGCTAGTGTTATGGAAATTAACAATGTCAGAGAATAAATGTTCCTAAGCTTGAAAATAAAGACAAAAGAATGTATGCCAAGGCATGTGTCAGATATCAGTAGGTGCTAGCTTCCAATTTTTAAACTGTGTTTTCAGCATAAATTAAACTAATATTTATTTAATTAGTTGTGTGCACATATATCTTTCCTTCAAGATTATACGAATTCCATGTGGGCATGTATGTTTTCTTTAAACTTTCACAATTCAGCATATTGTGTAAGCAGACTAAGCATTTGAAAAATTGTTGTTAAATGAATGTATACTACCTTAGCTTTCATGCAAACCAAAACTTAAAACAAACCAACTTCACTGTAGCCAGGTTCCTTTCTTCCCAGCCTCCAAGTTTTGTCTTTACTATCACCCCAACTTCACAAACTGGGCAACCTTTCACTTTACTTATACAATTTTACAGGTTTAAAAATTCTAAAGAAAAAGAAGGCAGGATTTTTTTTTTTCTGTAAAGAGCAGTAAATATTGTAGGCTTTCTGAGCCACATGGTCTCAGTCACAACTGCTTAATTCTTGAAATGCAAAAATGTGTGTGTCTGTCTTCCAGTACAATTTTTGGTGAATACTTAAATTTGAATTTCAGATTTTTTTTTTTTTTTTTTTTGAGATGGAGTCTCACTCTTGTTGCCCAGGCTGGAGTACAGTGACGTGATCTCAGCTCACTGCAACCTCCGCCTCCCGGGTTCAAGTGATTCTCCTGCCTCAGCCTCATGAGTAGCTGGGACTATAGGTGCGTGCCAATACACCCAGCTAAGTTTTTGTATTTTTAATAGAGATGGGGTTTCACCGTGTTAGCCAGGATGGTCTCGATCTCCTGACAACATCGTGATCCACCTGCCTCGGCCTCCCAAAGTGCTGGGATTACAGGCGTGAGCCACCGTGCCTGGCCTGAACTTTGGATAATTTTAATGTGAAATTTTATTTTTCTTTTCTGTTTAAAATTATTTAAAAATGTAAATATCATCCTTGTTTTAAAGGCCATACCAAAACAAGTAGCTGGCCACATTTGGTCCTCTGGCTGTAGTTTGCTAATGATTGTGCTAGAGTGAGGTTTTTGTTTATTTTAGTTCCTTCTTCCTCAATTGTATATCTCTGGATTTTGTTAACCAAGACAAAAATACTCTGATTTAAGACACAGATTTTCTGAATTACTCATTTTGGCACATTTATTTATATCCACATGTTACTACTTAACAACCTTATTAATATGTATCATCCTTATCCAGTTGGTTGTAAATTCTGGAAGGGAAGGGGCTATCCTTATAGCTTTTTAAAAAAATCCTCTAAGACAGACAACAATAGGAAATGACTGAAGGTGCCACTGTAAAGTTCTAGTTGAGTGAGAGAGGAATAAACAACCCTTTCTACATATGGCTGAACTGCAAAGGCAGATCTTCAAGGCAGCAAAACAGATTCCACTCAAATCTGCTCACTTTGTATTTCACAAATCTATTTCACAAATTTGTGTGGAAACAGATTCAACATAAATCTGCTACAATGAGTTTCACAAGCCTCACTGTAGAAAGGAGTGCTAGTACACCATTTATCTTCTTGCCAAAACAAAACTAATTTGAATTAATCTCATCTGTGACTTCTCTGGTATGATCTAAAGGGCACTATCAGGAGTAAAAAAATTTTCTCAGCAGTGCCAAAAACACATCCAGTGGTAAAATATTATTTCTGTAAAACACCGTCCTTTCCCTTGTCCATTGATCCTCAAAATGGTATATCACAAACTTCTGTGAGATCAGTTTATGTATTAATCAAAATGGGACATCAATTAACAAAAATAAGTATAAGCAATAGCATGGACATTATTGCTTTAGACTAACGGTTCTTAACCTCCACTATACATTGGTATCATCCAGGGAGGTTTTTAAAAATCCCAGCACTCAGGCTACTTCTGTGACAAATTAAATCAGTTTCCAGAAGTGCCACCCTCTAAGTCATTTTTCTAGCTCTACAGGTGATTCGACAGTGCAGCCAAATTTGAGAACTCCTGTCTTACACCCTCTTGTAGAATTAAATCTTCCTCGGGAAAGGTAACAAGTTACTCTTATTTTGATCTAATTTACTTGTTCTATTGACATCTTCCAGGAGGAGAAGGAACAGCAACAAAAATTATATATCCTGAGGTAGTGATCAGTGACCTATGGAAGAAATAGAGACATGACTGATAGGGAGGTGTGGGATATGGAAAAAAGTGCCTCATAAATTTTGTTCTGAGTTAGTCATTTAGGACTTCTCTGTAAACAATGAATGAGTAACATTTACTCCCATAGTGAATTATTTGTACTTTTAATTTCTATGAACTGATGTATTAATATCTAGAAAATGGCCACAAACTGTTCCCATATAAACACTGGCTCCTTCCAAAACCTCTGGAGACGTTAGATATCACCAAACCATGTACTGTAACAGTAACAGTGCTTAGGCATTTCACAGGATCATGCTCTCAAATATAACTAGCCGATCCTAAGCCTGTTTATCCTGCTTCACCCCATTCCTCCCACAATTTTGCACTTTCCTTTGCCTCATGACAAACTCAGGTGCTTCCCCTGGGTAAGCCTGTGCTTTATGATGTTTTCTCCCCAGGGAACCATAAGTAACAAAACTGTAAAACTCCACTTTCTTTTTCTTGATCTGCCTCTGTCCTCACCATATCTCACCCAGGATAATATGATTAAAACATAGAACAATAGTTAGTGAGGTTTGAGAAGATAGCAACTATTCAGACATAAATCCTTTATACTACAGAAACTCTTTCAGATTCATGAAAGTCTCTCTCATCAAAGGTTGAAATCCTGGATAACTGTGTCCTTATATTAAGACCATAAATCTTTTCTACTTGAAACCTTTTAAAATTTTGTTTTGCTTTTTTGAAAATTATATTTTCAGTGAACTACCTTCTGATTGTTGAATTTGGATGTTAAGGTGAAGTTTTACATTTCACTTCTTACAGGTGAAAACTTTATGTCAGAAAGTAGAAGGAGTAGCAGCTATAGTTTTCCTTGATAGGAACTGACACAACATTGATTAAAAATTGTTGCTGTTTTAGTCAAAACCATGATGAGATACCATCTCATGTCAGTCAGAATGGCAATTATTAAAAAGTGAAGAAACAACGAATGCTGGTGAGGTTATGGAGAAATAGGAACACTTTTACACTGTTGGTGGGATTGTAAATTGTGGAAGACAGTGTGGTGATTCCTCCAATATCTAAAACCAGAAATACCATTTAACCTAGCAGTCTCATTACTGGGTATATACCCAAAGGAATATAAATCATTCTATTATGATGATACATGCATGCATATGTTCATTGCAGCACTATTCACAATAGCAAAGACATGGAATCAACCCAAATGCCCATCAGAGATAGACTGGATAAAGAAAATGTGGTACATATACACCATGCAATACCATGCAGCCATAAAAAAGAAAGGAGATCATGTCCTTTGCAGTGACACGGATGGAGCTGGAAGCCGTTATACTCAGCAAACCAATGCAGGAACAGAAAACCAAACACTGCATGTCCTCACTTATAAGTGGGAGTTGAACAATGAGAACATATGGACATAGGAAGGGGAACATCACCCGCCGGCATCTGTCATGGTGTGGGGTAGGGCGAGGGAGAGCATTAGGACAAATAGCTAATGCATGCTGAACTTAATACCTAGGTGATAGATTGATAGGTGCGGTAAACCACCATGCCACATGTTTACCTATGTAACAAAACTGCACATCCTCCACATGTACCCTAGAACTTAAAATAAAAATAAATTTTTTAAAAAAAATTGCTATTTTTGCTTCGAGGAATGCTTAAGAGGCTGTTATCTCTTTATTTCATTTTGAATACTTTTTCTTTCTGGTTTATTATGGACTAATTTTTTTTCCTGGTAGTTTGGATGTCATATATGAAGGCAAAAATAAGCCATCAGTTTTGAGAGACGATACATACAAATACAACAGTTGCCCAACATTTTTAATAGTTATTTTACAAACAGATTTTCATTTTGAACAGAAATTCTAGAGGATTATAATGACATTAAACTTGCATATACAACCTCTTCTTACATTTGAAAAAAGTTTCTTACAATATTATAAAAGATAATATGTTTCTATGTTATAACTTTTTTGATATCATATTACCTTTATTATAATACAGTATATAATAATTTGAAGCAATAATGATAGATGTTTATTGAATGCTTTCCATCTGCTTGGCCTGGTTTTAAGATGTTTATATGGATTAAACCATTGAATCTAAATGTTATTTTATTCTTAAGGAAACTGAAACACAAGAGTTTAAAGTCAGGCTGGGTGCGGTGGCTCACGCCTGTAATCCCAGCTCTCTGGGAGGCTGAGGCAGGTAGATCACAAGGTCAAGAGTTCGAGACCAGCTTGGCCAATATGGTGAAATCCCATCTCTACTAAAAATACAAAAATTAGCCAGTCATGGTGGTGTGTGCCTGTAGTCCCAGCTACTTGGGAGGCTGAGGCAGAAGAATCGCTTGAACCCAAGAGGTGGAGGTTGCAGTGAACCGATATCGCACCACTGCACTCCAACCTGGGCGACAAAGCAAGATGCTGTCTCAAAAAAAAAGAAAAAAAAGAGTTTAAAGTAACTTCCCAGAATTTCAACACCTAATCAGAACTTCAGGAATTGAAAGTAGTTTGTTTGACTCCAAAACTCAAACCCTTAAACACTACAAAATACTCCCTACTGGAGAAAATTATGAATGCTTATCTCAACATATAATTTGTTAAAAGTAGCAAAAATCATTCAATGAAGAAGAAATCTTTTAAATTTTTTGTTCATATTATCTATATTAATTGCTTACAGAATTCATTGGACAAATAAATGCTTTGATTTTTCACTTTGCTAGTATAGACATAATCAGCATGAAGCATATATAGCTTTCTGAATGTGCTGAAGACTTGAATTATTTTGCAGGCGACTAAGATGTAGGGCTTACAATAAGCAATATGGAATTGTAAATTACCTAATGAATTTGGGGGACAAAAGACTAGTTTGTACATATAATACTTTGACTTTTCTAGGTAATCTTTAATTCTTATTTTCTCTTAACCCTGTTTAAAAATTCTCAGAAAACACTTGTCTATTTAAGCAGGCAGAAGATAAAAGAAATTATCTTTGGAAATACAGAACTTGGAATCTCATACGGGGAACTTTTACAGTATCAATGCAGAATACTGAAATGTAAACTGATAGTACTAGAAAGTATTATTATTATGTTATAACATAACCTCATAGCATATACATATTAGGAAACTGAGGTGCATTAAAGTTAAGTGACATGGCCAAGGTTAAGAAGTTAATTGATAGTGGGGACAAAAATATTATTCGGCTCTCTGAATGATTTGAATTATGATGCAATACTTCTTTCTATACCTCAGTTACATAAAATAATAGTAAATCAAAATAAAATTCAAAACAAAACAAATGGAGTGAAATATGTTAGAAGAAGTAATGTTAGGAGTAATCACATTTTATTACAAGAAAATGAAAGCCACAAGAGTTTCCATTAGGGTCACTTTTGTTATATTGTTTTGAATGCAATGATTAATTCTTAGTGTCTCTTCTGCACCAGGAAATATGTAGAAAATTCCTCTGTTTTGACACACAATTTCTTTTATTTTTTACCTAACAACGTGAAATTTCTTGTGGAAGTGTCTTTTCCTTCTGGTGAAAGACTAATTTGCTGTATTAACAGAGTATAACAGTTTGGTTTGCTAGCTTGATGTTCTTTGTAATTAAGAAAAATTGATAAGGAGGACTCAATGTCAATACCTGCTTGAAACCATAATCATATTTCTTTTCTTGCAATATTTGATTAGATCTAATAACTGTGTCAAACATTTTATTGAACTGTGGCATGACAAGATCTCTTTTTTATTATTGGCTGTTAACATTCTTGTCATATTTAATGTTTCACCTGGGAAATGGCTTTTATTCAGAGTTCACTCTTATGTGTGTCTACCTTTCAACCTTGATGCAAAACAAATGACTTCTTATCTCAGCCATAAAGGAATCTTCAAAAAATATGAGGGAATTTTGTATGCTCAGTAAGGGTCTCTCCTGAAGTAGACATTAACTGTGCAGTTTGTTCTATCAAGTTTAATAGTTTTAAAAATTATTTTAATAACACATGACATTTTGCCAAAATGATCAGGATTCCTCTTTAAGACTATTTTGGTACTACTCAAAGTATGACAATTTATGTAACTGAAGCATCTTTATTTATAGTTTAAGTTCTGGGCTTCAAGAAAACATTTTGGAAAGATTCTTGTCTACAAAGCTACAAACATCCAGGAGGAAGCCCCTGCTCAGTAAGAAGTACTATACAGATCCATATCATCTGTATCTCTATCTGTATTTATCTTTTATTCTTCACAGAATGCCTCAAAACTTTAAATAAACATATTTGGCTTCTCCTATGTTTAACTAAAAATGTTGTATTTTTCTAAAGATTCCTGATATCATATATTTACATAGGTAGCTATAAGATTTCCATGGTAATAATGTACCAACTCTATTTATTTGGGGAAAAGAAGTTTCTGAAACATATATGGGAAATATCAACATCTATTAAATCTAAATACAAATACATAGTGTTTAATTATGTTCTGTTTATTGGGAAAATGAGAGACAACAATAATATTTTAATTTAAATTTCTTCCTAATGAATGTTTCTAGATCCACCTTAATTTTCCTCTTTTCTTTGATAAGTACAGTCTGCATCATACCTTTTGCCACCCTTTCCTAATTATTTCTTGTTAAGAATTTCATTCGCTTTCCTAAAAGGCAATGTATTTATACTTCTCTTGTATCCATAATGATTCCTATAATGATTCTATTTAAATTTTATTTTAACGCAACTGAATACAAATCTCAAGCTCAAATATGATATTTGAAAATGCATTTCACCACTTTGGCTTTTTGCTTGAGTCAATGTTCTTATTTTTAATTTATTTTTTATTTGTATAAATTTATGCGGTTCAAGTGGAATTGTATGACATGCATAGATTACATAGTGATCGGGTCAGGGCTTTAGGGTATCCATCGCCCAAATAACTTACATTTCAAGCGATTAAGTAATTTCTCATCATCGACCTCTCTCCCACCCCTGTATCCTTCTAAGTCTTCATTGTCTATCATTCTGTTCTCTATATTCATGTATACCCATTTTTTAGCACCCACTAATGAGTGGGAATATGGGATATTTGACTTCCTTTGTCTGGCTTGTTTCACTTGAGATAATGACCTCCAGTTCTGTCCATGTTCCTGCAAAAGACATGATTTCATTCTTTTTGATGACAAAATAGTATTCCATTGTATTTGTATAAGATATTTTCTTTATCCAATCATTTCACTCTTGTTGCTCAGGCTGGAGTGCAATGGCATGATCTAAGATCACTGCAGCCTCCGCCTCCCAGGTTCAAGCAATTCTTCTGCATCAGCCTCCCAACTAGCTGGGATTACAGGCACCTGCCACAGGTCCAGCTAATTTTTGTATTTTTAGTAGAGACGGGATTTCACCATGTTGGTCAGGCTAGTCTCGAACTCCTGGCCTCTGGTGATCTGCCTGTCTCAGACACCCAAAGTAATTGCCCAATTTTTAATAAGACTATTCAATGTTTTTTTTTGCATATTTTGGATACTTCCATGTAGGATGAACAGTTTGAAATGATCTTCTCCCATTCTGCAGGTGTTGTTCACTCTGTTTTTGTTTGTTTGTTTGTTTTGCTGTGCAGAAGTTTTTAGTTTAATTAAGTTTCATCGACCTATTTTTGTTTTTGTTACTTGTGCTTTTGAAGTCTTTGTCATAAATTCTTAGCCTAGTTCTATGTCCTGGTGAATTTTCCCTAGTTTTTCTTCTTTAGAGTTGTTATACTTTGGGGTCTTACATTTAAGCCTTTAATCTATCTTGAGTAGATATTTGTATATGGTGAGAGATAGGGATCCGGTTTCATTACTCTGCATATAACAATCCAATTTCCCCATCATCATTTATTGAAAAAGGTGTCCTTTCCCCAATGTATGTTCTTTTCAGCTTTGTCAAACATCAGCTGGCTGTAAATATATAGCTTTATTTCTCAGTTCTCTAGTCTTTTCCATTGATCTATGTGTCTATTTTTATACCAGTACCATGCTATTTTGGTTACTAGAGCTTTGTAATATAATTTGAAGTCAGGTAATATTATGCCTCCCGCTTTGTTCTTTTTGCTTAGGATTGCTTTTCCTATTCGGGCTCTTTTTTGGTTCCATATGAATTTTAGAATGGTTTTTTTTTCTAATTCTGTGAAAAATGACGTTGGCATTTTGATAGGCATTGCCTTGAATCTGCAGAGTGCTTTGGACAATATGGTCATTTTAATGACATTGAGCCTTCTAATCCGTGAGTTTGGGATGTTTTTCCACTTGTTTATCTACAATTTCTTTCATCAGTGTTTTGCAGTTCTCCTTGTAGAGACCTTTCAGTTCTTTAGTTAAATTTATTCCCAGATATTTTATTTATTTTCTGTAGCCATTGTAAATGGGATTGGCTTCTGGATTTTTTTCTCAGCTAGCTCGTTGTTGATGTATAAAAATATCACTAATTATTTTTATTTATTTATTTATTCTTATTTTTTGAGATGGAGTCTTGCTCTGTTGCCCAGGCTGGAGTGCAGTGATGCAATCTCGGCTCACTGAAAGCTCTGCCTCTCGGGTTCATGCCATTCTCCTGCCTCAGCCTCCTGAGTAGCTGGGACTACAGGCACCCACCACAGCACCTGGCTAATTTTTTGTATTTTTAGAGAGACGGGGTTTCACCGTGTTACCTAGGATGGTCTCGATCTCCTGACCTTGTAATCCGCCGGCCTCGGCTTCCCAAAGTGCTGGGATTACAGGCGTGAGCCACCGCGCCCAGCCAAAAATGCCACTGATTTTTTATGTTGATTTTGTGGCATGCAATTTTACTAAACTTATTTATCAAATCTAGGAATCCTTTGGTGGAGTCCTTAGGTTTTTCTAGACATAAGATCATGTCATCAGCAAACAGGGATAATTTGACTTCCCCTTTTCCAATCTGGATACCTTTTATTTTGTTCTCTTATCTGGCCCCTCTGGCTAGGACTTCCAGGACTATATTGAATAGGAAAGGTGAAAGCGAACATCCTTGTCTTGTAATGCTGTACATTTCCTTGAATCGTAAATTACCTATCATACTTGATACTAGCATTTTTCCTTTTCATAATTGCCATCACCTATAATTTACTTTAGCTCATAAATGTACACATATGTGGGTCTGTCAATTGGTAAGGGATTGATAGGTCCATAGATATTTATCTTAATTTCCTTTCCATACCTTTACAGAATGTTCTCTTAAGGACAATTCAATGTCCTCACTCCAATTGATTGTCTTTCATTGCCAATTCTGATTTGCTTTCAGCTGGCTGAATTTTCCCATGGATCTGTGAAATAATCTTCAACAATAAAATCTGTGTACAATGAAGTGCCTGGCATTACTCTAGGTGCTGGAATTATAACTGAGATGAAAACACATCCCTGACCTTGAGAAGCTTACAGTCCTTTACATTTATTTTTTATTATTTAACAATTTTACTAACACCACTATTGCAAAATTTTCTTTAAAAATATACATTTCAGTTTGAGTTTTATTTTGTTTTTAATTGACATATAATGACTGTACACATTTATGGGGTATAGTGTGATTTTTCAGTAAATGTATACAATGTGTAATAATGAAACCAGGGTAACTAGCACATCTATCACCTCAAACACTTGTCATTTCTTTGTGATGAGAGCATTCAAAAGCCTCTCTTCTAACTGTTTTGAACCATAATACATTACTGTTAATTATAGTCACCCTACTGTGCAATAGCCCTCCAGAGGTATTGCTCCTATCTAACTGGAACTTTGTACCTGTTGAAGAACCTCTCCCCATCCCTGTCTTTTCCCTACTCTTCCCAGCCTCTTTACATTTATATTCATAACAAGGGCATCTGATGTTTTCCACTCTCCACTTTTATTCCCAATTGCAGATTTTTCCTATAGGTAATTTACATTGTGTCCTGCCCTGTTAGTTGACCAGAAAATAGTCAGAGATTACGAGAGTCCTGAGTGATTTGGGGGTGTATTCTCATTCTTGGAAAGGATGACCTTAGCACAGGCATATTTATGATTCTAGTTCTACCATGGCACGGAGTTTATCGTTCAAGATCTGAAAGTATCAGCAGATTGTATCCTATGCAAGCAAGGGGAAGCCTACCCAACAATTATCCATGTATACGTATGTTGAGATTATTCCTCTGGTCCAGATACTGATCCTTGGTGTTCTCCCATAGGAAGCCCTTCCCAGCATTCTGTTTCTTGGTTTCTGACTCAAACACTACTTCAGCTTCAGATCTACTCTCAAATTAGCATTGGAAGTGGTTAGGGTTTCCAGTCTCCAAGGATAAAAGCCTTGTGTCCTAGTCTCCGTTCCTTACATTCTTCTCTAAATCCAGTTTTGGCCAAACATGTGTTCCAGTGAAATTTTGGTATCAAGAATAAGCTTTTAAGAAATAGACTAAAAAAATAGACTCTACATATATCAATGTTAAGTTGTAAGAAGCTGTGTAACATTGTCATGGGTTAAATAAATCACTACAATAAAAGTATTTTTTCAATTTTAGGAGGAATTAGTTTCTTAAAGGGATTTTCTTAGTCAAGTCATTTTTCAGGCTTCACTGGGAGTCCTGTGAGAGAGTTTTGCTCATATAGGCCTTTTGATATTTTTCAAAGATTTACCAAAAACACAGCATATAACTTACAGGTAATGTAAGTAATGCCTCTAGGCCTGGTATTGAGCACCAATTGTGTGCCAAAGAACTTTGGTAGGGACTGGGAAAGTAGTTCTTGCACTCAGCATACATATGTTCAAGTTTACTCACTATTTATTAGTTGTGAGATACTGGGCAAATTACCTAACCTATATGAACCTCTTCTGTTTGAAAAAAAAAACACAGGAAAATAATAATCCCAATACCTGCTCTGTTAAACTCATAGGTTGTTTTTGTCCGTTTGTTTGTTTTTCTTTTTTCTTTTTCTTTTTGTTTTGAGGCAGGGTCTTCCTCTGTTGTTCAAGTTGGAGTGCAGTGGCATGAAATACCTCACTGCAGCCTTGACCTCCCGGGCTCAAGCCATCCTCCTATCTCAGCCTGCCAAGTAATTTGGACTACAGGCACACGCCACCACAGTCTAGTCTCAAACTCCTGAGCTCAAGCGATCCACCTGTCTTGGCCTCCCAAAGTGTTGGGGTAAAGGCGTGAGCCACTGGGCTGGGCCTCATGGGTTGTTTTGTGAAATCATGAGCTAATGTATGTGAAAGTACTTTGTAACTATAATGTGCTACATTGTTGTTATTTATATTTTCTTTCAAAATTGCAGTAAAACACTGAAAGAGTTAAAAAAATACCACCCCAAAATATGATGCTTTGATATGCTGATTACTTTGAACCGAGAACACTTGGGCAACAGCAGATGTAGGCAGAGGCTTTCCCTGAGCTCCCCTTTTCTCCCTAAAGATGACTCTTCCAAAAAGAACTCAATTGTCATGAATCTCTTTCCCAGGAATCTTATCAACCAGGGAAGGTTAACTAGGATCACAAGAGAGGACTGAAGGTTGACAACACGCTCAAACAGACTATCCCTATTCTTCTGAGGGCTTCTCCAAGACAATTTTTATTATCGAAGATATTTTTTATCTGCTCAAAAAGACAATCTTTATTCACCATACATTTCCTTCCCTTCCTCTTCCATACTTTGTGTTGCTACCACCCATTGAACCCCCAAGCCCCTATTTCTTTTTGTAGCTCATGATGCTATATAAGCTTCAATCATCTGACTCTTCTTTGAGTCTCATATTTTGTGGGATTCTCATGCAAACATATGTAATTAAGTATGGGTTTTTTCCTGTTAATCTATCTAATGTCAATTTAATTTGTAGCCCAGCCATGGAACCTAGAAGGGTTCCATGGAGGCAAGCCATTTTTCACTCCCCTACTTCACCTTCTCAGAAAATGCTAAAAAAATTCCCTAAGAGAGAAAATGAAAAACTTAACTGCTTTAAGTTGAAACAGAGTAGGTATTAAAGAGCTCCTCCTGTTTATAGCTGCCTATTTGTAAAATACAGCTTGGACATCACTGTTGAAAAATATTTCTTACCATTATTGTATATAAATTATATTCCTGTCTTAACTAATTAAGTAAGTGCCTTAAGAATTGAATAGATTAAGCCCCAAGAAAGATTTAACGGCCGGGCGCGGTGACTCACGCCTGTAATCCTAGCACTTTGGGAGGCCGAGGCCGGCGGATCACGAGGTCAGGAGATTGAGACCATCCTGGCTAACACGGTGAAACCCCGTCTCTACTAAAAATACAAAATATTAGCCGGGCGTGGTGGCGGGTGCCTGTAGTCCCAGCTACTCCAGAGGCTGAGGCAGGAGAATGGCGTGAACCCAGGAGGTGGAGCTTGCAGTGAGCCGAGATCGCGCCACTGCTCTCCAGCCTGGGCGACAGAGTGAGACTGTCACCAAAAAAAAAAAAAAAAAAAAAAAAGATTTTCCAACTTGTGGAGATAAAGTGAGCAGAAATGCTAAAATTATTAGAAATGTAGAAATTGAGGTTGTATTACAAGAAGGTTTGCAACATAGACTAAATAAATTTAAACAATATTTGTGTACCAAATGTCTCAGGATTTATGCAGAATACATGCTTATCCTGGTTTCTATCATAGGAAATGACAAGATTTTAGTACCTCTCCCCCCTTGTCCAAGGGATGACAACATTTATTGCACAGTTGGTCTCTGAGAGTTATCAATGACACAGGAAGGTGACTAGATAAACATCAAACACAGTTGATGAAGACAACTTTAATTACCTCACTAGGGGTTTTGAACTAGTTAATTATGGGCTTTTTTTTCCTAAGTAAACTTTACATATTAAGATGCCTGGTTGATCTCAAAGGAATTTAAAAATAACTTGTAAGAAAAGCACAAACTGTGGTAACTTGGAAATGTAAATCAAATTGCAAAAACAGATAGATTTCGTAAATCTGAGAGTATTTTTGGATTCTTTTGTTTCTTCTTATTATAAATAGCCTGCCATTTGTATCCAAGGGCATTTTTTTTCATCCTTATGTGGGCGGCATAATTACACAGAATACTTGAAGTTTAAAAATCTTTATGTAAGTGTGAGATTATAATCAGAACTTGATGTCGCCTATAGTCAGGGTCTGATTAATATACTTATATTAAATGTCAAAAATAGGATTTAATGTTCTCTTTCTAAAAATAGAAGCTAATAAAATGAAATAATTAAGCTTATAATTAAGAACACAGATACTCCTCGTCTTTGTCTTCTTAGTGGGTAACTAATTCAGGCGACACTTAGAAGTCTTGAAAAATAAGTTTTGAAGGTTGTGCACACTCTCTCACTGGGGTCATAAAATAAATGAGTACTGTCTACAAATAATATTTACCAAGAGACAATGTCCTTCTTTAACTCCCACCCCCCCGCCAGAATTGTCTTTAATACTCATTAGTTTTCACACGCTCTGTGCTGTCTCTACTTCTAAAATACATTCCTCTCTTTGGAGAGATACCTTATTTTTCATCTCCCATCTTAAATTTTCTTTAAGTCTCTAATCAAGCAAGTCATTGATATTTATTTCATATACGTTTTATTACTTGTTACTATGTCGGGCACCATAAAAATACACAAAATTATAGAACGTTTTACCCTTAAAATTTCTTTGAAGAAAGGAATCCCATCTTGCACTTGTCTGAACTAGTGTTTAGTTAATATGTATTGGTTTGACTTGAGATGAAAACGAGATGTAAGACTATATCAATGCCAAATATGATGCTGAAGTTTATAGTGATAGCTTCTCTATTACAAATTGTGTTTGCAATATTATATTTGTGTATTATTTTTTCTATTTCACTTTTTCACCATTGAGTTCATTGTTAGCTATGGACTTGTGAAATATGGCCTTTATTATGTTCAGGCACATTCTTTTTTTTACCTGTTTGTTGAATGTTTTGTCATGGAAGAGTGTTAAATTTTATCAAATTTATTGTGTACATCTATTGAGATGATCATATGTCTTTTATCCTTCATTCTGTTAAAGTGGTATATCACATTTATTGATTTGCATATGTTGAGCCATCCTTGTATCCTATAAAGACAGACTTATTGGCCATGGAACATAATAGAAAGCCCAGAAATAAATCTACACATATAGAGTCAACTGATCTTCAGAAAAGATGCCAAGAATACACAATAGGGAAACGACTGTTTCTTCAACAAATTGGGCTGGGAATACTAGATAGCCACATCCAAAAGAATGTAATTGGATCCCTATCTGACACCAGACACAAAAATCAACTCCAAATGGGGGTAAAGACTGAAATGTAACATCTGAGTCTTTGAAACTCTTAGAAAAAAATTTAGGGGGAAATCTTGACAATGGTCTTGGAAATTATTTCTTTGATCTGACACCAAAAGCACAGGCAACTAAAGCAAAAATAGACCAGGGACTTATTATCAAACTCAAAAGCATCTGCTATGCAAAGGAAACAATTAACAGAGTGAAATTTATCTGATAAAGGGTTAATATACAAAATATATAAGACAGTCCTGTAACTCAGTAGCAAATACACACACACACACACACACACACACACACACACAGAGGGAGAGAGAGAGAGAGAGAGATTTTAAGAATAGGCAAAAGTCCTGAACATACATTTCCCCAAAGAAAACACACACAAATGGTCACCAGATATATGAAAAAATGCTCAGCATCGCTAATCATCAGAGAAATGCAAATCAAAATCACAATGAGATATCACCTCACACCTATCAGGATGGCCGTTTTATATATATACACACACACACATATACATATATGCATATATATAATTTATATCTGTATATATAAATATAAATATAAAAACAAGTGTTGAGAATGTAGAGATATTAGAACTATTGTATACTGTTGGTGCAAATGTAAGTAGATGCAGTCACTATGGAAAACAGTGTGGAGTCTCTTCAAAAAATAAAAACAGGGTTAGTATACAATCCAGCGATCCCACTTATGGGTATATATTAAAAATTGAAATCAGTATCTCAGAGAAATATCTGCATTCTCATGTTCATTGCAGCATGATTTACAATAGCCAAGATGTTGAAAGAATCCAATTGTTCATCAATGGATGAATGGAAAAAGAAAATATGTTGTCTAATACAATTTAGTATTGATCAATATTTAAAAAATAGAAATCATTCTATTTGCAACAGCATGGATGAACCTGGAGGACATTATGCTGAGTGAAATAAGCCAGTCACAGAAGGACAGATACTGAATGATTCCACTTGTATGAGGTATCTAAAATAGTCAAATTTAAAGAAGTACAGAATAGAATGTTGGTTGTCAGGGGTTTGGGAAAGGAGTACGTGCTAATTTTTGCTCAATATGTATGAATTTTCAATTATGCAAGAAGAATCATTTCTAGAGATTCACTATAAAAGGCAGTGCCAATAGTTAACAATGCAGTATTGTGCACTAAAAAATTTAAGAGGGGCTGTGGGTGGTGGCTCACACCTGTAATCCGGCACTTTGGGAGGCTTGGGCAGGAGGATTGCTTGAGCCCTGGAATGCAAGACCAAGCTGGGCAACATAGTGATACCCTGGCTCTACAAAAAACTTTAAAAAATTAGCTGGGTGTGGTGGCATGCTCCTGTAGCCCAGGAATTTGAGGTTGCGGTGGGTTGTGATTCACCACTGCACTCCAGCCTGGGCAACAGAGTTAGATCCTGTCTCAAAAAAAAAAAAAAAAAAAAAAATGAGAGAGGACATCTCTTGGTAAGTGTTCCTACCACAAAAGTAAACAAAAAACACAAAAGAATGTCAGAAAACTTTTGGAGATAATGGATATATTTATCATCTTGATTGTGATGATGATATCTTGGATAAATGAAGATGTCCAAACTCATCAAATTGTATACATCAAACATACAATTTTTTGTATACAATTATACCTCAATAAATCTGATTTTTAAAAAAGAAATGATAGCAATAATCACACACACATTCACACAAACAAGCAACATGCAGAAGACGACAGAACTAATAAAAGGAAGTGGTTGGTCTGACTGATTCTATGAATCTGTGGGTTGGTATATTTAATTATTTCTAGACTTCTTAGCCATCATCCCTTGAAATACTGCTTCAGACCCATTTTTTCCTTTTTTAAAAATTCAGTTATGTATGCATTAGGACTTTTTACTATATTTTCCATGTCTCTTACTCTGTTTTATAGTTCCATCTTTTTTTTTTTGCTATACTATATTGTGATTAATTTCTTCTGAACTAGTTCCTAGTTCACTACTTCTCTATATTTTCAGTTTGCTGCCATCTATGTCCAACATGTTTTTAATATTGGTTGTTCTTTTATTTCTAGAAGTCCTTTTTTTTAAAGACAGTTGTCATTTGTTTTAGCGTTTCCGTTACCTGTAGATAATTTCAGTCTTGCCATCTATTTCTTTAAACAGGATAAGATGGATTGTTTTAGAATGTCTGACAATACCAACATTTGAAGTTTGGATGAGTCTGTTCCTAATATGTCTATTTTTGTGTTTATTCTTGCTCATGGTGCCTTGGGTAAATGGTTTAAGTGTACTAATAATTGCCATTGGGAAGATGTTTGTGGAGATTCACTAAAGCACGAGATGAAAGTCCTGTCTCAGGGAAGATTTACACTTTCCAGAAATCTGGGAGCACTACAAGTTAGAAACCTCCTTAAAGCAAGTTCAAGGCTTGTGCTTCATTGGCCCACTGAGTTGTATCTTGGCAGCATGTTCTTCTGTAGTGCACTCTACTGGGAGTTCATCAAGAAAAGGCTTTGTTTGTTTTCATTTCCTTGGGTTATGCATAGTTTTTCAGAGCCAAGTCAAATGGCCCTACCTGCAATGCACCACGGTTTTGGTAGTTGTGGGGGATACCAGTTCTGGCTCACTTTTCTTCTGATAGTGTTAATTTTTGAGATTCACTTAATGTGGTGGTGACATCTTCTCTATGATTGCTCACCTAGAGTGGCTTAATGAGGCCAGAGACCAAAGCCCAAGTTTGTCAGATTGGTAGATTGGTACACGCAGGGCCAAAACAGTTTAGGTATATGATGTATCCCTTGCTGCTCTGGGTGTAGATTTTATCTATCCTTATTTGGGTAGGCAGTATTCTGTTATCTCTTCAGCTCTTCTATGCTTTAATGTTAATGAAAAATATGTATTTATCTAGTATTTTAGTCATTTTCACCTAACCTAGCTCTTCATACCAGAAAAGCAACTGTCCTAACTTCAAAGCTGGGACTCATAACTGATTTGCCTTCCTGTTATGACAAACATTCTATTATTATTATTATTATTTATTTATTTATTTTTATTTTTATTTTTTTTGAGACGGAGTCCTCCTCTGTCGCCCAGGCTGGAGTGCAGTGGCGTGATCTCGGCTCACTGCAAGCTCCGCCTCCCGGGTTCAAGCCATTCTGCTGCCTCAGCCTCTCCGAGTAGCTGGGACTACAGGCTCCCGCCACCAAGGCCGGCTAATTTTTTGTATGTTTAGTAGAGACGGGGTTTCACCGTGTTAGCCAGGATGGTCTGGATCTCCTGACCTCGTGATCCGCCCACCTAGGCTTCCCAAAGTGCTGGGATTACAGGCGTGAGCCATCGCGCCCGGCCTCTATTATTTTTCTTTAACATTGTCCCCCACCTGACAATTGCTAGACGTATTTTTACTGATAAATCCACGTTCTTCTTGCAGGGGTCAAAAAAGACAAAAATCAACAAGAAGTTAGCATGAATAAATGCTTTCTCAAGCAATCCTACTTAAAACTTGATGTTCAAACTCTTTACAAGTTGTACAGAAACAGGGTTTCACACTTGAAAATTTAAGACTGCAATGTGTTCTAACTTTTCAGGACCTTGCATTCATTTTCAATCACAAGATGCAGGAATTTATTAGAGTTTGATGTGCAACTGATGACGTGCTTAATATGTTATATGAGTATTGTGTCCTCTAATGCTCCCTGGACCAACATAAAAACAAAAAGTTGCATCTCATTGGAGCTGTTGAAACACAAAAATTTTAATAAATAAGAATTACAGTGTAATAAAATTTATCATTATATGAGGAACTGGGATAGCAGTAAATGTCTTTGGAAACTCATATTATTCTTTTGCTCTTCCTGTTTCTATTCCATTCTAACATTGTAATGAATTCTTTAGGCATTTCTTAGGGGGATTTTAAAATCTAAACTACTCCCAAATCTCCTTTTTTTTTTTTCTAAAACTATTCCAGGACTAAATTTTAAGATTATCTTTCTCTTTCAAAAACAGAATACCTACCCGTTCTACTTAGGTTTTCCTTGTACAGACATTTATAAATGCTGTTCTGATTCTGACCTTTCTTCCTTCTCTATTTACTCTATGTAGCAGATGCTGCTAGTGTCCTGCCCGTAGCCATTGGCACTTAGGTAACACCAATATGCATGGAAATGGTATTTCTAATGCTAGAATCTGTGATTCTGTCTGAGGATGATCTCTGGCTCCATCAGTCAGGCTGGAAGTGCCAAGGCATTTCTACCACCCTGGAGTAGCACTTAACCAATGACTACTGGGTATTGGTGAATAAGTACTCCTGCTCCCTCACTACTTTTTAGCCTGAATAACTGAAATTGGTGTTCTACATGGGCACCCAGATTTCACTGATGGAACTATTTTCTTTTTTGGCTTCCATAGCCTCCTTTTCCTGCTTTTATACTCTTTACCTGAGGTTTTTTGGTGTCACTTCCAAATAAACTACCTGTGTCTAAATCCTTGGAATAAAGTCTGCCTCTGGGAGATTCTAAACAAAGACCTACCCATTGTCCTTCCTTCAAATCACATTAACATTTTGGTAAAGGTACTGATTACAGACATGCATGATTTAGTGCTGCTGAGTTTATCTTTAGCTTTACTGAATCATTACAGAACTCACAAATATTCGAATTTACATCTCTTTAAAGAAAGTCTAATAAAAAATAAGCTCACTATCTGCTTGTCTAATTTATTTAAAATTGTAGATTAGAGTAGGAGTAGCAGCTGCTAGTAAAAAGATGGTAACAAATAATGTTTATTGCATTCTTAGAAAATATATGTTTCATATGTACTAACTCCTCACAACATCTGTCCTAAATTGGAGCTATTTTTGTTACCAGCAAGTTCAAGGAAAAAGCAAAGACAGAATGAAAGGTTAAATAACTTGCCTTAGGTTAGAGTCTGCAAGTGTTAGAGATGGGCTTACAACCCAGTTGATCTGTCTGAGAGGCTGCAGTCCCAAACATCATGCTCTGAATGATTAAAGTAGTTTTATTTCCAGGCGGAAGCTGAAGGTAAACCATACATGATTCTACCAATGTTCTTAAAATATACGGATAAATACTAGTGAGTCTGAGAACACATCATTGGTTTCATAGGCAATCTGCGTGAGAAATAAACAATGTAAACGATGAATCAAATCTTTCTCTTATTTGTTTGCAAAGCCATAAAGTCCTGGGAAACTGAAGTTAGGAGTCTCAGGCTCTAGATGTAAGATTAATAGTCTCTTTTTTGAGATTAAGATTTTACCTCGGAAATGTTCTCTCCAAGTCTCTGCTTTGATTTGATTAATCTGTATAACCAGGATTATTTAATTATCTTCTAAAAATTGCATATGCAACTTTTGGCCTCTCCTTCTTATCCAAAATTGAAATGATCCTGAAGCATTCATGACTGCCTTCAGTTTAATAGCATCAATTATATAACTGTATTCATCTTTTGGAGCTTATGGATGTTGTATTACTCTTTAGAAATATATTAGCTCTAAGATCACAGATTTTTAAAGCAAATATGTGCATTAAATTTTATCTGTTAAGCTTTGTATGTATATATGACTCTTCTATATGATATAGCATCATTTATGAGAAAATTATCTTTAAACTTGATGAATTCACTAAATATAATCTACTAGCTGTTACACAGGTAAGCTCCAAAATTAAGAGATGACTTATCAGAATAGAAAAGAAGTTACTATTTTAGATGATGTACAAAACCACAAAGAACAGAAAGTAACATTTAAATGGAACTTAGAATACATGAATTTTTGCCTGGTCAAGAAATACTGCAAAGGAGTGAAAGGTCATATTTTGATATGGTCTTGAGGGTCAGTGCAAGAACTTTTTTCTTTCAGCAAGTTGGGGATCCACTGGAAAAATATGAGCAAAAGTATGAGATCAGTTCACTTGCTTTTTAGTAGAATGTCTGTGGGCCTTAGGTTGGTAGTAGATTTACAAAGGACCAAGGGCAGAGGCAGAAGATGAGTTGGAAGACTACAGTAATCCACATGAGAGAGGAGGTGCTTTAGATCAGGGTAGCAGCAGCAGAGTGAAGGGAGTATGTAGATTTCTGGACATATTTTGTAATTAAATCTCACAGGACTTGCTGACAGTGGATATGGGGTTTGAGGGAAATAGGAGTCAAGGATGACATGGAGGTTTGGGGCCTGAGCAAACTGGGAAGGTGAAGCTGCCCAAAACTAGAGATGAGAATAGAAATAAGAGAAGAGATATGAAGGTTCTAGAGAAAAGTTGATTTGGGGTTTGATAGAGGTGCTCTGTTTCTTTTTTGGCTATGTTGAATTTGAGATGCTATGTATAGAGTACTGAGAAAATCTGGAAAACTATTCTTAAAAACACCCATGAACTGACTCTTGCAGACTGTAGGATGCTGATGACAGTGTTTTCCTAAAATTCAAATTCTTGTCTCTTGTGTCAAAGATGTTTGAATGGGAAGTCCTTAGCTGTCCTGTAGACTATTTTATGAGATTTTTAAAAAATGAAGATGAGTCAATTAAATGTGAAAAATTCCTCGGTCTCTCTATATATAATGTAATCCATTTTCCATAGGCTTCTCTGACAACAACAGCAACAACTGTATAGTTATCCTTATTTGAATTCCCTTGGCTGACATTTATTCTACATCCATCACTTGATCTAAAATCAATACTCATGTCTCTAGTCACCTGCTCAGAGATGTTATTCATTAATTTTTAACAGGTAAAATCTAACTTGTTCTCATTACAAATGGATAAGTATAAGCTTACACTGCTGGGGGTTTTTTCTTTCTTTTCTCTCGTAGAGAGCCAGGCTGGCATGTTTAAAAAGAAAATGAGCCAAATGAAACTTAAGCTTCACATTTTGGCATGCTTAAAACCCAGCATGTAAATATGGCCCCTGAGAGAAGCAAAGACAAGCTTACAAACAGATGTTTTCACAAGTAAACCATTGATTTTTAACCTTGAAGAGATAATAAAGCAATGTCAGCTTCTCTTTATCAGCAAGAGAGGGAAGTCATCTATCACCCCCAGGGGTTTATGATGCTTATAAATGAATGGTGATGGAAATGTCAGCGTGACACTTTTGATACTGTAAACCCTTAGATCTGTTTGAGGTTGGGATCTTATACTGAGAGACCTAACTAGAAGCTGTGTATTTATAGAGCTCTCCTGCAGCTGCGGATACTAATACATTTTTCTACATATCTTCAAACCCTTTCAGAGTGACATTGGCCAGAGCAGCTCCTCTAGCTTTCAAATTATAGTATCAATTGCAAACTTTTCCAGAAGTACTTAAAATGGTATACATTTTAGGGTAGTTTTTTTTTTTGCAAAAATATTTTATTTAAAAATTATCAGAAAGTACTAATAGACAAACAAAAAAACAATAAAGTGAAAGCATCTTTAATCTCACATCCAGAGGAAGGTATGATCCATTCCTTAGGCATATTCTTCTAGGCTGAGATCTTTGTATGTGTTTGTGTTTTTGCAAAATATTTATTCAGCATATAGTTTTTAAAGTCATTTAAAATTCTATTGTTTTCATCTTTCAGTATAAACAAATATTTTATAAGTTTATTGTTTTGTGGTTGCATAGAATTCCATTGTATGGGTAAAGTATAATTTATTTAACCAGATTTGTTCTTGGACAATTTGATTTATTCTAGTTTTTATCTACTTCAAATAATGTTGTGATGTGCATTCTTGTCAATTATTGTGGGGAGTTATTTTTTCTAAATTCTATTAAAGTATAAATGTAACATACACATAGAAAAGTGCACATT
Organism: Homo sapiens; assembly: GCF_000001405.40. Classification (NCBI taxonomy): domain Eukaryota; kingdom Metazoa; phylum Chordata; class Mammalia; order Primates; family Hominidae; genus Homo; species Homo sapiens. The sequence continues at coordinate 187,301,054 of NC_000001.11, forward strand.
ATTATATGTGTACAGCTCAGGGAATTTCTACCACTAAACACAGCTGTATAACTAGTTTACTGTTTTTTTAAAAAAGACACTATCCCAAATCCAGAAGACCTCTTGTACCCTTTCCCAGGGGTTACCCACCCTCCAAAGGAACCACTATCTTTACGTTTGACATCATATGTAGGTCTTGCTAGCTTTTGGACTTTTAAAAATGAAGTGTACTTTGTATTTTCTTTTATGTCTAGCACCTTTCTCTTAACATTATGTCTGCTGTTCATCCATGTTGTTGTGCATAGGTGTATCTATTTATTCTCATTAGTGTATAACAGGCATCAGTGGATATCTTCTTTAAAGAGACAGATATAAGGTATTTCAGGCTTTGCGGGACACATACAGATGTGTGTCATATTCTTCTGTGGGTGTGTGTCTGTGCGTTTTACAGTACTTTAAAAATATAATAGTTATTCTTAGTGTGCAAGTCATAAAAAAAACCAGGCCTCACACTAGAACTGGCTCATAGGTCAGAGTTGCCAACCTCTGCTGAATAGTATTCAATTATATTAATATACCACAGTTTATTTATCTGTTCTACTGTGGATGGACACGTGCTCCCAATTTTTGCTTATAGAGAGCAGTACAACTATAAGAAGTCTTATACCTGCTTTTGGTGAGCTCATATGTCCACTATTTAGGAGGAACCACATAAGAATAGAATTGCTAGTCATAAGCAATATGTGTGTTCTGCTTTAGTGCATATTGCCAATTGCTTTCCAAAGCGATTATACCAAGTCACACGCCTATACTCAGTGCTTGATTGTTGCAATTATTCCACATCATTGCTAACAATTGGGATTATGTGTCATTTTATTTTAAAATTTTATCCAAGCTGATATGTGTGCAGTGGTATCATGTGCCGTCTTACTATTTATTTTCATAATGAGTTAGGAAGTTGGGCCCCCTTTCTTTCTTTTTTTCTTTTCTTTTTTTTCTTTTTTTTTTTTGAGATACAGTCTTGCTCTGTCACCCATGCTGGAGGGCAGTGGAGCAATCTTGGCTTCTCAGCTCACTGCAACCTCTGCCTCCCAGGTTCAGGAGATTCTCCTGCCTTAGCCTCCCAAGTACGTGGGACTACAGGTGCCCGCCACCACATCTGGCTAATTTTGTATGTTTAGTAGAGACAGGGTTTCACCATGTTGGCCAGGCTGGTCTTGAACTTCTGATCTCAGGTGATCTGCCCGCCTCTGCCTCCCAAAGTGCTGGGATTACAGGCTTGAGCCACCGTGCCTGGACCTTGAGCCATTTTTCTTATATTTATTTGTCATTTTAGTTTTCTTTGTTATAAAAGTCCTATAGAAGGTTTTTGACAACTTTGCATTGACTTGTATGACTTTTTCTAAATTGGTAGGAGTCATTTGTACATTCTGGATTTATTGGATCTATGTGTTGCAACTATTTTCTCCTGCTCTGTGGTTTGCCTTTTCTCTTAATGGTGTCTGTGAATAAACAGATTTTTAAAGTTAAAACTGTAATCTTATAATCAATGATTTCATTTGGAGTTAGCACCTTTTGTATCTTCATAATCCTGAAGATATTTGCCTACTTTTTTTCCCAAAAGCTTTGTCAATTTACCATTCACATTTATGTATGATTCACTTGGAAATGTTTTTATACATGGTACAAGGTAGGAATCAAGGTAACTTTTTTGCTTCATATGTTTAGCCAACTGACCTAGACCCAGAACTGTTTAGCAAAAAGACCATCTTCTCCCCCTCTCTACTTTAGTGTCACCTTAGTTATAATTCATGGAACCTCATATATCTGGGTCACTTGTTGGATTCTCTATTCTACTGGTCTATTTGTCAGGATTAATTTTAATTGTCATTTTTAACAAATTCCAAACCCATTAAATAAATAAGTACTTTCATCTTTATTTTGTTAACCTTTAAGATGTTGGGTTAATAGATTTTCTCACCTTATAGCCTGCCATCCTAGAAGTGCTTATATACAGGACAAGACATTTATGGAGTGTTACCAAATTCAAAAAATGTGTAAGTTTCGTTGATTGAATCCTTAATCAATGGGTAGAAACTAGATGATACTGAGATATTAAGAAGATAGAAAAGAAAATAAGAAGGCGGCATAATTATTTTGAGGACAGCATTAGATTCATTTTTCTAGCCAAGTTTAACTCTACTCTTAAATGACCACTCTCTAGCAAAGCCTTCCCTGACTTAGACATTTGCTGTCACATTACCCTGTTTATCTTATTATAATTTGTCACTACTGGTATTTTTGGTTGATTTATTAATTTCTTTTCTGTCTTTCCACTCTAATCTCAAACATAAATGTCCCGAAGCAGAAACCCTATACAACTTCTTCAGTACTTTTCCTGCCAGTGCTTAAAAGGATGCCTTTTTATTGTAGGTGCTCAAAAAACATTTGTTGAGTAAGTGAACCTGAGACTATCAACAAGCATTATTTTAAAATCACTAGCAAAGGTAAGTAAGTAAAATCACCTCTTCTTAGGCTTTCTTTCTTTCCTTCTTTCTTTCTTCTTTCTTTCTTTCTTTCTCCTTCCTTCCTTCCCTTTCTTTCTTCCTTCTTTCTTTTTCTTTCTTTCTTTCTTTGTCTTTCTCTTTCTTTCTTCCTTTCTTTCTCTCTCTCTCTTTCTTTCCTTTCTTCCTTCCTTCCTTCCTTCCTTCCTTCCTTCCTTCCTTCCTTCCTTCCTTTCTTTCTTTCTTTCTTTCTTTCTTTCTTTCTTTCTTTCTTTCTTTCTTTCTTTCTTTCTTTCCTTCTTTCTTTTAGACAGAGTCTCACTCTGTCACCCAGGCAGGCTGAAGTGCAGTGGCATGATCTTGGCTCACTGCACCTTCTGGCTCCCAGGCTCAAGTGATTCTGTCTTGGCCTCCCAAGTAGTGGGGACTACAGGTGCTCGCCACCATGCCCAGCTAATTTTTATATTTTTAGTAGAGTTGGGGTTTCACTATGTTGGCCAGGCTGGTCTTGAACTCCTAGCCTGAAGTGATCTGCCCGTCTCGGCCTCCCAAAGTGCTGATTAGAGGCATGAGTCACTGCGCCTGGCCCTTTAGGCTATCCATCATAGGCAGATGTCTTATCAAGACAGAGAGCTTTTTGAAGAAAATTAAAAAATAAGATTCTGCCTTTGCGTGTAATGACGCAAGCAAGAACTTTTTACATCATTAAATGATTATTTTTCAAAATATATTTGTAAAATACAAGCAGATTTAGCATTTTTGTTTACTAAAAAGAATACATTTCTTTCATGACAACAACATAATCAATGTTCGATATTTGAACTTTGCTTTTCTCTATACATTAGTATAAATTTATCCCTTAGATATGACATAAGTCCAGTGATTCTCAAAAAGGAGAGGAAATATGGGTTTAGGGGAGTTTGAGTGTTCATTGAAGTGGATTTAGAAGTATGAAAGAAGAATCTAATTGAAGGTATATAAAATAGAGATGGCAGTTTGAATTGTGTGGCTTTTTTAACTTTTAAGTTCACAGATACATTTGCAGATTTGTTGTACAGGTATACTTGGGTCATGGGGGTTCGTTGTACAGATTAGTTTTTCACCCAGGTTTTAAGCCTAGTAGTAACAATTAGTCATTTTTCCAGATCCTCTCCCTCCTCCCATCCTTTACCCTCTGATCGACCCTAGTGTCTGTTGTTCTCCTCTATGTATCCATGCATTCACATTACTTAGGTCCCACTTATAAGTGAGAATATGTGGTATTTGGTTGTCTCTTCCTGCCTTACTTTGCTAAGGATAATGGCCTCCACCTCCGTCCATGATCCTGCAAAGGACATGATCTCATTCTTTTTTATGGCTGCATGGTATTCCATCATACATATGTACCACTAAATGTCTATTGATAGGCATTTAAGTTGATTCCATGTCATTGCTATTGTGAATAATGGTGCAATGAACATAGGCATGCATGTGTCTTTTTGATAGAATGATTCATATTCCTTTGGGTATACACCCAGTACTGGGATTGCTGGGTCAAATGGTATTTCTATTTTTAGGTCTTAGAGGAATCACTATACTGTTTTCCACAATGGTTGAACTGATTTATATTCCCACCAACAGTGTTTAAGCATTCCTTTTTCTCCACAACCTTGCCAGTATCTGCTATTTTTTAACTTTTTAATTATAGCTATTCTGACTGGTGTGAAATGGTATCTCATTGTGATTTTGATTTGCATTCTTTAATGATCAGTGATGTTGAAATTTTTTTCATATGTTTGTTGACTGCATGTGTGTCTTCTTTTAAAAGGTGTCTCTTCATATCCTTTGTCCACTTTTTAATGGGGTTGTTTGAAAACTGGCACAAGATTAGGATGCCTTCTCTCACCACTCCTATTCAACATAGTACTGGAAATCATGGCCAGAGCAATCAGGGAAGAGAAGGAAATAAAGGGCAACCAGATGGAAAGAGAGGAAGTCAAACTATCCCTGTTTGCAGATGGTATGATCCTATATTTAGAAAACCCCATAGTCTTGGCCCAAAAGCTCCTGAAGCTGATAAACAACTTCAGCATAGTCTCAGGATACAAAATCAATGTACAAAAATACCTCGCATTTTTATACACCAAGCTGAGACATACATACAGTCAAGCTGAGAGCCAAGTCAGGAACACAATCCCATTCATAATTGCCATAAAAAGAATAAAACACCTAGAAATACAGCTAACCAGCAAGGTGAAAGATCTCTACAAAGAGAGCTATAAAACACTGCTCAAAGAAGTTGGAGAGGACACAGACAAATGGAAAAACATTTCATGCTCATGGATAGACAGAATCAATATTATTAAAATGGCCATACCATCCAAAGCAATTTATAGATTCAATACTATTCCTATCCAACTACCAAGTACATTTTTCACAGAACTAGGAATAGCTATTTTAAAATTCATATGGAACCAAAACAGAGCCCAAATAGTCAAGGCAATCCTAAGCAAAAAGAACACAGCTGGAGGCATCACGCTATCCAACTTTATACTACGGGGCTGCAGTAACCAAACAGCATGGTACTGGTACAATGACAGACACATAGACCAATGGAACAGAATAGAGAGCCCAGAAATAAGAATGCACACCTACAACTATCTGATCTTTGACAAACTTGACAAAAACAAGCAATAGGGAAAGGACTACTTATTCAATAAATGATACTGGGATAACTGGCTAGCCATATGCGGACTCCTTCCTTGTACCATGTACAAAAATTAATCCTGTATGTATTAATGACTTACATGTAAAACCCAAAACTATAAAAACTTTGGAAGACCACCTAAGCAATGCCATGCCGGACACAGAAACGAGCAAAGATTTCATGATGAAGACGCCAAAAGCAATTACAACAAAATCAAAAATTCACAAATGGGGGCTAATTAAACTAAAGAGCTTCTGCACAGCAAAAGAAACTATCAACAGAGTAAATAGACAACCTAGAGAAGTGGGGGAAATGCATCTGACGAAGGTCTAATATCCAGAATCTATAAAGAACTTACACAAATTTACAAGTTTGAATTGTATGAGATAATTATAATCAATTAAAGGGCATTCTATAAAATTTATTTTAAATTAAAGAATTTGAAGCATTATATTAACATAAACCAAATGCGTCTAGCCTCAACAGATTGTCAAAATTCCACTAGTTCACAGACCACACCTGCTTATACAGAACAAAGTGGCATGATCAGATTTTTTTTTCAAAGTGATGGAAACGTTTTGCCAATATGAAAAGCTGAAAAACTGTCAAGCTGCTGTGTGTCATAGATGAGTGATCATAAACGAGTAGCCTGTCTTGGTTGCCTGGGACAGTCATAATTTATACTATTGTCCTAGTGTCGTGGTTAATTGGACCCTTTTTCATTACCAACATTGCTCCAGTTTGCTAAATTACACCTCACCCCAGCCATAGATAGTGTGGGTGGCCTTCCTAATTATGATAAGGTCCCTCTTGGTGGAAGTGACAGTGAGAATAAATGCCCAAGAAGATCTTTAATCAAAAAGAAAGGCTGCTTAGTGGTTGCTGCTGTTGATCTTTCTCTCCTTGGCATAGCGAAGCCTGTGGTATTTTTACAAGTTGAAGACAAACGCTCATAAAGAAGGTCAATATTATAGTTCATGAAGCCACATAAGACAGTTGGTATTTAGGGAAATTGTTTCTGGGTTGCTTTCTCAGCTCTGGTGGGAGCCTAAATGACTGCCAGTATATTTTGGCAGCCATGCTCAACAGACCTGCTCACAGGCCAACGTATTCAAAAGCTCCAGGAAAAAAAAAAAAAAAAAGCCATTTTCCTCTCTCCACCACATACCACACTTCTGGGATTCTGAAATATCTTACCAAGCACTTTATTCAATCTAAATTTAAATAGAAGTTTTCCCCACTTCCCAAGAGAGAAACAACAACGAACTAGATGAGAATGAGAGGAACTGGAAGAAGGTAATGCTCCATATCATTTGGTTAATCTATTCTTGTTTATTAATTTATTACATGGAACAGTAAGTTTAATGGCTTTAACTTTGAAGTGGAAAAGAAGCCCCTACAGTATACTTCCAGAAAATGCAATAATGACTTTAGGAAGATCTAGGACAAGGATTGCATATAATATTTTGGGCTATTTTTCAAGGCCTGCTTTAACCTTAGCCTTCAGATTTATCATTTTACATTAGCCAAAATAAACTACTACCATAAGAAACCATGAATTATTAAAATCAGAACAGTTTCCTATATTTATTAGTTTAGTCATAAAATTGCTATTAGAAATAGCATACAGATGAGTTTGATATCCATAAAATCATTGAAACAACATGACATTTACTACCTGTAGTACATAATTATACTCACATACTCTTAGATGCATTTATTTCTGTCACTGAACCATTATTTTCAGCAAGTTGTGCTGCATTTTCAGAAGTAGAATTTTAACTTCCTCTTATCTTTTATAGTTGTAGTCTTGAAAAGGTATAATTTCAAGAAATATTCTTCAGAGGAAAAAAGTCTTCTTAGGGTACACATCATTTTTTACTATTTTTGATTTTTTAGTAATTTTACTTCTTTTTTCTTTGTTTATACTATGAAATCTATCAAGCTGCACACAGTGGTTAATCATAAATACATTAATCTATTGATATATTTTCTACTGCATCCTGAATTTTAAAATAAATGTTATAAATCTCAAAGTCACATGCAATGAAAGCACACTTAAAATACTACTTAATGAAATTAGTCTCTCTCTTGTATTTTTTTCTTTTATCTGTTCACTTCACCTTTGCACTTCCATTGCTTACATTTATTCAATAATTCATATGAAGAAAAGTTTTTTGTATTTGTTTTTTGGTAAAATGCAGTAATGAAATCTGAGAAGCTGAATTTAGCAATACAGATGCAAACTGTGCCATCAGAAGATTAAAATGAAAGTGAAATGTCCTGAAAATATCAGAATCGCATCAGTAATAGAAGTAAATGAAAAGTGAAGACCTCTTTGAATTATCTTATTTCATTTGACTATGTTCCTCCTGAGTCACAAAAAAAGGATGTTACAGCTATTTTTCTTAAGCTGATGGGCCAAAAGATTGTAGTAAGTATTTTGACGATTGTCTGGTGGGGGGTGTATGCGTGTGTGTGTTTTCTTGATCTTGACATATATTAAATGCATCATTTTCTCTGATTTTCTCCTGAGAATACTTTTTTGAAAGCTCAGGTTAAAATAATTTGACTAATAACTTAAAATAAAGGAATTTAAAAGATACCTTTGTGCTCTACCAAATTAAAGTTTTACAGTATTCTTCACTGTGCTTGAACAGCACCAGGACATCTATCCAAATGAAATATTGTATTAGACTTCTAAATGATTTGCCTTTATTGAAAGGGCCATCCTCCAGTGTAAAAGTATGTCCAGTGTAAAAGTATGTGCTCGAATTTTTAAGGATTTGTGAATGAGTTAAAGCGGTGCTAATTGCCCTTTGAAGCATTAGGAGTCTCTGCTCCTCTATGTATAGTCCTTGATTAGAACTCGAGCAAAATCCTGTTTAGACCATCCCTGGGAGGACCTTGAAATTTGATGGCTAATAAAATGAAATGTACGCCTCTGCAGGGGCTCAACAAGGATTTATGGAATGCTTACTGTGCACTAGACACTGGGATTCCATCATGAGTAAGACTTGGTTTCTACATAAAGAAGCTTAGACAGATGATTTGAACTGAGATATTTTAATATAGGAGCATACTGTATCAGCAAGACTTGAACGCTTAGCCTGACATGGTAGAGCCACTTAGCCCAACCTGACCTTTTACATGAGGCTACTAGATCTTCACCTAAAGGGTGAACAATATAGATATTTTCTCTGCTTCCTTTGTGCACATCTAATTTCAAAACTGCTTAAAATACCTCTACATTGTGCCATCTTCCTGACTAAAAGCTTTATTGTGGTTGATGTGATATGGCACAACCAAGGCTTTTTGTCTCTTCAGAGACTCTTTATCTTTTCCAGAGATTAAATGAGAGTTTTCATGTAACTTTCACTGTAAGTGTGTGAAGGGATTTCAAAATTTTTGTTATCTGTGATAGTGTAACTGGTAGTCCACTATATGGGGAGGGTGGGGTGAAGGGTATGTATATATGGCTGAAGAAAAGGTCTCTCTCTCTCTCTCTTATTTTGGAAAGGAGATAGCATTGATCTTGAGGTCTCTAATTATTGTTGATGCAAGGAGAAGGTTGTTCTTATTTCAGATTACATAATTTCCTAATCTTTCAAATGGTGATAACACCTTTTTATCCCTGATAGAGTTGGATATTTCTGTTCAAGTACTGTTACCACCATTATAACTTAAAGTCAATCCTGAAAATAATATTATGCCATAATGATCTGTTGTTCCATGCCACTTACAAATATGAACCAGCCAAGTCTTTTTATTTTTAATCAATTGAAATTTTACTCTGAGGAAGGGAAGAGATTTTTCAATGCATACAAAGCATTTTCAGCAAAACAAAAATGCTTTTAGAGAAGACTCAGAGGATTATTTCTCATTATTTTTGGCATCCGTCTTTCCATTGAAACAAGTCACAAGCATATCTACAGTTGATCAGTTGACAGATCAGCAATTCTATTAAGACGAAAACTAACCTTGGACATGTTTAGAAGGAAAAGGGTGTCCTTTGATTTATTATGCCATTTTATGCTTGTGCCATTATTTCCCTTTCAGCTATTCAGGCTATGTTAAGTGGAAACATCCAGCATTTTTAATAAAGTGCTTCATTCAAACCAAATATTAACCAGAAGCATTTTAGAAGAGTCTTCTATTAAAGTAAATGAAATAAAGATCACCCAGTTCTGTTCAATAATGGAGAGTAAGGCATAATGAACAGAATATAGCAACATTCTTGCGATGACAAACTATGCTGTCACTTCTTTTTAGTGCCAGCTGAGGTCTGGGTGTTTTCCTCCAGAATTACAGGGACATTTGCTTTTTAGTAGTTGGAAATGCATACTAGTTATTGTGTATCTTGGTGAGAGTTATTGAATGATATGTAGTTCATTTGTATATTTAGGTGAAGTTATTTTGAAAATAATTGTTTTTGCTTGAAGTCAGGATTAATAGCTATTTTATATACTTTGAGATTTGTGGTTTAGTCAAAAGTTAAATGTTCACATTTCTTTGAATTTAAAAGTATTCTCATCAATTTCTCTCTTTGTTGCGTTTTTGAGATTCTATAATCTACTTTCCTCACCACATTCTTTTACAGCCTCTAAATTACCGGTTCTAAATTCTTTCAGGATTTACATTTTACTAAAGAAATATGTAAGATACAGGGAAAGAGTTTCTCAGGAAAGAAGAAATAAAAGTTGAAAAGAACAACATACTTCTAAATACACTTTGACACAAAGTAATCTTAAAATTACAATAATTCTCCATTGAACTTTAATTTTAGATATTCCACCACCGATTTATCAGGATATTTAATTCTACTCTTTGTTCAAATAGATTTAACTTATAAAAACAATGTTTCTTTAGATACTTTGTAGTTGTGATATTAAAAATTATAACTAAATTTCTATTAGTGTCTACTTTATAACTAATATATTAAAGGCATTTTTTGTAATAAAGTGATTGTTTCAAAATTCATTGGCACCTTTAAAAATTGAAGTTTCTCATTACATTTGATAGTTAATCTGAAGAACTATTAAGAAGAATTGGTCTCAGAAATAATCTTACTGGGAGAATATGAGAAAACATATGGATATCTTATAATGATAATAAACTAAAAAATTGTTAAGGTTGTGTTTTCATCACGTGTCTGATGGCAATAAATGAAAAATTAAGCCTATGGATGTATTTATTCAGTTATTTAACAAAAGCTAATTGAATGCCTGCTGTATTTCTGATGCAGTTCTAGGCTCCAGGGACACAAGAGTGACCAAAACTGACAGAACAGGTCATCATGGAGCTTTCAATGTGGCTGAGGATACCTGAGGAAAAAAACATCTGCTGTCAACCTAAACTAAACTTTGCTATCAACCACAATAGGATAACACAGGGTGCTGAGAGAATAACACAGAGGTGCTTGAGTAACATGAGCTCCTAACTGACCACCACTAAGTATGTGGTTCTACCAAATGAATAAAATCACTGGCCATCCTATTAGTTTTGTCTTTGCTTAGCCTAATGATAGGAAACGAATGGAACTTTGCCATCAAACGAATACAAGATAATCCCTATTGCTTGAATTCTTAATTGTTTTTTGGACTACTGATATATTTTACTTCATTTGGTACCGTAGTTTACATATTTTAAATAAAGTATTATACATAATATCTTACATAAATATGAATGATTTCAAGGTGCTACATCCCTGGAATTGTTATATTTTAATCTGTTGATGTTGCTAAAACCCACAGTGGTGGCAATGTTACTAAAATTGAATTCATTCTTTCACCTGAAGGTAATGCATAAAGAGGTAAGGCCAAAATACTGAACGAAACTTAATATAGTAATTAAAGTGTGCTGTAAATTTTGCACTTCTTATTAAAGTTTAGTTTCAATTAATTAGCATCTTAGAAATAAAAAGGATAATTTTTAAAGTATTCTAATTTTCAATAAATAAAAAGAAAATATTACTAAGATTCCTAGGATATATTGATCAATACTATCCATTAATGTAACTGAAAGTGGTTAGAAAATTTCAGGACCAACTACTGTAAACTAAAATCAGAGCTTTAGTTCATCCATAGCCAAAAATATTTATCTCTGTGTTCTGCAGAGCATAAAGCTAGGGAAGTAAATAAGCATTGTGTGAAATTTGTGATTAAAATGAACTTCTATTTAAATAAAAAAGAAAAAGCACTTGATAAGACAGAATGTCTCCATGATGTTCCCTCCACGTTTATATATATTTATATCAACTATATCTGTCTATATTATCTGTATTTATATGACTAGTTAGCTAGCTGTTATTTATCTATATTTAATGTCTATACTCATATCTATAGTATAAATAATTTTCAAGCTATATATGTCTGTGTATATACAGGAGTGTAATTTTTGATATAATTAACTGTATGTGTATATATGTATATCACACATGGTTTTTGATATAACTAATGTTATAGCATTTTATATTTTTAATTTATTTACACTTATTACCATAGCAAAAATGGGATCAATATAGGATCTAATTTACATATAACTATAATTAGCAATTAACTCTTCCACATGCATTTATTTTTATTAGCATCTCTCAAAATCAGTAAGTGAATGTGCATTAGTTTCAGAAAACAACAGCAGATTAAAAATGGAAAAAAACTGTAGAGCCAAATGAAAAGTGGTAGTAAAACAAGTTCATTACAATTTAAAATGTTAAATACTGCTAATAAATGTTTCTAATGTTAGAGTAATAGCTAAATATCAAAACTTCTATGTAATTCATAAATTCCATCAAATATGAAATTGAGAAACACAATTTAAAAATAACCTTCTATCAGGCAAATCCTTAAATAAATACCTGTGAAAGGAATGTGGAGTAATGTAAACACCAATTCCTCACCTATGTAATTGTTGATAGTCCTCTGAAATTCTCATTTTTTTAGCTGTTTAAACTTGTTTCTCTTTCTTTTATTAAATACAACCCTGTATTGGCATTTTCCATTTGATAGAAAAATAACCTGATACAAGCAGAATTGTCAAGAAATGTCATATGTCAAAAAATGAAGTGACAAATGAGAAAGGGCTGAGTCACTTAGAAAATATCTTGCAGACAGCCAACGGAAACAAGCACTAAATTAAAGAGAGTGGCTGGTGGAAATAGGTCAAAACAGCCCAGTGAAGCATAGTCGTTATATGACAAAATGACCAGAAGATGTGTTTACATTACTGGTATGTAAACTACATATTATCAGAGGCTTGATATTGGTGACCTTCAAATTAAGTACCTTAATTTTGTCGGATGCTTTGGTTTTATGTTATTTACTTCTGCTTAATTTCAACATGGTGTTATTTATAAAAATCTTGATTTAATTTGTCTTAATCAAATACTGCTCAAAGTAATTATATGGATACACTGCCAACTCAAAGACAGCTTTTCTCCTTATATGTGGTCAAAAATTTGACATATTCATATACATTTACCCAGATTACAAAATTCTCTTTCAAATGTTGCCACACATTCTGCCACAGACATGAAGGAATTTGTGGATTTTCTCTTAGTTGCTGTCACTTCTTCTCCATGCCCTGCATAGTCCCTGAAGGATTCTAGTTGTATGTTAAAAATAAGACAATCAAAATTCTTGTCTCCCTGATTCTTTTTTTCCCACACATAACGTCAGTTAATGCTTCCAGTAATCTAACTGGTATTAGTTACCTTGCTCCCTCAGTATCAGTTCCAATTTTTAAGGAATACTCTTTTCAATGAGTGAATTAATGATCCTAAAGAAGGTTAAGTAAATCTACAATATTTTTTTCCAATCCCAAGAATGGTTATAATTTCTCAAGATATTAGACATCTATGAAGATTGCTCAAACCCCAGTCTCTAGCCTGTTTTTTAGATATAATTATGTTCTGTAAATTTACCTGATGTTCCATAAGGCTGTGCACTCATTCACTGAAGCATTCAATTTCCAACAATTAATCTCCTCTATGCTTTAACTGAGGTGTCAGATCAGTTTCTGTAAGTTCAGTCTGAAAGGGAGGGAATATTCTCATAAGTCCTAGGACTGCCTTTACTGCTAGGTATTGTGGAACAATCTGGACTTGGACTTTCCTTTGTTGGAGGATGCTTAACCATAATTTTGATTTCTGTAATACATGCTTGACTATTTATGTTACCTATTTGTTTTTGAGTACGAGTAGGGAGTTTCTACCTTTTGAGTAATTTCATTTAAATTGTTGAATTTATGAGCAGAGGGTGGATTATAATATTGCTTTATTAGTTTGTAAATGACTCTGTGTTTTTAGTGATGTTCTTTCTTTCATCCTGGTATTGGCAATTTGTATATTCACTAATTCTTTCCCTCTCTCATTGGCTGGTCAATCTGGTAGTTGTCTGTTAGTTATATGGCTCTTTTCAAAGAATCAGCTTTAGATTTCATTGACTTTCTCTATTGGTTTACAATTTTTAATTTCACCAATCTCTGCACTTAAATTTATTTTTTTATTTTTTTGTCTTTCAAGCTTGGAAGACCTTATCTTTTAAAAACCACTTTATTGAGGTATAATTGACATTTTAAAAATCTGTACATATTTAATGTATATAACATGAGTTTGGAGATAAGCATATATCCATGAACCTATCATTACAATTTATACCATAAACATACCCATCATTTCCAAAGTTTCTTCTCACCTTCTTTTTTTTTTTGGTAATAAGAACACTTAACATAAGGTCTACCCTACGAGCACATTTTTAGGTCTACAATACAGTATTGTTAAAGATAGTTACTCTGCTGTACAGTAGATCTCCAGGACTTATTCATCCAGCATAACTAAAACTTTGTAACCTTTGACAAATGCCTCCCTGTTCCTCCTTCTCCCAGTCCCTGGCAACTACCATTCTACTCTCTATTTCTATGAAATTGATTATTTCAGATTCCTCATATAGTGGTATCATGTAATATTTGTCCTTCAGTGTCTGGCTTATTTCACTTAGCATAATGTCTTTCAGTCTCATCCATTTGGTCTCAAATGGCAGTATTTCATTCTTTTTTTAATGCTTAATAATATTCCATTGTATGTTTCTGTAAAAAAATTTAAATCCATCCATCAATGGACTTTTGTGTTGCCTCCATGTCTTGGCAACTGCAACTAATGCTGCAATAAACATGGGACTGCAGATAGCTGGTTGAGATCTTGATTTCAGTTCATTTGGAGAAATACCCCTAAGCAGGATTGCTGCATCATATAGTAATTCTACTTTTCACTTTTTGAGGAAACTTCATGCTTTTTTCCAAAAGCAGCCATGCCATTTTGCATTCTTGCCAGCAGTATACAAGTGTTCCCCTTTCTCCACATCCTCCTCAACAATTGTTATATTGTTTTTATTTTAGTAATAGCCATCCTAACTAGAATGAGGTAATATTTTATTGTGTTTTTTATTTGTAGTTCCCTGATGTTTAGTGATGTTGAGTGCATATTCATATATCTGTCAGCCACTTGTATGTCTTCTTTGGAAAAATACCTATTCAGTTATGTTGCCCAGTTCTTAATTTCTTAATTGGTTCATTTGTTTTTTGTTATTGTTTTGTAGAAATTCCTTATGTATTTCAGAAATTAGTCCTTTATCAGATATATAGTTTGCAAATATTTTCTTCTGTTCTGTAGGTTGCTTTTTCATTTTATTGTTTTTGTTTGTTTGTTTTGCTGTGCAGAAGCCTATTAGTTTGATGCAGTCTTACTTGTTACTTATCTAATTTCCTTTTAGTTGCCTGTGCTTTTGGTGTTATATCCAAAAAATCATTGGCAACAACAATGTCAAGAATTTTTTTCTGTATTTTCAGCTTTATGGCCTCACGTCTTGTGTTTAAATTTTTAATCCATTTTGAATTAAGTTTTGTATATGGTGTAAGATAAGGCTCTAAATGGAACTGAATAAATTACTAAAAATATACATTATACCAAGGAAGAATCAAAAACAAATAGAAACTAAGGTGATTGAATCAGTAATGAAAAGCCCCCAACAAAGAAAAGCCTAGGACGAGATGACATCACAGGTGAATTCTACCAAACATTTAAAGAATAATGAATACCAATCCTTCTTAAGCCCTTCCAACAAATAAGAGATGAGGGAACATTTTCAAACTTTTTCATATGACACCAACATCACCAGAATACCAAAGCCAGGCAAAGATACTAAGGCAAAGAACAGAAAACTCCAGGTCAGTATTACTAATTAAGATGGATATATAATTCCTCCACAAAATATGAGCAAATTAAATTTAACAGCCATCAAAAGGAGCATACACCATGACCAAGTGGGATTTATTCTGTGGATGCAATAGTGCTTCAACATATGTAAGTTCAGTCCAAGTCATACACCACATTGGCAGAATGAAGGATAAAAATCACATGATCATCTTCATAGTTACAGGTAAAACATTTGATAAAATTTAATTCCCTTTCATGGTAAAAAGTCTCCAACAGATTGAGTGTAGAAGAAATTTACTTCAATGCAATATAAGACATATATGATAAGCCAATAGCTAACACCATACTCAATGGTGAAAAACTGAAAGCTTTTCCTGTAAGATTTGGAACAAGGCAAGAATGTTGATGCTTGCCACTTCTATTCAGTATAATATTGGAAGTTCTAGCTAGATAAATTGGGCAATAAAATGTATCCAAATTAGAAGTACAAATTAAATTATCTCTGCTTGTAGAGGACATAATCTTACATGCAGGAAACCCTAGAGACCTCACCCCCCCCACCACCATAAAACACCATTAGAACTAATAAATGAACTCAGTAAATTAACTGGATATAAAATCAACATACAAAAATCAGTTGCATTTCTATACAACAACAGTGAACTATTCAAAAAATGTTTAAGAAAACAATTATGTTTACAATAGCATCGATAATAATTAAATACTTAAAAATAAACAATTGAGGTAAAAGACATGTACACTGAAATCTGTAAGACACTGATAAAAAAAATTTAAAAAGACAGAAATAAGTGGAAAGACATCTCATGTTTATACATTGGAAAAATATTGTTAAAATGTCCACACTACACAAAGAGATGTACAAGTTCAGTTGAATTCCTATCAAAAATTAGTGGTGTCCTGCCAAGAAATAGAAAAAAATTCTAAAATTCATATGGAACAAAAAAAGGCCAGGAGCAGCCAAAGCAATTTTATTTATTTATTTATTCATTTATTAATTTATTTATTTGAGATGGAGTCTTGCTCTGTCGCCCAGGCTGGAGTGCAGTGGCGCAATCTCGGCTCACTGCAACCTCCACCACCTGGTTCAAGCGATTCTTCTGCCTCAGCTTCCCTCAGCCTCCCGAGTAGCCTGGATTACAGGCTCACACTACCACACCTGGCTAATTTTTGTATTTTTAGTAGAGACGGTGTTTCACCATGTTGGCCAGGCTGGTCACGAACTCCTGACCTCAAGCGATCTGCTCACCTCAGCCTCCCAAAGTGTTGGGATTACAGGTGTGAGCCACTGCAATTTTGAGGCAGAACAAAGTGGAAGTTATCACATACTTCCTGACTTCTAACTATATTACAAAACTACAGCAATCAAATCTGTATGTTACTAAAGATAGGCGTATAGACCAGTGGATCAGAATAAAGAGCCAAAATAAACCAAAGAATAAACAATCAACTGATCTTTGACAAGAGTTCCAAGAATACACACTGGGGAAATGACAGTCTTCAATAAGTCAAGTTGGGAAAGCAGACATTCACGTTCAGAAGAATTAAATTGCTCTTATTTCCATGTTTCTGATTGATATGGGTTCAATTTGCTCTGATTTTTCCAGTTTTCTAAAGGAGAAGATCAGGCTTCTTATTAAATATCTTTATTTCTAATATAATCAATTAATTATATAAATGTCCTACTTACTACTGTTTAACTCTATCTGTCCAATTCTGATATATTTAAAATTCCATTCAGTCAATGGTTTTAATTTTCTTTGGGCCTTCTCTTTCAACTGACTTCTTTGACTTAATATTTGAGTCCTTCCAGATATCTTTCTGTTAATAATTTTTGGTTTAATTTTGTCATGGTCCATAAAACATATTTCATATGATAAACTTTTAAATGTGTTAAAATGTGTTAAAAATGTGTAGTGCTCAGAATATGGCATATCTTGGTGAAAGCTCCATGTGCACTGGTACATTATATTCCTGCTATTTTTGAGTGAAGGGTTCTCTAAATGCCAACTAAGTCGCATCGGTTAATGGTATTGTTCAGATCTTCTAAATCCTTACTAATATCTGTTTACTTGTGAGAAACCATTTGCTGAGAGGGAAGTGGTGAAGTCTCTAACTGGAAATAGGAATTTATTTATTTTCCCTTATAGTCCTCTAACTGAAAATATGAATTCTTAGTTTCATACATAATTTGCATATAATAATTCATAAATATTAGCTTCGATGTTTTGAAGTTCTGATGTTCATGAATATACATTTATAATTACTATGACTTCTTGGAAAATGGATTCATTATTATTATCTAAACCCTCCCTTTTCTTTGGTGATATTCTCATTCTGAAGTCTACTTTGTCTTATAGAAGGACAGCTACTCCAACTTACTTTTGAATAGTGTTTGCGTAGTATTCTTTTTCCTATCCTTTCATTTTAACCTATCCATGTCTTTGTATTTAAATGGCATCTTAGCTCAAGCTGCTATAGCAGAATACCATAGTTGGGTGGCTTAAACAACAGACATTTATTTCTGACAGTTCTGGAAGTTGGGAGGTCCAAAATGAATGTGCTGTCAGATTTGGTTCTCGGTAGCCCACACTCAGCCTTTATGAATTTTTAACAATTTTAGCTGAATTCTTTTTTTAGGTATATCCAACTGGATTGGTCTCAGTTAAGAAAGTGCCTGCGTGCTATCTGTCTCTTTTCTGAGGGACTTGTTTTTCCTTAGATTTACATCCCTAGTAGAAACCTGAAGTATACCAGTTTTCTTCTGAATGTTTACTCACAAAAAGATTTTAATATGCTTCTGTAAGGATAGTATATAACAAGCATCCATTCATTCATCAAATTTTAATGAGCACTTTCTATCTGTGAGGTGCTATTCGGGAGGCTGAAGTAAGTAAAAGAGAGAAATATCAATAGGATCTTGTAGCTGGCTTTCTTTATGGAGTGAGGAGGGCAAAAAAATCAATAATATGCACATAAATTTTATGCTATTTTAAAGATTGTTAAATGCTACTGCAAAAAGTAATAAAATAAAGAAGAAAAGGGAGATAAGTAGTGCCATTAGGTAATGACTTTCATTTTAAATGAGGTGGTCAAGAAAAGTTTCATTGAGAAGATACAATTTGGTCAGAGACTTGATAAGGTGAAGCTCATCCTGTTGATATCACCCTGTGGAGAAACAGCATTTCCAGGAGGTAAAAATAGTAAGTACAAGAGGCTCCTAGACGGACAAGCTTGGTATTCTTGAGAGAGCAAGGAGACCAGTGTGGCTGCTATGTACAGTGGCCAAGGGGAATAGTGATAGGATATGTTAGACAGGTGGGCAATGGGCAAATTAATCCTATAAGGTCTGATATGTTATTGTACTGCCTTTGGCTTTTATTCAGAGGGACATGTAGAAACTTGGTAGGATGTTGAGTAGAGGAATAACATGATCTTACTTTAATTTTTTAAAGTGTCACTCCAGCCACTTTGTTGAGAATAGTCTGGGGTATTAAACATGATTGGCATAATCAAATTGTCATGCCATTTAATAAGGGTGACCTTTAAAGAAGATTTCTCCTTTGAGTCCAATTCGGAGTTCTTTCTCCCTTCTAGTAAAATTGTATTTAATTGTCAAAAATGAAGCATGACTTTATTCTACAATTAATGGGACTTAAAATGCTAAACTGCAAATCATAATGGCTTAAACTATACACCAGTAAAATTTGAAAAATATTCTGATGTATTTCATATAATCAATTATTTTGTGATGTGCCTACTTTGTCATTAATCGCATATATTGGGAATGTCCTGAAAGAATATATACTACATTTATAATAGTTCCATCCTTCTCAAATTTCTTTAACTTATATTTCCTATACTTCTCATTCATCTGGATACTTAAGGTTAACATTCTGAAGTTTAAAGACAAGGGAGTAACAGACACGAGTTTTTAATCTCAGCATTCTGCCACCCATTTATCCACACCAGCCCTCAAAGTAGACTCACAGTGTATAAAATTTACTGTAACTCAAATTTTCCATTAAGTTTATTTGCAGTTTTCCTGGTGGTACAGTTAGCAGAAAGCTGTTCTCATTGTGCTTTCTGTAGAACAGACCAAATTATAGCTACTAATATTTTGAAAATAATACTGATAAACAGTATGCATATGTTTCTGTTGGTGTACTTTCATGTGGTCTGTGGTAATATTTTTAAAGAAAATCTCATTTTAATAGCTAATCACAATTTTTTCATAATTTAAACATTAA
Organism: Homo sapiens; assembly: GCF_000001405.40. Classification (NCBI taxonomy): domain Eukaryota; kingdom Metazoa; phylum Chordata; class Mammalia; order Primates; family Hominidae; genus Homo; species Homo sapiens. The sequence continues at coordinate 187,320,701 of NC_000001.11, forward strand.
ATTCAGTTCAGGTTGGATCATATGAATATACTTATTTTTATTTTTTGCTGACTGCCTATCCCTCCTGTCTCCTAATAAAACCCCCAAAATTTTGATGTGTTGGACAGATACTTCACTTCTAAATGCCAAATGGAAAAATAGTGCCTAGGATAATAGGCTCCTAATTTTGCTATCATTGTTGAATGACTGAATGTACTGTGATAACACAGTGTTTGAATTATGTTCTTATCTCCTGTATATACAACTGTTGACTTGATTTTTACCTGGATAATTTGCAAATAACTCACATGCGATATGTCTGTAACTGAAACCATTTTTCCCAAATTCAAATGTGGTTCTTCTGTTACGTTTTACTGCACCACCATCCATTGGGCTCTTCAAATCAGATACCTGGAGATTATTTTTGACACATTTTTTTCATTTAACCCCTACACATAAACATTCATTAACTGACATAACTTCTGCACCTTGACTATTTTGCAAACATTTTTTATTTTTTGCATTCTACCACTGCCATTTCACTTGAAGCCATTATCTCTTACTTTGATGACTGCAATGGCCGTCCTTTTGCAACAACTACCGCAGCCACACTCTAATTCAATCTCTGAGAGATCATTCAGACATTCAAATCTATCAGCTCACTTCCTTCTTAAAATAATTTTGGTAGATGCCCATTGCTCATAAGGACAACATTTCAAAATATGGTCTATAAAGTCCTGACCTACACTCTCACCTAAACATCACATGACATATTCTGCTTCAGTTTTTATCTTTCAGTCGTATGTTCCTCCATCCAGTCCCTGAGATGAACCCTGAATCTCCCCTATTAGAAGTTTTTGTTAGTTCCTAGAATGATCTCACACTTCCCAGACTCTGCCCTCCCCAACACTTCATCCTGACTCTTCCCCCAACCTCTCTTTATGATCTGAGTTACATTCATTTTTCGAGTCATAGCTTAAGCATCTTGTTTTTGCTTGTGTGTGTGTGGCATTTTTTATTTTTGTTTTACTTTATAAGCCATTTGTTTTTCCTATACCCACTTCCAAAGTAGTATGTATTTTCTTTCGCCACACTGTTTACATTTATTTATTTGTTTATTTATTTTTGAGATGGAGTTGTCTCACTCTGGCACGATCTCAGCTCACTGCAACCTCCGCCTCCTGGGTTCGAGAGATTCTCCTGCCTCACTCAGCCTCCCAGGTAGCCGGGATTACAGGCATGCACCACCATGCCTGGCTAATTATTTTGTATTTTTAGTAGAGACAGGTTTCACCATGTTGGTCAGGCTGGTCTTGAACTCCTGACCTCAAATGACCCATCTGCCTTGGCGTCCCAAAGTGCTTTACTTTTAATTGTTACATTTTTCTATATACGTTTCTCCAAATACACTGTCAGCACAATGAGGTTATGAACAATGTCTGTACTGTTCAGTGATTTATCCCAGCTCTTAGCACAGTGTTTGGGACACAGTGTTCAACCAGTAAATATTTGCTGAATGAATTAATTATTAAATTCCAAATGAACTTTTGGAATGCAACAAAAATGTATCAAGTAAATTGAATAATAGAAACTCTGATTATCTCCTAATGATGAGTTTCAGAGTAATTATAAATATTATCCTTTTAATCAGACATTTTGACAATAAATTTGAGCTTCATTTTTGTAGAATTGGTATTTTATAGAATTTATATTTTCTAGAAAATGACTAGCTATAATCAATATTACAATAATATAATTAACATTATATTTAAAAATGATTTGAGCCAATCTCAAATTATATACCATTTGTCTTTGAGGGAAAAAATGTATTACAATATATCCCTGGCAAGCATCCAATTTGTAATTAGAAAATATTATTCTTGTTCCCCTCCCTGTGTCCATGTGTTCTTATTGTTCAACTTCCACTTATGAGTGAGAACATGCAGTGTTTGGTTTTCTGTTCCTGTGTTAGTTTGCTGAGGATGATGGTTTCCAGCTTCATCAGAACAACACACACCAGAGCCTGTTGGGGGTTGGGGAGCAAGGGGAAGGAGAATGTTAGGACAAATACCTAATGCATACAGGACCTAAAACCTGGATGATGGGTTCATAGGTGCAGCAAACCACCATGGCACATGTATACCTATGTAACAAACCTGCACATTCTGCACATGTATCCTGGAACTTAAAGTAAAATTTTAAAAAAAGAAAATACTATTCTTCATATATAAGAATACATCTAAGAACCTCTTAATGGCCTTTTTTTTTTTTACAGACTTTGGTGTTCTAAAAATTATTTAGAAGTTTCTTTTCCTCAACATTTGATATTTAAGAGTTATTTCAGTCCAGTTGTTGAAACTTCCAGTGCATGTGCTTGGGTTTCTATTTATAATTTAAGGCATTAGGCAAAAGTACATGAATAGTGGAAGAAAAAACCGAATGAACAAAAAATTTTTGCCAAAAATAATGGCAAATGAGCCTACCCTAAGTAACTTTTAAAAATATTTTAATACCTATACACAAGGCAAATCCTCACATATAAATGTATCATAAACAAGATTTATAGCATGCATTTACATTATTTTTTTTTGTTAAGATGTCACTGGTTTTTGTAATGTGGAACAGATACCTAAGTTCTATTATCATTAATATGTGCCTAGTATTACTCCTTTATCTGACACTATTCATCACATTCTAATTAATCATCAAGAAACCAACTATTCTTTTTCAGATATGAACCAATAACTCTTGGGATTATTAAATCATTTTTCAAAAACATTTCATTCCTTCACGCTAATAATTCAGTGCAAATGAAATTTCAGAATAACAGCCAGATCATATTAAATAATATTCTTTGATATTTTGTCTCATGCATGAAAATTTCATTCTGCATTTGAAATCTGTGTTTTCTTTTCAAAGCCATTTGCAGTATTGTAATAAGCAGCAAAAGACCATTCACAAACTATAATATGAGCTTCAGTTGAAGCTGGAAAATGTTACAGAACTTCTTGTTCTTGAAGTTTGTAAGGGTGGATTGAGTGGATTGGTCGCTGGGAACAAAAAAGAAAATGCAGGACATTATTATTTGTTTAGTAATATTTAATCTTATTTTAATCTCTATCTTTTCTCTGTTACACTTGATAAAACATCAATGATCTAATTTTCTAGAATAATTTGCAATTTATACCTGTACTCATCACAGCACAGAAACAGAAAAATGGCACTGTGATTTGAATGTTTGTTGTGTTCCCTGTTGAAAGTCCAACCTCCAAGGTGATGGTATGTAGAGTTGGGACCTTTGGGAGGTCCCATCATGATCATAGGAGATCATGAGGGAGGACCCCTCATGAATCAGATTAACACTCTTACAGGTCCAAGGGAGCTTATTTGTTCCTTCTATCTATCATTTATAGACATAGCTGGAAGGCACCATCCATGAACCAACAAATAGGCTCTCACCAGAAATCAAATATTCCTTGATCTTGGATTTTTCAGCCTCCAGAACTGTGAGATATAAATTTCTGTTGTTTACAAGCTACCCAATCTACAGCATTTTGTTATAGCAGACCAGATTAGGACAAATGGAAAGAAAAAATGATCTTCAAGGTCCATTTACATATATTATTTCCTAAATTTATGATCTTTTTGATAAGTTGAAATTGGTATGGGTAGGTGAGAATTTCTATGTCCATTTAGTGACATTCAATGTGATACCAAAGCCTAAATCATCAAGGCAATTGGCCAGGAATCCTATTGTGGTTCTCATCCACCTTCATACCCAACAACCAATTCCATGATCTGGGAACTCTTGATTTATATCCTTGAACTATGGGATGGCATAGAAAACATGAAGGGAGCACTTCAATGATTCTACCTTTCACCACAGAAATTCAAGGACACCTGCTCCTATTTATATTTTTAACAGGGACAGTATTGTTTATTATTACTGTTATTTTAAATAATCACTGAAGACATCTTTGAGTGCTTAATTCCTATTATAAATAATTGGACTTACAAACATATAAGTATAAATTAGGTAATATTAATATCTCTAACTAAATCTTAATACTTTAAAGTCCCATCTATTGCACAGTGGGACTTCAGATTCTCCAACCCTAGCCTCTTTGGATGCCCCCCTCTATCTTTCCTAATAGCATATCATAAAATAAAATCATCATTTTTTGGATATGTTTTTCTCTTCATGTGATCTATGCCATGTAATGGTGTCTTTTACATCCTGGGATTGTTATGTAATTCTCATATCTTTTTACATTCTGGAATATGTGACAAGAAGTGTTGGTGAAACATTAACCAGATACAATAATCTCAGTGGTCTATAATGTTCTATATCAGGACAGTGTATGAAAATAATTATCTTATGTAAAAATAAGAGAAATATTTGCAAGTTTGATGTAAGATGGATATATATAAGACATGGTAAAAATTAACTTATAAAATTTTGTGCTGATTTAATTATGTGCATTAAAGATGTTCTAAAGTTCTTCTTGGAGAAAGAATAAAGACATACTAATAAGAGTCATCATCAAGTGGATAATGGCAGAGGAATTGTCTAAAGAATATTATCCTCAGTCACTACCATAAAGCATTGATACATTCCCTAAATATATTTAGCTTTACTTCTTTTCAGTACCAGTGTTGAAGCAGGAGTTAAGTGTCCCAGGTAAAACAGATCCTGATGAATCAGTGGGCCTAGCTATTGTAATGAATGCTGCTGCACAACTGAGAGATATCAAGTGACTCCTAACCCTGGTCTGGATGCTTTTCCAATATAGAAGTTGGGATTTAGCAATAACTATGCATGAAGAATCAGTCTGGATAAGAGTGCTCACTTCTGCCTCTACTGTTTCTTTCAGTGATAGACTCACAAGCCCTATGTGGCATCATGTAAGAATTATCTTACTCTTGAACTGAGGTATGGTGAAGGAAATGCCACATCATTTTGTTTAATTTACCAATATATCTCCAAATAAACTGCCTTTTAAGAGGCTGAGTGTTACAAAATTTTAATTTAAATGATACAAATGGCTATTATTCCTACATTGGAGACTACATAAAGTGGGAAGTCGGAATGGGGGTGAGGGTTGAAAAATTACCTACTGGATACAATGTACTCTCTTTAAGTGATGGGTACACTAAAAGCCCAGGCTCTACCACTATCCAATATAAGCATGTAGGAAACCTGCATTTGTACCCCCTAAATATATAAAAATAACAAAAGTAAATGAACCAAATGTATTTAGTTTATGATGACCACGATAATCTTCTGCCTATTCATGCTTTTAAGAATGAGGATTAAACCCTGAGCTAGCTATTCTAGATAAGAAAGATCGAAGGAAATCCTATTAAAAATTAGAGACTATAGGTAAAGGCCACACTTTTCAAAGAAACCTAAATTAGTACATAAAACTTAGGACATGGCTGCTTTGTTGTACAATTTGATATCATTTTTGAGAACAGACCTCTAAAACCATGGAATATGATTGATCACAAAGGCTTAACATGAACAAGACCCATGGAGAAGAATGCCACAACCGAACCACAGAATTTGTGATTTTTTAAAGAATGATTAACAGTGGGTGATGTTTATATACTCTAGAGAAGAACCAACACTCAGGGGTGTAGTTTCCTGCACTGACTTCAGTGGGTCACAGCAGAAAACACTATCCCGATGTTGGCGCATTTCCCGTAGTCAAGGTATTTCATGCTTACACAACATTGTGAAAGGTTGCATTGTTGGCTTCACTGTAGGTACAGGGGATGCCCACACACCTTAACGTTATGCATCCCTTCTAACTTGTGTGGCCAATGTTGGAAAGGAAAAGGTGACTATGCCGGTTCAAAGACTAAACTTAAAAAGTTTGTATGTGATACTTGTGCTTCTTGAACCTCTGTCATTGCCGGGAAAAACCTGCTCCACCTAGCTCACATATTCAAGGACAGTGAGAAAAAGACATATGATCTACAGTTCTGCTGTGAGAAGTGGTGCTGTCCCAACTTCCTCTTGAATTAGAAACATTTAGCAGAGCCCAGCCTAGATCAGTCAAACTCCAGCTCATCTGCAGACTTGTGAATCATAATAAACTAGCATTGTTTGAAGCCACAGAGTTTTAGAGTGATTTGCAATGTAGCAATAAATTATGGATACAGTCATCCATAACAACCCAGTACAGACTGAGCTTTGCCTGGATCACTATTTTCCCCTCCACTTTACCCCCTGCAGGGTCAGATGAAAGTGAGATCCATACATCCTTCTTCAGCAACTTGTGCCTCTGCTCTGCACCTCCCGCAATTAACTACTGAAAAAAGAACACAGCTTCACAAAAGTGAGTTGAAGTGCATAGCACAGAACCATCAAATTCCATATTTAGAACAAGAAAAATTCTATAAGACACTATTTCTGCAGAGAGAACTCTCTCATTTAAAACAAGAACCATAATAAAATGCATACCCCACAGAATATTTGGGACATTATTTGAGAACAATATTTGCATCCAAGTTACAGGTTTCTTCCAGGTTTTTCCTTCTAAATAGGGAGTATGTATTTGCCTTATATGTGAACAATTTAAGGGTTCATTTAAGAAATTTCCTCAGGCAGAAGAAAACTAATGCAAAGAATAATTCAAGCCCCTGCCACTGAGAAGACAGAAACTTTTGTATTTCAAAATGTCTCTTGTAATCTCAGTTCAGGCAATATGATACATCAAAAAATGAGAAATTATAAAATAAGAGGAGTCATATATATATGTATATATCATTATATATTTAACTTTTCCCACTCAATGTATTATGAACGTTTCCTCTCAACATTCAAGTTTCATATAACACAATATCAATTGCTGCATAATGTATCATCAAATCAGTATGCTATAACGTATTTAACCTGTCCTCTATTTCTTTAAAGTTGTTTCCAGATTTTCTTGTTATAAACAAAGTTGCAAGGAACATCCTCGTGTTTACATTTCTCATGGTTTCTCTGATTACTTCATGCTAAATCTTAGAATTTGAACTATGTGGTCAACGCACTAAAATTAAAAATGCACTAAAACTGAAAACACCTAGGATAATACCTAGAAAAAATAGTGCACCATAAATATTTGTTCAATGAATAAATAAAACAAAGTTATAGTTCCAATAGCTTATAAGATAAAGTTTATCTTCTACTTCATGTAATACTTAAAAAATTCTTAGTCATTTTGAGTTCTGCTTATGTAAATGAACTGTATCATTGCTCTTCTCTGAGAATTTTGACTGACTTTGAAAATCTCCCTGGATGCCGGGCGAGGTGGCTCACGCCTGTAATCCCAGCACTTCGGGAGGCCGAGATGGGCAGATCACGAGGTCAGGAGATTGAGATCATCCTGGCTAACATGGTGAAACCCCGTCTCTATTAAAAAAAAAATACAAAAAATTAGCCGGGCGTGGTGGCAGGCGCCTGTAGCCCCAGCTACTCGGGAGGCTGAGACGGGAGAATGGTGTGAACCTGGGAGGCGGAGCCTGCAGTGAGCTGAGATCGCGCCACTGCGATCCAGCCTGGGCGACAGAGAGAGACTCTGTCTCAAAAAAAAAAAAGAAAAAGAAAATCTCCCTGGAGTGTTTTCAGTAAAATTCAAATGGATGTCAAGTCCCTTTGGGATTCTACCAAATACTGGTTTGAAAGGAAGCTTCAAAATTATATAAGACGTTCTAGATTCAAACTAAACTTAAAATGAATATCTGCCGGGCGTGATGGCTCATGCCTGTAATCCCACCACTTTGGGAGGCTGAGGTAGGTGGATCACCTGAGGTCAAGCGTTCGAGATCAGCCTGGCCAACATGGTGAAACCCTGTCTCTACTAAAAATACAAAATTAGCCGGGCGTAGTGGCACTGTCATGTAGTCCTAGCTACTTGGGAGGCTGAGGCAAGAGACTCGCTTGAACCCGGGAGACGGAGGTTGCAGTGAGCTGAGATCGCACCATTGCACTCCAGCCTGGGTGACAAGAATGAAACTCTGTCTCAAAAAAAGAAAAAAGAATATCCAGAGTAATCTTCAGTGGATTCACAAAACAACCAAATTTGTGGGAACAGATGTGTATTTTTCCCAAACTCTGAGGAACATCCAATAAGTAATGCTATAATGTTTGAAAGGGTCTAGTAACTTACTTTGAACTAGATTTTTACTAGGGTTTTCTTTGGTTACCCCAACATACCTATGCTTTTTTTGAATCAGCATGTAGTCTGCACCTTACATTTTTAAATGGGTATAAATATATCTGTATTGTGTACTATATGTTTTCATCTTGTATTTCTAGGAGATTGTAAAATCAGGAAGTATATCTAAGTCACCTCCAGTAGCCGTAACTCTACCTTGTCCAGTAAAAGGTAAGTATGTGAAATAGTATAATTTAGAAGTAATTATTGGAGCTATGAATTAAAGTTGATTTTTAGAATAAACATTATGTATGCTATTTTTAAAATGTTTTGCAAGCTAAAAAAAATTGGTTAAGGTAAGTAGAAAAGTAGTAACTAGAATAAACGATATTGCTTAGAATAGAAGATGGAAGTTAGCCTGAACACAAATGAGTACATAACTACTTATTGTGACTATAAAAAGAGTTGAAAGTGTTTGTAGCACGTTTTATCTAAAAAAAAAAAAAAAATACCAAGACTTTCTAAGTGAAGAATCATTACACAGCCTCAACAAATGTCAGCGTTCAAAATGTGGTGAAAACATTGGAACACAGATGATTAGAAAAACTGGTCTACAGGAAAAAAAATTGCCAAAGGGCATGGTATGTTTCAAATATCCCAGGGAGACTGGGTTTTGAAAAATATTTTATATAGAAATAAACCACAAGTAACCTAGAAATGTCTGCTTTGTTTTGGTCTGGGGTTAGGAGTTTTATTCTCATATTCAGTTAACAGTTGAAAAATAAGACTTGCTCCCCAAGAATACATGAATATTTCATGTATATATGCACAAGTGCCTTCTGAGAAAAAGACACCCATGTGTAAGTTATATGCCACCACTATAATGCTGCTCAACAATCAGAAAACTTTGGTGTTAAGTAATTTAGCATGCATTTCTCAAGATTATAGAGTAGCTGCTCTTGCCTGGAGTCAGCAGATTCAACTTGTTTCTTCAACAGAAGTTGTCATCCTCTTCTGGAAGCAGAGGGTTAGCAGGGCAGTGCCTTCTCATGGTGATGGCAGAATTCCAAGTAAAAATGCAGAAACATGCAGAAACAATGTCTCTTGAAACCTAAGATCAGAATTGACAAGCCATATTTCTATTATATTCAATTGACCAAGCAATTTACATGATTGAGTTTGGATTTTAAAAGTGGATAAATAGACCCTGCCTCTTTAATAGATTAACTACAAAATCCATTGGCAGAGAATGCAGTTTCCAGAGGGGAAAAATGGAGTTATTAATGCAATCTACCACAGCCCATAGTCCTTAAACTTCAGGTGTGCAGGTTCACAACCACTGGCCTAGTGTATCAGGCATCTATATACCAAAAACCTAAGATATATATGAGAATTAATGATATGATCTTAGAATATGTAATTAATTGGGTAGCAGATATATATAGAATTACAATATGATGGTGGCAATACATTCTGTTTTTAAAGTTTTCTTAAATTCTCCTTTTTGAGGTGATGCATTACAAAAGTTGACCCTTTAAAAGAAAATTTGCTTGATTTAACATATGAAGATGCTCCTTTTTCTCTCTGAAGCAAGAGAAACAATTGTCTCTCCCTTCTGCTCTTTAATCTGTCATCTGCACATTTTTACTGCGAATTAAGAATAAACGTTTTAAAAATATCAACTTGACTTTATCATTCCTTTTAACTATAAAGATTATTTAAATAAGCATTTTAAAGAATTATAATTGTCATTACCAAAAAAAAAAAGGAAACATCATTAGCTAAAAATAGAAAAATAAGTGACGCAGCATAAAGAATGCAGATAGTTCTATGACCAGTGACTATCTGGTCAATGGGCAAACAGCAAGCACTTAATTACTTCAGTTTCAATCTTTTGTTCTCTACTTACTGGAAATTCATATTCATTTTTTTCTTATTGGATGACCAAACTGAATGACGACCAAACTAGTAATCTGTCTTTCTAGGCTTGTTTAGCCTCTAGCATGAATGTATTCTCAGTTGATGGGTTGGGTGTTTTGTATTTTTGTCATTTTGTGGTTTACTACTTAGGGTGGTCATTGTCAGTAATTATAATTTCCACTTCAATTATCTTATGTAAAGACATGCCAATCTCTGCTCTAAAATATCCTACAACTCATGGAGGCCAGGAAACATAGTTGAAACTTTTTAACCTGATATGTGAGGTCATTTGCCAACAGCTCCCTAACTAATATTCCCAGTATCCTCCTACTGATCTCTTTTCTACACCTACCTCTCTGCAATCATACAAAAATCTCTCAAGGTAATCCAGTCATAAACTCAATTTCATGGCTTTAGTCCTTATTTCTAGAAATCTCATTTCTACCCTTTTCTGTTGATCTCTCAAAGTTAGCTGATCATTCAATACCCTAACTTCAGCCTCCCCAACTTTCACAGAGTTTGAATTTCTTCTCAGGACAGTCATTAGCACATTGTAAATGTTTTCATTACATTATACTGTTATATAATGGCACACATTGTTTATATTTTTCTTCTTTCAACTACTAACTATGTGATGGTACTCACACATTGTCAATATTCAGCTTTTCCAGTTAATAACTAAATAGTGCTTAAGAAGACAACTAGATTACGAGTGAGTTATCAATGGGAATTGTATACATTAAACAACAAATGACAGTGTAGAGAAAAAAATTATGTCTCATGGAAAACTATATATTGCCTATAGCACTTTGTTCTGAGTTATCTGATTATTGTCATATTTATTTTATACCTTATAGAAATCATGATTTTAACTTTCTTTAAAAATTACTCTTCAGCAGCAGAATTATTTAATAGTTCAATTTTTGATATTGAGTCTATGATTACTATCCTTAAACAACAATTATTGCATTTAAATACTGCAGGATTCAACATTAAGAGTGTCAACCCGAGCATAATTTATTTAATGGAGAACAGTATTTTCAAAAAGTATTTATAAAGAGTTACTGCTGTAAACATACAAAAGGAACTCTGCTTTATGAGAATATTTTTAATCTAGGGCAGTATAAAGTATCTCTGTTTGTTAGAAAAATATTCTTCATGGTTCAATTCCCACCTACGAGTGAGAACATGCAGTGCTTGGCTTTTTGTCCTTGTGATAGTTTGCTGTGAATGATGGTTTCCAGCTTCATCCATGTCCCTACAAAGGAGGGGAACTCATCATTTTTTATGGCTGCATAGTATTCCATGGTGTATATGTGCCACATTTTCTTAATCCAATCTATCATTGTTGGACATTTGGGTTGGTTCCAAGTCTTTGCTATTGTGAATAGTGCTGCAGTAAACATACGTGTGCATGTGTCTTTATAGCAGCATGATTTATAATCCTTTGGGTATATATCCAGTAATGGGATGGCTGGGTCAAATGGTATTTCTAGTTCTAGATCCCTGAGGAATCGCCACACCGACTTCCACAATGGTTGAACTAGTTTACAGTCCCACCAACAGTGTAAAAGTGTTCCTATTTCTCCACATCCTCTCCAGCATCTGTTGTTTCCTGACTTTTTAATGATCGCCATTGTAACTGGTGTGAGATGGTACCTCATTGTGGTTTTGATTTGCATTTCTCTGATGGCCAGTGATGATGAGCATTTTTTCCTGTGTTTTTTGGCTGCATAAATGTCTTCTTTTGAGAAGTGTCTGTTCATATCCTTTGCCTACTTTTTGATGGGGTTGTTTTTTTCTTGTAAATTTGTTTGAGTTCATTGTAGATTCTGGATATTAGCCCTTTGTCAGATGAGTAAGTTGCAAAAATTTTCTCTCATTCTGTAGGTTGCCTGCTCACTCTAATGGTAGTTTCTTTTGCTGTGCAGAAGCTCTTTAGTTTAATTAGATCCCATTTGTCAATTTTGGCTTATGTTGCCATTGCTTTTGGTGTTTTAGACATGAGGTCCTTGCCCATGCCTATGTCCTAAATGGTATTGCCTAGGTTTTCTTCTAGGGTTTTTATGGTTTTAAGTCTAACATGTAAGTCTTTAATCCATCTTGAATTAATTTTTGTATAAGGTATAAGGAAGGGATCCAGTTTCAGCTTTCTACATATGGCTAGCCAGTTTTCCCAGCACCATTTATTAAATAGGGAATCCTTTCCCCATTGCTTATTTTTGTCAGGTTTGTCAAAGATCTGATAGTTGTAGATATGCGGCATTACTTCTGAGGGCTCTGTTCTGTTCCATTGGTCTATATCTGTGTTTTGGTACCAGTACCATGCTGTTTTGGTTACTGTAGCCTTGTAGTATAGTTTGAAGTCAGGTAGCATGATGCCTCCAGCTTTGTTCTTTTGGCTTAGGATTGTCTTGGCAATGCGGGCTCTTTTTTGGTTCCATATGAACTTTAGTTTTTTCCAATTCTGTGAAGAAAGTCATTGGTAGCTTGATGGGGATGGCATTGAATCTATAAATTACCTTGGGCAGTATGGCCATTTTCACGATATTGATTCTTCCTACCCATGAGCATGGAATGTTCTTCCATTTGTTTGTGTCTTCTTTTATTTCGTTGAGCAGCGGTTTGTAATTCTCCTTGAAGAGGTCCTTCACATCCCTTGTAAGTTGGATTCCTAGGTATTTTATTCTCTTTGAAGCAGTTGTGAATGGGAGTACACTCATGATTTGGCTCTCTGTTTGTCTGTTATTGGTGTATAGGAATGCTTGTGATTTTTGTACATTGATTTTGTATCGTGAGACTTTCCTGAAGTTGCTTATCAGCTTAAGGAGATTTTGGGCTGAGACAATGGGGTTTTCAAGATATACAGTCATGTCATCTGCAAACAGAGATAATTTGACTTCCTCTTTTCCTAATTGAATACCCTTTATTTCCTTCTCCTGCCTGATTGCCCTGGCCAGAACTTCCAACACTATGTTGAATAGGAGTGGTGAGAGAGGGCATCCCTGTCTTGTGCCAGTTTTCAAAGGGAATGCTTCCAGTTTTTGCCCATTCAGTATGATATTGGCTGTGGATTTGTCATAGATAGCTTTTATTATTTTGAGATACATCCCATCAATACCTAATTTATTGAGAGTTTTTAGCATGAAGGGTTGTTGAATTTTGTCAAAGGCCTTTTCTGCATCTATTGAGATAATCATGTGGTTTTTGTCTTTGGTTCTGTTTATATGCTGGATTACGTTTATTGATTTTTGTATGTTGAACCAGCCTTGCATCCCAGGGATGAAGCCCACTTGATCATGGTGGATAAGCTTTTTGATGAGAACACATGGACACAGGAAGGGGAACATCACACACTGGGGACTGTTGTGGGGTGGGGAGACGGGGGAGGGATAGCATTAGGAGATATACCTAATGCTAAATGACGAGTTAATGGGTGCAGCACACCAATATGGCACATGTATACATATGTAACAAACCTGCACGTTGTGCACATGTATCCTAAAACTTAAAGTATAATAATAATTTTAAAAAAAGAAAAATATTCTTCATGTCTTTTTTGTCAAATCTGATTTTTAGTTCTTTACCTACAGTATCTGAAATAATCTGAAGCCTGGTGTTTCAAAATTATTATCATAGATAGAATAAGAAGAAAATATAAATTACCAAATATCTGCTGTCTTGGTGTCTTCTATGGTCTGAGTTTCTCTACCTAAATGTCAGGCACTAAATATTTCTTGAGTATTCTTTTTTTGGTCTATATTATGTAATTTCATTTATTGTGTCAGTTTTCTGAGTTTTTTCCCTTGGATGTTTATGAAAATTTATTTTATATTTACAAAATGGTCTAGTCACACTTCTATTATTATAATTATTTCCTGGTCTTTTAGAATTATGTGGAGTTTAAATTTAAACCTGTGTCTCTACCAACTACTAATTAAAGCTAAATTATGTTTCTCCAAGACAGAATTAGAAAATTTTTCCTAGCCAGGCACAGTGGCTCACACCTGTAATTCCAGCACTTTGGGAGGCTGAGGCAGGATCACTTGATGCCAGGAGTTGGACACCAGCCTGGGCAACATAGTGAGACCTGATCTCTACCTAAATAAATAAATTAGCTGGTCATGATGGCACACCTGTACTCCCAACTACCTGGGAAGCTGAGGCAGGAATATCACTTGAACCCAGGAGTTCCAGGTTGCAGTGAACTGTGATCGTGCCATGCACTTCACTGGGTGCCAGAGCAAGACCCTGTCTCAAAAAAAAAAAAAAAATCTGACAGTGAACAAATAATAAGCTAGAGAAATATGTGAAAACTAGATACAATTTCTGGAACAGAATTTTGATGAAAAGGCTTTGCAACATTTTAATTTGAAAGGTATTGTAATGTTTGCAAAAACTCTACAGCTAGCATCATCATATTAAGAGCAAAGAATTCCTCTCTCCCCATTGCTATTCAACATTCTACTGAAAGTCATAGCTGGTATAATAAGACAAGAAAATAAAACTAAAGATATATTGGTTGGAGAAGAAAAAATGTAACTGTCTTCATTTATAGCTGACATGATGGTCCATGTAGAAAATCTCAAAGAATCCACAACAACAAAATCCTAAAATTTGTAAACTAGTCAGGCAAGGTCAGAGGATTAATTACCAAGAGTCGTTTTTTTGGTGTATCAGCAATGAGCAATTGGAATTAAAAATTTAAAAAATAATACCAAATAAAATAACACCAACAAAGAAAAACACTTAGGTATAACTCCTTAATAATGTGTACAGAAGCTACATGCAATAAAATACAAAACTTTGATCAGGTACTCAAGGCTAATATCAACAGTAGTAAGTCATGTGAATAGTATGTACCCTTGATACAGTGTGATGAGAATAATGGGACTGGAAATGCACTTTAGTTCTATAGTCTTCCTCCCCAAACCCAGTCTAATCTTGAGAAAAATCTAAAATGAAGATCAGTCTATAAAATAGCAATGCTGCTCAAAACTATCAAGGTCTTCTAAAATGAGAAAAGTCTGAGAAATTGTCACAGCCAAGAGGTGCCTAATAAGGCATGACATCTAAATATAATGTGGTATCCTGGAGGGAATCCTAGAAAAAGAAAGAAGACAAGTAGAATTAAAATCACAATAAAGTATGAAGTTTAGTTTATGATAATATATTAATATCAGCTCATTAATTATGGCAAATGTCCTATACTAATCTAAGAAGTTAATAATAGGGGAAATTGAGTGTAGGGTGTGTGGAAACTGTACTGTGTTTGCAGTGTTTTTGTAAATAGAATACTATTCTAAAATCAACATTTTTTAAAAAAATATTCTGATTCTAAAATCTTATAATCACACACAAAATATGTGAATTTTTTAGCTCAAAACCACCCCAAGATCAGTGTCATAAGAGTATCTTTAACATTGGGGGTAGCCTAACATTTTAAATCTTCACTGTAACTTGCTCATGAGTGTCCTTTATTTCCCTCTCTCAAGCACTACTAAAGGATTATTTGAAAATTTTTCAAAAGTTTCTATCATATCCTAATAATTTTACATGCCAATAGCTTCTGTATTATATTCTTTTAAAATATTTTGTTAAAATATGGCATAATAATTTATAGCTTTGGCCTGTGGAGATGAAAGCTCAAATTTTTTCAATTATCTATTATGGAATCAGTTTTGACAACACGTTTACACAGCAAACAGTGGGTCAAAATACTTATGACTTTTCAGAATGGTATAAGCCAAGATATAATTTAATCCATATGTTTTCCACAAATGGTTCATCAATTATTGATTAGGCTTAATGAGTATGCTAATAAGCAGAACTCAAGTGGCTTCTTTAGCCCTTCTGTGCTTTCCAGGTCCTCATAAATTTTTGAAATGGTGACTGCTGGAAATAGATCATGGATTGGTGCCAAGAAGCCATCATGCAGACCACATATGGTGTTCAAGGGCTGATGTTTGTCCTTTCAGGATAGTATCAAAAATGTACTTTGTGTGACATTTGTTCTAAAACATAAATTAATTTGTAAAGTTTCCCCTTGTGTGCTTGCTATACATATTGTTTTTTCACAGGAGATATTAAAATACAGACCTTACTCATTTTGAAGATTAAATTGTAAAGGATCATTTTGGAGTCATACCGCCTTTAGAGGTAGTCATGGAGACCTAGATTTCAAACTGAAACTTCTGTTGATTGGTTTCATTGTAAGAAGTTTTACTGTTATCTAAGCCCTGAAAATGATTTCTGGAACCTGACTCATTTATCTCCACTCTCTAAATGACACTAGGTTGAGTAATCTAACTTTTTAAACAAGTTAATACATTCTGATTATTATTTAATCAAAAAGGAACAGTTAAAGTGTAATTGCTTTCTTCGACTAGCAAAGAGAAACACAAAATATGTTTAGAGCATAATTAAAGTATGATTCTGAGTGAGACAATGAGCTACAAACTGTTGTATTTGCATATAACACACCCTGGATAACATAATCTTAAAATAATATGAATGTAAAGCCATTAAAATAGTTTATTGAAAAAATTACTTGAACTTTGCTTCAGATATTTAAAATTGACATCCTAGTAAACTAAATTTTCTATGAATGGATATTATAATAATTTGTTAAAATAATTATAAATATATTGAAAATTTTTTATTCAACATTATAGATGCTCTTGTATTAATAAAGAACACTTCCTATTGTAACTTCAAATATTTCTCAGGACTTTGTTGCTCAAAAATATCTAGAAAACTAAATAAGAGGTAGCGACGCCTAACCACAATGATATTTGCTCATCAGAATATAACATTTTTCATTTTAGGTATTCAGAAAAGGTACCATTTCATAAATATCACTGCTAAATATACCCCTAACAGCCTACATAAAGAATGAAACACAATAAAATATGATGCTAGTGAGTGCTGAAATAAACATGATTGTTCTGTTTGCTGCTTCACTTTTTAAAATGACTGTGACCTTAAATATTTCTGCGTTCTTACGCATCAAAATGCTAATTTCTTTTACATATCTTTAATTTAGGTAACATATTTTATGCTTTCACACCGAACTTTAGTAAAATGATATCAAATTTTTTAACTTCTTTCCTAAAGTTCAGACTGTCATTCTTGATATTAGTATCATGTCACAAGCTGTGATAAAAGAGTGAACCATAAGAAACGAATTGAAGAATAGAAATACTTTAACTGTAATTATCCAAGAGCAATAGTTTAGAATGATGAATAAAAAGTTGATCAATTACTCAGGTATTTTCTAATAAAGGGATGAATAATGATTTATACAAACCACTAAAACAGAGCGTTTATCCAGATACTTTTTCTCTTTGTCAGTGTAGTTTAATACTAGTCTTCACCAATATATACTGATGTATATTTTTTACTATCTTCTTTTGTTGAATAAACTGATGATGAAACCAATATTTTAACCCTCTTCAAAAAAGTGAAGCCACCAGAAAGATATCATTTTTCCTAGAATTATGTTCAATGTAGTTATTTAGTATCAACAGATAGAAATCCTAAAGAAAGAAATTTCACAATAAAATCATCACATAATTAAAATTGTGATTGAAAGCTAGCATGCTCTTTAGCTTCAAATGCTGTTTGTGATGTTATAGCATTCTTCCCTGGTCAATTTATTTCTGTAAGTTATCAACTTTAAAGATATTTTACTTTCAAAAACATTAATTCTTTCACCCTCAGAAAAACCAAACTTTACTAGAAACCCATAAATAATCATAGAAATAAATAACAGAATCCTAATTTACATTTAACCTTTGTTTTAAATGATTAATGGATGCTATTTATGTAAACTATTTCTACAATGCAGCATGAAATGAAATTTAAATTGCAGATTTTACAGTGGTGTATTTTAGCTAGTGACCCTATCTCCATGAAGAAAAATAAAAGAAAACCAATTACATTTGTAATAAAGATGCTAATGCATTTCTTGTTTTAAAGTTATTTAAGTTGTGATTGTTTAAGAAACTTATTTCTAATGAACTTGAAAGAGATGCTGTGGTGGAAATTTGTCTTTAAAGAGAAAAATGGTTTAGTTTTTGCCCCACTTTGAACTCCAACAAATGTCCCTCTCTGGGCCAGATACTGGGTCAGCAAGTGGTTTGGTGTGAATGAGGTCTGGGATGCCTATGCAACCAGACTGAGGGAGAGGTATGGAATTCCTATTTGGTTGGTCAGCAGGGAGGCTAGGCACTTGGTCAGACTGCCCAAATGTGTCAATCAGAACCCAGAGCATTATGGGAAATACTGAGTTCACTGATATCTGTAGACCTTTCAGTGGGAAGCTTGACATCAGTCCCTTTAAGTGCATCTGATTTCTCTGGTCTCCAAACATCCAAAAAGGAGCTAAGAAGGTGGGCTACCTGCCTTACTTCCAAATTAAAGAGTACAGGAAAATGGCAGCCCTCTGCTGGTGGTGTAATAGTAGACTGAAAGCCAGCTAAGTCAAACCACACATGTGGCAGAGAATGCTTCTCCTAACATCACTCACAGATCTACTGAAACTCACAATGCATGCCTACACCTCAACTTCAAACAATAGACAGAGATTTAAAAGAACACCTGAAGGGAGACAGGAAGAGAAACAGAATATGAAGAGGATTCAACCAAACAGAGCCAATGAAGCAGACAGAGCAACTTAAATAATAAGAGCAATTTTTTAAAATGAGACAAAAAGGAAAGGATACTCAGTGCATAGTTGGTAGCTTAAGAAAACAAGAATTTCTTAAATCATAGAGCAAAAATGCAAAAGAATAGAAATCATGAGCATCTTAGGATAGATTAATCAATGCTATGAGGTACAGAAGGAGAAAAAGAAACAAATGGCAGAGAGGAAACAATGAATAAACAATAGAAGAACATTTATTTGAGTTGAAGAAAGACTAAATTGGATGGATCTATTTTATACCAACCCAAGATGTCATTCACTTGTATAGATAAATGAAAGATGTGTGTGGATACGACAGGATTGAGATAAAATATCACCCACAAAGCCTATTTGAACAAAATACTGGAGCAAATACTCAAGCCAAATAATAAATCAACTAGAAAAAGACCATAGCGTGAGAGAAAATAAAATTGAGAAGAAATGCTTTTGAGCAAGTCACAATATGTGTGTGTATATAGGAAAATAGTAAAATGACAAAATAAATGGGATCAAAAAATTCACTTGTGTAAAATCAGAGTTTGTATTATTGTGACAGCAATGAAAATAATATTTTAAGTCAATCTTTTGGTTTTGAAAGCAAAAGTGTGCAAGATGAAATAGATGAGATAAATACAAATGTACTATGAAACATCAATGAGTCCCTTTTAAGATTTGGACGGAGCTAGTAGAGAAGATAAGCACAGTAAATTTAATATATAAAAGGACACATTCTGAAATCACAATCTAAAAATGCACAGGAAAAAAATTGAAAAGTTGGTCAAGAATAAAATTTTATTTAGAAATTAGGAAATAATTCTTAGGCAACATCGCATCTAAAAAACTCCACTAAAATTGTATAATCTTTTGTTAAAGTGTGTTTTTAAAACCTGTGAGACACATGGCAGACTCTTCACAGAGGAATAAAGAGGCACTTAAAGCACATAATGTCATTATTAAGAAGGAAAGTTCCTTAACGCTCATGTTAATAAATTTAAACTGAAGTTCATTTTAAGAAAAAGAACAACAAAATGTCCCCCAAAATGTAGGAAAGTAATGTATTAATTGTATATTAATAAATATACAAGCCGAAATGAAGTAAAAATCTAAGAATTAGCAGGAAGAATGCATGAATCCAGAACTGCTTCTTTCAAAATAGCAGCTTAATAGGAAAATAAAAATATACAAGATTAAGAATGATGAAGGATATATAGTCACAGATGTAAAAGAAATTAAACAAATACTAGCCACAATTCTGTGACACTTAAAGTTGATGGCCTTAAGGCCTTGGTGATAAAAAGCAAAAAGTTGCTAAGATTTCCCAAGAACAGGACCTTTATCACCTTCTCATTTGGAGTATTCTGAGTGTATCCTGGGAGACGCTATTGCAGTTCAGTCTGTAAAGGTAAATCTTTCAAAAGCTGGGATGGGAGGAAAATTCTTCAGAATCTCCAGAATCATTACTGTCCAGTCATCTGACAGATAAGATTGCTGTCCTCATGATAGGCTATTTGCCAGAGTTCCTGATAAATACTAGCTGAATATATTGACCCCCATTGAATTTCAAAATGATATGATTAAATGACAAGCATACGTCACATGGTGTATTAGTCTGTTCTCACATTGCTGTAAGAAACTACCGGAAACTGGGTAATTTATAAAGAGAAGAGGTTTAATTGGCTCACAGTTCTACAGGCTGTAGAGGAAGTATTACTGGGGAGGCCTCAGGAAACTTATAATCCTGGTGGAAGGCTAAGGGGAAGGAGGGACGTCTTACGTGGCCTGAGCAAGAGGAAGAGACAGCAAAGGGGGATGTGCTACACACTTTTATAAACAACCAGATCTCGTGAGAACTCACCATTACAAGTGATTCGAGCAGAATCAGATCCCCAAATACTTCTATAAAAGCAAACTTTTAAAATGAATTTTATTTGCATATAAAGGGGAATGAGGCAGCTGACTTCTCTTTGGCTCTTGGGCCTCTTTCTAAACATAACGTTTTTGAGTGTAAATGATTACAAGAACAGCATGGGGAAAATCCGCTTTCAAGATCCAATCCCCTCCCATTGGGCCTTTCTTCCAACAGTGGGGATGAAAACTCAACATGAGATTTGGGCGGGGACAAAGACCCAAACCGTATCACATGGTAACAGCATAAGTTATACTTTAAGGTTTTATACACACACACACACACACACACACACACATATAACAATATATGTGTACATATATATTTGTATAATTCAGATTCAGACTATATAATCATATATCTCTATACACACACACAGACACACATAATATATATAAATTATATATGCATATCCTCAGTCTCAATTTTAAAAATCAGAGTGCCACTGGGAGAATAACACAAGCAAAAAGTTGTTTAGAAGGCTTACCATTTTTGGAAAGTTATAAGTTATATATTAACATTAGTAAACTACTATTAAATATACTAAATCTTTTTATCTTAAAATTGCATTTACAGTATAAAATTAAAACACACATTCCTGTCATAAGCATATTGTTTGGCACACTTACATCCAACTAATAGTTTACCAAAGCATGTTATTGAAATATCAGATTAGGTCAACTTCAATCTTTCTGGCACCTAATACATTTTTCCCAGTCCTTAGCAGGCTATCTGGTATAGAATAAGCATTAAATAACTCCTGACTGCATAGCATTTTCCATGACCCATTAAGTAAATCAGATTATGGGCCCTCTTGCATTACCTGAAGAGATTTCTATTGTATCAACAAATCACAAGTAATTAAAGTTGTCGTATTCATTTCCATTAACTCCAGTAATAAAAGGGTGTGTGATAAAAAAAAGTAAGGACTCTCATTGAACGTGTAGTAACAAAGGACTACTACACAGAAGCATATTATTGAGTGAATTTACAGAGCAATTTGGTTAACAGACTATCCAATTTTTAAAAATCTTGATATGAGTCTTACTGATGCTATTTTAAACTGAATTTTTCTAGAAGTGGTGTTCAAAAATTGCAGCCAGTTGTACAGTCAAACTAATAATAAGAAAGTTGAATTACTCTTCTTTTACTTCAGGGATGCTAGGACTTGGAAACCCTTCTATCCACTTACTTGACTATCTCTACGTTTAAAGGAAATTTTGCTCAATGACATGGATTGATTTTTTAAAATGTCAGAAAGCCTTGCTACATATGTTCTATTTATACATTACTTTTATTGGGTTTACCGAATTGTTTACGAGTTTGAAAGTGTGTTTGGACATAGTGTTTAAACAGCCAGAGATGTTTTGGTTAGTTGCGGTCTGATGGTAGGGCAGATGTGTATGGATTTTAGCAGACATTTAAAAATCTCATCTTGACTTTGAGAAAAAGCTCTTCCCGACCCTAGAAAATAACTTTATATGTGATAAACTTCACAAAAAACCTAGTGACAAAAGGCTTTTTCCAGTATGAGACAGAGTAAAAGAATAGAGCCCTAAAATTGTGGCCCCCTGGCCAGCAAAGCCAGGACCCTGATTTTATAGAAAGAAACTGGTTGTAAGCTTTAACAAATCATCAAGCTGCAGACAGATCAACATTATGAATTTTCTGAGCAAATGTATTCAGAATTTGACGAAACAAGTCAAACTAACTTGACTAGTTCCTCAAGTTACGATTGAATTATATTTAATGTAACAAGAGTCTTTAGTTGAGAAATTTACTGTACCATAAATAAGGAAGTAATTCCTAGATATTATAATTAATATAATATCTAAGAATATCTAAGTTAGTAAATATAATATCTAAGATATATTACAAATTTCTACAAAAGGTGTTCTTTTATGTTAGTAAACATGACAATAAAATTGGCTATGCAAGTACCTACCAGATTATGTATTCTTTCTATTCCTGTCCCAATGTTTATGTATTGTCACTTGTTGTCCTAGCTTATTTTAAACCCTTCGGTTTCTATTAATTCATTCTTACGTCTCCTTTACCAAGTCTGAAAACCTATTCTAACTTTCTGCCTACACACAAACATACTTCTCTCCTTATTGGTGAAATGCAACACTTATTCATACTTGTTTTTCCAAAATAATCCTGTTGTATAAATTTCAAGGATAATAATAATAATGATATATAAACTAGTAAAATTATTATAATCAAGTGTATTTTGTTTTATTTCAATTCCCATACTAGCCCCAAATTTGAGAAACAGGGCATCATTTTATCTTCATGAGTTTAAGACTTTTTGAAGTTAGTAAATTTGTAAGGTTATATTTAGAATGATAGTAAGTATCCATTGATTAAACTTCTTTTCTTTTTATTTATTTTTTTATTTTTTATGTTTTTAATTAGAATTTTTTTTTTTTTATTATTATACTCTAAGTTTTAGGGTACATGTGCACATTGTGCAGGTTAGTTACATACGTATACATGTGCCATGCTGGTGCGCTGCACCCACTAATGTGTCATCTAGCATTAGGTATATCTCCCAATGCTATCCCTCCCCCCTCCCCCGACCCCACCACAGTCCCCAGAGTGTGATATTCCCCTTCCTGTGTCCATGTGATCTCATTGTTCAATTCCCACCTATGAGTGAGAATATGCGGTGTTTGGTTTTTTGTTCTTGCGATAGTTTACTGAGAATGATGGTTTCCAATTTCATCCATGTCCCTACAAAGGATATGAACTCATCATTTTTTATGGCTGCATAGTATTCCATGGTGTATATGTGCCACATTTTCTTAATCCAGTCTATCATTGTTGGACATTTGGGTTGGTTCCAAGTCTTTGCTATTGTGAATAGTGCCGCAATAAACATACGTGTGCATGTGTCTTTATAGCAGCATGATTTATAGTCCTTTGGGTATATACCCAGTAATGGGATGGCTGGGTCAAATGGTATTTCTAGTTCTAGATCCCTGAGGAATCGCCACACTGACTTCCACAATGGTTGAACTAGTTTACAGTCCCACCAACAGTGTAAAAGTGTTCCTATTTCTCCACATCCTCTCCAGCACCTGTTGTTTCCTGACTTTTTAATGATTGCCATTCTAACTGGTGTGAGATGATATCTCATAGTGGTTTTGATTTGCATTTCTCTGATGGCCAGTGAGGATGAGCATTTCTTCATGTGTTTTTTGGCTGCATAAATGTCTTCTTTTGAGAAGTGTCTGTTCATGTCCTTCGCCCACTTTTTGATGGGGTTGTTTGTGTTTTTCTTGTAAATTTGTTTGAGTTCATTGTAGATTCTGGATATTAGCCCTTTGTCAGATGAGTAGGTTGCGAAAATTTTCTCCCATGTTGTAGGTTGCCTGTTCACTCTGATGGTAGTTTCTTTTGCTGTGCAGAAGCTCTTTAGTTTAATTAGATCCCATTTGTCAATTTTGGCTTTTGTTGCCATTGCTTTTGGTGTTTTGGACATGAAGTCCTTGCCCACGCCTATGTCCTGAATGGTAATGCCTAGGTTTTCTTCTAGGGTTTTTATGGTTTTAGGTCTAACGTTTAAATCTTTAATCCATCTTGAATTGATTTTTGTATAAGGTGTAAGGAAGGGATCCAGTTTCAGCTTTCTACATATGGCTAGCCAGTTTTCCCAGCACCATTTATTAAATAGGGAATCCTTTCCCCATTGCTTGTTTTTCTCAGGTTTGTCAAAGATCAGATAGTTGTAGATATGCGGCATTATTTCTGAGGGCTCTGTTCTGTTCCATTGATCTATATCTCTGTTTTGGTACCAGTACCATGCTGTTTTGGTTACTGTAGCCTTGTAGTATAGTTTGAAGTCAGGTAGTGTGATGCCTCCAGCTTTGTTCTTTTGGCTTAGGATTGACTTGGTGATGCGGGCTCTTTTTTGGTTCCATATGAACTTTAAAGTAGTTTTTTCCAATTCTGTGAAGAAAGTCATTGGTAGCTTGATGGGGATGGCATTGAATCTGTAAATTACCTTGGGCAGTATGGCCATTTTCACGATGTTGATTCTTCCTACCCATGAGCATGGAATGTTCTTCCATTTGTTTGTGTCCTCTTTTATTTCCTTGAGCAGTGGTTTGTAGTTCTCCTTGAAGAGGTCCTTCACATCCCTTGTAAGTTGGATTCCTAGGTATTTTATTCTCTTTGAAGCAATTGTGAATGGGAGTTCACCCATGATTTGGCTCTCTGTTTGTCTGTTGTTGGTGTATAAGAATGCTTGTGATTTTTGTACATTGATTTTGTATCCTGAGACTTTGCTGAAGTTGCTTATCAGCTTAAGGAGATTTTGGGCTGAGATGATGGGGTTTTCTAGATATACAATCATGTCGTCTGCAAACAGGGACAATTTGACTTCCTCTTTTCCTAATTGAATACCCTTTATTTCCTTCTCCTGCCTGATTGCCGTGGCCAGAACTTCCAACACTATGTTGAATAGGAGCGGTGAGAGAGGGCATCCCTGTCTTGTGCCAGTTTTCAAAGGGAATGCTTCCAGTTTTTGCCCATTCAGTATGATATTGGCTGTGGGTTTGTCATAGATAGCTCTTATTATTTTGAAATACGTCCCATCAATACCTAATTTATTGAGAGTTTTTAGCATGAAGGGTTGTTGAATTTTGTCAAAGGCTTTTTCTGCATCTATTGAGATAATCATGTAGTTTTTGTCTTTGGCTCTGTTTATATGCTGGATTACATTTATTGATTTGCGTATATTGAACCAGCCTTGCATCCCAGGGATGAAGCCCACTTGATCATGGTGGATAAGCTTTTTGATGTGCTGCTGGATTCGGTTTGCCAGTATTTTATTGAGGATTTTTGCATCAATGTTCATCAAGGATATTGGTCTAAAATTCTCTTTTTTGGTTGTGTCTCTGCCCAGCTTTGGTATCAGAATGATGCTGGCCTCATAAAATGAGTTAGGGAGGATTCCCTCTTTTTCTATTGATTGGAATAGTTTCAGAAGGAATGGTACCAGTTCCTCCTTGTACCTCTGGTAGAATTCGGCTGTGAATCCATCTGGTCCTGGACTCTTTTTGGTTGGTAAACTATTGATTATTGCCACAATTTCAGAGCCTGTTATTGGTCTATTCAGAGATTCAACTTCTTCCTGGTTTAGTCTTGGGAGAGTGTATGTGTCGAGGAATGTATCCATTTCTTCTAGATTTTCTAGTTTATTTGCGTAGAGGTGTTTGTAGTATTCTCTGATGGTAGTTTGTATTTCTGTGGGATCGGTGGTGATATCCCCTTTATCATTTTTTATTGTGTCTATTTGATTCTTCTCTCTTTTTTTCTTTATTAGTCTTGCTAGCGGTCTATCAATTTTGTTGATCCTTTCAAAAAACCAGCTCCTGGATTCATTGATTTTTTGAAGGGTTTTTTGTGTCTCTATTTCCTTCAGTTCTGCTCTGATTTTAGTTATTTCTTGCCTTCTGCTAGCTTTTGAATGTGTTTGCTCTTGCTTTTCTAGTTCTTTTAATTGTGATGTTAGGGTGTCAATTTTGGATCTTTCCTGCTTTCTCTTGTAGGCATTTAGTGCTATAAATTTCCCTCTACACACTGCTTTGAATGCGTCCCAGAGATTCTGGTATGTGGTGTCTTTGTTCTCGTTGGTTTCAAAGAACATCTTTATTTCTGCCTTCATTTCGTTATGTACCCAGTAGTCATTCAGGAGCAGGTTGTTCAGTTTCCATGTAGTTGAGTGGCTTTGAGTGAGATTCTTAATCCTGAGTTCTAGTTTGATTGCACTGTGGTCTGAGAGATAGTTTGTTATAATTTCTGTTCTTTTACATTTGCTGAGGAGAGCTTTACTTCCAACTATGTGGTCAATTTTGGAATAGGTGTGGTGTGGTGCTGAAAAAAATGTATATTCTGTTGATTTGGGGTGGAGAGTTCTGTAGATGTCTATTAGGTCTGCTTGGTGCAGAGCTGAGTTCAATTCCTGGGTATCCTTGTTGACTTTCTGTCTCGTTGATCTGTCTAATGTTGACAGTGGGGTGTTAAAGTCTCCCATTATTAATGTGTAGGAGTCTAAGTCTCTTTGTAGGTCACTGAGGACTTGCTTTATGAATCTGGGTGCTCCTGTATTGGGTGCATAAATATTTAGGATAGTTAGCTCCTCTTGTTGAATTGATCCCTTTACCATTATGTAATGGCCTTCTTTGTCTCTTTTGATCTTTGTTGGTTTAAAGTCTGTTTTATCAGAGACTAGAATTGCAACCCCTGCCTTTTTTTGTTTTCCATTGGCTTGGTAGATCTTCCTCCATCCTTTTATTTTGAGCCTATGTGTGTCTCTGCACGTGAGATGGGTTTCCTGAATACAGCACACTGATGGGTCTTGACTCTTTATCCACCTTGCCAGTCTGTGTCTTTTAATTGCAGAATTTAGTCCATTTATATTTAAAGTTAATATTGTTATGTGTGAATTTGATCCTGTCATTATGATGTTAGCTGGTGATTTTGCTCATTAGTTGATGCAGTTTCTTCCTAGTCTCGATGGTCTTTACATTTTGGCATGATTTTGCAGCGGCTGGTACCGGTTGTTCCTTTCCATGTTTAGCGCTTCCTTCAGGAGCTCTTTTAGGGCAGGCCTGGTGGTGACAAAATCTCTCAGCATTTGCTTGTCTATAAAGTATTTTATTTCTCCTTCACTTATGAAGCTTAGTTTGGCTGGATATGAAATTCTGGGTTGAAAATTCTTTTCTTTAAGAATGTTGAATATTGGCCTCCACTCTCTTCTGGCTTGTAGGGTTTCTGCCGAGAGATCCGCTGTTAGTCTGATGGGCTTTCCTTTGAGGGTAACCCGACCTTTCTCTCTGGCTGCCCTTAACATTTTTTCCTTCATTTCAACTTTGGTGAATCTGACAATTATGTGTCTTGGAGTTGCTCTTCTCGAGGAGTATCTTTGTGGCGTTCTCTGTATTTCCTGAATCTGAACGTTGGCCTGCCTTGCTAGATTGGGGAAGTTCTCCTGGATAATATCCTGCAGAGTGTTTTCCAACTTGGTTCCATTCTCCACATCACTTTCAGGTACACCAATCAGACGTAGATTTGGTCTTTTCACATAGTCCCATATTTCTTGGAGGCTTTGCTCATTTCTTTTTATTCTTTTTTTTCTAAACTTCCCTTCTCGCTTCATTTCATTCATTTCATCTTCCATTGCTGATACCCTTTCTTCCAGTTGATCGCATTGGCTCCTGAGGCTTCTGCATTCTTCATGTAGTTCTCGAGCCTTGGTTTTCAGCTCCATCAGCTCCTTTAAGCACTTCTCTGTATTGGTTATTCTAGTTATACATTCTTCTAAATTTTTTTCAAAGTTTTCAACTTCTTTGCCTTTGGTTTGAATGTCCTCCCGTAGCTCAGAGTAATTTGATCGTCTGAAGCCTTCTTCTCTCAGCTCGTCAAAATCATTCTCCATCCAGCTTTGTTCTGTTGCTGGTGAGGAACTGCGTTCCTTTGGAGGAGGAGAGGCGCTCTGCGTTTTAGAGTTTCCAGTTTTTCTGTTCTGTTTTTTCCCCATCTTTGTGGTTTTATCTACTTTGGTCTTTGATGATGGTGATGTACAGATGGGTTTTCGGTGTAGATGTCCTTTCTGGTTGTTAGTTTTCCTTCTAACAGACAGGACCCTCAGCTGCACGTCTGTTGGAATACCCGGCTGTGTGAGGTGTCAGTGTGCCCCTGCTGGGGGGTGCCTCCCAGTTAGGCTGCTCAGGGGTCAGGGGTCAGGGACCCACTTGAGGAGGCAGTCTGCCCGTTCTCAGATCTCCAGCTGCGTGCTGGGAGAACCACTGCTCTCTTCAAAGCTGTCAGACAGGGACACTTAAGTCTGCAGAGGTTACTGCTGTCTTTTTGTTTGTCTGTGCCCTGCCCCCAGAGGTGGAGCCTACAGAGGCAGGCAGGCCTCCTTGAGCTGTGGTGGGCTCCACCCAGTTCCAGGTTCCCGGCTGCTTTGTTTACCTAAGCAAGCCTGGGCAATGGCGGGCGCCCCTCCCCCAGCCTCGTTGCCGCCTTGCAGTTTGATCTCAGACTGCTGTGCTAGCAATCAGCGAGATTCGGTGGGCGTAGGACCCTCTGAGCCAGGTGTGGGATATAGTCTGGTGGTGCGCCGTTTCTTAAGCCGGTCTGAAAAGCGCAATATTCGGGTGGGAGTGACCCGATTTTCCAGGTGCGTCCGTCACCCCTTTCTTTGACTCGGAAAGGGAACTCCCTGACCCCTTGCGCTTCCCAGGTGAGGCAATGCCTCGCCCTGCTTCGGCTCGCGCATGGTGCGCACACACACTGGCCTGCGCCCACTGTCTGGCACTCCCTAGTGAGATGAACCCGGTACCTCAGATGGAAATGCAGAAATCACCCGTCTTCTGCGTCGCTCACGCTGGGAGCTGTAGACCAGAGCTGTTCCTATTCGGCCATCTTGGCTCCTCCTCTATCCATTGATTAAACTTCTATTTGCTCTTGTTTCTACCCTTTGATAACGGTGAGGGAGATTTTCTATAACTATAAAAAAGTATTGATTGTAGACAGACGAGACACAGAGGAAAAAACAGAAAATAAAAAAATATTCCAAAGAACAATATGGGCAAAATTGCTTATGAATATGTGACAAACATTCACCTTAAAAAATTTAAAATTTCTGGATAAATTATAATCATAATATTTTTAAATATACATCTATTTATATTCAAAATATAGAAAGGAAATCTGTGGGTGCCCCCCCGACAAAAAAAAAGAAAAAGAAAAAAGAAACTTAATATATACAGTAAGCACTGAACCTGTAAATGGCCTAGGGTGTTGTACAAATACCAAGCTTTAAAATCCATGTGGAGAATAGAAGACAAAGCCTTGGGGCTAAATGAGGCAGACAGTTGGAAATGAGATCACACACACACACACACACACACACACACACACACACACACAGAGTCAAGACTCAAAGAAATACAGTATCAGTGAAAGAGTTAGAAGAACCATCCTATAGTAGCAAAAGTAGCAATGAGGAGAATTGTATGTCAAATAAGGAGAATTCTGTCAGCTTTTATGTCAGCTATGTGTAGAAATTGGAAATAGGTATCCTTCCCAATATAATTTGCAACCAATTTGGGGAATTTCAAACAGAAACATTAAGAAAAGCCTGGAGTCAAATTAATGGTGCATAGTGGACCAGAGCCCAAAGGAAAAGCTTGTAGGAATCATTTTCTGGGAGACCATACTTTCTCTCAGGTCATTCGTGATCTCCACTGTTTAGAATCAGCCAAATATGAACTCATAATCTAAATAAACTTTATGATAAAAATAAAAATAATAATAAAAGCGAATGGGGAAAACAGTGTGCAGCTAAGAACTCAGGAAGTCAGAGGTGGTTGCCACTCTACTAAGTATTTTCTAGCCCAACTCCGAGCTGCAACTCTCCTGAAGCTACAGGACCAAATGATTTTTACTAGAATAGACAATAGCTAGGTTGTTTCAAACCTTGACAAGGACCAGACTGAACTTGGATTAAAAAACAAACCAGCCAAAACAAACAAAAAACTAACCTGATGCAATAGACTGAATGTTTGTGTCCTCCTAAAACTCGTATGTTGAAATTCTAAACCCCAATATGATGTTATGAGGTAATTAGGCCTTGGGGAGGTAATTAGATCATGAAGGTGGAGTCCTCATTATCCTAGAGAGAGTGGTATTAGCCTCCTTCTGCCAGGATACGATGAGAAGACTGCAGTCTGCAACCTGGGAAAGGACCCTTACCAGAACTAGACCATGTTGGCACTCTGATCCTAGACTTCTAGCTTCTAGAACTTTGAGAAATACATTTTCATTGTTTATAAGCCACACAGTCTATGATACCTTGTTATATTAGCCCAAACTCGCTAAGACACCTGGATGTCCAGTTGTTTTCCAGTGGCTGGTCTACCCATAGCTATAGATGCCTGGCCTCTTTTGCCCAACTTTGGCAACTCTGAAAGCTAGTCCTACCATCAGCTCTCCCACTGGGTTTGCCACCTTACCGTGACTGGATTGCAGTCTAACTTCCCTCTAGACAATCCTGCTTTTTTTCTTTCTGCTTCTTCATTTCGCCCCCCAAAAAATGTTGATCCTGAGAGCATTGTCAAATAAACTTCCTGCATGCTACTCTTCTTGGAGTCATTTTACCAAGGAACTCAATCTGGAATACCCACACTTTGCACAATTGAATTATCTGACTTATTAAAATTGTTATAATACATTTGGCTATTTCACAAAAATGCCGGTTCTCTCCAAATAACTTACTCATGTAAAGCATTTTCAAATATAATTCCAATAGAAACTTCTTGTAGAAATTGAGAAAATAATTTAAAAAAATTATCTTGGGGACCAAAGGATGAAATTTGCTAATTAAAAAGAAGAAAAAAGGGACATGTGTGAAAATGGCCATATAACATCACCCAGATGTCAGCAAATTCACCAAAAAAATATACATGGAAACTGGATATGACGAAGAAGACATTTAAGATAGTGTGGAAAGAATAATTATTCAACCAGTGGTCTTAGTACAACTGGTTTTCCACATGGGAAAAAAAAAGTAAACCCTCCTTACATCTTACAAAAACAAAATAAAGATTAATTAACCATAAATGTGAAAAACAAAACTTTAAAACTTCCAGGAAAATGTAGGAAGCTATGTTATGATTTTAGGTGGGGAAGAACTTTTACATTGCAAAAAATACAAATTATAGGAAAAATTCTCCAACATAAATATTAAAAAATAGAAAATTAAATGCATAAAAGCAATAGCAACAAAAGCAAAAATTGACAAATGGTATCAAATAAAACCAAAGAGTTTCTGCACTGCAAAAGACGCTATCGCCAGAGTGAACAGACAACCTACAGAATGGGAGAAAATATTTGCAATCTATCCATCTGACAAGGTGTGATATCCTGAGTCTACAATGAACTTAAACAAATTTACAGGAATAAAACAAACAATCCCACTGGGCAAAGAACATGAACAGATACTTCTCAAAAGAAGGCATTCATGCGGCCAACATGGCACATGTTTACCTATGTAACAAACCTGCACGTCCTGCACATGTACCCCAGAACTTAAAATAAAAGTTGATTAAAAAAAATAGAAAATGTATCTTCATTAAAATATAACATGCTCAATGCAATGTGGTATTCTGGATTTAATTCTAAAACAGAGAAAGGATATTAGGGGGAAAATTGGTGAAATAAAAACAAAGCGCAGATTTTAATTTATAGTAGTATAACAATGTTGGTTTATAAATTGTGGTAAGTGTACCATATGTATGTAAGATGTTCACAATAGCAGAAACTGGATGAGGGGTATATGGGAACTCTGTACAATCTTTGAAGCTTCTAAGTAATTCTAAAATTATCCCACAGTACAATTTTAGTATTTAAAATGATAGTAAAAAGCAAAAGCAATATGAAAACTGGTATAAAATATTCTATAATATATATCAAAAATTATTTTGTGTCCAGAATATATATTTTTGCAACTCAATATTTTTTTAAAATAAAACCCAGTGAAAAAATTAACTACAGCTTCACAATAGATGAATCTTAATAACATGCTACAGCTACATAATATTGAGCAAAACCCAAGTTGCAAAAGGTGTAAATGCGACTATAGATATAACATTTTAAAATATGTAAAATAATTTGCTTAGATATATACTCATGTAATAAAATAATAAATAAATAAACTGATAAGCTCAGATTTTATAAAAAGGGAGTATACATAAAGGACTTTAAATACTTTATTTCCTAAACTGGATAGTATATGCAAAATATACTTGTTTGTACAACTTATATATTGCATGAGAAACATTAAGAAACACATTTTTAAACATTTGAAAATCATATAAAAAAGAAAACATGTGTATAAAATTAGATTCTTTCTTAGAAAAGTTTGGACACAAATATAGTTGACTGATCTTTCTTTTTATTTATCTATTTATTATTGAGATGCAGTCTTGCTTTTTGCCCAGGCTCGTCTTGAACTCCTGGGCTCAACGATTTTCCTGTCTCTGACAAAGGTGCAGAGGCAACGAAATGGTCATTTTTCAACAAATGATGCTGGACCAATTGGACATCTACATCTGCAAAAAATGAATCTAAACATAGACCTTACACCTTTTATAAAAATTAACTCAAAATGAATCATAGACCTAAATGCAAAATGCAAAACTGTAAAACTTGTAGGAAAAACCATAGGTATAATCTAGCTGATATTAAGTTTGATGATGAATTTCTAGATAAAACAACAAAACAATATATTAGTTGGACATTATTAAAAATAAAAATTTCTCTGCAAAAGACATTGTTAATTAAAAGGCAAGCCACAGACTTGGAGGAAATATTTGCAAAAAAATTTAGACAAAATATGTGAATAGACATTTCACCAAAAAGATATACATAAGGCAAAAAGCATGAGAAAAGATAATCAGCATTGTACATCATTAAGGACTTGCAAATTAAAACAAGACATACCAATACAAACCTTCTAGAATGACTAAAATCCAAAAACCCTGAAAATACCATTTGCTGGCAAGAATATGGAGCATTAGGAAATTTCATTTATTGCCGGTAAAAATGCAAATGGTACAGACACTTTGGAAGACAGTTTGACAGTTTCTTACAAAGTTAAACATACTTTTACCATAGGATCCAGTAATCACACTCCTATTTACCCAATTGAGTTTAAAACTTAGGTTCCATGAATGTTTATTGTAGCTTTATTCATGATTGCCAAAACCTGGAAGTAACAAAGATGTCCTTCAATAGGTGAATAGATGAACAAATGATGGTACAGCCATATAATCAAACGTTATTCAGCTATAAAGAGTAGTAAACTATCGTCCGGGCGCAGTGGTTTACGCCTGTAATCCCAGCACTTTGGGAGGCCGAGGCGGGCAGATCACGAGGTCAGGAGATCGAGACCATTCTGGCTAACATGGTAAAACCCCGTTTCTATTAAAAATACCAAAAATTAGCCGGGCGTGATGGCGGGCGGCTATAGTCCCAGCTACTCGGGAGGCTGAGGCAGGAGAATGGCGCGAACCTG
The DNA here is from genome assembly GCF_000001405.40 of Homo sapiens. Classification (NCBI taxonomy): domain Eukaryota; kingdom Metazoa; phylum Chordata; class Mammalia; order Primates; family Hominidae; genus Homo; species Homo sapiens. Next base: position 187,354,435 of record NC_000001.11, read on the forward strand.
GGAGGCGGAGCTTGCAGGGAGCCGAGATCGCACCACTGCACTCCAGCCTGGGAGACAGAGCGAGACTCCGTCTCAAAAAAGAAAAAAAAGAAAAAAGAAAAAAGAAAAAAAAAAGAGAGAAGTAGTAGTAAACTATCGAGATGCAAAAAGGCATAGAGAAACCTTAAGCGCATATTATTAAGTGAAAGAAACTAGTCTGAAAAGTCTATGTACTGTGTTGTTACAAACACATAACATTTTGGAAAAGACAAAACTATAGACACAGTAAAAAGGTTACTAGGAGTTTATGAGGAGAAAAGAGGGATGAATTGTGACACACAAGAATATTTAGAATAGTGAAACTATTCTACAGGATATGGTAATGAATTGATACATGATTTATGCATTTGTCAAAATCCATAAAACAATATAACACAAAGAATGAAACTTAATGCAAAAATTTTAATAATCACAATCTATTGATATTGGTCCATTATTTGTAGCAAATGTACCACACTAATACAAGACATTAATAACAGGGGAAACTGTATAGGGGAATGGTGTATGACAACTTTGTGTACTATTTTCTATTGGCTCACATTTTTGTAAATCTAAAACTATTATAGTAAAAAGCCTATGAGTTTTAAAAGATGCCCTGACACTGATAACACACATAAAAGAAAAATCTAAGGATATCCCCATAATTAACTGTGAAAGCTTTTATGCTTTCTTCTAAGACTGGGAAGATTTTTCGGTTGATTGCTGTCACCACTTCTACTCAACTTGTATTGGAATAAATTAAAGTCATACAGTTTAGAAAGGGAAAATAAAACTATCAATACTTAAAAGTAAAATAATTTTTTTGCAGAAAATCCTGAAGAGTCTATCAAAAATCTAATAAAACTAAGAAGTTGGCTTAAGAAAGTCAAAAAATTCAAAAATTGATTGTATTTCTGTGTATGAACAATAAACAATTAGACGATGAGGCTAATATAAAAAGTTTAATTTAAAATAACACCAAAAACATGAGATTTTTAGCCACTTTAAGTTTTCTCTGCTGAAAACTATACAACACTGATAGGAGAAATCAAAGACAACCTAAATATACCATGATCCTGGATGGCAAGAGTCGGTGTTGTTCAGACACTACTTGTCCCCAAATTGTTCTATGAATTTATCATAATTCACTGAAAATCTCAACAGTTTTTTTTCATATGAACCATCATGTTGATTCTAAAATTTATAAGGAAAATCACGGAATTTTCATTGGCCACAACAATTGTGAAAAAGTTGAAGTATGCACACTATCTGATGTCAAGACTTTCCTACAGTAATTAAGACAGCATATTCACAATAGCAAAGACATGGAATCAACCTAAATGTCCATCAGTAATAGACTGGATAAAGAATATGTGGTCCATATATACCTTGGAATACTATGCAACCATAAAAAAGAACAAGAACATGTCCTTTGCAGAGACATGGACAGAGCTGGAGGTCATTATCCTTAGCAAACTAACACAGGAACAGAAAACCAAATACTGCATATTCTTACTTATAAGTAGGAGCTAAATAGAATACATGAGCCCATGGCAGGGAGCAACACACAACAGGGCCTACTGAAAGGTGAAGGATGGGAGGAGGAAGAGAATTAGGAAAAAATAACTAATGGGTACTAGGCACAATACCTGGGTGATGAAATAATTTATACAACAAACCCCATGACATAAGTTTACCTATGTAACAAATCTGCACATGTACCCCCGAACTTGAAATAAAAGTTATTAAAAAGTGTAATATTGGTGAAAGAATAGATACATAGGTCAATGGAACAAAGTGCAAAACAGAACTTGCATATATATAGTTCATTGATTTTTGACAAAGACTCAAAGGCAATTCAATGCTAAATGATAACCTTTTCAACAGAGTGCTGAAACAACTAGACATCCATATTTAAAAAGGAACTTCAAATCATACCTTGCAGCATTTTAAAATTTAAATGGATCCTAAACCTAAATAATAAACCCAAAGCTGTAACATTTCTAGGCTATGTCATAGAAGAAAAACTTTGGTACTCTAGGTTAGAAAATGTTTTCTTAAGTAGTACACAAAAACACAACTCATAAAAGAAAAAATGATCAATAGGAATATATCAAAATCAACAGCTGATGCTCAAATGACCATATTAAAAAATAAAACCATAAGCTACAGATTGAGAAAAATATTGTTAAATATATATCTGATACAAGTCTGCTGAGATTTTAAAGTTTCTTAAAACTCAACCGCAATAATAATTTTTAAAACAGTAAGAAAAAATGGGCAAAAGATGGCCCATTCACCTAAGGAGATAGACATTTGGCCAATAAATAGATGAAAAGATATTAACCATCACTATTCACTAGATAAATACAAATTTTACAAAGAAAATACTACTAACACCTTTTAATATAACTACACTTTTAAAAAGTGATGGTATGAAGTGCTGATGGGATATGGTATAATTGGCAGATAGCAATTGATAAATAAATTGCAATGATTGCTCAAAAATTGATTGTATTTCTGTGTATGAGCAATAAACAATTAGATGATGAGGCTAATATAGCAGAATTACAAAACAGCACAGCCCCTTTAGAATACAGTTCCCAGTTTTTTATAATAAAATAAATTGTCATTTATCTTGAGATGCAGCAATCCTACTTCTAGATATTTACCCAAGAGAATTTAAAACATGTTCACATAAGAAGAATCTATACAATATTTGTTCTATCTTTGTTCATAATTACCAAAATCTGGAAATAACCCAAACGATTTTTCAATAGATAAATAGGTAAATAAACCATAGTACATCCTTTAAAATGGAATGCTATTCAGAAATGCAAAAGAACGAACTATTTCTGACACAAGCAAACATATGCATGGATTCCAAATGCATTATGCTAAATGAAAGAAGTCAGATTCAAATGGTTACATATTATATGATGTTTATTTATAAGACATTTTGAAAAAAGCAAAAGTAAAGGAATGGAAACAGGTTAGCAATTTTCAAGGACTTATGGGGATAGGAGACTGATGACAAAGTGTTTTGAGGCAATTTTTCGTGGTGTTGGAATTATTCTTCATTTGATTTTGATACTGTATTAGTCCATTCTCACTCTGCTAAGATACTACACAAGATTGAGTAATTTATAAACAAAGGAAGTTGAATTGGCTCACAGTTCCACAAGGCTGCGGAAGCCTCAAGAAACTTACAATCATGGAAGAAGGGGAAGCAGACACCTTCTTCACAAGGCAGCAGGAGAGAGTGTGTGTGTGTTAAGGAGGGACTGTCAAACACTTATAAAACCATCAGATCTTATGAGAACTCATTTACTATCATGAGAACAGCATGGGGGAAACCACCCCCCATGATCCAATCATCTCCCATCAGGTTCTTCCCTGGGTACTTGGGGATTAGAATTCAAGATGAGATTTGTGTGGCGACACAAAGGCAAACCATATTAGATACAGTTGATATGTATCTGTAAGAATTTTACTGTATGTGTATTTATACTTCAATGAACCTGAACTTAAAAAAAATGTTATCTGTTTATTTGATTAATTTTGCCTTCAGTGGTATAGATTGTCTTTATTATATTTTTCCTTTAAGAGTCTGAATTCTTCAAAGGTTTAATAATTTTTTTCTTCGGTAGAACGTATTTCATTTCTAAAGATGAAGGAAAAAAAAACTAGGCCCAGTGTGTGCTACTGTGGAGGACTTGGGAGTGAGATGGTGTCTTGCAGGCACCCCTGGTTCTCTGTTCTCCCTTAATTGTTTTCCTTTAGATTATCTCAGTCCTGAGATGTTGAGTGTAGATTTGTGGAGAAGGCTTAGGAATCATTCCACTTGTTCTGGCTGCTTTGTTTTTACAGACCAATGGGTATCCAAGAATGTGTTGGTATAATCCAGGCACTTTGATGTGGCTTCCCTTTCTCATTCGCCATGCACTTCTGTAGCTGAAATTCTATCTTTTGAGCAGGGAGAGTATACTCAAACATCCAAGGGAGAAGCACTAGTAGGTGTTTTTTTTGTTTTGTTTTTGTTTTTTTTAGCTCCCTTTTCCCCTTCCCCTTCATTTTTTGGAGGAGGCAGGTTTTGTATGCACTATGAGATTTTTCTTTATTATCCGTTGAATTTTACAAGTAAAATGGAGCAGGTGCCTCCCTGTTCTGAACTGTTTACCCAAGAAATAAAGGACTAAGCATAAAATGTAAAAGTTAACTCTATGAGCATATTTCTAAACCTTAAAACCAGAAATAAAAATAAAGAGAAACTGCAAAAATCCTTTCTGGGCTAACTTAATATTCTACTTTAGGTCTTATTTGTTTTACCTTTAATAAAGTGTGCTTTATATTCTCTTCAGTTCAACTTTTAAAAAATATTTTGTTTAATGGGTGTTAGTCCACTAGAATTTTAATACCTCAGCTATCTTAGGACTTTTCTCTGTTTGATTAAATATAGCATTAGTTGTTGATGAGAGGTGGCATACTGTCTTGTAATAAGGGTAAGGAGACTTAGATTGATTACATAAATGATTTCACAGTGAATTTGTTTTAACCTAAATATAACTATGCCAGAAAGTACTCTCATAACTTGGGCTGGAATGAATATTTCATGCTCATCATTAGAGTGACATTTTTAAAACTGTATTTCTTTCAATTTACTTATTTGCAATTTTCTATGTTTCATTAAAGTTTAGTTATTAGAAATGTACATTATTTTCTGTATGATGGATTTCACAATAAATTGGAACCAAAAGGCAAGTGTCCATGTTTTCAGTTCTTCTAGAAACTAATTTACTTTTCTCAAAACTTTAATGCAACTTGCAAAAAGATGTAAGTAGAGTATTAAAATGGGGAAGAAATATTTTGGTATAGACCATTTAAAAAGGAAGCAGTAGCTCTCAATAATACTTATTGAACATAAACTCTATCCTAATAATATTGCTTAAAAGGAGTGCCAAAATGCTCATTGTGCATCTCCTATGGCTGATTCAATATAATATTGCCAGGTTTAGATAGCCTGTTTTGTCTGGAACATTGATATTTAAAATACTATTGTTCTTGACTCTTCCTTTTCTTTGTATAAAAAGGAATATACTTTTCTTGGATATTTAGATAGAAGTGATGACGCCATAGACTCCAATCTGTCCAAGATTTTTATAACAAAGTTCAGTTCTTAAGAAAAATTTGTTTGTCTAATTTAAATACATGCCATAAAATTCCCTCATTTGATTTTATCCTTTCATGTTTTAAAATAAACAGGACAGTGTACAAATCATGAATTCAAATAACCACCATGCAGGTCAAGAAGATAAAATCAGCAGCACATTCCAGGTCACCCTCTTGTCTCTACCATCCCTTCTCATCTCTCCAAATATGACCAATAACCTTAGTTTTGTCAGTGTTTGGAATTTGTATAAATGTGATTGTACAGAATGTACCCTTTCGTATCTGGTTTCTTTCAGTCAATACTATGCCTATTTTATTTATTCATGTTAATGAATGGAAAAATAGTTCATTTATTTTAACTTCTGTTTGGCATTCCGTTGTGTGATCATTCTACAATATATGTATTTTACCTATAGCTGGTGGGCTTTGTGCGGCTTCCAGAATAGTAATGTTATATATAGTGCTATTATATTCATTTTTGTATGAATACAAATGGTACCTTTGTTTTGTTTTGAATAGGAGGGGATTTACTAGATAAATGGGTTATGGGTGTTTTCAACTTTGACAGACCCTAAAAGTTTCTCAAAGTAATAGTACCAAATTACCTTCTCACCAGGAATATAAGAGGTCTATTTTTTTCTAGGTCTTTGGTGATAACTGCTGTTTTAGCCTTTTAATTTTGTCATATTTGTTGATTTGCTGCAGTATTCCATTGTTATTACTACTTTTTTTCTGATGATTTATGTGATTGAACACCTTCTGATATGTTTATTGGCCATATGAATATCTTTCTTTTAGAGTGCTTGATCAAATTTTGTACATTTAAAATTTTCCTATTTGTTTTGTGTTTTTTTTTTTTTTGGTAAATGTTCTTGATACCTTCTAATTATTAACCCTTTTCAATAACATATGCTGCAAATACATCTCACATTATGTGGATTGTCTGTTCATTCTTTATGAGATGTCTTTTGACTGAAAGAAATTCTTAATTTATTAAGGGCCAATTTATCCATCTTCCCTCAGTCCTGTTTAATAAATCTTTATCAGCACAAAGGTAAAAAAGATATTCTTCGATATCATCCTCTAATGCAGAGGTTGCCAAAAACTTTTTTTGTAAAGAGCCAGGTAGTAAATATTTTTGGTTTCTCAGGTCACTCTGTTTTGTTGCACTTACTGAAGGTTGTCATTGTAGCACAAAAGCTGCCATAAAAAATACCTAATTTAATGAGAATGTTTATGTTCCAATAAGTCCTTATTTATAGAAACTGAAATTTCAATTTCATATAATTTTCACATGTCATAAAAAGAAATTCTTCTTTTGATTTTATTTAACTATTTAAAAATGTAAAAAATCATTCTTAGCTCACAGGCCATACAAAAGCAGGTGCTAAGCTGGTTTTGGCCTATATGGCATAGCTTGACAACACTTTAACAATAGCTTAAAGGTTTTTCCTTTTTCATTTATATTTGTAATCTACTTGACACGGATTTTTGTATATGACAAGTGGTAGAGAGGACAGAAGAATGTTGGAGGGGGTTTTTATATCCAGTTGTCTTAGCTACATTTACTGGCTATTTGTCTCTACTATGCCACCTTTATTCAAAATCAGTCATATATGTGTAGCAATGCTTCTGAATTCTCTACTTCGTTCTATTGTTCTACATGTCCATATTTGAAAATAAACCACATATTCTAAATTGTTAATTAAAAATCTGAACATTTAGTAGAGGTACTTCTCCCTCTTTTTTTCTTCTTCAAGTTTAATTTGACTATTCTTAGCCTTTAAGTTTTCAAATGCATTTTAGAAATATCTTTCTGGAAGTTTGTTATGCCATTTTGCCATTATATAGAATTTAAAGCTCCATTAGGGAACCGAGCTTTCAAACGTATGAACATAAAATACACTTCTTTTTATTTATATCCTCTTCAGTTTTACTAATTACATTTATTATTTTAGTATAGAGACATGATATAATTTTTGGCAAGATTTATCCTTCATTATTTGGTTTTATTGATGCTTTTATAAGTGATATATTTTAAATTCATTTTCGAAATGTTTCTCATATAGGGAATACATCATATGTATTATATAATGTTGTCTTAGTCCCTTTTGTTCTGCTATAGCAGAATACCACAGACTGGGTGATTTATAATAAACAAATTTATTGGGCTTATGATTTTGGAGGTGAGGAAGTCCAGGATTGAGGGGTCACATCTGGTGAGGACCTTGCTGCATCATGACATGACAGAAGTTATCACATGACTTTTTTTTTTTTTGAGACTGAGTCTTGCTCTGTTGGCCAGGCTACAGTGCAGTGGCATCATCTTGGCTCACTGCAACCTCCATTTCCCACGTTTAAGCGACTCTCCTGCCTCAGCCTCCCGAGTAGCTGGGACTACAGGCACACACTACAACACCAAGCTAATTTTTGTATTTTTAGTAAGCAGGGTTTCGCCAAACAGGGTTTTGCCATGTTGGCCAGGCTGGTCTCCATCTCCTGACCTCAAGTGATCCACCCACCTTGGGCTCCCAAAGTGCTAGGATTCCAGGTGTGAGCCACCACGACTGGCTTCATCACATAGCTTTTATTTAAAAAACCCATTCCCACGATAGCAACTCCATTCTTGAGATAATGGCATTAATTTATTCATGAAGGCAGGGCCTTCCTGACCTCTTAGAGGTCCCACCTCTCAACACTGTCACATTAAAATATTATGTTTTCAACACCTCACCTTTGAAGAACACGTTGAAACCATAGCAGATGCACGTTTGTGTGTGTGTGTATGTGTATGTGTGTGTTCACAGATACTCTTCATCTTACAGTAGGGATACATCCAGATAAACCCATCATAAATTGAAAATATTTTCAATTTATGATGGATTTGTCTGGACACAGCCCATTGAAGCTTATAAAAAGATTATCACTTAAATACCATCATAAAGTCAAAAACTGCTAAGTCAAAGCATTGTAAGTCTGGGATTGTGATGGTTAACACTGAGTGTCAACTCGATTGGATTGAAGGATGCAAAGTATTGATCCTGGGTATGTATGTGAGGGTGTTGCCAAAGAAGTGGGCTGGGGAAGGCAGACCCACCCTTAATCTGGTGGGCACCATCTAATCAGCTGCCAGTGAATATAAAGCAGGCAGAAAAATGTGAAAAGGCGATGCTGGCCTAGCCCCCAGACTACATCTTTCTCCAGTGCTGGATGCTTCCTGCCCTTGAACATCGGATTCCAAGTTCTTTAGTTTTGAGACTTGGACTGGCTCTCTTTGCTCCTTAAGCTTGCAGACAGCCTATTGTGGGACTTTGTAATCATGTAAATTAATACTTAATAAACTCCCCTTTATACATATATATATATATGTGTGTGTGTGTGTAAAAGATATTCTTTGAGATATATATATATAATATTATTACTAATTAGTTCTGATCCTCTAGAGAACCCTGACTAATACAAGGATTATCTGTGTATATGTCAGTAGTTTATTTTAGATTTGTTTACATGCACAGTCATGTCATCTCCAAATAATGACTATTTAGTTTATTTATTTCTAACCCTTGACTGTTTTTAATTTTCTTATTTTATTACACTGACTAGAATCTCGGCTACAATGCTGCATTAAAAGCATGATAATAGACATCTTTTACCTAATGGGAAATATTTCAATATTTCACAATAACTTCTGATGTCTGGCAGATACTCTTAATAAGGAAAGTTTATATTCTTATTTTGCTTAAAAGTTTTATCTTATGAATTTTTGTTAACTTGTTTTGAATATTTTCCCATATATATTAAAATGATTGTTATATTTTTTCCTTTATTAATTAAGTGAATTATAATGATTGATTTTTGAATGATAACTAAGGTTGAATTTCTGCAGAAAAACTACTTGGATTTTGATATACTGTATTTTTTACTAATATTACTGGTTTCATTTTATTAATATTTTGTTTAGGATTTTGGCATCCATGTTCATGAGAGACATTGATCTAGAATTTTCCTTTGTTGAAATGTCCTTTTCGAGTTTTACTATGAAGTTTTTTCCACTTTCATAAAAGATGTTATTAATGTGAAGTGAGCCTCTTTTTTATTATTTGGATGAATGTTTGCCAAATTAGTGTTAATTGTTAACTAAAAGTCTAGAATAATTTACCAATGGAGCCCTTTGGGCCTTAGGTTTCTCTATAGAAAGACTTTCCAAACTGAGTTCACTTTTTTTGGTAGGATTTTTTTTGACGTAGCATATTTTTGGATATTCTTTGATGTGGCCTTTTTCAGACCTTCTATTTCTTCTTGTTTTGGTTTTAGGAAGTTGAGCCTTTGTATTTGTTCATTTTATATAAACTTCAAGGTCATGGGCAATATTTACTTACATATTTTCTTATTTCCACATTATTTGGTTTTAATTTTCTGTTATTTTTCAAATGTTTTTAGATGAACTTCTATATTTCTGATTCTGAGCCTTTCTTATTTTTAATATATGCTTTTAATGCTGTAAACTATTCTCTAGGCGTTTTATACCTGAATCCAGTGGTTTCACAGGTATATTCGTTTCCCTTCTGTACTGTAAATCTTTGTGTCTTTGTATGTTCCAATCTTTATATGGTCATCCTTCTCTATCTGTGGGGGAATTGGTTCTATGATGCCCCATAGAACCCAACATTTATAGACACTCAGGTCCCTTATACAGAAAAATGTAGTATTTAATATTTGCATATAATCTATATACATCCTCCAATATACTTTAAATCAGCTCTAGATAACTTATAATACTTAACATCAACGCTATGTAAATCACGGTTATCCTGTATTGTTTAGGATTAATGACAAGCAAAAGGTGTACATGTGTAGTATATGCACAAGCATCCTTTGGTGGGAATATTTCTGACCTGTAGTTGGTTGAATGCACAGATGTGGAACCCACATATACAGAAGGTGATGGTATTTTCTGTTGACCCACCTTTCACATTGATAATCTCTGTGACAGGCACTAACATGTAGCAGTAAGACTTCCTAATAAAAAAAATTACATGCCTAATTAAAATGTATGTGTTTTCAAGCCCTTAAATTAATTAAATGTATTTGTATGAAATGGCTGTAAGTCATAAATTTGTATCAATACTTTCCTATGAGTTATACTTTAATGTTGTCATGATCAAAATAAAAGTCTAAATCTGTGAAACCTTAACATTTTATTAAAATGTATGTAACAGTGCTCAAGCCATATAATCAATATAAAGAAATGCCACATATTTTTATAAGTTTATTTTTATTAAAAAATAAAATATACAAGCAAGTATGATGTAGTACTTTACAGTGAACCCAGAATACTTCTGCAAATTATGTTTCCACTACCATTCTCACAGAGTTTTTTAAAATTCACTTCATTGCTTCAGTATTGCAGTTGCTGATACAATTGCGCACACATTGACTTAACTGAGCATTTGGGATGATGGGTAAAATCCATTTCAAATGCAGGTGCAATTTTATGACTCAAAGACTTAACTAAAGGCTCTAAAAGTATTGTTCACAGAACATGACTTGATTTTACAATCTTTGCAGACAGTTCTTTCAATATAATCAACAATGGTTTTGTGTGTGAACAGGATGCATGATCAGCGAAGTTTTTAAGCAATGTAATGACGTTTTTTGAGAATAATTTGTTGAAGTCATAGCTTTGGCTTTTTCCATTCCTTTGCCCGAAATATACAGGAGGAGAATTTAATGTATATAAACTCATTCGGTTTATATTGGTTTATATTTTGTTTTTAAAATTTGCTTTTAGATCTTTTAGCTGGACACATTTTTACTTTTTTAGGTTATTTGTGTATTATGTTTACAATATGATATAAACTGGGAAGACAAAATAACTGCTCCTTGAGAACCTACAAATCTATACACAAATATTTCATACATGTAAGACATAAAAAAGAAGTAAAACATATTGAACCAAAAATCATACAATTCTTCGTATTAGTATTTTTATTTTTTTTCTTCCTTTTTTTGTTTTTGTTTTTGTTTGTTTTTTGAGATGGAATTTCACTTTTATCACCTAGGCTAGAGTGCAATGGTGCAATCTCGGCTCACTGCAACCTCCGCCTTCCAGGTTCAAGCGAGTCTCCTGCCTCAGCCTTCTGAGTAGCTGGGATTACAGGTGCGCGCCACCATGCCCGACTAATTTTTGTATTTTTAGTAAAGATGGGGTTTCACCGTGTAGTGTAGTCCAGGCTAGTCTCGAACTCCTGATCTCAGGTAATCCGCCCGTCTTGGCCTCCCAAAGTGCTGGTATTACAGGCATGATCCACCACGCCCGGCCAATTCTTTGGTATTTTTCTTTAACAAATCTAGATTGGTGGAATTTTTTTTTTTTTTTTTTTTTTTTTTTTTTTTTTTTTTTTTTTTTTTTTGACAGAGTCTAGCTCTGTCGCCCAGGCTGGAGTGCAGTGGTGGGATTCTCTGCTCGCTGCAAGCTCCGCCTCCCGGGTTCACGCCATTCTCCTGCCTCAGCCTCCCGAGTAGCTGGTACTACAGGCGCCCAACACCACACCCGGCTAATTTTTTGTATTTTTAGTAGAGATGGGGATTCACCATGTCAGCCAGGATGGTCTCGATCTCCTGACCTCGTGATCCGCCCGCCTCGGCCTCCCAAAAGGTGGAATTCTTAAATATTAATGTTAATAACTTATTTGAAATGTAACTTTATTGTTTTAACATATCATTTTCAAAATTTACATAGAGAAGTACACTGGCATGCATGACACAAAATTCTATATAATCTTTCAGATTGTAGTTTGCTTTTATATACTGTAATTTTGATTTTTGTTCTATTTTTATCAATCAAGTTTTTTTATATTTATATAGTGCATAGAAGTCCTTGTATGATATATAATATTTAATCATACTTAATATAGTTGTTAAATACCTTTCTAGTACAGTTACCACCATAGAATAGACAGGTTCATTTAGATTTTTTAATTTTATTTCATTTTATTTTGTTTTGTTTTGTTTCCCCCCAGAAAAAAATAATTGAGTCTTAGAAAACCATTGAATTTATGTTGAATAAAATGATACTCACTGGATTGAAGTATACATATGTATATATATATATAGTCTATATATATATATATTCTATATATATATAAAACTATATATACATATATGTATGTATATGTATATATAGTTTTTTGTTTGTTTTTTTGAGATGAAGTTTCACTCTTGTTGCCCAGGCTGGAGTGCGATGGTGCAATCTCAGCTCACTGCAACCTCTGCCTCCCAGGTTCGAGCAATTCTCGTGCCTCAGCCTCCCGAGTAGCTGGGATTACAGGCATGCCCCATGATGCCTGGCTAATTTTGTATTTTTTTAGTAGAGATAGGGTTTCTCCATGTTGGTCAGGATAGTCTCGAACTCCCGACTTCAGGTGATCTGCCTGTCTTGGCCTCCCAAGGTGCTGGGATTACAGGCATGAGCCACTGCACCCGGCCCAAGTATGTTTCAATTTATAATTAGTTTTGATATTTTCATGTGGCCATTACCATGTGCTTATATGGAAAGATACTGTCTTAGTTTATTTTTAGTGCTATAACAAAATACCTGAAGCTGGCCAATTTATAAAGAACGAAAATATATCTTCTAACTGTTCTGGAGGGTGGCAACTCCAAGATCAGGCACTGGTATGCAGTGACTGGTGAGGACCTTCTTGCTGCATCCTCACATGGCAGAAGGTAGAAAGGCAAAATTAGTTCCCTCCAGCCCCTTTATAATGTTGCCAATCCCATTTATGAGGGCTTTACTCTCATAACTTAATCACCTTCTAATGTCCCCACCTTTTAATATTATTGTATTAAGGATTAAATTTCAACATGAATTTAGGAGAGGACAAACCACAGTAGGTACTGTGTGAAATCAAGACTCAGTATGTGAATTTGGCTACTTTCATTGTCCATTTAAGTCAGAATGTCTGTGAGGCCAGAGGAGAGAGAGGCAGGAAGGCTCTGAAAATCTTAAGTGGCATCTTAACTCACTGTGAATGAAACTTAAAACCTGATCAGTGGTATTTTCTATATCAGGAGAGAATTTTCCTGTATTTGAAATTTAAGAGGAAGGATATTAAGTAGAAGGTAGAAGAATACTTAAGTACCACAGCAGTGTACTTTGCAGTGGGACAGAGATGGTTCATGAGGTTTCACTGTAATTTGAATAATAACTATAGTAACAACTGACATTTCTTTTTTTTTTTTTTTTTTTCAGAGACAGGGTCTCGCTACTTTGCCCAGGCAGGTCTGGAACTCCTGGGCTCAAGTGATCCTCTTGCCTCAGCCTCCAAAATTTCTGGGATTACAAGCATAAGCCACCACACCTGGCCATGCTTCTTAAATTCTATTAAAACTGGCACTTTTTTTTTGGCACTTTACACATAGTAATTGGTTTAGTAACTAAAAAGCTCATGGAATAAAAGCTATTAATATCCCCGTTTAATAAATGATCAAAGTAGAACACATGGTAGTTGAATGACTTGCGTCATGTAAGTTATTACCTGCAAATCTAGTAGTACCTGGATGATAGGTATGTACCTCAAGACTATGGACCTCTTTTGCTAGCAGAATTTATGATCTTATTCCTTCCTATCCTTTTCCTCTGATCCCTATACTCATAGCTGAAATGCCTTGAAAAAAAGGTCTTCTAGACTAGACTCAACCTCCAATCTCCATGACTTTGAATCTCTAGTCTCATCTAGTTTCCCAGATGCCTTCTTTTCCTGTTTGCTTTGTACATGGTTGCTTCCTCAGCCTAGTGATGTTTTTTTGTTAGACAGTCTATTCTTTACTGTTAATTCAACCACAAGCCTCATGAAGTAGCTCAGCTTCATGAATCACCTCCCTGTTATCCACGTTGGACAGAGAATGAAGATAAGCCAAAAACAGGAAAGAAAAAGAAAGATGACTTTTTTGAACTAGATACCTTGATAAGATAATTTTTAAAAAAAATTAGAAAGAACTGGGTATGAATAAATTGGAAGTATAGGAGAAAACATTCAGAGATTTTCATATTTGGAATTTAAGATTCCAGAACAGGAATAATTCTGGGTGACAGTATAATCCAGAACATAAAGAGCTAATATTAGCTACTGTTTGGATTTTGAAGAAGCCAGTTGGACTAGATACTAAATTATTTTAAAATAGGGACAATTCACCCAATGGTTGGTAGTAGCAATGAGAGGGAAAAATGATGTATCCAGCTGGTATAGCACTCAAAGGGGAGATCTCTTGTTTTGTTTTGTTGTTGTATGTATGTTTGTATACATTTGCCAAAAAATATCAAACTGGGAGATATTTAGTTCAAAATACTGTCTGGCTCATAACCCTCAGATTCTGCTAACTAAAATATCCATGAACCATCTTGCTCTTAAAATTTGTGTCACTCACCCAGGGCGGGAATGCAAATTAAGGACCACATATCACAGGTCTAAATATTTAAACATCATTATCTGGCCTCTGCAGCGTGTTTCCTGGGAACTTTTTTGTTACCTGGAAGCTAAGGGAAATGTGTTCTTTCCAGGCAAGCCTTGCCCTTGGTATCCTGATTTGGACACAGGTCTGCTGAACAGGCAGAAAGTTCACCGGCCAAGCTCCCGTGGGACCAGATCAGATTCCCCTAGTCCCCTCAACCTCACTTCATATTTCTGGCTCTAGATAGTCCAGACTATTCTAAATGCCTCCCAAAACACAGAGCAGAGAGTAGGGCAGAGGAAGGACTATTATCTCGTGGCCCAGTGTGCCTAGTTTTCCACGTTGGTTGATTTGGGGAAGTATATTTTGAAAGAAGGACAAAGGTCACTTTTTCTCCTTGGTTTCCTTCTGCACAATACTCAGGTACTCTTAACCCCACTTATTCTGGCCTGGTGGTAGGGAGCAGAGGGAGGGGGAGAGAGGAGCCAGTTCAGTTAAAAAATCTCTCTTCATAATTTCCATAAACTCAATCCATACCTAAATTTTCAAAAATCATTTTTATTACATTGAAAACAGACTTGTAGCAGAAAATCCTATTGCCTTGACTTAAGGCAATATTATCTGTGAAGACCAAAAACACAATAAACACTCATGGCAATATCTAAACCACAACTAACAGATACAGCAGCGTGAATCAGAATACCTGGATCGCCTCAGATTTGTCTGCTAGAATAATAGCTAAATATGAAATGATACTAAAGAAAATCTGGTGAGTTTTATGAAAAAACTATATAGACTCAATAATTTTATATTCATCCGAACTGTCTGTTATAAATATAAATGCAAGAAATATTCTATTCATGTGAATTTCTATGAAAAATTAGAAGACACACTTCTACCAGCTGACAGATTAAGTTAAAAAATGAGTATACCTCACTAATAACAGACTAGTGACGAAGTAAAAATCAGTTAAAATAAAATATCCACATATTTACTGTGGAATTGTTTATAAAAATCCTAACGTAATAATTCCTATTTCAAACTTCAAATTTTAACTACCAGCAATATTTAACAAATTGGGAGGTTAAAGGAGTGCAGAAGGTAGGAAGTATCTTAAAAGAGACCCAGCACTTCAATTTTAATTTGCCCCATCATATCCAGAAAGAAAAGTTTCGGAATAATGTTTTGGAATGCATAAACTTAAGGTTTTGTCAATGTAAAACCTGAGGCAGTGTTCCAGTTAAAAAATGGCAATATCCTACTACTTTCATTTATTTCTAAAACCTTGAGTTTAAAACTACTGACTAGGCCGACAAAAATCAATCAAAAACAAAACCATAATTATTCAAAAACAAGAACGAAAAGAGCAGCAGTAATTTTTGGAAAAATATGTTTACTATGGCGCATGCCTGTAGTCCCAGCTACTCAGGAGGCTGAGGCAGGAAAATCACTTGAATCCGGGAGGCGGAGGTTGCAGTCAGCCAAGATCACACCACTACACTCCAGCCTGGCAACAGAGTGAGACCCTGTAAAAATATATATATAGTGGATAAGCAGTAATTGCATTAGTGACTGGGGAGAAGTTGAGCCATAAATGACAGTGGGGAACATAGAGAGCGAATTTAATAGATATCACTGAATTCTCAGAACTTGGCAGCAACAGTTGCCTCGAGACATGAGAGTGAAGGAGACATGGATTAAAGTAAGGGGAGTTGTTTTAAAACTCTTTGAAAACTAAGTTCCTTATTATCCTCCTAATATGGGGATTCTTGGCCAAAGACCCAGGTAAGTCATCCTGCAGTTAATTTCAATGACCTGATAACATGCTCAAAACTAACAATCACGCCGGGCGCGGTGGCTCAGGCCTGTAATCCCAGCACTTTGGGAGGCCGAGGCGGGCGGATCACGAGGTCAGGAGATCGAGACCATCCTGGCTAACACAGTGAAACCCCGTCTCTATTAAAAATACAAAAAAATTAGCTGGGCAAGGTGGCGGGCGCCTGTAGTCCCAGCTACTCAGGAGGCTGAGGCAGGAGAATGGCGTGAACCCTGGGGGGCAGAGCCTGCAGTGAGCCGAGATCGTGCCACCGCACTCCAGCCTGGGTGACAGCGAGACTCCGTCTCAAAAAAAAAAAAAAAAAAAAAAAACTAACAACCAGCTTTTTAAAAATAGTAAATAAGTAAGTAAATATAGGCAGGAAACTCATTTTGAGAAAAATCTCATATATATATATAAACATATATGTATATACACTAACGTAAATGAATAAGTAAAAGCAACTTTGAGAAAACAGAAGTTCTGTAGAAAAAGAAAACTTCAAAATATGTGTAATACCTTCAAGGATATAAGTAAATATATTGTATTATTTACAAAAGGACAGAATGTAATGGGATGAAATATTCAGAGAATGAAAAGCCACTCTTGGAAATTTAAAGAAGGAAGCAGAAATGAAAAGCTCAGAATGTTTGAAAAGTAAATTTGAGGGAAGCTTCCAGAAAGTAAAGCAAAGCAACAAAGAGAAGCAAATATGGAGAGAAAAGAAAGTTAGAAAGGTGGTCAGAGAGTTCCAATCTCCAAATCAATAGGAGGAATTCTATAAAGACTTTAAAAAGAAAACAGAGTTGAGATGAGCATCAAGGAAATATTTTAATAAAATTGTGCAAAACTGAAAATACGAGTTCCTAGGCGGAGAAGGCACCATATATGTCTGGCACAATGGATGAAAGTATAAGCTACTGAGTCAAATTGAGATAGAAAACCGGCAGAAGTTATTTGGTGGGCTGAAGGAAAGAAACCAGTAGGACCAGCTGATGGGAATAAAGCGCTCCCTAGCTGCCCTCATTGCTCATTAGTATAAGAGACTTCCACCAGCACCATGACAGTTTACAAATGCTATGGGCAATGACCTGGAAGCTACCACCCTCCTCCATGGTAATGACCCAGGAGTTACTGCCCTTTCCTAGAAAGTTCTATATACTGCCCCCTTTAGTTTGCATTAACCCACTCCTCAATTTGCATGTAATTGAAAGTGGGTATAAGAGAGTATAAATAGGGTTGCCAACACCAGAGTGAGTGTTGCTCACTCTGGGCTGGCTATGAGTTAATCCTGCTCTGCAAAAAGCAGTACCATTCAACAAAAGATTACTGTCCAATGCTACCAGCTTGCTGTTGAAGTCTTTACTGGGTGAAGCCAAGAACTCTTCCGAGCTAAGCCCCAGTTTTTTGAGGCTTACCTGTCCTGCATCATCTTCACACTAGGTATGCATTGTTAGATTGAAAGTTTTTTTTCAGAATTTGGAAAATTCTTGCTCCTGTGTTTTCTATATTCCATTATAGTGGCTGAAAAAAAATCTGAAGTCTGCACATGCGACTTTGGTTTTCAATTTAGAAGCATGTAGAGTCTCCTCTGTCCACATCATGCTGAATTTTTTCCCAAAATTATGATGCAGGACAGGCAAGCCCCAAAATTGGAGCTTAATCCGGAAGAGTTGTTGACTTTGCCCTGGAGATAATTCAAGGGTGAGCCAGTGGTGTTAGACAGAAATCTTATTATTGAATAGTACTGTTTCTTGCAGACCAGGGCTAACTCATAGGCCTTGTACCCAGAATTGGCAAGGTGTGGGCTGTTGGCAACTGTATTTATACTCATTTATACCCATTTTCAACTACATGCAAATTGTGGGGTGGGTTTTTTAGAACTTTCTATGAAAGGGGTGGTAACTTGCGGGTTGTTGCCATGGAAAGAGGCAGAGCTCCTGGGTCATTGCCATAGCATTTGTAGATTGTCATGGAGCTGGTGAGAGTGTCTTATGCTAATGAGGAATGAGGGCAGCAAGGGACCCCTTTCCTCACTGGCTGGTTCCTGCCGGTTTATTTATTTCTTCCCATCAGGACCAGGAAATAAGTCCTGCTGGTTTCCTGCCTCAAAGGTAGAAAAAAAGACATTTTCAGATTCCTCAAGAGGCAAACAATTTCGCGGTCATGCACCATTTCTTAGGTAATGATGAAAGATCTGACATAGGAGAGATGGTCAGGAAACTTCCAGGACAGTGGGGATGGAATACCTCAGGTTGACATCAAGCTTGTTAGGCAAACAGTACGGAGCTGAGCAGCGGGACTCAGAATCAGGATTATATTGCAATGCTCGTGTATGAATAGTATTTTATAGAATAATTATATAAACATGAATTGTTTAGTTAAAGTATAAATAGACTGGAAAGATAGGAAAGGAAAAGCAGAGGAGATAGTGGGATCAAAGTAAGAATTCTCCTTTATCATAATAGGAACTCAATAGATACAATCTCAGAGAATTGAAATGAACGATAACAATGTATCAATATTATTTGAAAATATGGAGTATGAAAATGCCATAAGAAACGGTTAAAATAGTTAGAAGTGATTGCCTTGGAGTTGAGGATTGTGGAGGAATGGAGAGGGACAAGTTAATTTTTTGTTGTTTTTTTCATGGGCTTCTGGTGCTATTAGAAATTTTAAATTCTATGAATGTACTGTTTTGGTAAAGTAAAATCTACCTTGAAAAGATTCATGTTTCAAAATCAGTATGGAACATAAAACTAAAACCAACCAACCAAACTATTATGAAACCGTTAAAAGGAAATAGAAAGCTAAAAAGAAAGCTTTTAGAAAGAACAAGCATATCAATTATAATAATCACTAGAGATAGGATAAAGATATTTTTAATTACCACCCACCAACTTGGAAGCCTTCTTGGTAAGTTTTTTCTTTTCTTTTCTTTTCTTTTTAATTTTTAGGGACAGGACCTCTATATGTTGCTCAGGCTGGAGTGTGGCAGCTATTCACGGATGTGATTATAGTACACTACAGCCTCAACTCCTGGGCTCAAGCAAAGCTTCCCAAATCGGTGGGACTATAGGCACACGCCACTGTGCTGTTCAATAATAAGATTTCTGTCTAACACCACTGCGCCTGTTTCCTTGATAAATATTTATTATCTGTGTTTATTTATTTTATCCTGGGAGAACATACAAGATTTCGGGGTCAGAGAACAGACTGATTGTTTTATGTACAGCAATAACAGCACTGGCTCCCCACTCCCTATTTCTCCTTTGAAGCCGTGCTGTGAAGGTAGATGTCAGCCTGCACATGCAAAGGGGTCGCTGCATAAGACGAATCCTGAAATTGTGTAACTGGGAGTTTATATGAAGTGCCTCTCAGCAGCCCCGCCAACCCTCCTCCCTCTAGAGAGGGGAAGAGAAGTCATCACTGTCTAATGTGAAGGAATTCTCTCTGGGAAGGGAGGAGACGGTCCCTAAATTGTTACAACCCTTTGAAATGTAAAGGAAGCCTCTGGATTGTTTCTCATTCTTTTAAATGTAAATAAATGGCAAATGGCTCTCAAGGCGATCAATTTTTAACTCTATCTGGACTAATTCAGTATATCTAACTTCCTAAATGTGATTACTATTCAATTACTCTTTAACCCAGATTGCCAAAAATCGGTGTTTAGTAAACCCTGACCATGCAGAAATATGAAAATATTGTTTCCCAACAATTATTTTCCAAACTCCTTTGTTTTAGTCAATGGAACCAGTATTCCTACTGACCAGCCTGGATCTTTCTTTTTCACACATCATATCTAATTGATTCTCAAACCCTATCAACATTCTTTTCAAAATATATCCAGATTTCTACCACTTCTCACAATTTTCTCTGCTAACCCACCAGTTCAGCCTACCATTCCCTTCACCTGGATTAAGGTAAATCGCTGTTTAAATAGCCTGGCTGCTTCTCTTTTGCCCCCACTTTCCAGTTCTTTCTCCAGGTGGCAGCCCTAGTAATCCTTTAGTATGTCAATATATGCCATTCCTCTGCCTTGGGACTTGTAACCTTACCCTGAGGAATTTCTCAAGTTCTTTCCCCATACTCTACATGATTCTACATGGCCTTGAACTCTCCTACCTCTCTGACCTCTCCTATTGCTCTTCCTCTTATTTACTCTGTCCTTCTCATTCTGGCCTCACTGATGGTCAGCTGTGGAAACCCAGTAAGCATGCTACTACCTTCCTACTCTCTGGAACCTTTGCTATTCAGCAGATATTCAGGAGGCTCGCTGACTTGCTTCCTCTAAGGCTTGCTCAAATGCCCTCTAGTCTGACATGCACACCTTTTCTCTACATGTCTTTGTATCTTTCTAGCACTTATCAATATCCCAAATATTATAAATGTATTTTTTTATTGTCAGCTTCTTCACAGTAGAACATAATGTCCATGAGAGCAAGGACTTTGTTTTATTCATGGCTGTATCCTCAGCATCTAGAACAACGGCTAGCACAGAAAAAGTATTGGTCTTGTAAAGCGAACAAATATTAAAAGTCAGAATTTGCAGACCAGAATAATAATGAACCCAACTGCAAACAGTTTTTAAAGTCAAATAACACAGATATGTGAGTAGTAAAAATAATGCGAGGGAAACCACGAAATGAAATGTATTTTAAATAAAAGTAGAAACTACAATACCTATATTATTAAAGATATAATTTCAAATAAAAATGATAAAGGGAAAGACTCTATGTATTAAAAATAAGTACAATTCTCAATTATGAAACATTCATGAATCAAGTATATATAAAGCTAAAACTAAAAAATTCAATGAAAACTAAATTTTCACAAGAAATCATGGAGAGAGTGTATCATGGTTTTCTTGTCATCAGTTTCTCTCTTTATTCTGTTTCTAAGCAACTGATCTCATAAATATATACCATTAAGTGGAAATCTTCTCAGGTAAAATAATTTAGAGAAAATTCTGCTTGGAATTTTGAAAAATTTACAGTTCTTACGTCATGTAGTCCAACAGCATCCCTGCTGCCTCTAGTGATAAATGTTGTGATAGGGGTTATGGAAAGTTTACTTATTAGAGAAATATGGCTTCTGCCTCTTTCCACTCTCCCTCTGGCCAGCCACTTTCTATGTCTTATTCAAATAAATTATATATATATATATATATATGAATAAGCTTGTACATTGAATTGCCCTTCTTGTATTTTATAATGAGTAAAAAATACTGGCTCTTCTCTCATTTGATTTTTTAGCTCACTTAGAATATAAATTGCATATTTTTCTTATGAACTTGTTAATTCACCCTTTTTCTCTTGTTCTCATATATAAGTCATAAACCATTATTAGGCACCCTGTGCTTGGAATATTGTCCTTTATTTTCTCAAGGCTAATTTATAATTATATTTCCTTTCTAAAAGCCATCTTTCTTTTAAATCATCTACAACCACTCCTTATACTTTTTGTTATGTAATTTGATAGTATTTGATATATTGCTATCATTTTTTTTATAATAAAACCAAATTATAGCATGGCTATTGTTTCAGAAAAAAATTCTTATGAGATGAAATTGGACTAAAGCCTGTATTATAATTAAGGACTTTAGGGTAAAAGGATTAGATATGCAATGAACAAGTTTAAATATGTGAAGAAAACCTCTAGCTTAAATAGGGAGATTTGGGAGCTTTCATTTTTGTTTTCTTTCTGATCACGTTATAAGTGACCTTCAGACCTACTTTTTTCATAACAAATTTCAGGGTTTTTTTTGTTTTTGTTTTTGTTTTTTACAAATGTTGTTGTAACACCTTTGAGTTAAAAGTTCTTTAAAAATTCAAAGTGTTCTTAAAATACAATTCCTGATATGGGTACATAGAACAAAATGCAAATATAGACCCAAATAACCACTTTGCTAATGAACTGTGATGTCACACTGCAAAGAGCGTAGACCATTAAATAAATCAAGCACAGCAGACCTTAAGAAAGAATTTAGCAATTCCAAATTTCCAATTTCATGCTAAGCACCAATTTTTCTTAAGCCGTTGTTAGCTAACATGTAAGAAGGAAAGGATATACTTTAACTCACTACAAATATTGATTATCTGCTACTTCTATTAATTTCCGACTTCCTATATTATTTCAGCATTTCCGCTTGGTTCTCCTCACCTCTATCCCTCTGCATCTTTCTTAATACAAATATCCATACTACCAATCTATCTGACCTCTCTTTCTTGTGTTATTTTGTCTTCCTTTACAGTCAAACTATCAATAGCAATGAGTTTTATTTTGTACACTAATAATTGCCTTTGGTAAACTCCCTGTACCACTTACTAAGTCAAGAAAGATTCTAGGGTTTGTTTGGGCTTCCTATGAAAGGAAACCATGATCAGTTAGTGATTATTGCTTCAGGCAAGGCGTTGGAATAAATTAATTTTCATGACAGATAAATCCTTGCTATGTACTTCTGCCTCTCCTGACATATTTAATAAATGAGTATTGCTACATACTGAAAATAATTCTCTTCTACCTCTTCATTCTGATATTCCCTTAGTACCCACTTCCTCAGATGTCCCCGCATCTTTGGATCCCTTTGTTCCCCAGAACACAACCATTATTGTAACAATAACTCCCACTTTGTCCACTCCATTAGCTCAAGAATTCCTACTCATCTTCTTCTCTATAGGCAGTGGCACCAATGCCACCACCACCCTGAGCAGAACAAGCTCCCTATAATATCCTATCATATATGCGCCATACCAATTGTGCACTCCGTTTTATGGCTCTCCATTGCTGATGCTCTAGAACTTACTGCACTTACTGGAATATAGATGCTCAGTCATACTGATCTTGCCATCCACATGTTCACCTGGCAGCTGCTTGCTTATTTTCATGTTTATCATTTGTTCATTTTTAGAATGATACTCTAGTTGTAAGAGCTTTGCAGATCTCAGCTCTCCTTCTTCATCCTTTTCTCTTTCCACTTTCTCCCTCAGATACTTTATCTATTCTACTTTTTTTTTCTTTTTTTGAGAGTTAGCCTCACTCTGTTGCCAGGCTGGAATGCAGTGGCATGATCTCAGCTCACTGCAACCTCTGCCTCTGGGATTCAAGTGATTCTCCTGCCTCACCCTCCCAAGTAGCTGGGACTACAGGCACTCGCCACCACGCCCAGCTAATTTTTGTGTTTTTAGTAGAGATGGGGTTTCACCATGCTGGCCAGGATTGTCTCAATCTCTTGCCCTTGTGATCTGCTCACCTTGGCCTCCCAAAGTGCTGTGATTACAGGCGTGAGCCACCCACCATGCCCGGCCCTACTGTCTTATAATCACCTCTATAGTGTTGACTGCCAATCCAATCTACAGAATCTGTCTGTCATAATAAATCAGAATTCCCTGGAACACTACTTATGTTATTTGTGATCAGGCCCCAGTGTAGATGAGTCACATTTTCACACCACACATTTTACAATTAAACACCCTCTCAACCTCTGCGACCCCTACCCCATACATATTCATAGTCATATTCTAAACTGCAGCCCTAATTATGTGGTAGTCCCTTAAAATCCTGCATACATAATTATTCCTTTTATTCTGAACACAGACAGACCTGAACTTCTATTTTCATCTACTCTGACCTCTGAAACATTTGGTTTCTTTGAACATTCAGTCTCTGTTTCCCTAAAATTCTTTTTGGATTCTACCATCTCTGGCTTGTCTCTTATTTCCCCAGTTGCTCTATCAATAATCTTTTGAATACTGCAGATCTCTAGATTTCAGGCATCAGCTTCAGCTCCCCTGTCTTTTTACCTCCATGGCCAGAGCCAGAGGATAGTGTAAGAGGGAATAGGCCTGGCCTCAGAGTGCTTGGGAGGAGATGAAATCTACTGTTACCTACCTGCCACCAAGCCTGCTCATTTCTGATTTCAGTTGTCTAGCTTGCTGGAAATTTCTGTCACCTCAAACAAACAGAACAAAAAATTTCTGTGGTTTGCTTCTGATATAAAGATTTGAGGCTGGGCACAGTGGCTCACACCTGTAATCCCAGTACTTTGGGAGGCCAAGGCAGGTGGATCACTTGAACCGAAGAGTTCGAGGCCAGCCTGGGCAACATGGCAAAATCCCATCTTTATCAAGAATACAAAAATTAGCTGGGCATGGTTGCTCTCACCTGTGGTCCTAGCTACTTAGGAGGCTGAGGCAGGAAGATCACTTGAGCCTAGAAGGCAGAGGTTGCAGTGAGCCGAAATCGCACCACTGCACTCCAGCCTAGGTGACTGAGTGAGACTCCGTCTCAAAAAGAAGAAAAAAAGATTTGATTATAATTCCAATCTTACAGTGTAGAAAACAGAGTTAATAAAAGGGTGAGCAACTGGAATTCAAGTCAGAAAGTGTGATTCTAGAGTTGAGACCCATAAACACATATCCTATCTTATCTGTGTTTGCAGAAAAACTGAGATAATTACTTGGATACCTCTCAACTTAGCTTCTTAATTATTTTCATTCTATTAACTTCTCCAGTAACAGCAACCCCATTTGAGTTCCCATGCTCTTTATTCTGCAATGATTTTGGTCTAGCAATCAGTTTCTTCTCCTATGACCTCTTTTTGTTATGCATAAAATTCTCCAGTTACAAGAAAGTTTCTCCAACCTTTTTCTTGCTGTAAAACTTCTGACTGTATTCACTGCCAAATTTTGTAAATGTGATCTATTCTCTACTTGTTATGTTAAATTTCACACTTCCTAATCACTTACTAAGCCACAGATATCTAGCTTCTTTCCAACACTGCTTAACATAAATTGTTCCAGAAACATCAGTAATGACTACATGATAGTCGAATTTTAGGGGCCCCTTCCAATATTTATTTTACTGACCTCAGAAGCACTGGGCATCGTGGGCCCTTCCTTAAAACTCCTCCATTTCCTTTCATGAAACCTGTCTCTCTGTGTTTCTCTATGTCCCTGATATTACCATAAATTGATATTTGTGTTTCTTTTCATCCTTCTCTTTAGCATTTAGAATTCTTCAGACATAGTCTTCATTTCTCATGGTATTCTCTAGGCCGGTAGTTCTCATATTTTAGTGTGTATTTAAGTCACGGGTAGATCTTCTTAAAATGCATTTCTGATCCAGGATGTCAAGGCAGAGCCCAAGATTCCACCTTGCCGTCAAGCTCCTGGGTGAACCAAATTCTGTTGCTCAAAGGACAACATTTCGAGTAAGATAGGAGATGCTTTACATCTACAATGATTCTCCCCTCTGTATAGACTGATAACTACCAGATTTATCTGTATCTTGGGCCTTTTCCCTGAGTACTATTCATCTGCCTGCCTGACTTCTCAAATCAGGCATCTTTCAGTGTTTCAACTCAAAGTGGAATTCACTGTCCTCACAGCAAAGCAAGCTTTTTTATTGCAGAATATGTATAAGTGATAGCAACAGTATCCACTGAGTTATCCTATTTATAAATTCAAATACATATTTTACACTTTGCTTTCCCTTTCTTCTTCTTTTCAAATCTGTAAGTTCCAGAAAGAAAAGAAAAAAATTAAAATACACTGACTCAGGAAAGCACTGTGACAGATATTTTCACATGTGATCTCTTTATATTTCCTTTAAATGCTCCTCTTATTTTCCTATAAATTTAGTAACTGTATTTGTGTACTTTTCAATTTTGTAGCTGTATATTGCCAACATTTTCCTTAATGTTTAAGATTCCTTATCCAGGTGTGGGCATGGTGGCTCATGCCTGTAATCTCAGCACTTTCAGAGACCAGCCTGGGCAACATAGTGAGACCCTATCTCTACAAACATTTTTTTAAAAAAGGTTCCTTATCCAAACTGAATCCTGGCATTCTCTTTAATATATTATTATTTTTTATATATTTTTTTCATTTTGAGTTTCAAGCAATTCCATTTCTCTAACTTGACATTTTAGATTTTCTTCCTCACTTTTTTGATTAACATATACACTCAAATTTTATGTTATATAATTCATTCTGAAAATATTAAAAATCTTATCTACCTAGTAAAAATGTTTTTATTAAAGTTTATTTCAGTATTTATCCATTTGTGAAATAATGTACATTATAATCATCATCATATATAAAATTACTATCTTTTGCATGTTATTTCATAAACTCATTCTCATTTTTCAATAATTTTCACAAATATTCATGGTAGAGTATAATTTAGTGTTATATTTAGTGTTAAATATACGCATTTACATATACATATATTTCTTGTTCAAAATGCCTAAAACTTTAAGCAATTTTATATCTTTCTGATAAAGTTAGACAATACAAACAGTATAATTCTAATCATTATTAATTTTCTGTCAAACGATTCTAAATGTAACTGAACATATTAATATAAAATAAATCATCTTTGGTTTTCAAAGTTCAAGTAAAATGTTTTGGCTTTTTTTTGTTATTTGAATATTGAATTGTACTAAGTATAGAAAATAGAAATTTTTGTCAGCACTTTAAAAATATATTGCTCAGAAAGTTGCTAAGAGATGCATACCAAATATAAATATATTTGAGGCAAAAATAACAAGTAAGTGTTCTGAGTTTTAAAAAAAGATTTCGGTAAAGAGGTTTATTAGAATGACATGTTTACATTTCTCTTGGCATCTAATATTTATTTTTACGCTCTTGGCTTAGGATAAAATCAGGATAAATGAAGCAAGAAGACCACAGTTATTGATGGGCCATTGAGTACACATGTTTACAGAGAATTTCCCTTTTTAAAGCCTTTTCATAAATCAATATTGAAGTTTATTTTATCATCCCTAAATAAACTTTATTTTAACTAACTGATAATCATTCATTGTTGAACTCTTAACTGGTCAAGTTGACACAAAATATACCTTGATCTTTTGTTCAACTAACATTAATGAATGTACAACATCCTCCTCTGTATAAAAAGGAGCTATAAATATCCGCATGTGTGAGCTTGGTTTAAATGAACCATTCTTTGATGCGTCTCCATGAATAGAGCTAAGTAGCTGATTCTCAGCTGTTCACCAGAAAAGTTTCCTGAGTGACTGCTTTCAGATACTTTACTGTAATTACCAGTTTCTCTTGTCTTTTCTGGCTTTATTTGCATGGAGAGAATAGTAACCTTGAGTCAATTTCTCAAGTTAAACTATTAAAAATTCATGATTTATTCAAAATTGTAATAACTTTTTCTCTAGATAATTAACCCAGTCTGTAGACCGGGCTAACTTCTTCTGACTTTCTTGGAAGATCCTACCCAAAGAAAAGGTCAAATCAGGAATTTAGATTATCTCGAAATGAACTGATGGAGAACAAAAAAGCCTCAAGACTCCTTTTCTCCTATAGCCATGGCTGACAATGACCCCCAAACCAGATTGTATTGCTTACTGTGTTGCAACACCAAAAAAAAATCACCTGCACCAAGTTCTGCCTGCTAAGGGAAAAAAAGACTTAGGAAACCAAAAAAGGTACAATGGAGACATTAGAACAAATACAACATGGTCTGAGATTTTGAACTCTGAATTTCCAAATACCTTGAAATAATCTTGCAGCGGGATGAGATCCTCTTTACCCTTCTGATGAATCCAGACTTCATTTGATTAAACCTTTTTTTTTTTTTTTTTTTGGTGACACAGAGTCTCCCTCTGTCAACCAGGCTGGAGAGCAGTGGCGCCATCTCAGCTCACTGCAACCTCCGCCTCCCGAGTTCAAGCAATTTTCCTGCCTCAGCCTCCTGAGTAGCTGGGACTACAGGCGCCCGCCACCACGCCTGGCTAATTTTTTGTATTTTTAGTAGAGTCGGGGTTTCACCATGTTAGCCAGGATGGTCTCCATCTTGGCCTCCCAAAGTGCTGGGATTACAGGCATGAGCCACCACACCTGGCCTGATTAAACCTTTTAAGGACTCAACTGAGCATTGCCTAATCAAGGAATAACTTTTGTCTCTATGTTCTTAGAGAGGCAGATCACAAAATTTCCTAGATAGAATAGTATAAGGTCTTCAATGAACCAAGAGAAATATAGCTCCCCCAAATTGCATGATCTTTCTTGCCAATTTTTATTTGCAGAAGTCTGAGTTACACTTATGCAAATAGATTCTAATACTGTAAGACAGAGTCAGGCTGCTTTTATCAATATAACTCCAACTCACCTAGAAACAAAGATTAAATATGGTGGTTCAAGTACCAGGGAATGGCATTAATAGTTGGATACAGTGGTAACACACTGTATAGGAAAAAATGTGAAGGTTCAGGGAGATAAAAATAGTTGAATGGATCTTGTATGTGCAAACTGTTTAAACACTCCCTAACCACACTCCCCAGGAATAAGCCAGAGGACTCTCTCTTCATGAAAGTGAAAGAAATGCATTGTTGAGACAAGTACGAGCATCCTTTCAAAGTTGTCGGCTGGTTTTCTTCAGATAACCAATTATAACTATTACGGACTGGTTTCGTCCCCCAAAATTCACATGTTAAGCCCTAAGCCCCAAGTCAGAACGTGACAATATTTGGAGATAAGGTCTTTAAAGTAAATAAGTTAAAATAAGGCTATCAGCGTGGGCCTTAATCCAAAGTGATTGGTGTCCTTATAAAAAGAGACTAGGACAAAAACATAAAATGATACCAGAGATGTATGCATGGCTTCCAAGGTCAAGCGGCCACCTCAGTTGAACCAGAAGGTGGGGCTGTGACATTAGTGAGACTGAAGAACAGAGCATTGAGCCAAAGAGCATTATTCTCCAGCCTTAACATCTGATAAAATGTGCCATGCTAGGTTCACACTTGCTTGGGATCCATGAAGACTGCTTTCCTTCTTTGAGCTTCTTTATATATTACAGTTTAATAATGTTGCTTACTCTTGTGTTCCATTGCTATTACAGACATTAATTTACTGGTCAATTCTAGGTGTTTGGTATAGAAAGACAAGCTGGGCAGTATATAAGCTCTGTCTGCACCTGGTTAGGAGCATTTGTCCTAATTTCTCCTTTAGCTCATGAGTGTTTAACATAATAACTTATGCTGCGTATGTGTTGCATTGTGAATATTTTCATTATTACATAAATTTTCTATACTAGAATAGCTAATATTTTAATAGACATATCAAATGTATCTAACCATAATGTCATCATTGGAAATTTAGATTGTTTTTCAATATTTAATATTTTAAATGGTTATAAAAGAAACAGTTTTTCCAAAACAATTACTTGTATTTGTAATTAATTTTGTTGTATATTGCCAAATTGACTTCCAGAAAATATGAATCCAGATTTTTAGTTCACTAGCAGTATATACAAATATCCATAACATTTCACACTTGCTAGCATTTGGGATTATAATATATTTTTTAAAAAATAGAACTTGATAGATTTTTTTATATTCTTTTAGTGACTCTTTAAGGAGCAAATACTATATAGCAGACAATTTTTAAGTGCTGGAAATATAATGGTGAACAAGGTAAACAATGTCTGTGCCCTTGAGCCCTCACGGACTTTAGTTTTTCAGTGAGAAAGAAGAGAGGAGAGTATAAATAGACAATGAACAGAATAAGTAAGTAGTGAATAAATGTAGCACAGAAGTGGTACCATGGTATGGAGAAAAATAAAGCACAAAAGGGAATACCAGTGAAATAGTCATTATTGATGCTCATTATGTACTTGTTACTCAGACTTCTAACGAATCCTGGAGGGCTGTGGTTGACTGGGGCCATCTAGTCAGTTCTACTTAATAAGTGCCAAGTCAAAGTGACCTGTTTTATCTCTGAGCTAGAGTATTGAATACCCTGTGAGAACCACAGCAGAGGTCTCTGTTTTTCTTACTGTTATGACTGGCAAAGTTATATAGTTTCTGTGCTTCTCTAGGGCTGGTCTAAAGGTACTGACGATATTGAGCAGAGCCCTGACCCATGAAT
The DNA here is from genome assembly GCF_000001405.40 of Homo sapiens. Classification (NCBI taxonomy): domain Eukaryota; kingdom Metazoa; phylum Chordata; class Mammalia; order Primates; family Hominidae; genus Homo; species Homo sapiens. The sequence continues at coordinate 187,384,792 of NC_000001.11, forward strand.
GATATATAGCAAGAACAAGAAATGAATCATCATGGTTTTAAGCTACTAGAATTATGGTGGTTTTTGTTTGTTTGTTTGGTTTTTGTTTTTTACATAGAGGCAGTAAGATATATTTTGTTGCTTTTTAAAATTGCATTTCTAGATAATTCAGAATACAACTAATTATTTGTTGGTTATCAACCTGTGTATCTTCTCCTGTGAATTGTCTACTTCTGTTCTTTGCTCATTAGCTTTTTTTTTAATCGGTGTTGGTGTTTTTCTTGCTAATATAAGAGCAATTTATAAATCAAAGAACTGAACTTTTGTAAAATATGTTAAAATATTTCCAAATTAATTTTGTTTGACATAGTTTTATAATTTGCATTTTATATGTCGATAATTATTTCTCACTAATTGCCAATTGGTTTTTGACTATATATGATGACAAGTGTAACACATATAGATTTGAAAGCTAAGGTAAGACACCTACAAAGGGAGTAAAGTAACAGGAAATTTGTGAAAAGAAAACATGGCATGAGGGCTCAGCTCTTATGTGAACAAGGGATAAACACTCATTTATTGAAATGGGTTAATTGGAAATCACTCAGCATGAACTCACAGCCTCAAAGGATTCTCTCTGTCACTGGTAAGAGCCAAGATATCTGTCTGTTTCCAAATGCAGTTGCCCCTGAGATAAAACTGCTTACAATCAGCAGCTCAAGTAAACACAATTTTCTTATGTTTTGTGCATTTTTAAACATAAACTGAACATATTTACAATTTTTTAATGGGATAACTTCCCTCTGTCCCCTGCAATTTTCAGATTTCGGGGGGAAAAAAGATAATGGGCTTGAGTATTTTTGTTGCATAGCATCAAATTTTGCCTATAAAAAGAAAAAATGAAATGAGATCAACATGTGTGCTAAATCAATAATGACTTTCTAGTGGAAAAGTGAATAAAAAATAATAACTAAAAAGTTTAATGTAACCACACTACACTAACAAGCAGGAGAGCTTACGGTGAAAAAGTTATGGATAGGTAATAACGAGAGTGCAAAGATATTTTTATTTTACCTTTTGGCTTTATTTGTTTTTGTTTCCAAAAAGTTTTCAATCACTTCTGGGTAAATTTTCAAATATTTGGCAACTACATAAAATATCTAAGCATTGTACATCAATCATCTTTGGTCCTCTAACAGGATCACCCATTATTGCTTCATACTGCATTATTCTTAGTTTGTATTCAGAAAAGAAAATGGAGTCCTCAACACATTGTCTTCTCTAAGAAGGCAGGGACTGTGTCTGTGGTGTGCATCATGGTCTATCAATATAAGTGCTTAGCACCTAATAGAGGCTCAATGCATGTTTAGTAAATGAATAAAAAGTCATCTAAAGTGTAAAATTTAATTTTGAGAATTTTTACTGAAGATAAGAATGTTTCATATGTATTTTGTTTCATGATCACTAATCCTTATGCTGAATAAACAAAAAGGTGGAAATTAAATCAATGAAACAAATTTATCACTGTTCATTCACCAGCAGTTATTGAAGAACCTCTATGTGCAAAAAACTATCCTATGTAGTCAATGGTAACAGGCATACATCCACTCAGACATACTACATCCCTGCTCTTAAAGAGATTAAGAAATCTTTCAGTGTAATAGCAATGTTTCATTCTGTACTGTGTCCCCAGTGCCTAGTTCAGCACTCCTTACCATATAACAGACATTGGCCTATTATTAATGAGGTAAGAAAAATATGAATGAACTTGGAGATCAAAGTAATGAGTTAACTCTATTAAAATTGTGTGTTGTGTGTGTGTGTGTGTGTCTTTATGTGTACATGAGAGAGAGAGAGATAATGAGATATGGTAGGGGTACAGTTTCCTTTAATGGTATAAACAAAAATTACACTTCCCTGCCAAAATAACGAAAACTTGACTTTCCCTTCATATAAGGACAAAGAGGAATTTATACACATTGTTTATTTTATTTTATTTTTTCTTGAATATATTCACTGGGATACTTAGGAAGATGTTTACAAAAGAACGATTTGACTCTTGACATCTAGCCTGCAGTAGGTGTTCAAATAACATTGCCACAAAAAGAAGAGAATCCTGTTTTAAAAAGATACATTTGCAAATTTCCCCTCTGGTTTCACATTTCTTGCTCTTTTGAGTTAATCTAGGTTCGTGCCATTCATTTTCAATAACATGGTATATATGAAAGAACCATGTATATTAAAAACATAAAATTAAGAAGTTAAAAAAATTGTGGGTTAAAGAATCTATGCTGTCAGTTCTCTCCTTTATATAGTCTTTCCACTTCCATTTATCTTACTTTTTCTCTCCTGCTACTGCCAGTCATTATAAAATTTGCTTGTCTGTCGTCAGCCACATTTCCATCACTTCTATTTGCTGAGAAAGAAAAAAAATTGACCTAAAACGCCTTCCAAAAATATACATATATTTTATATTTTACATGAACCAACATGTATAGCAACAACAACAACAACAAAAACCATAATGGCTTTAAGAGCATGATATAGAATATTGGCAAGTAAATTTTAAAACAATTTTATTTTTTCATGTGATGCTCCCTAAATAGTCCACTGTGTTCTATTTATCACCAGAAAACTTTTATTTTTAAGAAAGAGTCTTTATATTAGTTAATTCTCACATTTCTATAAAGAAATACCTGAGACAGGGTAATTTATGAAGACATGATGTTTAATTGGCTCACAGTTCTGCAGGCTGTACAGGAACCATGATGCTGGTGTCTGCTTGGCTGCTGGGGAGGCCTCAGGAAACTTACAATTATGGCGAAAGATGAAGCGGGAGCAGGCATGTCACATGGCTGGAGGAGGACCAAGAGAGAGAAAGGGAGCAAGGTGCCACACTTTTGAACAGCCAAGCTCACCAGAACTCACACACTTTGTGAGGACAGCACCAAAACGATGGTGCTAAACTAATTAAGAGAAATCCACCCCCATGACCCAGTCACCTCTCACCAGGCCCTATCTCCAACACTGGGGATTACAATTCAACCTGAGATTTGGGTGGGGAACACATCCAAACTTTATCAGTCTTGCTCTGTCACCCAGGCTGAAGTGCAGTGGCATGATCACGGCTCTCTGCAGCCTTTAACTCCTGGACTCAAGTGATCCTCCTGCCTCAACCTCCTGAGTAGCTGGGACTACAGGTGCATGCCACTACACCCAGACTAATTTTCTTATTTTATGTAGACATGAGGTCTCATTAAGTTGCCCAGACTGGTCTTGAACTCCTGAGCTCAAACAATCCTCCTGCCTCAGCCTCCCAAAGCCTCTTGAAGGGGAAGAAACTACATTCTGCTTAAAGATATTTATGCATTTTTTGTGTATAACATATAATACAATGAGGTATGCCCTAAAGGGCTTCTCAAAAAGTGCTTCTTTAAGTTGTTGGAAATTATCTTGTTCTCAAATTTTATATTATACATTTTAAAGCTGAACCATTTATTCCTCAAAGTGTGCCATAAGGGTACCTTAGGAGTCCTCACTGCATGACTAAATTAATGAAAAGATTGCCTACATTTGCTTTTAAAAAAAGCTATGACTTTACCTCACATCTTTTTCCTTCAACAGTGGGCTTTGTTCTGTTTTGAGACCAGCCAATGGTTTTTCTATCTTCAGAGCATCCTCTTGTTATATTGACTTAGATATACATCTTTTCAGGTTGGACCAAATAAAAACAAAGTAATTCTAAAGAAAAAAGAAGAAAGAGGAAAAGGAGGAGAAGAAAGATGGTCTTAGAACCATATCTTTAAATTAATCTCCTTGTTTTCATAATGTATGTCACCTCTAAATGTTTGATATACATGCCATCTAAAATATTACAGGCTTTCAAACTGACCACCAATAGAAGCAGATATCCTCACATATTTACATTGAATGAGATAAAATATTTTCATTACAGAATCTTTAGGAATTAAAATAAGGACAAAAAACACTTGATTATTTTTCTTGCATTGGTGAAATTTTTCAGGAAACAAGTTAAATTTTTAAAATTAATCAGAAGAATAAGTATATGACATATCTGAGATTATATTTCTACTATTATACTTTTTAGAATGAAAACTACAAAAATTATTTAATTCTCTCATTGTTACTTTCCAACTGATACACTTCCAAAATGTCTGATACCTTGATTGATATATGTAACCTCAGTTATCTAAGTAGCCAATTAGACAGAACACCTCAGCTATTGCTGTTAGAAGTCTATATGCTCTATAGTAAAATGGCATTTGGGTTACCCATTAAAAAGAGCTTTCAAAGCCAAAAATGTTTCCAGTAAATCTTTCTTTAGCTTCTCTACAGGCAGCAGTCTAAGCCGGATTTTTTGGTCCAGAGTAGAGATAAAATTCTTTATTTTTTTTTTCTAAACTTTCTGACTGCTAGTCAAACAGGCTATTAAGATTACTCACTTCAAAACACAAAACTCCACATTTTGGATTTATGAAAAGCGTGGTTAATCATATTTCAAACAAACAACATAATACAAATTAACCAGTGGGGGAAAAGGAGAATCAATCTGACCGCAGAACTATGATGTTTCAAAATATTCTAATTTATGGGTAAATTTATATTGAACAAAGCAGTTAAAAAAAAAACAGCTTTACCATAAAAAATGATATCTAATCGCTATGGTTTACCCTCCACTTGCCTGTCCTTGCCCATCTTTATAAGTCCACTTGTTGGAGAATGTGGGGGACAAGGAGAATGCAGTGGCTTTGGGGCCTAAAAGTGGCCAGGCTGAATAGAAGCAACTACTGCTGCAGAGTAATGCAGAGTCAAAAAATAAACATCATTTTGTATTTATTGAAACTTTTGATCATTGTTCATTATGACTTTTTTTGCATTAAGTTTATGGGGTTTTTTGAATTATTGCATCAAATATCATTTATATTTAATACTGACTTATCTGGCACACTCTTAATTTTGTTTCCAAGGTGACTGCCTCATTCACCTCATCCTAATCCCATCCCTGACTAAAGCTAAAGCTTAACAAAGTATGTATCCCTAGAAAAGCCTTAAAGAACCAGATTAAATAGGAGAAATATCAGGCAACTAGAGAATATTTGGGGGCCAACCCTTGCTTCACAGTTGTCGGTACACAAGGCTATCCTTTCACAGTGATTTATTCAGGAGAAATTCTAAAATGCTTAAGCAGAGGGAGGTTGAGGACTGCCACCAATTTGTTAATCACTCCAACAAGTCATGAATGTCTATATTTAGTTTTCTGCAGCTAAAGAAATCTTGGCTATAAAGAAACTTCTCTGCCATGAAATCCTCCACTTAAATATTTTCTAAAGTTAACTGACTGATGAGAATTTTTAATCTCAGCCTCTATGGATTCTTATGATAAAGGATTCAATTTAATCTTGCCTTAAGGACAGAGGCTGTTTGTTTAACTCTCTTTTCTCGAGTGGTAGAAATTAAAGCTTTAATCTCGAAGCAAAACCAAATTAGCAGGAATAGATCCCCAAATTTTGTCACTTATTCACCCTGATAGCTCCCTGAGCACACAGCTGCTTGTCCTCTGAGTCATCTCACCACTCCCCTCTTGTATTGTGTATTCAAATAAGCCTGCAAAGGGACTAAAGGGATGCTGGCATCTCTTCCTCTGATAATGGATAATTGAGCTCAATATTATTTTATCACCCGCCTCTGTGCTTTCCAAATAGCCTTAACAGGTTGCACTGTATAAAATCAAGCTAGGGAATGATTCTTTTGAAAATTAGCATGTTCAATCAAAATCCAGCAGGCTTTCCTTTTCAAAGCATCTGTTGTCATTTCAAATTTATGAACCACCTTAGCACTGTCTGTGACATCAATTGGCTTTTGAGCTATCACTTCTTAGTATGTAGCAATGTGTTCCACTAAATGTTAGTAAAAGACAATATCAGGCTTTGATGGCTTATCAAAGTGTTTTCATTAAATGACTTTTCAAAATCATGGTTGTAATATGCTTTGGGGTTACAGCCCAGGAAGATCCATACATTTGAAAGACTTGGGAAAATACAGTTAGGCAGATCCAAATATTGCAGCTGCTCCTTTGTCCCTGGCCAAACAATTCTTGCCTTTGAGTTAAGAGTTAAGAAGATGACAAGCTAAAGGTTCAGTATCCCAGTCATTACGGTAGCATGTGTGTGACCTCCTCAACAGGTCCAAATTCTGTAGTTAAACCGCGTGAACAGAAATTCATATGCAGATAGTTAAGAAATTAAATATAAAGACTGTAAATTATGTAAATGGTATATTTTTTGTTAACTTACTTTATGAATGCTTTTACCGAGAAAGGGGGACCTCCTACAACGTAGATCACTGCTTCACCCCAGCCTCATCCCTCAGAGATTTTGATTCTCATTCAGTAGGCTTAGGGTCAGCCTTGGCACCTACCTTTCAGGTGATTATTATGCAAATTTATTCAAGGAACATAATTTTAGAAAAATTTATATATATTTTCATGGTGGGCTTTTATCATGTCCTAGTTACTTTAGTTAGAGCATTAACCGTGTTCAAAACTTCTTTCCCCCTTTGCTCTCTCATCTTTAGATGTTTATTATCTGCACTTTGCATATTTATTCTTCAATGTAGTTACATGCACAATAGAAATAATCCAGGATTTAAGGACACGTTTAAATATTGTCTATGGACAGGAATAAAATATGCCTCTAACTACTGACATTTTACAAAGCTAATATGTACTGTTTTTATTCTTTGTTCTTTCAATGCACTATTTGAATAGAACACTGCAAAGCACTGAAATATGTTGGTAAACTCAAGCTAGTCTGCTTTCTGCTTTGCAATATAGTAAAACATTAATCTTAAACAAGTAATCTGCATGCAAAATTGCCATAAGTGCTGCTAAAGTATAGTAAAGAACACTATGGTGACTTCGAGGAATAAATGAAGTAACTAATTGTTTGGCTCAAAGAAATTCAATAAATATTATTTAACTTACCCTTGTGGGTTTGTGATGGGAGTTAAGGGTGGGGAGGGTGATATTTTAAAGCTACTTTTTTTTTTGAGATGGAATATCACTCTGATGCCCAGGCTGGAGTACAGTGGTGCTATCTCAGCTCACTGCAACCTCCGCCTCCCGGGTTCAAGCAATTCTCCTGCCTCAGCCTCCCAAGTAGCTGGGATTATAGGCGCACAGCACCATGCCTGGCTAATTTTTGTATTTTTAGTAGAAACAGGGTTTCGCCACGTTGGCCAGGCTTGTCTCAAACCCCTGACCTCAGGTTATCCACCCACTTCGGTCTCCCAAAGCGCTGGGAGATTACAGGCGTGAGCCACGGCACCCGACCTTTAAAGATACTTTTAATGGTAATAGAGTACCCAAGACCACTGATTGTAAAATTAATTTAAATCTGATTTAAGCTCATATAAGTAAATACACACACACAAACACACACACGCACATGCACACAGCTATCATCTATCTATCTATCCATCCATCCAAATAACCTTATTTTCAGTTTTACAGATTTACTTCCATTTGCTATCTGTCAGCAAGTTAGTACCTAATACTGGATCAATTTTTAGCTCAGTTGGCTTACCTGAATGATTAGTTTATGTTCATAAAAAATGACCTTTTATTCTTAAAAAGGTATTTGGAATGCCTTTAGTACTGGTTCAATAAATTAATTATTATTGTTTCTTTATTATAAATTGGCATTTAGAATAATTATTATGAAAAATAATATGGGCTCTGCTAGTTTACATGTTTTGGAATGATTGTATCTGCTTGAATGATAATTAATATTAGGATAATGAAATGCTATATTTCTATAAATTCTTCTTGAATTATTCATTTCTAATTTTTGGATAATTTATTTTATTATTTTTAAATTGTGTTTCCAGATTCTTCTCTATCCATCTTATATTTTAAAAAAATAGTTTCTCCTAAATTCTTGAAAAAGGACAGGAATAATCCAGAGTGCTACACAATTTTTAATAAAGAATATTCAGGAAGGCTTATAGTTGGAGTTGGTGATCTTTAAGAGAGTGTAGTTGGGCTAAATTTGTACATAGCAAATCGATTGGCACATGGAAGAACTTAAGGACTACTAGTCATTTTCTATGTTTAATTTTATCTCTCAGTTTTGTTTAACTTAAAGCCTTTAACGTAGCATGTTAAATCAAGAATCTCCTAATTTATAATTATACATATAATTATTATTTTTCTCAGAAAAAAATTATTTCCAAAGAGTAAGTTTGAGTTGGCTTCTTGCTGTAGTCTCATTTTGCAATATGTTCCTCAAATTTATAATATATGTGAAGGGGAAAATAAAATCCAAGAATTACAAAAACGCATTTCCAGGTATTTTCCATCTAGAATGTGTTTATTCTCTAGAGTAAGCAACTGATATTAGAAAATCAATTTCTATTTTTACAAAGATAAGCGTACATTGGTAGACTCTCATAAAACATTGGCCTGAAAAAAATGAAGCCTTAAAGAAATAGCTATAGCCTAATAAGCTATAGTCTAATAAGAATTTAGTTATTTTTTTCTTAAAAAATGTAAAATAAAGAAGTGGATCTGCATTTTTTCTACTTATTATTCTCTAGCCAATTAATATGGACACTCTTTGTCACATGAAAATGAGAATTGCTGCTTACAATTAAAATAGCATTTACTCTAAAAGATTACTTTATCTTGGCCTCAAAATATCAGTAAACAATAAACATTGCAAAAGTATGTCATTTTGATTTATCTTCCATCTTCCAACGTTTTACAGTAAATAAATAATTATATTTTGTGTGTTAAGAAAAGTGATTTTTAAATGTAAATGCGTATAAAATGTTACTATTTGATCTAGATACACTCTTTGTATTGTGATATGATCTAGGAAGCATTCTTGGCCTGGAATTGACCCTTGTTATAGTTATTGCCAATTCAATACCCCCCAAACCTGCCTTACAGATACTATTAGTTGACTTTGAGGTATCTTTATAAAATCTTGGTGATCTGGTAATTATATGGTATATTTTAAACATGTTTACAGATAATTGGTCTTGCTCAGAATCTACAAATTTGGAATCTTGAGCCTAACAATGGAGCTCATATTACATATGCAGCTTAGGTATGTTTACTTTAAAAACAGAGAATGTTTTGACTTGAGTTACAGGGAAGAATGATCCTAACAGAAAAAGGTACTCACCTGCCAATTGATTTCTGAAACCTCACCAAGATACATCTATTCCCTTGGGACCTCCCAGCTACTTTTTCTTTTTTAAGGCAAACTACAAACACCACTAGAAATAACAAATTTAATCCTGCTATAAATATTATGAATAACACAGTCTGTGTTAGTTATTTAGATTTTTTTTTCTGAGAGCAATTTTCCATAGGCTAGAAGTTGAAAAACATTTTAAAATAGACATCGTTCATGAGCATATGCATGTGTGTGTTGGTGCGTCTGTGTGTGTGAGTGTGTGTGTGCGCACAAATGACAAGGCAGTGCAGGTTTAGAAAAGATCTGCCAAAAAGAATGAGTAGTCTGGAGAATATTACAAACATGCTGCATACACTACTTAATAATTTAATGTAGGGCTTGCACTGGGTATTATGTGCACTTTTAGGTTATTATGAAACTGTCATGTAGAAGCATCCTATGTAAAAAAATAATGATGTTTGCCAACTGACTTGGTTAATACCTGTCACTGATTCGCAGTGTGGAGAAATTATTTTAAGAAAACGCTTTTCCAGGCAAAGGAGGAGTGCATTGTCTCTGTCTAGTGAGGGATGGTGGCATCTCAGTTCATGGGCACAGTGTGATTGTTTCCATTTAGCATGCGATGTCATTGAATTAATAATTGGGTTTGCTTACTAGTAGCAAGATATTTCTGCCATCACTTGGGAATTCAAATGCCTGGCATATAACTTAACATTAATTTTTGGTACAATTAACCATTTCTTATTTCTTTATTTCGGCATAATTTCCAAATAAAATGCATGCATTCTTTCATTACTACAATAAAATTTAGATAGATAGATGAAGTAATTTTTTTAGATTTTATTTAAACAATTATGAAACTTCATGCAATAAGAAAGAAGACTTTTAGGCTGGGCACAGTGGCTCATGCCTGTAATTCCAGCACTGTGGGAGGCCAAGGTGGTCATGATCACTTGAGGTCAGGAGTTTGAGACCAGCATGGTCAACATGGCGAAACTCTGTCTCTACTAAAAAATAAAAAATAAAAAAAATTTAGCCAAGCATGGTGCACACACCTGTAATCCCAGCTACTCAGAAGGCCAAGGCAGGAGAATTACTTGAACCCGGGAGGCAGAGATTGCAGTGAGCCAAGATCGCACCACTGCACTCCAGCCTGGGCGACAGAGCAATACTCCGTCTCAAACAAACAAAAGAGTAGAGAGGTAAGAAGTCAGTCATCACTAAGGTAAGAGAGAGAGCACAAAATAAATGGTCTCTACTTCACACTTTTTCTTATTTTCATAGTATGCCTGTAATAGAAATGGCTATTTTAAAAGGCTCTTATAAACATTTATGATTTCTTTTTACCTAGTTTTCTTTAGATTGTCCATAGTGAAGCAAAAATATTCAAATGTCTGATGATAGATGCAGATTCTGCTAGGTGAGAGATGAGAAAAATGGCAGAAAGTATATTCAATACACCTTGCTGGCCAACCATCTCAGACACCATGGACACAACCTGAACTCCCCTCTGCCTTTTCATGTTATACTTCTCTCTGGCCTGTTCACTTGGGGAGGCCATTGCTTTGTTTTGATTACATAGTAATTACTCTTGAAAGAATATATGTGCATGCATATGTGTGTTCTGTGTGTGTGTGTGTTTGAGAGAGAGAGAGAGAGAGAAAGACAGAAGACCAGAAAGAGAGACAGAAGCAAGGAAAAGAAGAGCACAAGAGACACATTTGTTTTCCTCTAATTCTGGGATTTTCACCAATATTGCTGATATATTGCTATTCTACTGAGAAATTAATTTATTCTTAAACTATTTTACACTAACCCATCCTACTATGCCCATGATGTGCTTCAATCACAAAAAGGAAGTTTAAGGTGAGGAATAAAATATTGCTTTTAATGATTGGAAGTAACACTTTTAAGATTGCTAGCATTTATGGATAAACATCAATGGGCTCACATGGAGCATCCAAAAATGTATTTATTTAAGAGTGATAATATTTGTAGTGTTTAAGGCCCTCTGGCCAGAATGCCAAAATTAAATGCCCTATGATAAAATCCTTGCCATCTTTAGCAAGTTATTTGACTTCCCCGTGCATCTACCTTGTTTTTTCTAACCACACAAAGGAAAAAAGTATAATCACAAGAACCTAAATTATAAGATCATGATGAATTAAATGACAATACATGTAAAATATTTAGAAGACTGTCTATATATTAGTTTGCTATTACTACTATAACAAATTACCACAAATGTAGTGGCCTAAACAACATAAACTTAATATTTTACAGTGTTGTATTTCAGAAGCCTGAAATATGTCTCACTAGGCTAAAATCAAGGGGTCAGCAGGACTGTGTTCCTTGCTGGAAGCTCTTGGAAGAATCTGTTTACTTGTCTTTTTCAACTTCCAGAGGTGGCAGCATTCCCTAACTCTTGGCCCCCTTCCATCTTCAAAGCCACCAGTATGTAGTCTGGTCTCTCTGATATCTGACTCTTCTGCCTCCCTCCTCCACATTTAAAACATGCTTGTCAGGGGATTGCTGGCAAGATGGCTGAATAGGAATAGCTCTGGTCTGCAGCTCCCAGCAAGATTGACACAGAAGGTGAGTGATTTCTGCATTTCCAACTGAGATACCTGGTTCATGTCATTGGGACTGATTGGACAGTGGGTGCAGCCCAAGGAGGGCAAGCCAAAGCAGGGTGGGGCGTTGCCTCACCCAGGAAGGGCAAGGGGTCGGGGAACTCCTCCTCCTAGCGAAGGGAAGCCATTAGGGATTGTACCATGCACTCCGGCCCAGACACTGCACTTTTCCCACGGTCTTTGCAACCCACAGACCAGGACATTCACTCCAGTGCCCATGGCACAAGGGCCCTGAGTTTCCAGCACAAAACTTGGTGGCCCTTTGGGCAGACACCAAGATAGACACAGGAGGTTTTTTTTCATACCCCAGTGGCTCCAGGAATGCCAGCAAGACAGAACTGTTCACTCTCCTGGAAAGGGGACTGAAGCCAGGGAGCCAAGTGGTCTGGCTGGGCAGTTCCCACCCTTATGGAGCCCAGGAAGCTAAGATCCACTGGCTTGAAATCCTTGCTGCTAGCACAGCAGTCTGAGCTCGAACTGGGACACTCCAGCTTGATGGGGGGAGGTGGGTCAGCCACTGCTGAGGCTTGAACAGGCAGTTTTACCCTCACAGTGTAAATAAACCCGCCAGGAAGTTTGAACTGGGCAGAGACCACCGCAGCTCAGCAAGGTCACTGCGTCCAGACTGCCTCTCCAGATTCCCTCCTCTCTGGGCAGAGCATCTCTGAAAATAAGGCAGCAACCCCAGTCAGAGACTTAGAAATAAAACCCCCACCTCCCTGGGACAGAGCAGTTGGGGGAAGGGGTGATTGGGGACGCAGCTTCAGCAAACTTAAACGTCCCTGCCTGGCAGCTCTGAAGACAGTAGCAGATCCCCCAGCACAGTGTTTGAGCTCTGATAAGGGACAGACTGCCTCCTAAAGTGGGTCCTTGACCCCGTGTATCCTGACTGGGAGATGACTTGCAGTAAGGGCCGACAGACACCTCATACAGGAGAGCTCTGGCTGCCACTTGGCAAGTGCCCCTCTGGGACGAAGCTTCCGGAGGAAGGAACAGGCAGCAATCTTTGTTGTTCTGCAGCCTCCGTCGGTAATACCCAGGCAAACAGGGTCTGGAGTGGGCCTCCAGCAAACTCCAGACCTGCAGCAGAGGGGCCTGAATGTTAGAAGGAAAACTAACAAACAGCAAGGAATAGTATCAACATCAACAAAAAGGATGTCCACACAGAGACCCCATCCGAAGGTCATCGACTTCAAAGACCAAAGGTAAATAAATCCACAAAGATGGGGAGAAACCAGCGAAAAAAGGCTGTAACTTCCAAAAACCAGAATACCCCTTCTCCTCCAAAGGATCACAACTCCTTGCCAGCAAAGGAACAAAACTGGACGGAGAATGAGTTTCACAAACTGACAGAAGTAAGCTTCAGAAGGTGGGTAATAACAAACTCCTCTGAGCTAAAGGAGCACGTTCTAACCCGATGCAAGGAAGCTAAGAACCTTGAAAAAAGATTAGATGAATCGCTAACTAGAATAACCAGTTCAGAGAAGAACATAAATGACAGTCTATCAGATGACAGTCTCTCAGACCACAGTGCAATCAAATTAGAACTCAGGATTAAGAAACTCACTCAAAACCTCACAACTACATGGAAACTGAACAACCTGCTCCTGAATGACTACTGGGTACATAACGAAATAAAGGCATAAATAAAGATGTTCTTTGAAACCAATGAGAATAAAGACACTGTGTACCAGAATCTCTGGGACACATTTAAAGCAGTCTGTAGAAGGAAATATACAGCACTAAATACCCATAAGAGAAAGCAGGAAAGATCTAAAATCAACACCCTAACATCACGTTTAAAAGAAGTAGAGAAGCAGGAGCAAACAAATTCGAAAGCTAGCAGAAGGCAAGAAATAACTCAGATCAGAACAGAACTGAAGGGGATAGAGACATGAAAAACCCTTCAAGAAATCAATGAATACAGGAGCTGGTTTTTTGAAAAGATCAACAAAATAGATAGACCTCTAGCCAGACTAATAAAGAAGAAAAGAGAGAAGAATCAAATAGATGCAATAAAAAATGATAAGAAGATATCACCACCAATCCCACAGAAATACAAACTACCATCAGAGAATACTATAAACAAGTCTATGCAAGTAAACTAGAAAATCTAGAAGAAATGGATAAATTCCTGGACACATACACCCCCCAAGACCAAACCAGGAAGAAGTCGAATCCCTGAATAGGCCAATAACAAGTTCTGAAATTGAGGCAGCAATTCATATCCTACCAACTAAACAAAGTCCAGGACCAGACGGATTCACAGCCAAATTCTACTAGAGGTACAAAGAGGAGCTGGTACCATTTCTTCTGAAACTATTCCAAACAATAGAAAAAGAGGGAATCCTCCCTAACTCATTTTATGTGGCGAGCATCACCCTAATACCAAAACCTGGCAGAGACACAACAAAAAAAGAAAATTTCAGGCCAATATTCCTGATGAACATTGATGTGAAAATCCTTAATAAAATACTTGCAAACCGAATCTAGCAGCACATCAAAAAGCTTATCCACTACGATCAAGTCAGAGTCATCCCTGGGATGCAAGGCTGCTTTGACATACGCAAATCAATAAACATACTCCATCACATAAACAGAACCAATGCCAAAAACCATATGATTATCTCAATACATACAGAAAAGGCCTTCAAGAAAATTCAACACCCCTTCATGCTAAAAACTGCCAATAAACTAGGTATTGACAGAACATATCTCAAAATAATAAGAGCTATTTATCACAAGCCCACAGCCAATATCATACGGAATGGGCAAAAACTGGAAGCATTCCCTTGAAAACTGGCACAAGACAAGGATGCCCTCTCTCACCACTACTACTCAACATAGTATTGGAAGTTCTGGCCAGGGCAATCAGGCAAGAGAAAAAAATAAAGGGTATTCAAATAGGAAAAGAGGAAGTCAAATTGTCTCTGTTTGCAGATGACATGATTGTATATTTAGAAAACCCCATCGTCTCAGCCACAAATCTCCTTAAGCTGATAAGCAACTTCAGCAAAGTCTCAGGATACAAAATCAATGTGCAGATATCACAAGCATTCCTATACGCCAATAACAGACAAACAGAGAGCCAAAACATGAGTGAACTCCCATTCACAATTGCTACTAAGAGAATAAAATACCTAGCAATACAGTTTACATGGAAAGTGAAGGACCTCTTCAAAGAGAACTACAAACCACTGCTCAAGGAAATAAAACAGGACACAAAGGGAAAAACATTCCATGCTCATGGAAAGGAAGAATCAATATCATGAAAATGGCCATACTGCCCAAAGTAATTTATAGATTCAATGTCATCCCCATCAAGCTAACAATGACTTTCTTCACAGAATTGGAAAAAACTACTTTAAAATTCGTATGGAACCAAAAAAGAGCCCACATAGCCAAGACAATTCTAAGCAAAAAGAACAAAGCTGGAGGCATCATGCTACCTGACTTCAAACTACACTACAAGGCTACAGCAACAAAAACAGCATGGTACTGGTACCAAAACACAGATATAGACCAATGGAACAGAAAAGAGACTTCAGAAATAACACCACACATCTATAACCACCTGATCTTTGACAAACCTGATAAAAACAAGCAATGGGGAAATGATTCCCTATTGAATAAATGGTGTTGGGAAAATTGGCTAGCCATATGCAGAAAGCTGAAACTGGATCCTTTCCTTACACCTTATACAAAAATTAACTCAAGATGTATTAAAGACTTAAATGCAAGACCTGAAACCATAAAAATCCTAGAAGAAAACCTAGGCAATACCATTCAGGACATAGGCATGGGCAAAGACTTCATGACTAAAACACCAAAAGCAATGGCAACAAAAGCCAAAATTGACAAATGGGATCTAATTAAACTAAAGAGCTTCTGCACAGCAAAAGAAACTATCATCAGAGTGAACAGCCAACCTACAAAATGGGAGAAAATGTTTGCAGTGTATCCATCTGACAAAGGGCTAGTATGCAGAATCTACAAAGAACTTAAACAAATTTACAAGAAAAAACAAACAATCCATCAAAAAGTGGGTGAAGGATGTGAACAGACACTTCTCCAAAGAAGACATGTATGCAGCCAACAAACATCATCATCATCACTGGTCATTAGAGAAATGCAAATCAATACCACAATGAGATACCATCTCATGCCAGTTAGAATGGAGATCATTAAAAAGTCAGGAAATAACAGATGCTGGAGAGGATGTGGAAAAGTAGGAATGCTTTTACACTGTTGGTGGGAGTATAAATCAGTTCAACCATTGTGGAAGACAGTGTGGCGATTCCTCAAGGATCTAGAATTAGAAATACCATTTGACCCAGCAATCCTATTACTGAGTATATACTTAAAGGATTATAGATCATTCTACTATAAAGACACATGCACGCATATGTTTATTGCGGCACTGTTCACAGTAGCAATGACTTGAAATCAATCCAAATACCTATCAGTGATAGACTGGATAAAGAAAATATGGCACATATACACCATAAAATACTATGCAGCCATAAAAAAGGATGAGTTCATGTCCTTTTCAGGGACATGGATAAAAATGGAAACCATCATTCTCAGCAAACTAGCACAATAACAGAAAACCAAACACCGCATGTTCTCACACATAATTGGGAGCTGAATAATGAGAACACATGGACACAGGGAGGGGAATATCACATACCTGGGCCTGTTGGGTGGTGGGGGGCTAGAGGAGGGATAACATTAGGAAAAATACCTAATGTAGATGACAGGTTGATGGGTGCAGCAAACCACCATGGCACATGTATACCTATGTAAAAAACCTTCACGTTCTGTACATTTACCCAAAACTTAAAGTATAATAATAATAATAATAATAAAAGACACTTGTAATGATTATGTTGCATCCACCCAGATCATCCAGGAAAATCTTCCTATGTTAAGGTCAGGTAATTGGCAACATTAATTTCCTATTGCCATGCAACATAACAAGTGACAGAGATTAGGACTTGGGCATTTTTGTTGGGGCCATTATTCTGCCCAACACAGCCAGATATATAGCAAGAATTTTAAAATGTTAACTATTGTAACATTTTTGAAAATGCAAATGTATGGATTTTTTTCTGTAAAGGTTCATGGTTTTAATAAACCCAAACAATCACCAGAAAGATAAATAAATTATTATTTGTAGAAATAAAGTACGTAAGTTAGAAAATAATGTCAGGCCAGACATGGTGGCTCACACCTGTAATCCCAGCACTTTGGGAAGCCAAGGAGGGAGCATTCCTTGATCCCAGGAGTTCAAGAGCAGCCTGGGCAACATAGTGAGACCTTGTCTTTACCAAAATAAAAAAATTAGCCAGGTGTGGTGGTGCCTGCTTGTAGTCCTAGCTACTTGGGAGGTTGAAGTGGGAGGATCACTTGAGTCTGGGAGGTCAAGATTGCAGTAAGTTGTGATTGCACCACTGCACTCAAGCTGGAGTGACAGAGTGAGACTGTCTCAAAAAAAGTATAGATTAAAATGAATAATATAAAGTGAATGATATAAAATTGCCACATATTATATATGACTAGACTGGATACAAAGTAATTTGTATTTCTCTTGAAGGAGTACCGTTTTAATTGAAAAATTTTCAAGTGCATTTGCATTCTGTCCAATTTTAGCCCCATTCCATTGCAAACACAATTAATTGGAAATAGATAAAAATTATTGGTGTTCATAGAGAAGTACAATATGCATATCTGTATTGTTATATTCAAGATCAAAAAGTCCCTGTTATTAAGTTAGGAAGGGGAGCTAACACAAGTCTCTACTGTGTTCTGGACACAATGTCAGGTGCTCCACTGGTGGCTTCATTCTCACCAAAAGTCACATGTGATTCAGAGGTAATTGTCCTGTTTTATGGATAAGAAATCTGAGATTTAGAAAAGTTGACCACATTGATAAAATTTATACAGCTAGTAATATATGAGACTAGCATATTGACCACCCATTTCTCACTCAAAAGTCTTTGTTTTCTCCCCACAGTCTGCTTCCTCTCTAAACTACAGCTTATACTGTATTGGTTTCCCATCTGTACCATGAGATTTCTCATAAAACATTGCTTAGTCTCCATATAACCTATAACATTTATAACAGAAACACAGACCTATAATATGACATTTTAGACAGTTGTGACATCATTTTCTAATGCCCCATTAAGTTAGCAGAAACTACTATTTTAAAGACAAATAGTATTTTCCATTCAATAGTTGGCATATTTACAATTTTCAGTCAATGCATGTTTTTAATTTCACACCATATGATTTTGAACTAACAATTTCAGGCCAGTGATATTTGTCTTTGTCTCCTCCTTAATGAACTGAATGTTTCCAAAAACATGAAATAAGGTACCTGTGTTGCTAAGAAAGATGAAGTCATTTCATCTACAGAAAATATTCTTACTATCCTAAAAGACTGGAATTAGTGGGGAGTGACCCATAGGAGTGATTAAATTCAGGTTGGTCAAACTTGACAATTGGTTCTCTTTAAGCACAAACAAGTACTTAAGATTCTTTTTCCTTTTATTTCCTCTCCCTTACACTTATTCATATTGTATAATCATAACAGTTTCCCAATACTTGAAGAAATTTGACCTAGCTTTTGAGCTCCTTGAAAGAAAAGTCTGGGCCAGGCGTGGTGGCTCACGCCTGTAATCCCAGCACTTTGGGAGGTCAACGGTGGTGGATCACTTGAGGTCAGGAGTTTGAGATCAGCTGGCCAGCATGGTGAAACCCTGTCTCCACTAAAAATACAAAAACTAGCCAGGTGTGGTGGCATGCGCCTGTAATCCCAGCCACTCAGGAGGATGAGGCAGGAGAATTGCTTGAACCCGGGAGGCAAAGGTTGCTGTGAGCCGAGATGGTGCCACTGCACTCCACCCTGGGCAACAAAGTGAGAATCCATCAAAAAGAAAGAAAGAAAGAAAGAAAGAAATATTGATTTATATTTCTGTTTTATTCTCATGTCGCTTGACATGGGATTATAGTAATATTACGCTTGGGGTAAACACTTAACAGATGCATTTTAAAGGACTTTAACAGGCTTGTTACTTCCCTTTCTCATGAAGACCTTTGTTTTTATAACAAATATCTTAATATAGTTATGACAAAGAATGATAGTGACTAGTATCCAGAGCTTCCTTCAGCTTTCTTTGAGCCTATTCTCCATCCTTCACCAGCTGTCTTTCAGAAGACCCAAGGCAAGCAAAGTGGCTAGAAATGTAAATTACCTCTTTATAGCATGGAGTTTTGGTAAGGAAAAATGTGGTGAAAAGTTTTGAATTACTGTATAAATTATTTGTAGGCAAATCAACAAAAATTTTAAATGGTTCAGTGACAAAAAGCAATATACACAAAAATGTTTTTTTTTTTTTAAATGGGAATGTGTCTTATCTGTTTTAGCACTGATGTTTCCTAATTGTAAAATGTCTTCATAGAACTGCAGGAGACAGAAAAGTAAGACTTCTTCAGTTTCACAAGAACACCTTTGGAATTCATATGTAATTGACTTAAACTGTAAAGACAAGAGATCATTTTCTGTATTCCATGTCTTTTGGCATGTTTCTTTATTTATTTCATTACGTAGGAAGACAGTAGTTTCAAATATTATTTTTGGAAAAAAACAGAATACCATCACCATCAGATAATTTTCCACCAACATTGATTATTATACTGAAATTCTCTCTAGATGTGGATTATCAAAGAGAAAAGAGATAAATGTGAATTAAATATTGTTAAAGTGTTAAATGTTAAAGTCATGCAATCAGAATTAGGGATATATTGGAGGTTCGTTAATTTAAGCATTGGCTTTCTGGAATCAAAACAGCTGTTTTCAATAATTCATCTTTACTGTTGCCTCAGGCTCTTATATCTCCTGTTTATTAATTAGGAACAGAATTATACTTATTTACTCTTTGATTATTTCATCTTTTTCTTGGTTTCTTACTGAATCCCCATAATATGGGATGCTTGCCAAAATGTTGATGCTGGCTCAGGGGGATTACCCATGTAACAGATCATCTAATAAAGTCTAGATGATCTGGGATTTATAGAGAGGAAATTGAATAAGGAGGAAAGGTCAGTGGAAAGGTAGGAGGAAATTTTCTCTGACATTTATCTTAGTCAACACACTAATTTTCGAGTTTGGATAGGAGCATCTATGCCTAGCTCTCAGGTTGCCAGGCTGGACATAACAGTGTCTCATCTCCTTATCTTCTGCAAGACTAGCTCAACATTCCCAAAGTGGGATTCTGACCTTTTCCTTGATAAAGATTATACCGTAGTAAAGGAGGAGCTGAATAGTTTTGCTCTTTTCTCTATCATATGCTCACACTAATTATCTTTTCAAAAAAGACATCCTACTCTTCTTTTGTTTATTTACTTTCCTAGTTCATAAATAGCTTTAAAAAGATTTGTGTTATCCTTAAATTTTTAAATAAGTCTGAGTTGATTTTAAGCATGTTCATTTCTCTTGACATTGTGGCCCTTTTGTGTAATCATACTTGATCTTACAGCCCTCTTTCCAACATTTGTATAGACAATTAAACATTCTGAGTTTATCATAAAGCTCTCTCTCATTTGCATTAATTTAAGTGCCTTCTTTTTTCTTCTTCACTGGAATAATTTGTGATTATATTAGCATAACTTTTACAGCCTTCAGGTATTCCTGACTTATCAATATTCTTAAGACTCATAGAACATAGGATCATAAAAGTATTTCCTGGAATGTTTTAATGATGTATTATTATAAAATTATTTATTTTTTATTATTGATTGAGCTACACATATTATATGAAGTTATGAAAAAAAGCAAAGTAGACATATAGCCAACGAACAGTAGCAGTAGTAGTAGTAGCAGTAGTAGTAGATGTTTCTTATAACCAGTTCTCCAAGGGTGGGGAAAAATACAGAAGGGTAGCATTTCTTAAATTCCTTGACATAAATGCTCCCACTATGATCAAGCTCAGATGGCCAGCACTACAGCACTGAACAGGGCATAGGAAAGAGATGAGAACAATTGGTCCAGGGGAGCTGGTATGAGTTGGCACCAGCATACACTTCTGTTCACTTCAACAACAGTGGTTTCATGCCCAGTACCCTCTTAGTCCTTAGAGTCCTCTCTGCAGAAGTGACAACTCTGGACCCTGTTAGCTGTTCAATTCAGCATTTAGGCATCATTAAATAATTTTTATTAATAAGAATTGACAAGTATTCTTTATTTATCTATTTTAGACATTAAACGTTGTCTTCTTATTTTGGTACAGAAGGATTTAATTCTCTAACGCTGCCATCCCTTTTTTATTTCCTTCTGCCTTCTTTTTAGTGTTGCTGAGTGACAGTTTTTATTTGAATCAATACTAAGTTTTAATTTACTGTGTTATGAATATGAAATCACACTGAATATTGTGTACTATTATTACTTATTTTTCACTTTCTTCTAAAGTTAATGATTACCTTTTTTAAAATAAATGTATATAGTTTTGTACCTATTGCTAATTTTTTCCACAACTTCCAATAGCCTCTCAGCATAACTTCTCAAATATTATGATCTGTAATCTGACAGTTTCAAAGTATTTTTGGAGCCATTTCTCCTGGAGTCTTCTTCTTCTATTTGGACTGTCTATTCTCTAGTCTTAGTGAACAACTCTCTTTCTGGGACTCTCCTTGCTGTAATTGTAAAAACTCTTTTTGTTTTTCTCTTAGTTGGTGTATATATTTCTGCCATTTGATAGATCTTATGTATATGTCTTTATTATATCTCTTTCTTTCTCACTCCGTCATTGGACCACATTCACTTATGGCTTCATCCAAAGAATAAAGCAGAGAAAGAGCAGAGACATGGTGTTGATGACCTTAATATATTTACCTTGAGTCAAACCGCTTAACACCAAGCTCTCTTTGCCAAGTTCCCACTTGTCATTCTTCAATTGCCTTGACATCACCCTTGAGGAGGATACTTTAATTTCTTCCCAGGTTCTATGCTCCTGTTTTCTGATTATCCAGTATTTTTCTCAATATTGGTTTACTCCATCTTTTTGTGGAGCATATCTTCTAACAGTTTTTTGACAAAGGGAGATAAATATTTTGAAATTATATATATATATATGAAAATGTCTTTATTCTACTCTCTGATTTATTTGATGGCTTAGGCATAGAGCTCTATACTAAAAATCATTTTCTATCAATATTTTGGATGTACTTTTCAATTGTCTTCTCTCACTCACCTTTGGTTTCAAAAAGTTTGAAACCATTTTGATTCCTTTCTTTTTGTTTTTGACCTTGTACCTCCGGGTGTTTGTAACATACCCCATGCTACACCATTGCTCTGAATTATCAAAATGATGTGCCTTAATATGAACTGCCTTTCTTTCTTTATGCTGGGACCTCCATGGATTCTCGTAATGTAGCAGATTACATCCTCAAGATGAGGGAAATTTCCCCAAGTTATTTCTTTGAGAATTTTCTTTTCTTCTTTTCTGCCTTTTCACTTTACATTCTAGGAGACTTTCTCAAATTTTATCATGTAGCTCTTCAATTTTCAATTTCTATTCTCATTTTTTTAATTGCAAGAGCTCATCTTTTTTTCTTTTCTCCGAATGATTCTCTATTATATCAATTTTTTCTTTCTTGGATAAAGTATCTTTATATATCTGAGGTAAGTAATAACACATTAAAATTTTTTTTCTCCCTGCATCATGTCTGTTTCCTCTAAGATTCTTTATCTCTTCATTTACCTTGGTTTCTGTATCACATGTTAAAAAATGTTGGTCAGAAATCCAGTGATCCTTAAGTATCAACTCCTGTTAAACAATGAGGAACTAAAAAGCTGATTGGCAACTTTGAGTCTGTAGGTTGTTCTTATATCTAAAGACATCACTGGGGGCCATTTGTCGACATGGGTGGGCCATTTGTTGAAGAAAAGTTAAGGTAAGTATGGTTAAATATTTCTTCTTGAACTTGTTAGATTCTCACAGAAAATATTCTGTTCTCTTGCCTGCAGGTTGTGAAAGAAAAATAAATCTTGGGGCTCCAAAATCACTACGCTAAAGGGAATAGTCAAGCTAGGAGCTGCTTACAGCAAACCTGCCTCCCATTCTATTCAAAGTCACCCCTCTGCTCAGAGATAAATGCGTATCTGATTGCCTCCTTTGGAGAGGCCAATCAGAAACTCAAAAGAATGCAACTATTCATCTCTTATCTACCTATGACTTGGAAGCCCACTCCCTGCTTCAAGTTGTCCCACCTTTGCTTCAAGTTGTCCAGCCTTTTCTGGACAGAACCAGTGTTTATCTTACATATATTGACTGATGTCTCATGTCTCTCTAAAACATATAAAACCAAGCTGTGCTCTTGAAGTGGCCTCATCGTCTGGGGTGACACCCGAGGTTCGTTGTCTCACGGCCATAAAGATAAAGAACATGGACACAAAAGGGTGAGGTTTAGAGCAGAAATTTAATAGGTGAAAGAAAGTGAACAGCTCTCTGCTACAGAGAGGGGTCCCAGAAAAATGGGTTGCCGATTCACAGTTTGGATACAGAGGCTTTTATAAGAAATCAATAGTGGGCTGCTCATCTCATTTGCAAAAGGCATGCATTTCTGGTAGTTCCACCCCATCATCCTCATGCACGGGCTCTTAGTTTGAGTTATTCCATGTTGTTTTGTTACCCTTACTGCACATGTGTCAAGGGGTGGAATTTTCCCTTGCAGGCATGCCTGGGCAAGTCTCTTATGTAGTCTTTCTTATCTGTGTGGCTGTGGGGATGTCTTAGGCAAGCCCCCTGGGAAAGTTCCCTTATCTGTGCCTGCAACTTGATTTTTCAGGCTGTTCTTTTGTTTGAAAGAATTTAACCAAGGACTCGTCTTAAGAATCTGCCTAATCCGTTTCTTCCTTTCTCCTGTCTCACCCTAACCATCTTGGGCACAAGTCATCAGAACCTCCTGGGGCTATGTCATGGGCACACATCCTCAACCTTGGCAAAATAAACTTTCTAAATTAACTGAAACCTGTCTTTGAGTTTCAGGGTCACAAGGGTAATGGCCAGCCAATGTTTTTTGAGCCCTATAAGGGAATAGGCAAGTCAGAGAGGAGGTGGAAGAGGTCTCAGCATTCAGCATCCAGTCTGCATGTTTATTTTTCTGTTTGGGGATGGTATTCCCACCCTCAGTCACTAAGGGTTTTCATAGCCCACAAAACCTCTGTTTTTGCGTCTCCAGAGAATGAAGTGCAAATGTCTGCTGAGATAAAATCATGTGGTCAGTTAGTCAAGGTGTTGGAAAGAATTCTAGGCATCTAGTTTCTTAAATAACTTCTGACTGACTCTCTGTAGTTTAATTCTTCCTTCCAGTTATTCTGTGATGTTTGATGTCCCCCGTTCCTGAACCACCTGGAAATTCTGTGTATGGATTGTGTTGTCTCTTGGCTTTTGTCATTGCTGATTTAGGATTTGGCTTTTTGCTTTTGTTTTGCTTTGTTTTGTTCTTTCCTGATAGGTCAGTTCAAACTTGTATATCTGCTTTTCAGAATCTAAACGTTTGATGCTGTTGCCTCCTCTCTGTTCCCTCCATTCTTGCGGGTTTATGTCTAGTTAAAAACAATCCATTTATAGTAGTTTCAGCGGGGTTTGTAGAGGGAAGAGATTAGATGCATTTTTACTCTGCCACCTGTATTCTGAAGTCCTCTCTCTGAACTTTTTGAAATCTGCTTTTCTAAAGCACAGAGCACATTCTGGTGAGACCCAGGTCTCCCACCTGATGATCACAGTCTCTAAGAGTGCATGTTCATCACATCCCAGAGTTCTTGTCTTTTCTACCGCACTGAATCTGTTCTCTGTGTTTACTTGTATTGTAGCTATGGTAACAGTTCCCTTCATTACTTACTCAAACTTCAGAGAGATAAAAGAGAAGGAGTCACAGCATCTTTGTGCAAAATATGCCTCGTTTTCTGGGAAAAGGCTTGTTTCAGAAGAGAAGACAGTGGTGAGTCACAGAAGATATGAGGGAATGGAACACAGTAATTTCTACTGATTACAGAGAGGTTAAGAACCTCCCACAACCAACAACAACTTTGCTGGTGTTAATGCTGGCTAGTAGTTTTCTTTGGGACTTAATCTCAAAAGATGCTTCTCACTGTAGAGAACTGAGCAGTATGTATGCAAAGAGTTATAAAGATATATGGATCTGCTTCTATCCAAATTATACTTGAGGTGAAAAGGAAATCCTTTACTAATTCTGCAGACTTTAGGAAATGTACAGAGCATTATTTTCTGGTGCCTTAGGAGAGAAAAAATAATTCCTAAACATTAAGAAAATCTGAATATCATTTCCCCTCACCCAACACTTCTGTAACCTATCTCCTTGTCACTTGGGTGAACCAGGGGTGCCCAGTGAAACTTTGCCCAGCCTTGGACTGGGAGCACATGCTGGTCAACTCTCAAGAGCATCTTAATCGGACCTTAATTATATGTGGACTCTAAAATGACAAACTTCTCAAAACAAAAGGGAAAATGCTGGTAGCCGGGCCTGAGATGTGGGAGAAATAGGAACATATTGGTCAAATGGTTCAAACTTTCAGTTACAAGTTCTGGGCATCTAATGTACAGCATTAGTTGCAGGCACAGATAAGGAAACTTTCCCAGGGGGCTTGCCTAAGACATCCCCACAGCCACACAGATAGGAAAGACTACAGTTAATACAGTATCATATACTTGAAAATTGCTAGCAGAGTAGAACTTAAGTGTTCCTGACACACAAACACAATGGTAACTATGTGAGTTTACAGATGTGTTAACTAACTTCATGTTGGTACTCATTTCACAATTTATGTGTATATGTATATCAAATTATCACATTGTGAACCTTGAATATGTACAATTTTTATTTGTCACTTAATTATACCCCAATAAAACTGGAAAAAAAATTGTCCTTAACTTGTCTATTCTCCCTAATGAAAATAAACTATATTATACCATAGATAGGTTGCTTTTTATATACCAATTATTTTCTGTGTAGGGAATAAGAGAGTGAAACTGTAATTTCCATTTTGTGGTCATGTCTATGTTAGCTGCAATCTGATAGAACAGTGATATTGTTTGAATATTTGTCCCTTCCAAATCTCATGTTGAAATTTGACCCCCAGTGTTGGAGGTGAGACCTAGTGAAAGATGCTTGGGTTATGGGGGTGAATCTCTCATTAATGGCTTAGCACCTTCTCTGAGTCAATGAGTGAGTTCTTGCTCTATTAATTCTTGTGAGAGATGGTTGTTTTAAAAAGCCTGGCACATCCTTTCTCTCCTGCTCTCTGTCTCTCTTTCCATGCGACAAGCTAGCTTCCCCTCCCCTTCCACCATGACTGAAAGCTTCCTGAAGCCCTCACCAGAAGCAGATGCTGGCACCATGCTTCTTGTACAGCCTGCAGAACCATAAGCTAAATAAGGATCTTTTCTTTATAAATTACCCTGTCTCAGGTATTTCCTTCGTAGCAATGCCACACAGACAAATACAAATAGTAATTTTAGTTTTTAGTCATTAATTTCCTCAGCCTATTCATCTGGATCTAGTCAAAGTCCATTGTTCCTTTGCATGCTCCAAAAGCATGCGAGAACTCAGAATGTTATCATAACCCTCTTATTTCTCTCCACACAGATTGTGAGCAACCTCCTCCCCTCTCTCAGTTTCTGTCACCACTAAGGTAGATTCACATCTCTCATGCTCCCTCACCGTGACCCACTCTCTTGTCTAATGCCCCTTCATGTTCAGCACTAGTATTTGAGTTCTTGCCTTAGAACTTTATAAGCACATTTTATACCCCACAAAGAAGAAACCATGCTCACAAATACAGTAAAGTATTGGCTTTGAAATCAAGCTTTAAATTCTGCCAAGAAAGGAAGTGTGACCAAGTATGACTGGTATATGTCCTTGAACAGGTCGCTTCCTATTCCTAAAACTCTGTTTCAAAACACACAGCTCTTCCTCTAGCGAACACAGGCAGATAATTAATATTAGCTAAAATTAACATTTAGAAATGCTAATATAAATTGATAAATAATTATAATATTTTAAAAGTAAATAAATAGGATCCACATTCTTTCAACAGACTAAAAAGTAAAGGTAATTTTTATTTTGTCTCCATAGGTTAAACTGGCAGGCAATACATTTCATTCTCTGTAACCAATGTGTAGAACTCTTTGGTTTGTGAAATATGAGTATGTTTTTGAAAGTTGCATGTGTCAAATAACACATTCATTACTGCTAATGGAGTTCAAGCTAAGTATCTTTTTATTGGTTAGGCTTGAAGCCTTTTCATTAAAAGATTTACTGTCTCATCGATTGCAGAATGAATAGCTATGCATTGTTTCCAAATAACTAATAATGATAAACATCTTAGATAAAAATTTAGCCAACCCAATGTGCCCAATCATAAGAAAAGACGTTAGCATTTAACTTTAAAATGACCTTTTATTCTATCACTAGCAGTTCATCACAGTTAAAATTTAATTCATTTCTTACCTGGCCATGGTGAAAATATAAGATAATGGCCTATAAGATGGCAAGTCACAGTAGAGAAGTAGGGAGGAAAAAAGCCAGAGGAACATGGGGGCAACCTAAAACATTGAACGGAATCTTTTCTTAGGTTGTTTTTAGGAGTTTAGTAATTGAGAGTGTTGCCTAATATTGAGAAAGGAAACTGTACAGATTAAATGCTTACTGTATCCCAGTCATAAGGACAAAACGCAGAATAAGACAGACATTATCCTTGAGAACTCACTATTAGTAAAATGAATGACTGTGATTCAGAATGATAGGTGCAAGAACTCATTGTACCTGAGTTTCAGGTATATTGTAGAACAAAAAGGGAGCTTTCCATGAAGTATTTGTGTGGGCTTTCATAAGGATTCTGAAGGAACAGCATTTAATAAGGCAATTGAATAAACTAATTTAGTGGAAAGATGTTAAAATGGAAGAGGGAGGAAAACAAGTTTGAAGAATTATCATTGTGAACTGCTTTGAAACTGTTAAGCAACCAGCACTGCAGAAAAGAATTCAAGAATGATGATTACATGCACTTTTTTTGGTTTCCCTTTGACAATTTCTTGCTAGCAATGATGTCAAACAAAAATATAATTTCTATCTGGACTCATTGTTTTACATATGGCTGCTTGATACTGCCAAGCAGAGCTAATGACTGAATATCACTGAGAAAGCCACGCTGATTGTGAAAGCATTCATCCCGAAAGCTTTGCTCTTAAAGCACTGCACTTTCTGCAAACGTGCAGTTCCTTTGTGTCTCAAATACTTACTTCATCTTTTCTCTGTTTCTTCTTACATCTCTAACCCTATTTTTTTCTTCATTCTGTCTTTTTCTTTGCTACATTTATTACCTATTTACCACCTGCTTCTTGCCTCCATATTTGACATATTATCCTCTATGTGTCCTGCTCAGGAGAAGCCTAGTAAGATAATTACACAAGATGGGCAATGAACAGGAGGCCATATACTGTGTCCCTCTGCTATGTCCAACCACATCCCCCAACTATGCTGTCCTAGCTCTCTAGTGTCCCTTAACTTGGGCTAAGGACAAAAAGAGAACAATCAATACCACTCAAATTGTTGAAGGTGGGAAGAATACAGGTAGAACTTTGCCTACCACCTAGATAAATATACAATTACCCCAGTGTCTATCTCCTTTATTCAACTTTTCTCTCTCTTTGTACACTTTTATTTTCCTCCCTTTTAGAGTCATTGTAAAATCTGCCTTTAAAGAAAATCAAAAGTAAGATCATAGCCTTCTCACATATTGCTCCACTTTTGCAGGTCCCCTGACATTAAAGAAAGTGTCAGCACCAATCTTCTTTTCTGGAATCATTGATTTTTTAATCCCATATTCTTTCACCCACAGCTACTAATTGCAGCTGTCTGTCACTCTGGGTTGGACAGGGGAACAAAGGCTATCATTTCAGTGAGTGAATATGATGACATGCAAGGCTGCAAAGAGGCACCATGATTGAATTCTGCATTCAGCCAATTTTTCCAGTGATCACATTTTAGATTTACCTAACCAGCTACATGCCAACCAGTTTAGTTCAATGAAGACACACAAAGCATGCATAACCTTGTTGTAGGCCTCTTCCTTTTCCCCTGTTTGTTTTAATCTCTGGGAGTTCTCTGTGTATCACCTTTATTGTCAGCACTTTAACTCTCCTTTTCTTTCAGCTTATGTTTCGCACAGGAGATATGAAATAAAAATCAGAATTATTACATAAACAAAGCTTCACTGAAGTTCTGTTGTACATATTTTTCATTTACTGAAAGCAGGGGGTGCTATATGCAAAGAAATCAGCTAGAGTAAGCAGGTAGAATTTCTAAAGACAGGCACCTGAAGACATTTATAGTGTCCCATTATAGAAGTGCTTTAAAATGTATCATTTCTTCCAGGTTCTGCCAAATGTACAATGATGCATGTCCTTACTGAGATATACAGACAGCAAATGTCACACACATATTCTTCTCATCGAAGAAGCAATGTGTTGTAACTAATAATGATTTCTCCAAATCACAGATTAATTGGTGTGCAATTAATTTAGCATATCTCAAACACAGCGGAGTATCCTCCACCTGAATTCATCTACAGT
The DNA here is from genome assembly GCF_000001405.40 of Homo sapiens. Taxonomy (NCBI): domain Eukaryota; kingdom Metazoa; phylum Chordata; class Mammalia; order Primates; family Hominidae; genus Homo; species Homo sapiens. The sequence continues at coordinate 187,414,285 of NC_000001.11, forward strand.
AATAAAACATTTTGTAGAGAATATTATTGCTCGGATGTCCAGATATTACCTTTCTCAATAAAGACTCTAATCCTCCCTTAAATAGATAAATAAGAAGTTAGAGAAAATTGACCAGAAAAAAATTTTTAAAAACATATCTCTTTACTTTTCCTTCCAAATAACTGACATCTTTTGAATTTTTTTCTTCAAATGGTTACATTTTTTTAATATCTCACTATACAATTTGAAACAGATAAAAGGAAAAAAAGTGCAATAAACACATAATTTGCAAGCACAAAAGGTAAAATGTAGTACAGGGTATTACATAATTTCAAAAGCTTCCTAAAAGAGCATAACTACGAACTTTGAAAGGTCAATTGATATTGAAGTGTTTTGACATGCCATATGGATAAAAAGCCTCAAGGACAGACAATTTGACTTGTTCAAAAAAAGGTATTATTTCTTTAAAACATTCACTTTCAATACTTTCCCATATTACAGTTATCTGTACAAGATAGATATGTAAGACACTTTAAAAAGCTTCTTTGCAGCAAGCAAAGTCCAACATCCAAAATGAATTATCCAAGATGAAGCATTCATTTTTAAGTGCTATAGTCTTGCCAGACATTCTGAAGATGCCAAAGTAAATTTGGATGTTTGGAGGGAATAGAAGAAGAAAAGTCAGAGCAATGAGAATACATTTCCGGGTCTAGTTCATAGATTCTACAATCTAAATGCAATGCAATATTTTTTCCAAAGTTCAAAATGTCAATAAATTTGATAATTAAGGTCACCTATTAATAATGATCTAACCAATAATATTGAGTTCATGATAAATAGGAATATGTGCTTATTGGTGCACTTTGTATTTATTAAGTTTCTCTGTCTGGTGGACTACTTTAATACCTAGTGATAAATTCATTCAGTTGCTTACTTACCGAGGGACTGCACTACAGCATAGAGCCACCAGCCTACTGACTCAACACTCCTGGAAAGTTAAAGCAAAACAAAACAAAATACCAGAGTAATAAAACAAGAGCAAAGAAAAAAATGATGTTTATTTGTGGTGACTTTTGGCCAGCGTGCAAGAAAAAGATGCTGTGTTTGCTACTGATTTTAATTCCTGAAGTCTTAAGAACAATAATTCCCATCGAGACAAATCAAGAGGTATATAACATGTTATATCTTCAAAATATTTACCTATATGCCATAAAATACATTTATTCCTGGATAAATGATAACTGAATGTGTCTACTTTATGAAACATCATGCTCGCTCCTTTGAGTGTAGTAAAGAGAAATGGAGAGATAAAGAAGACGCATTTCATGTCCTCAAGGGTTGTTATAGTCTGACAGAAGAAACCAAATCATACAAATGTGCAACCAAATAATACAACTGCATGACAGAGGAAGAGAAAAGCCAATTGTTGAATGTGACCTGATTAGAACAATTGTGGCATAGTGGGGAAAACACACACACACACACACACACACACACACACACACACACACACACACTGAAATCATAATTCTCTGGGTTTGATACAGGAGGTAGAAATAAATTATTTAGGCAGAGAGTGAGGGCAACAGAGTTCTTGGCAGAATTTCCCTTCTAACAAAAAGCATCCCCCCAAATAATTTCTTTTCTAACAAAGAGCAGCCTGAAAATTGAGCTGCAAACATAGATAAGCAAGCTGGAAGCTTGTATAGGGGAATGTCGGCAGTTGTACCAATAGAAAAGGGCTACCTTGGGGCCAGGCATGTCCAACGTGGAGGCTCTATCGTCTCTTTTTTTGTTACCATGTATACAGTAATAAAGGAATGGGCAACATGGCCCAGCTCAAACAGAAAACCCACCTGCATAATAAAAGATTAGGTTGGGGGCTACCAGAGATTTGCACCCTATGCAAATGGCACAACTGGTCTAACCAGTCTTTTGTGTGCTATATAAATCAGACACTGCCTCCCCACCAGCTCATCTATAAAAGCCCCTGCATTTCATCACAGATCCAGCAACCTATTTTTCCAGGACCTCTCTCTGCAGCAGAGAGCTATTCTCTTTCTTTAGCTTATTAAACTTCTGCTCTCAACCTCACTCTTTGTGTGTATATGTCCTTGTTCTCTGTGGTCATGGGACTACAAACCTTGGGTGTCATTCCAGACAATGAGGCCGTTTCAGGTTCAAATATCGGCTCAACATCTTAGTCCTGCAATCTTTGTGCTTTTTCTTAATCTCTCCGAGTCTATCTCATCAATAAAATAAAAATACAGCTACCTTTCATTGTGTCATTAAGAAGATTAATAAGAAATGTACGTAAATTCACTTATACAGATTGAGCATTCCTTATCTGAAAATCTGAAATGCTCCAGAATCAAAAAGTATAATATTGACGTGATATCACAAGTATCAAGTAACATTGACATGATACCATGAGTGGAAAAATCTACACCTGGACTCATGTGACAGGTTGCAGTTAAAACACAGTCAAAACTTTCTTTCATGCACAAAATTGTTTAAAATATTGTATAAGATTACCTTCAGACTATTTATATAAGGACTATATGAAATATAAATAAATTTTGTGTTTAGTCTTGGGTCCATTCAGAAAGGAAAAACATTCCCACATATAACTAATACTTATTGACCACCTACTGCTCTAGGTACTGGAGATATAATAATGGACAAATAGACCTTCAGTCACAGACCTTACCTTCTAATGGGGCAGGAGGGAAAGTCAAGAATCAAAGCAGCAAGTGTGCTAGATAGTAATAAATAATGAAGAATGAAAGAAGTAAGAAAGGGGAAACAAATGTTTCGTGGAGATGTAAATTCTTATATAGTCTGGAGAGGAGAGGATGCAGTGATAATTAATACTAGAATAAAAATGAAAAGAATTTGAGGGAGAGAGTTGTGCAGATACTTGGAAGAAGAGAATTCCAAGCACAGAGAATAACAAATGCAAAGCCCCAAGACAGAAGCAGCTGTTTGAGTAGAAGCATAGTTATCAGTGTTGATAGATGAAGCAAGTAAAAGAGACACAAATAGGAGATAAGGTTAGAGAGGTAGCAGGACAAGATGTAAAACATTAGAGACCATCTTACTCTGGGAAAAACAGGAATGGGGCATTGTTGAGTTTATCAGTCACCTACTGTCATAATAATTCAGTGTAATAAATCATCCCTAAAACTGATTGCTTAAAGCAACAATTGTTGGTTCTTACTCATGCATCTTTGTGTGGCTGGTTGTCAGCGGAATTAAGCTGGGCCCAGATGAGCTTCTTTCAAGATAAAGATTGGGTCCCGATTTATTCTATGTATCTCTTCTACTTCCTGGACCCATGGGCTACTCTGACTATGTTCTTTTCACAGCAATGCTAGATGTAGATAGCAGCAAGTGCAAATTTACAAAGGTAGTTAAAGCTTCTAACTAGTGTTGCATCCACTAACATCTCATTGGCTAATGCAAGTCACATGGCCTGGTTCAAAGTCAAGGACCAGGAACACACAGTGTACTTCTAGTGGGAAAGGTATGAAGTTATACATCAAAGAGTATGGATACTGAGACTGACTTGACTATTGTAGACTGTAATTCAATCTATCACAGATATTCGAGCAGAGGAATTACATGACCAACTTTCATTTTATCAGGATAATTCTGGCAGCTATTGAAAACAGACTGAAGAGAAGAAAGAAGATTTGGAGGAATATGTATCCAAGATTGATGATGGTGGCTCAGATCAGGTTGGTAGCAGTGCAGATGGTGTTTGGGGCTCAGGAACTGATATCCCAAAATATGACATTTTGACATCCTGAGCTGAGGAAGCCTCATGGACCCTCTGCCCTTCCCCACCTCCCACCATCTCTCCCAAAGCCTAGGACGAAGTTGTTCTCTGAAGTTCCTTTTTCTGCCTGAAGTCTGGACCACCAAGGAGAACAATTCTTTTTATTTCCCTCAATCTTATCTTCTGATCCATTGCAGAAAAGACCAAGAACATAACCATACCTGAAAAGACCCTTTTACAAGATAATGTCTGTCTCTCAGACTCATTCAAATTCCAGAGAGAACTATTTACCAGTTAAGCTATGTTCTCCATTCATTCATTCTCCCTAGTAATCATTTATTGCTCATTAACAGAATTTCTCTTCTCCCCACCTCCCACAACCTGTTTTGTCAGGATACAAGCCCCCATTCTTTCTCCAAACTCAGGATGGCATATAAACTTGTATACCTCATTGGGGAGTTGTGTCTTCATTCTGGAGTTTTCCATGTATACATGTTACATATATTTGTAGACTTTTCTCCAGTTAATCGGCCTTTTACAAGTTAATACTTAAGTGAAACTTTGGGGTCCCAAGGGCCTTGGTTCCTAAAATGGCAAGGAATATTTACATTCAGATTATATTTTGAAATTACAGCATACCGGTTATCAAAGAAAAAATTTCGCCAAATAAATTAAACAGACAAGGAAGACTTTATTCAAAACTGTTGCAATAGGGAAAAAAGATTGAACTTAATTCCACTGAAACAAAAGGTGAAATAATTTTTAAGCCCTGGAATTAGCTAGTGGAAAAGTGCTGGAGGGTGTTATGGGGAGAGGTTGGTCAATGTGGCTAGATCATCTGTATTTGCTAATTCAGCTCCTGCCCTCCACTACAGTCTGGGGAACAGGGGCACTATCTCCTTTGATGGTTACATTTCAAAAGGATGGCTCCCAATTCCCTGAGAAAGATATTCCTGGGTTGTAAAATTAGCAATTGTCTGGGAGAAGATTTATTAACATTTCAAAGGGGCAGAGAAAAAATTAGCAATTACAAGTTTTATAAAGTGAATATTCTAAGAAAAAGAAGACCGGGGGCTATAATCAAGCAAAAACCTCCTTGAGGTTTAGTCAAGCTGAAGGCAATGTTTTGTTCATCTTGGCCACCGTCACAGTGAGAGCATGGACTTGTCCTAAAACTGCCCAGATTGAATTCTGGCACCTCTATTTGATAACTTGTGACCTTGGAGCAGTTACTTAACATCTTTGTATCTTAATTTTCTCATCTGTAAAATGGGGATGATGAAGTGCCCAATCCATAGGATTATGCAGGAATTAAAATAGTTAGTATGAACGTACAGGTTTCCTAACAATTGCTGGCACACAATAAACATTAATTATTCTTAAAGCGAAGTCAACAGATTCTCCTGAGTAGTCAGAGATCAGGTATAAGAGAAAAAGAAAAATTAAGGATAACTTCAAGGTTTTTGCTCTGAGCTACTGAAAAAATTGAGCTGCCATTTACTGAGTCAGGGAATGTTATAGACACAGGGTTTTATTATATTAGGAAATGGTAAATTCAATGAGGATTCAAGTTTATAAGAGTTCAGAAAAAGGATTAAATTAGGTAGTGTAATTTCTCTTTATTCCTTACTAAACTATATATTATATATTGTATTTTTAAAGTTCTTAATAGAGTGTTAGGAGACTTTAATATTTATTTTTTCCTTTAACGTGTTCCAAACTAACCATCAGTAATTATAGGCAGAGGGATTAGATAATAAATCAGTCAAGGATATTATTTATTGTAAGCCTTAATTACGAGGAACAAAATGCTATGAGAAACTATTAGAAAAACGTTTGATTGTTAACCCTAACATGAATTTATTTGTGCCATTAAGGAATCACTCTTACTTCAGAAAGCAAACCATTTTCTTTGAATGAAGAAAGGTAGGATGTTCTACCTACAAAAGCTGTGCCTTGTTTACTACCATGTCCCCAGCATTCAGAGCAATCCCTGCAACACAGAGAATACTCAATAAATATTTATGGAATGAATGAAGCCACAGGATGACACTTTATGTTTAGAGTAGTTGTGTACAAATGAATATGCCTTTGTAATACAGTGAATTATTTGATGTGCAATTTTGTTAACCTGTAATTTGCCAGCTGATAGATCAATATATTAAAATCCTCAACTTGAGGTTTGCATTAGCATTTTTAGGTAAAGGACATGGTCAGCAGGGTAAATTTCATCCAAACTTTTAATAGAATTACAACACAGTAATTGTACATTAATGAATGCATTAAGAACAATTACAAAATAACAATGGGGTATTACTTCATTTAGATCAAATAGTTTACATAATATAAATGTAGCATGGTTTTCTTTTGGCTAAGGATTAAAGAATATGCTTTTGAATAAGACTTTCTTTCCCTAGTAGTAAGCTAATGTTATCAGATTTATCTTTTTTATTTGTTTGTTTTTCTCCCTCCTCTCTCTTTCTTCCTTTTTTTCTTCCTTCACTTTCTTTTTGTCAAGATAGAGGTTCGAGACCAGCCCAGCCAATATGGCAAAACTCCATCTTTACTAAAAATACAAAAATTAGCTGGGCATGGTGGTGCATGTGTGTAGTCCCAGCTGCTTGGGAGGCTGAGGCAGGAGAATCTATTGAAACCAGGAGGTGGAGGTTGCAGTGTACTGAGATCGCGCCACTGCACTGCAGTCTGGGTGACAGGGTGAGACTCTTTCTCAAAAAAAAAAAAAAAAAAAGAGAGAGAGAGAGAAATGTTTTGATCTTTGAAATGGGAACCAAAGATACAAGGTTGGAATAGACAAAGGTTTTTAAAGATTCATAAAGTCAGAATTTTATTGTAAATAATAATATGCTTATTTTCTTATCACCTGGATTCATAAATTCTTGGAAGAAACAATGTTAAAATATTTCCTTGAAAAATAAAAAGCATGTCCATGAGTATGTTACACGTGTTATTATCTGAAGAATTATTACATAGTTGCATCATGATGGAATTATTTAATCATTTGGGACTTTGTTAGACCAACAGTTATTCTGCACTTCTTTATTTTTTGAGACCGAATCTCGCCCCGTCACCCAGGCTGAAATGTAATGGCACAATCTCAGCTCACTGCAACCTCTGCCTTCCAGGTTCAAGCAATTCTCCTGCCTCAGCCTCCTGAGTAGCTAGGATTACAGGCATGTGCCACCATGCCCGGCTAATTTTTTGTATCTTTAGTAGCGATAGGGTTTCACCATGTTGGCAAGGCTGATCTCAAACTCCTGACCTTGTGATCCATCTGCCTTGGCCTCCCAAAGTGCTGGGATTACAGATGTGAGCCACCACACCCAGCCTATTCTGCACTTTTTTTAAGACAAGAAATCATATGGAGGAGAAAAACAAGAACAAACACAAACAAAATAGAAGTCCTGCTGAGATCTGAATATTTGTGTCCATGCCCACTCCCCAAATGTACATATTGAACTTCCCTTTCCCAAGGCGATAATATTAGGAGGTGGAGCCTTTGGAAGGTGAATTGGGTGGGGGCAGAGCCCTCTTAAATAGTATTAATGTTCTTAGAAAAGAAGCCAGAGAAAGATAGACTTCTCATCCCTTTTACCATGTGAGGTTTCAATTAGAAGGCTATCTATGAGGAAGAGAGTGCTCACCAGACACCCAATGTGCCAGCCTCTAGATTGTATACTTCTTCACCTCTAGAACAGTGAGAAATAAATTTCTGTTGCTTATAAGTTACCCAGTCTTTGGTATTTTGTTATAGCAACCTACACAGAAAAACACACACACACACACACTACAAACAATTACAAGTCTGTTAGCATTTTGCTTGCTTAATAGATATTATAACAGTTTAATTAAAACACTATATGTACTTCATTTCCTGATTGGGAGAAGAGAGATATTTTTAAATAAACAAAAATCAGATTTAATATTTTTTCTTTAATATTGGTATAATTTACTTTGTGTTTGCTTCTTGTATTAGTCTGTTCTCACGCTGCTGTGAAGAAATACCCGAGACTAGGTAATTTATGAAGAAAAGGGGTTTAATTGACTCACAGTTCCTCATGGCTGGTGGGGTGGCCTCAGGAAACTTACAATCTGCTGGAAGGCACTTTTTCACAGGGCAGCAGGAGAGAGAATGAGTGCTAGCAGGGGAAATGCCCAACGCTTATAAAATCACCAGATCTCATAAGAAGTCACACATATGAATATGGAGTGACTTTCTATCATGAGAACAGCATGAAGGAAACCATATCCATGATTCAATTACTTCCCACCAGGTCTCTCCCATGACACATGGGTATTATGGATTACAATTCAAGATGAGATTTGGGTGGGGACACAGCCAAACCATATCACTTCTCAACAAATTCTGCACAAATTGAAGTTTTGTGCTCTAAATTTTATTTTTCATGAGTATACTAGAGCTATTTTGTATTCATTTCTGATTTTTCTTCAGAAGTAATGTATATTCAGTGTTAAGTCCTGCAGTCCTTCAGCCTCTTTATTAAGTGGTTAATGATTTGTAAACAAACATTTAAATTTAAAAGTGAATTAAGGAAACCTAAAAGCCTTGTGAAAAATTATTTTCTAGTTTGTTCCAATGTTTTGAAAATTTAATCTAGGTAGGGGCCTAGGATTGATATTTTATTCTACAAGCATTTGCATAACATCTTCCAAGACAAAAACTGTCTTAAAATTTCAGAAATATTGTATTCAATTGGGTTCTGTGGGCCTGATTAGCAAGGTCTATTCCAAGTCAAAACCTTTGATTTGTGGTCAGGGAGAGCTATGATACAATTTTATTCATATCATATACTTTAAATACACTTTAAAGTATAAATTTCAGTTGAAGTCTGATATTGATTACCTAAGAAAAAAATTAGAATCAATTATGTATTTTTGTTTCTTATGTGATATTAAAATATTATATAATTTTCCTTATATTCAAGTTTGATAATAAAATATTAATAATATTTATGATGTGCAAGAAAAGAATTTCTTTTTAATTCATTTAGGCTTATGAAAAAGATATATTAGAAGAAACATAAGAAATTTACATAATTATTTTTATTCTGTCTCCTACTATGGTCCATTGATTACTTCTTTGTCTACACAAAAACTGTGTGCTTTATGAGGGTGAAGATTATGCTTATCCATCATTCCAAATTAGCAGTTTTGTTATTTATTTTAATTCTCTAGTTAATCTTCTTGACATCTCATTGCAACCCAGGCATGGGTTAAAATATTTAGGAATTCAATTTCTATTATTTTTATAGTTGCAATCAGATTGATTGATATTAATATTCACCATTCCTTCTTTCTCTATTATTTGTTGCATATTCTCTGATATGCAAACAGTTACAGGATTTACATTAGGCTTTACTGTATTCTCAAACAATTTGGTGAGTTGTTTGGGAATTCTCATGGGTCAAAAAGGTTGTTCCAATAGTATCACTCAGCACTTAAACACTCATGAGTTGATGAGCTATTATTGTAGTAAATACTCCATTCCCATTACTGTTCTAATTAATTTCCATGATGATGTTTAGGTGGCAGTTGGGTGGTATAGGGTTGGGAAATCCATACTCTTTATTTTATTATCTTTGTCTTTTTCAGTTATATTTAGTTGCTTTAAAAAGTTACAGATTTTCTAAGCCTTTTAAAATCAAGTTTGTAAAATGGGAAATGATCCGTCTGTGGAAAAACTGTATCTAAATGTTTAACTGATTAATACATCATTAAGACACTTTTCAGAGTAAAATATTGCACTGTTAATACTGTAGATATGCATTAGAAAACAAAGCAAAATGAAGATGTCTTGCCACGCAAATTTAGTTGTTTACGTCTAGTGTAGTGTGTTAAGACACAAGTAATGTATTGACTTCCACAAGTCTTCAGGCACCAGGGCCAAGTTTTAGCCAGTATCTTTATGTTTTCATTAAAACATGTTTCTCTTACAGAAAAGTGCTTTTTTTAAGAGGACAATAAAACAGAAATTTAGTGACTAGATTGGTTAAAGGCCCAGGGGATCATACATCTCAGTAGCATTCATGTATTTCAGTAGCATTGATTCTGAAGAAAGAAGTTATTTACATTCAAAATGTAGAAATTTTTGTTTTAATTAATTAGTTTTTCTTTTTAATTCAACACATTCCTCCTTTAATTTATTCAGTGAGGGAATGGGATTATATTAATTAGCATACCTTATATGAAATTTGCAAATGATATAATATAAGCTTCTCTCAATATTATTTGATTAATATGCAAGCAATCTGAAAATGGATGCATGGTCATACCTAGCTTCTCAGAATAGGAAAATCTATTAACTGAACAACCAACCAACCAATCAATGAACCAAAAGTATTTTTAAAACTTTTAAAAGTATTTTTTAAAATTACTGATTCTAACTTGATTTATGGGGATCAATTGAAATAAAGGCAATATGAGTTTAGGTAGAGTATGTACAATAGATTATTTCAACTTTAAATCACTCATATTCCTTTTGTGGCTGAAATCTTTTGACTACTATCTTGGATGACTGTATCTAGACACAGTGCTTTTAACAAAGCTATCAATCTAACTGGAATATAAACATGAACATTACTGATTTTCAGAGTATGCACAATAGAACTTTTGTGTCAATGGCAATTTTAACCATAACGTGTTGACGTGACACGTTATCACCATATATTAAAATGGTGCAAAAGTCATGGCAAAAACCGCAGTCACTTTTGCACCAAACTAATATTTATATTTCTTCATGTGTAACTAATATTTTACATAAGGAAAGTATAAATAAAATAGTGTCAGATGTGGCAAGTGTGAAAAAATACATCCCAAAAATTTTTAAATCAATTGATGACTAGTTTTCAGTAAATGGATGGGTTACTTTTAGTCTCATTAGACATAAGAAATGAACAAAAGCAATTCTTTTCTTAAAAAATCACATTTTAGAGAGGTAGAAATTAAAGACATGATACTGAAGAGAAAGTTTAAGTCAAATTATGTTTCTAAAAGACTGTAAGAAAATGAAAGTCATAATTTAAGAACATCAAGGTGAAGAAAATTCTTTCTACGAAGGAGTATGTTAGCAACAGCAATGTGACTCTGACCATACATGCTAGAAATCATGAGGACACAGTGTTGGCAGCATAAATACAATGTGTTATGAAGCTCTGCATACTATACGTGTGTGTGTGTGTGTGTGTGTGTGTGTGTGTGTGTGTATAGGGAAGGGTAATTGTGCCTACCATTCAAAAGAGTAAAAACTCATTTTTTTTCATTTCAAAATCAAAGTAAAATATATAGAGATTGTTCTATACGTCACTGGTTAAAAACTAGCTGAAACTAATAACCCACTACAAAAATTTTTACTGAAAAGTGTTTCTACTTTTATATCTCAGTACTGACAAATATAACTGATCAGTTAACTACTGAAAAGTACATATACACACATGAGCATACAACATGTTTATAGGTGGTATTAGTTCAGTGTTTTAACATGTTAAAGGCTCCTTTTCTATTATTGGATCATTCTCTATATTTTCATATCTATTTTTCTTTATGAATGAAATTTTTTTGTGGAGTTTTTCAAGTCTGTAATAAAATTCTTGTTAAATAGAGTTCATAAGGCTTGGATAAAAGGAATTATAGCTATCTATATATACCAATCCAGATATGTATGTATGTTTCATAAAATATGTTTTGAAGGCAGACATAGAACTGGGAATTATCTTTAAAACCAAACTGAAAAGGATACATAGAGGAGTGTAGTGACTATCAAACTCACTTTAATGCCCCCTTTTTTTTTTTTGCGACCGTGTCTCACTCTATTGCCCAGGTTGGAGTATAGTGTCACGATCTCATGTCACTGCAACTTCCCCGTCCTAGGTTCAAGGGATTCTCATGCCTCAGCCTCCCAAGTAGCTAGAATTACAGGCGTGTACCACCAAGCCTGGCTAATTCTTGTATTTTTAGTATAAACAGGGTTTCACCATGTTGGCCAGGCTGGCCTTGAACTCCTGACCTCAAGTGATTAGCCCTCCTTGGCCTCCCAAAGTGCTGGGATTATAGGCGTGAGCCACTGCGCTAAGTTTAGTGCCCATTCTTACAAGGAAGTTCTGTTTTGGGAGATTCACTCTTAGAAGTAGCCAATAATTTCTGTGATATAATTTAGTACACAGATAGATATGATCATAGTTAGGTGTAATATTTTCTAACTTCAGGTTTAGTTTTCCACTGTTGATTTTTGATGGTTTATTCAAGGTTAATTTGGCCATGGAGAACAATATAATATTATTTATTCTGAGGATCAATCCATTTTACATAAAATAGCAGATGTTTAGGTATGTGGTTTAGATGATAGCCATCAGAAAATTAAGGCTAATTTCTATGAAAATAAATAAAGTACTAGGAGTCCCTGGACTCTATTCCTAAGAAATCTTACCCCAAACCTCCAGACCTTTCCTTATAGGTTTGAATTATTTACTTTGCAATAATAAGATGAAGAGTTGTAAGAATTCTAACTGCCTAACTTTAGGGGATAAAATGAATTAAATAATATGAAGTGTCAACAACTCTATCTCCAAAGATACGTACTTAAGATTAGCCATTGCAGGAGACAATACTGAAGATAAGATTCATTCATTTCCATTTATTCCACTTGAAATGCCATCTGCTTTTCTTCATTTGCTTTTCAGAACGAGCATTCCTTCCACATCAGTGTACTGTCTGACCACAGTTTAAAAAGCCAAAGTGAAAACTACACTGTATTTCTGTTGAAAATGTTTTTATTGATTAGGTAGTCTGGGAATAGTGTTGACTTATAGAAAGTGTCTGCATTGTCAAGCCCAAGTTTTAATTACACAGTAACCACTTTGAAGACTAGAATAGTTTTTAATTTTCCCCAATTTCTGAAAGTTAAATTGTCCCTCCCAAGCAACATAATGTGTAGTGAGTTTAAATTTTTCCTACAAGATTTTGCTTACGTTATTTATTAACTATTAAAATTATAAACAATATCATCATCAATCTGGACCTTTTAATACAGATTAATCCTGAATGTCATAGTAACTAGGAATTTATTAGGTTTGAAGGTCATTTTAGAGTGGATTAAGATTATATATGTGATTCTAACTCAGATAGAGGAGGTTCCTGCGGGGCCATGAATGGAATAAGTTAAATCTTTGCTTTCTACTCAGAGTCTATGTAAACACAGAAAAAATATAAGAACTAACCCCAGGCAATGACTTGGTACTGTTTTAAGAAAGCATTCTTCCTTATTTTCTAGAACTCAGAAGTGATTCTCTACTGAAATGATACAGTGTGCCCCAAAGACATTGCATTAGAACAATGGTAATGGCAGGACTCTATGCCCATGATTTCAGGATACTTCTTCTAGGAATTAACTATATGTAAGTGTCTTTTTTATTGAAAATATTGGACTAGCTACATCGAGATGCCTTTCTGGGTTTTTTTGCCATTAGCCAATTATGTTAGTTTTATGCTTTTGCTTTATTTCATAAGAGAATTTCACATTAAAGTCGATAGAAAAAATAGTAATTGTCATTGAATTTGATCCCCTATTTAGTAATTTCCAATTTGCTTTCCCATAGAAAATCTGGCTTATTAGTTTTTCAGATATAAACTGATTATCCGTAATTGATTTTTATAAAACTAGTCATGATTAGAAATTAAAAATTGGATATAATATAGTTATTATTAATTCAAAAATAAAGGGAAAAACTCTGTTTTTTATTCCTTAATTCAAAGAACACTTCTGACACCAAGTATTTGGGTTTTTTCTACACCAACCAGCTCCTCAACCTTTCAGACACTCACAGGATGTTTTACCAGTCCAATTCTGGCACAAACTACCTGGTGTTAGTACAGACACCACAGGTTAAAGTCTCAGCCCCACAAGACTGCCACCTACTTCAGACACCAATTGCAAATAGTGAGTTTCCATACTTCTGCCTGAGTTGGCAACAAACAAGGGATTCCTATGACTCCTTCTTCAGGTTCAATAATTTGCTCTGATAGCTCACAGAACACAGGGAAAAATTTAAATTTGGCTGCTTTATTACAAATGATATGGATACAGATGAACAGCCAAATGAAGAGGTACATAAGCAAGGTCTGGAAGGGTCCCAAGCACAGGAGCTTCTGTCCCTATGGAGTTGAGGTGTGATATGATTTAGCTGTGTCCCCATCCAAATCTCATCTTAAATTGTAGCTCCCATAATCCCTACATGTTGTGGGAGGGACCTGGTAGAGGTAATTGAATCATGGCGGTAGGTTTTTCCCATGCTGCTCTTGTGATAGTGAATAAGTCTCACCAGATCTGATGGTTTTATAAAGGGCACTTCTTCTGCACACACTCTGTTGCCTGCCACCACGTAAGATGTGCCTTTGCTCCTCCTTCACTTTCCACCATGATTGTGAGGCCTTCACAGCCATGTGAAACTGTGAGCCCATTAAACCTCTTTCCTTTAAAAATTACTCAGTCTTGGGTATGTCCTTAATAGCAGTGTGAGAATGGACTAATACAGGGTGCACCACCCTCCCAGCACATGGATGTGCTTGCCAACCCAAAGTTTCTTGAAAATCCATACTTTGAGGATTTTTATGGAGGCTTCATCACTTAGGAATAGTATATTATCAACTCAATCTTCAATTCTTCTTCCTTTCATGAAGGATGGAGAGTAGCACTGAAATTTCCAAGCTTCTAATGATGCTGTGGTCTTTCAGGTGACCAGACCCCATCCGAAGCTATCCAGAAGTTCATCAATAGTCACCTCACTAGAAAAGGCACTCCTATCACCTAGAAAATTACAAAATACTTAGAATTTTTGTGCCAGGATCCAAAGACAAAATATTAAAAAAAAAAAAAAGGATGCTCCGAGCATGCCTATCACATAGGAAATTATAAGAGTTTTAGGAACTCTGAGCCAGGAAACAAGAATAAAGACCAAATACATATTTCTTATATCACAACTTGCAATACAAAAGAACCTATATTTTATTATTCAGCTTATTTTTAAGTGTGAGTAAAGCAAGGCCATGTATATATGCATGTATGTGGTAGACAGCGACTGAGAAGGGTGTTTTTTATTCTTCTGAAGATAATTAAACACACTAGAGAAAACATATTGACTTCTTTGAAATAAAGTGTGGTAGGTGAAATAACGGCTCCCTCCCAAATGTCCACATCTGTGAATATATGACCTTCATGGCAAAAGGAACTTTACAGATGTAATTGTAGCTGAACAATCTAGCCTGGAAATGCATTTTACAACTGTTTTTTTTTTCCTTTTTCTCTTTTTTCCATAGTCTCAAGATATAACCTTGGAACTTACTGCAGAAACATTATTTCCTTCTTCTTAGTCTTAAAATATAGCCTTGAAATGTACTTTCCTTGAAACACCACATCCCTCCCTTTCTCACCCCCCCTTATACCATGCACATTTTTCTAACCATATGCTTGTATCTAATTTTGTTCTTATTTAGAAGTTCCAGAGGCTAATCTTGAGACAGACCAAGCATAGAGACCCAACTCCAAAATCCCAGAGATTACCTTAAGGCAGCTCATCAACAACCCAGCTATTACTGAGGTGATACCAGACCATGCTCTCAGTGGACCATGGCTTGATATAGCCACTGGAACAAGCCACACAGACCTTGTACTCCCCAGCCCTCCCTAATGTCTTCCATTCCAGGTTATCCTTTTAAAGTCCCTCTCTCCAGCGTAAGGCTTCAAGTGGTTACTTTGGATGTGAATTTGGCCACTTCTTCATTACTAGTTTTGGTAAATAATGTCACTTTATTTCTACCACACCTCACTCTTGTTATTGGGCTTTGCAAGCAGCAAGTAGCCAGACCTGTGTTGAGTTACATGATTGAGTATGGACCTTCAAATAGGAAGATTACTCTGGATTATACTGGTGGATCCAATCTAATCATGTGAATCCTTAAAAGTAGAGAACCTTTCCAGTTTGGGTCAGATAGAAAGATGTGAAGATGAAAGAAGAATTAGAGAGATGCAGCATTGCTGCTTTTGAAGGTGAAAGAAAAGGACCACAAGCCAAGGAATGTGGGTGGCCTCTAAAAGCTGGTAGAAGCAAGGAAACCGATTCTTGTTTAGAGCCCTGCTGACACCCTGATTTTAGCCCTAGGAGACCCACATATGACTTCCAACCTACAGAACTGTAAATGATACATTTTGTTTAGATCATTAACTGTAAGATAATACATTTGTGTTTAGACCATTAAAGGTGTGGTGATTTGTTACAGCAGCAATGGAAAATGAATACAAAAGTATTGTTTTATTAAAAAAAAAAAGACTGCCTTTCTGATTTCTCTCCTAGTTTGGATGAGTTCTCTTATTGTCAAAAGAGATTCATTTAATCAAGTTGTGCTATACTGATGTGTGTTGCAGAAAGCTTGTGATATTCTAAGTAAAAAGGTGTTTTTGTATATTTCATCAGTCCTTCAAAACTTAGGGAGATATAAACACCTCTCTTTTTTCAGTAGTATCTATGTCATTGTTCTTTTCATTAAATGAAGAATATTATATTATCAGTGACAGAGTCACACATCTTTTAGATTTTCCCAGCAGTTATAAAACTCTTCCATCCATCATCTCAGACTGCTGATTCCAACCTTTACCTTAAGCATTATTGGTTAATACTTGAGGCTTGTTTACCTCAACATGAGATGGACAAATAAAGGCTACCTAGTAAATTCCGTACCAATTTTTCATTTCTTCCTCTTTTTTATTTTTTCTTTCTATAATTGCCTCTATTATTTCATTGGTAGTTAGTAGAAATAAACTATTTAGAAAGACAAAAATTGATGCTGCCAGTATCCAGGACTTTCCACTCCACAACAATACAGGAAGGAGCAGTGTAGGCACATAGCAGTGTCTAACATTCTTTAAAGAAACATTCTCATGGCATCCTTAGCCACTGTCAGTTCCACTTGGATCAGAAATGAAGGCTGAGAAGCACCTCAAGCCTCTCCCAGATACAGACAGTGTTTCCTAAATGCCTAGGAATCCTTTTCTTGCCTACTTGACACTAATCCACCTAAGTTTCTAAAATGGTTTCATTTTATTTCAAAGGTATAACAGGAAAAAGGTGAGAATATTGTCTGAAATCCATTTTATTGCACAGAATAACACATTCATTTTTGTGTGGCTGGTATCATCAAATTCAAGCCTGTAACCTTGGACTTGTCAATATAGGGATACCCTTTCTTCCAAAATGAATGTTAGACTTTTGGTTTATGCTTTCCAGGTAATTCTTTTTAAAAAATTATCTCTGTTGTTAGTTCTGAAATGACTATCTATGCAGATAAATAAAAATACCAGAACTTATATTTTGAATGTAGTTCAAATATTTGATCTACTAGTAAAATATGCAAATAATAAGAATCAATGCATGTCAAAAATGTGTGTCTGATTTCTACAAGTCTGCTGTAAATTGTTCTTATCAGAGCAGTAAAAACTCTACTATAAAAACAAAATTAACCTAAAAGTATCATGAGTTATGAAATTGACACACGCACACACACACACTACACACACACACACATACACACACACACAAGATCTAAGGGGAAATGTTTCCAATCCCTTCACAAACTAAATGCTGTATTGACAAGACTGTTCCGTGTGTTAAATTACTCTCATCTGTAATTATTATATTATGAGCAACAAGGTAGCTTTTACATCACGTAGAGGATTATGCTAAAAAAAACCTAAATAAACTTATGGCAATTTTTGTAGTGAGCAGAGATGTACATTTAATACAGATAGCACATTTTACATTTTGCTGAGATATTAGCTTAATTTTTCCTTTAGATTTTTCCAGAATGTGTGTATTTTATCCAGAAAATGATGCATGTTTTTAATTTTGGTGACATGTTATATTGATGCAATGCCATATGAGTAAGGATTTATTACTGTTATGTGCTGCAACACTTTAGGTGATGCACAAAAGGAGCCAGCTTGCTTCCAAAATCCACTGCTTCTTTATTTAGATTCCTGACGTGATGCTCTGTTGCCAAATGCAAAACATATTGCACTGCCTTGTCAATTTTTTTTTCTTTGTTAACAAGGTCACTCAAATGTAGTGTTTACAAATTGTAAATTCTGCTTAATATATTAAATAATGGCTAAAGGCTGAGAAGTCAAAAGGTTGTTCTTTACATTAATCTACCTTTTTTAAAAAATTGTCTTATTTTATTGTCATTACTTTCTATCCAACCAGGAAAATGATGCTATATTTTTATTTTTGCTTTTTTCATTTCAAGGTGCTATTGCTATAAAAATAATAATATCACTAGTATCTTCAATAATAATAATCGTAGTTCACACTTACATGGCACTTTTTATGGTTGAGGAACTGTTCTAAGCACTTTACATATGTTAATTCAACTTTCATAAGTCCTTTAAGGTCATTACTATTATTATCCCCATTTCGTAGGTGAGTCTGATATACAGAAAATAGAAAAATGTGTTCAGTTTCTGATTGATGGAGCTTGCATTTGAATCCCAGTACTCTGGTTTCAGAGTCTATGCTTTTAATCCCTATGATAAACCAAAGTTAAAAATAATTTATGTAAATTTTTTCATATGAAAAACAATGACAAAAAGCTAACAATTTTTGAAATGTTTTGGATATTTTCTAATGATTGTTTGACAATTTCCATAATAAATAGTAAATAGAATTTATGTGAAATTTTGTGAAAATATAGAGAATCACCATTCTCCTCTTATTCTATATATATATACGTGTATATATATATACGTGTATATATATATACACGCATATATATATATATTTTTTTTATTTTTTATTTTTTTTGGAGATGGAGTCTCGCTCTGTAGCCCAGGCTGGAGTGTAGTGGCACAATCTCAACTCACTGCAAGCTCCGCCTCCTGGGTTCACGCCATTTTCCTGCCTCAGCCTCCCAAGTAGCTGGGACTACAGGCACCTGCCACCACGCCCAGCTAATTTTTTTGTATTTTTAGTAGAGACGGGGTTTCATCGTGTTAGCCAGGATGGTCTCGATCTCCTGACCTCGTGATCTGCCCGTCTCGGCCTACCAAAGTGTTGGGATTACAGACATGAGCCACTGCGCCTGGCCTCAATACCTATTTTTATAGACCTCTAGTATTTTTTATTCTGCAGATGCTACTTCCTGCTACAGACTACATATTGCTCTCTGAGGAAGGTTATGTTTGCTGAAATGTTAAGTAATCTTAAACCATACCAAAGTTTATATAAATTTCCCATGAAGTGAAATGCATTTGTTATCTGGAGTGCCAATGTTGGATGAGAGTCACATCGACATTTGTACGTTTCTAAAACTCTTTCAGAACTTTAGGATGGACATTATCTAGGTTAGATGACTCACTGTCCATAGCTTCTTTACCCTGTGAGAAAAATTTTAAATGGGTAAAAATAAATTGGAAAAACTGTCATAATGCAGACAGGTTTGACTCCTTTACTCAGTTTTCAGTCTAACTTAACAAACTCTGTGGTGGGCTCTTGTGTACGGTGACTTCACTGGAGTATGTTGGGGTATTGGTACCATTGAATCAGCTGTGGAACAAGAAGAAAACTGGGCCAAATGGTAACCACCCTGGGCCAAGCAGCAGGAGCTGGGATCAAACAACAGTGTTGCAAGGCTTGATCTCACCAAATGCAGCCAAGAAGTCTAATGTCCAATACAAATATTATTGAGCTTAGACATGACTTAGGTATGTATCAGTACTGAGAGGGCCTCCCTAGTTAATGGAGCACAGTGACAGAGAATCTGAACAAAGATAATATTACAGGCAATTTTAGGCCTGTGACTGTAGTATACACTTACAAAGCTAAAAAAAAGGACATACAAAAAGCTGAGCATAATATCAATGACCAATTAAATTTTCTGCTCCTCAGGACTAGAGTGTTGACTGAAACATCCTGTAGGATGATTAATCAGAAATTAGAAGGGGGTGAAGCAGACAAGGCCACTCTAATGGGAAAAAAGGGTTGAGGAGGGCACCTGCCCTGTTCAGATGTCTATTTACTCTGACAACCCAAATACCTTATCTTTACCTGTAACATTATCATCCTACTAAATTGTAATCATTCATAACATTAAACTCAGGAAAACAAAATGATAAAATCAAAAGAGGTCTTCCATAAATAACACCTAAAGCAACAGAACCTATTTTCACTATTAATAAGGGTCACAGGATTATACTTTCACTCAAGCCTTTTCAAAAGATTAATGCTCTATTTATGAAATAGCATTGTTAACATTTTTGGTTCTTAATTTATTCTTTTGATAAAAATAAATGAAACATATTTGAATTAAGATTAGATATAGACTCAAGAAAAATGCTAAGAAATTTTTA
Source organism: Homo sapiens (assembly GCF_000001405.40). NCBI lineage: Eukaryota > Metazoa > Chordata > Mammalia > Primates > Hominidae > Homo > Homo sapiens. The sequence goes on from NC_000001.11 coordinate 187,434,471, forward strand.
TGAATATAAAATGTATCTTTTTTTCTCTCTGAAAATAGATTCTAGGGTATCGATTCATTTATAGTGGGGCAATCTTGCTGGAGATTATAGAGAAAAGGTCAGTTTTCTGCCAAATTACTTTCATTATGTTGTCCAAGAAGGTAAAATACGGGTTAATTTAAAATTGCAATTACATCTTTGCACCAAATATATCTGGTTTAGAAATAACAAGGAGATTTTTTTAAGTTAAAATTTTGAACAAGTGAAATTAAGTTAAATGTCTTTAAGGCTGTCTTTTATTTTAAGTAAGTATGCAATAGGAGCTTGTTTATCTGAAATTAAAATGTGATACTTTTGAAATAGCTGTAATTATAAATAACTGATTTTAATGGCAAATTACAAATTCAGTAAGACTATTTTAATTTCTATTTTTATTATGTATATTTATTTCATGAAACATATTATTTTTTGTTAGGCAGACAATTATATTTACAATGGAAACAATATTCTTGTTGATTACTCAGTAAAAGTTCACATTTTATTTTACTAAATAATTTGCCTTTAAATACATTTTTCTATATCTCATATTAGATCATTTTCTCCATACTAATAATAGATTTTCATGGAGAGGAGAATATTTGTGGGTTGTATTATATACTGATGCCTTATATATATGTTGTCTCAGTTATCAGAATAGAAACAGAAGTTCAGGGAAGTTTAATTTACTCAAATCACAAAAATAGTAAATAGAATTCTTGGAAAGACTTATAATTAGATCTGTCAGACTCCATACGTGTGCTCTTGGCCTCATGCCCTTCAGAGACATTTTCTCCCAGGTCGCTCCTACTGTCCTGGGTAGCCAGGGATGCCTGTGTGCTGGCTTCGCTACTGCCTGGGCAAGATTCTCAGCCTGTCACGTAGCATTTCTTCTGAAGCTAGTAAGGATGCATGAAATCCCTCCAGCCAGCAGCAGAATTACTTTGTCTGCACTATGGTGTATTGTTCGGTGAAGCAGTTTACTAATTTTAGATCCAAGATTGTCTACCTGAACCCCGAGGATGGAAACCGTACCTTTCTGTGCGTGATAGCAGGACTTTGCCATTTTACCGTCTTCATTAGCATCATTTTACTTTTGAGGGACCCTCCTGCCCAGACAAATGATTTGTTCATTACAGAAACTTCTCAAAGACCCATCTACCCCTCAATAGAAAGTATCACCAGACATCAAAGCATCAAAGGTCAGTTTTCTGTAAAATTACTTTTGTTACATTGTCCCTAAAAAAAAAAGACAAGTTAATTTAAAATTACCATTTCAGTTTGAGCCCTAAAATTATTTGAATGCCTCCACCAATTTCTGAATGATTGTATCTTGATTCTTACCTAATCCTAATCAAGCCCCATTTTGGAAAGACCTGCCTTAAATCAAATTTCCAATTTTCAAATTTGTGACCTTGCTGTCTCTTTTCTGATACACTGGCAATGCTTTGCTTTTCTTTCTGCAATAAGCAATAAATTCAGCTTTGCCTTTTCAATAAGTTGTTGGTGATATTTGGGGAGTCAGCTTTTGACAATTTCAAACACACAACTCTTTTCTTATAGGTGTATTCATATATTGCCATCTGAGAAGAGTTCTGTCTCTTCTGAATTGCTGCTCATAGACCCAAGTAGAGTTGCTCGTCTCCATTGCAGAGCCAGCATCTGGAAGGTTCATGTTTACTAGCCATAGCAAGCAATTAACTGGGCTGCTATGTTGCGAGCTATGAAACATTTCTTGGAAAAGGTCATTTTAAAGGGAGGTATTTGGGGAGAATGATCCATAAGGCAAAAGGAAATTCTGTATGAGCATGTGCAGGTTAGAGGTAATATAATTTTGGTGCCCATATTAAAGGTTGTGCTTGTGAAGTCAGAGGCTGCTGAAACAGAGACATTTGGAATTTGTATTAGGAAACATTTAGCTTGTCTAACTGTAGTTGCATAAAACAAACTCTGAAATCCCCCTTCTGACACAATGTCTGATTCTAATACTCTTTTTGTTTTCTGTCACATACATTGAGATCTCTCTGTGTGTGATACAATATTTAGGCCCTGCCTCTTCCTTTCTTAGCTCAGGAACATTTCCTAAACCATGTGCCACAAAACACTCATATATTCTGGGTAATCTTAATTGATATTAAGAAAAATATGCAATATTATATGCCTCCTTTTGAGATTCAAATTGAAAATTCTGTCTCAATTTGAGATTGAGAAATTCTGTCTCAATTTGAGAAAATTCTGTCTCAAATTTTGAGATTCAAATTAAAAAAAATCGGTCTCAATTTGAATTACAAAAATAAAAATAAATGTTGTGTAATCCGGCATGTTTTAGAAGTATATGAAATGCCTTAAAAAATTTTTTTTTTCCTAGTGACACCTTGCTGACCTCTTGTGTCTCAAGTGAAACAGTTTGGAAATGCTCCCCTAGTCTGTAAGGACAACATTAACAAGCCTTATCTCTTGTCTCTCTTTCCACCTTGTAACCTGTTAATACTCCCCTAAATTTAAATGCCTTTTCAAACTTCCACCTGCTCTGCCACAAGCAAAACACCAAACCAAAAAACAAACAAAAAACCTAAGGCATGCTTCTCTTCTTTTCATGTTTTTGCCACCATTTTGTCTTTAACATTTTTAGATTTTTTGTTTATTTAATCCACCTCTTGGCAAATTACTGTTGTAATCTTAATGAGGTCACTTCCCTAAAACCAACCACTATTCTTTTGATAATTCTCCTGTGGCCAGTAGTTCTCATTTAAATATTGCCCCAAAGATTTGAAATGGTTAAAAACAGTATAATAATTGAAGGCTACTTTGTACCCAAATCCAAACGTTTACTAACTGTTCTGTTTCTTATCATCCATTATATCCAAACACGTCACCCAATACAGCCAATCAAAGATTCTGCAAAGAAATCAAACGACAACATTGAAATTCAGTAGTAGAGGCCAACATAGACATTTCTGAAATTTGAATATAAATTTTCTGTTATGAAAGAACCAGGAAAAAATATAAACCTAAAAATTATATTTCTTGTCAATTTATAGAAGTTTATAGGCTTCAAAATAAAAAGTAATAAAAATACAAAATTAAATAATTTTTATCTTTTAGAGCCTGATGAAACTAAACATTATCTTGTCTTATTATTTGCAATCATAGCTAAAGAAGTTCTGAATATTTACATAGAGATAAGGGTTCCTTTAGTAACTTTGTACCTGGGCTGTCTTTCATGGAAATAACCACAATTCCTTCAAGACCTCAGAAGGTATAGATCAATGTGGAATCTTTGATGTGTTTCATTTCCAAGAACAGCCAAAGAATTAGAAGGACATACAGGATTATCAAAATAGTCACAAGCCTGACCACTCAACAAATTTAGGCAACAAACTTTTTGGGGACTGATTCTTAGTTCCTGGAGAAAATTCCCAATGAAAATTATATTCAAAAGCCTCCTACGTAGTTTCACCAATGATCATGGCAGAAATGCAATGATAGTTGAGAGAGAAAGAGGACTGAGATGCCCCTGGTATCAGATGATAGTCAGATATAGAGAGATCGCAACATGTAAATCTGAAATCAATTAGTAGAAATCTCCATAAACAGTTAAATTTGACACTGCCTGGGGAAAATTAATTATACATGGGTGGGGGCAGCAAACAACATAGCTCATCATTCTGTCAGATAGTAGCACTAAAATACTGTTGTCTTCTTGGAAAGCCCAGATATTCAGTGTGCTCACTGCTATTGTCAACAGGCATGTTTCTTGACCACCCCACTATTTAAAATCTTGTAATTTATATTTCTCCATAGACTTCTGTGACACTTGAACTACAGGACTGGGACATGGAATCTATCAAGTGACATAGCCTTCACAAAATAATATTTTAGGACTCAGTATTTTTCTGTAGTGTAGCACATTGGTACAGCCAGTGCCTGCTAGGATGGAATTTCACAGGTTTCTTTTAGTTATGCTTCTTTGGTCGGCATAATGTTTTTGAGGTTTATTCATGCAGGTGCATATACCATTACTTCGTTCCTTTTTATTGTTGAAAACTATTCCATCATATGGATATACCAAATTTTGTTTGTCCATTTACCAGTTGATAAACATTTGGATTGCTTTCAATTTTGGACTATTATTAATAACACTGCGCTGAATATTCAAGTACAAATCTTTGTGTGGACGTGTTTTCTTAACCCACCAAAAAGTAAAACTACTGGATCTTATGACTTTAAAAAAAATTGAAAAACTGCTTTTCCAAAGTGTCTATACCATGTTACATCCTTGTAGTGTATAAAGCTTCTTCTACTTTTTCTACATTTTCATCAGCATCTATTTCAAAGTATTTTCTATTTGAGCACTGCAGTAGGCACATAGTAGTATCATGCTGTAGTTGCAACAGTTGTTTCTGTAATGACTAATGATGTTTAGGGCCTCTTCATGTGCATATTTGCCATTTGTATATCTTATTTGGTTAAGTGTTCATTCAAATATTTTTGTCCATTTTCTAATTAGATTGTCCTGTTATGGTTGAGTTGTAAGAATGTATTATATATTTTGGATAAAAGTCTTTTATCAGAAATATGTTTTGCAGGTACTTTTTGCTTCTCTGTGGCTTATCTTTTCATTTTCTCAATAGTGTCTTTTGAAAAACAAGAGATTTAAATTCTTATGAAGTCTGGTTTATTATTTTTATTTGTTTTAGGTATTATGCTTTTTGCCTTATATCCAAGAATTTTTTTCTTAATCCAAAGTCACAAGGATTATCTTCTATGCTTTATCTAAGAAGTTGTATGGTTTTACACTTAAATTTAGGGCTATATCCTATTACAAGTCATTTTTCTTTGTGGTGTGAGGTAAGGGTCCATGCTTATTCTTGCCTTTTCCCTACAACGTGAATCTTCAATTACTCTAGAACCATTTTTTTATATACTATCTTTTCCCCCATTTAATTATGTTGGCAATTGTGTTGCAGATCGATTAATCTTATATATATGTGTTTATTTCTGTTCTGTTCCATTGATCTATGTGTCTACCTTTATGCCAGTACCACACTCTTGATTACAGCTTCCAGGGAAGCTGTTGAACCAGGTCATATGTCTTCTAAATTTATTCTTCTTTCTTCAAAATTGTTTGGCTATTCTAGGTTCTTTGTATTTCTAGCTGGTCAATTTCTATTTAAAAAAGATATATTTGGAAATAATTACCCTTTTAGTGATATTTAGTATTCTAATTCAACATACCTTTTTGTTTATTTAGGTCTTTAACTTTTCTTGTCAATGCTTTGTAGTTTTCAATAAAAAGGTCATTCACTTTTTAATTAAAATTTATTCCTAAGTAGTTTATTTATGGCTATGAAGGTTTTAATATCTGAAAACCAATGAACGTCACATCATATTAATAGAATAAAGAATAAAAAATATGATCATCTCAATCTCAACAGAAGCCAAAAAAATTTAAAAAACTAAAACACATCTATTCATGACAAAAACTCATTTTATATTTTATTTTCTGTATATTATTGTGAATGAAAATGTTTTCTTAAATAAAATTAGTTTTTTATAGATTTGGATTTTTCATTACTAATACATACAAACATAATTTTGTAAAATTTTATTTTGATTTTTAACTTTTGATTTTTGTATGCTTATCTTGCTACCCACAACCTTGCTACTCACTTCTTTGCTCTAGTATTTTTTGTTTATGGAAGTGTTGGGGGTAAATTCTTTGGGATTTTCTAGATGTAAGAGCACATTTACTGTGAATAAATGCACTATTATTTCCTTTTTTAAAAATCTGAATGGCTTTAATTACCTAGAGTTTCAATTGGCTAGAAACTGCAGTACCAGTGCTGAATAGAAGTTGAAAGAGATAGTATTGACTTATCCCTGCTCTTATGGGGAAAGCATTTAGTCTTTTATCATTTGTATGATATGTGCTATAGTTTAGGTTTTTTCAAGATATCTTTTATAAGCTTGGGTAAGTTCCCTTCTATTTCTAGTTTCTTGGATTTGTTGAGTTTTTGTCATGAATAGATGTGTGTTTTTATTTTTTTAATTTTTTGGCATCTATTGAGATTATTGAGATGATTATGTCTTTATTCTTTATTCTATTAATATGACATATAACATTAATCGGATTTCAGATTAAACGGACATTGCATTCCTGAAGCAAAACTCACTTGACCATGTGGTATAATCCTTTTCACAACTTGCTGGTTTCAATTTTCTAATATTTGTTAAGGGTTTTTGTATTTATGTTCATGAAATATATTCGACTGTAGTTTTCTTGTGATATCTTTGTCTTGCTTTGGTGTCAGGTTAACAAAGTGACCTCACAAAATGAGTTGAACTCGTAAAAGTTATTTTTTCCTTCTCTATTGTTTTTGAAAATGTTTGTGTAAAATTGTTTTTTTTTCTTAAATGTTTTCTAGAATTTACTAGTGAAGCCATCTGAGTCTGAACTTCCTTTGCAGAAAGATTTTTAAGGATTAATTACTTTGTTTGGTATAGATTTATCTCGTTTTTTGTTGCTTGAGTCAATTTTGTTATTTTTTTCATTCCTGAAGTTTGTCTTTTTTATCTAACTATTCAAATTCTCAGCATAAAGTTTTTCAGAATGTTCACTTATACTACTTTTAACTTCTGTAGGGATTATTGTGAAGACTTCTCTTTTCTTCCTGATTTTGGCAATCTGTATTTTTGCTTGTCTTACTAAATCCTCATTTAGATTTTGTCTTATGAGGCTCTCCTGTAGGATAATAATAAAATCATTATGTCTGTATCTGCCAATAGCATCCATTCATTGTTCAAATAATTCTTATTCATCTTCATGCAGGAGATATTCTTTTCTCAGGCCAATATCCAATAAGGCCTGTTTGTATTCAGTCTATTACTGTTCTGCTGGCTCCCCTTTTAATATTTCTACTGTTAGTTATGTTTTACCCTGGAGTCCTAAGTATACAGTATTTGCAGTCTTCTAATATCAACACACAGGACACCTGAAGGCTCATCTATAAAAATTGTATCACCTTGAAACTCATCCAGTGATTATTTTAATACGTTATGACTCTTGGGCATGGGGCCAATCCACAAAATTGTTTTCTCCTTGATTTGCAAAACAAAATTTGGAGCAGCTGACCCATTACTATTTACTTAGGCCTGATACTAACAATTTATTTCCAGACTTACTGGGATATTCTAGTATACTTATAACTCAGCTGTCTTGGGTTGAAGAGTAGCAAATTATATTCTTCCTACCAAAGCATATGAAGATCCATTCTCATGTAAACTCATTTATAATGCCAGGCTACACTGCCTCATGAAGATCAAGGTCAAACTGTATCAGCCCTTAGATGTAAGGCCTGTGTGTTTCCTGAAGCCTGTGTTCAACTTGGAAGATCTCGGCCTTTACAGAGAAGGGGTAGCGTTTTCTGAAATGCATACTCATTAGCTCAAGAATTGGCTAAATATACCAAAGGACAATTACCTTAAGTCAAGGTGACTGATATGGTTTGGATCTGTGTCCCCACCCAAATCTCATGTCGAATTCTAATCACCAGTGTTGAAGGTGTGGCCTGGTGGGAGGTGATTGGATCATGGGGGTGAAGTTCTCATGAATGTTTTAGCACCACCCACCCTCAGTCCTGTATAGTGAGTGAGTTCCCACAAGATCTCGTTGTTTAAAAGTGTGTGGCACCTCCTCTCTAACTCTCTTGTTCCTGCTCCTACCATACAACACTTGCCAACTCCCCCCCTCCCCTTCTGCCACAATTGTAAACTTCCTGAGGCCTCCCTAAAAGCCAAGATGCCAGAATCATGCTTCCTGTGTAGTTTACAGAACCATAAGCCAATGAAGCCTCTTTTCTGGGTAAATCACCCAGCTTCAGATATTTCTTTATAGTAGCACAAGAACAGACTAATACAGTGATGTTCCATGTGGCCTGAAAATTCAATGAAGAGCCAGCTGTTAAGCTCACAACTATAAAAATACAGTCACATCATAGAATTACAGGCATATGCAAACTTCCCACGTAGCCTGCATTGATAAAGTATCTCCAGCATTTAAAGCCTTTTGATCAAGGCTCTGCCAGATCTCTTCTTCTCATTGTATCACTCCCCAAATATCCATCTTACAATTTCCATTTTCAGTGCACCAAATCTGAACACTTTTTAAAATGTAAACTACTACTCTCACAAACTTTAGAACCTCTTTCCTCCTCTCTTCACTTTTCCAAAGGGGGAAATAATGTCTTCGTAAGTTTCACAGCATGAAAGAGCAAACAGAAAGCATGCAATCCCTATAGGCAGGTAGTCACGTGTCTCACTGAAAAAGAGAGAATGGGGCTAGATGAGAATCATATGAATTTAGTCCTCTCTCTCTGAAGAGGAACAATTGAGCAAAGGAAGCCAAGAAACATTTGCTAAGAAAACTCTCCCTGTATGGAAGGAGACATTAGGATTGGGAAAGAAACATTTCTTCCTAACGTAATTCATGGTCTCAAATTCTCACAAATAATTTTACTCTTCTCTTTTTGAAAGGTTGCCAATCTTCAATTCTGGGTAAATCCCACCGTTGACATTTTATGTTCTTGTTTTTAGCCTGGAAAAAAAATCTGTTAGAAAAAAAGAACTAATTAATCTACTGAATCATTAACTATGTTTTTGGGTTTTGTTTCTGTGATAATGTTTTATTCTCTAAAAGATGTCTATACTGGGTCATTATTATTTGCCTACTGCATTTCAACTGTATTCTTTCCTATTGTGGCTGATTTCCTCAGTAGTACTCAGTATTTACATTATTCATCTCCAGTGTTAGTTTGCTAGAGAAATCATTTGAAACATGTTTCATTTTCCCCAAATACCCAGGTACTGAAATACACACCTTAGATGACTTTCATTTCTTCAAAAGTTTTCACACTTGCCCTTTTTCTCCTTTCTCAGAGTAGGGGGTTATTTTCCTCTTTGTAAAGTCAACCCCTTCGTGAATGGCTAGATCCCCTTTTATCTTCTCTTAGTCCTTCCACTTCCCTCTAAAAAGACAACCACTCTAATGTGCTAAATTTGTGTCTCTTTTTTTGCCTTGTGAATTTTTGACATATGGCATTTTATTACATAATCTCACTTTTTCTTATTCGTTTCCTTTTAGTGCTGCTTGTTGCTGACGTTTCTGCCCAAACATCATGAAATGTGGAGAAGAAAGAACACTCAGATGTGCCCTGGAGACTTTCCTTTTATTTTTAAACAGGTACATCCTGAAATTATGTTAGAGTAAGTTTCAACATATTCAAAATCATGTCATAAAATGAATGTTGTGAGAATTATTGACAATCCTGAAAAAGCTTGGGTTGTTACTGGGTTAAGATGTAAAAGAACCCACAGGTTATTTTCCTTTTCTTCTTCTCTGCCTCACTGTAGGTTCATTGTTACCAGCCCTGTAAAAACAAAACAAAAAAAAAAAAACAAAAAACTGTTTTTGATAATCGGGTTCAACTGTCTCTCCCCTACTATAATAGTTTGTTAAAAACATGCTTCTGGCAATGTGTAAACCTAAATACAATGCAGAATTTTCATTATCCTGCAATAAGAGCGACCGCCTGAAAATAAAGCCTGCACAAAGGAGGGCAAAGCCAAGTTGTGGAGAGAGAATGAATGTGAAAGCAGAGCTGAGCCAGAGGGACACAGGCAGCCTCTGGGTCAGTGTGACTAGTGGGCCTGAAGCCAGATTCCTTTCTTTATCTTTTTAGTTATATGAGTTAATGAATTTGCTATATTTGCTAAAATTGGCTTGAGTTGGCTATTTAACATCTGAGAATAAAGTATGCTGGAAAACAGAATAATTGGTAGTAAGAGGGATTGTTTGGAATTGGAAGACCCAAAACATGGAATCAATTGATTCAAGATAGGGTGGGTGAGAGGGAAAGAATTCCCTCAAATTGGGAATTCTTGACAATCTTTTTGTAAGGAGCAAAGTGTTGATTAGACCAATGACTATTGTGTTTAAAAAACAGATACTTGATTGAGTAGTAGTTGGAAGCAGGATGTGTTTTCTAATGCTTAAATCTTATAATATGGTATTAGAGGAAAGAAGATCTAACCTTTGGTTTCAACCATCCTAACTAAAAGAAGACAGGAAAGAGAACGGTACAGTTTGCTATGGCCAGCAATCCATGATGAGAATTAGATAATCGTGCATAGTGGGTGGTCGTACTAGGTGAATTTTTTAAGTTATTCTTTCCCTTCCTCCATTTCTTTTTCTTTCTTTCTTTCTTTCTCTCTTTCTTCTTTCCCTCTTTCTTTCTCTCTCTTTCCATCTTTCTTTCCTTCTTTCTTCTTTATTTCCCTCTTTCTTTCTCTCTTCTCTCTCTCTCTTTTTCTTTGTTGTTTTATTTTATATTCAGAGGATACTTGTGCATGTTTGTTACATGAATAGATTTTGTAATGGCGAGAGTTAGGCTTCTAGTGACCCAGTCACTCAAATAGTGAACATTGTACGTAATAGGTAATTTTTCAGCCCTCACCCCCTCCAACTTCCCCCATTTTGAAGTCCCAAATGTCTATTATTTCTATTTTTATATTCATGTGTACCCATTGTATAGCTCCCAATTGTAGGTGAGAATGTGCTGTTTTGATTTTCTGTTTCTGAGTCATTTGACTTAGGATAATGGCCCTCAGTTCCGGCTATGATGCTTCAGAGGACATGATTTCATTCTTCTCTATGGCTACACTAGCTAGATGTTTTGCCTCTGGCAGGGTGAGCAGCAAGAACCACAATCATAGATTCCATTGGGTACAGAGGAAGCTTGTTTCCCTAGCTCTGTGTGAAAGCTTCCTATACTATGTTATCTTCCTGACCAAATGAATTGCCACTCACTCTTTAGTCACCCACTATGATTTAGTCTTGTAGCAAAATGCAAAATATACTTACGTCATTATCTAAGCCCATTAATTTGGAAGCAGAGGCCTAGAAGGAGGCTATTAAAGACCAAAGTGGGGAAGAACACCAAAGTCTGTAGCTAAAACACAAGGATGCAGGATCCAGATTAATCAGCTCTAACATAACAAGATTGCTATCTTTAGTTACTTGGTTGGAGAGTTGAGAGACTGCAAATTTGCCAGCATCCTACTGTGGTTTTAAGAAGTACTTTATTACTGGAAAAATCCCAAGCTAGGTAAGTAAGAAAGGATTCATATGATTCTTTACTCCTAAGATTTGAAACTTCAAACTACCCACACAGGAAGTGAGCTGGTAAAGCAACGTAGCTGCTCAATTTCTCTTCCACGTAACAGTAGGAAGAGCAATGGAAGGATGAATTTTCCAGTGAAGAGAATCAGTAGAATTCACTTTGGTTGACCAAGAAACATTTCACTTCCTTGGCAGGGAATCCTTGCAAACCGTGTCTCGGAAGTATGATAGATGCCTTATACATTGTTTCTCCTTCTTCCCCTTTCTAAATCGGAGTTTTAGTGATAATTTTCCTGTTCCAACTTCATTAATGTATATTCAGTGTGCGGAGGTGGTTAAATATGTTATTTAGCTATGGCCTTTTGCACCTTGAAGTCATATCTAAACAGACCAGTCTGCAGACTGCCCAGAAAACCTTGACTTAGAGAAGAATGTATTAACTAAGATTCAGCTAGTCACCCTCTGGAGGAAAGGATAAGTGAGATTTTGCTTATGAATGGGACACTTGCATATTGCTGGGCTGAAATTTTTGAAATTTTATGAATTGCAGAAAGTGCATTTATGACTACCAGGAAGCGAAAGGATAGAATTACTGAAAGCATCTGCTTTTTTTTTTTTTTTTTTTTTAAGACAGAGTCTCTCTGTGTTGCCCAGGCTGGAGTGCAGTGGTACAATCTCAGCTCACTCCAACCTCTGCCTCCTGGGTTCAAGCAATTCTCCTGCCTCAGCCTCCCGAGTAGCTGGGACTACAGGCACTCATCACCACGCCCGGATAATTTTTGTATTTTTAATAGAGACGGTTTTCGCCATGTTGGCCAGGCTGGCCTTGAACTCCTGGCCTCAAGAGATGTGCTCAGTTTGGCCTCCCAAAATGCTAGGATTATAGGCATGAGCCACTGCACCCAGCCCAAAAGCATCTACAATTTTTTTTCACTCTGCCCTCCACCATTTATTTTCAGAAAAAGTGTCTCTTCTGCTTCATATGATTTCGATAAGCTTGTTAATCAAGATGGTTTGACATTTCTAAATAGAGACAAAGGGATATGGTCTATTCTGATCATTTTGTTAGAACAAGACATTTACTATGATGTTTATAAGGTAATATGGTGTCCTTGTGCAGTGCACAGTCTTTATAACTAAACACTATGACAGTGGTTGTGATATATAGCATTAAGGAGCCACAGGAACACCAAAATTGAGAAACTGCCCTGGATTGAAGCATAGTGTTCTGAGAACACTAAATAGTTTGGTGCAACAGAGGTAAATTATATAGAAAAGCTTGTAACATCCTCTTTTCCAGATAACTGAGATCATGGTGTTGAACATCTTGTGGCTGTAATCAGAAGGTTAGACTTTACACTGTAAGCAGTGTTGGGCCACTAAAGAGACAGAGTCTCACTCTGTCACTGAGGCTGGAGTGCAGTGGCACCGTGTCAGCTCACTGCAACCTCTGTCTCCTAGTTTCAAGCAATTCTCCTGCCTCAGCCTCCTGAGTAGCTGGGATTACAGGTGCTCACCACCACACCCAGCTAGTTTTTATATTTTTAGTAGAGACGGGGTGCTGGCCAGGCTGGTCTCGAACTCCTGACCTCAGGTGATCCACCCACCTCGGCCTCCCAAAGTGCTGGGATTACAGGCGTGAGCCACCACGCCCAGCCACCACTAAAGATTTTAAGATGCAAGTTGTATAATCAGAGCTATGATTCATAGAGTGAGGAATATAAAATGAAAACAGGAGAGTCTGAGCTGATAAGTATTGTTAAAGGCCTGGGTTATGGGGAACAGTGTGGAAACATCCACCTTGTTTTGCTAGCGTTGTGAATACCACCAGTAGTGTTTATCTGACATGCATCTTGCTCAGGGTTTTAGGCCTTGGCTCTTGTCTAGAACAAAGAAGTTTTTACAAAGGAGTTTTTAGAGAAAAATATGTTGGTCTCAAATTATTTATCTCCCAGAGGTTTTTTTCTTTTTTTTTAAATTTCATTTAATTTATTTAAAAGACAGTAGAAAGCAAAAAGTATGAACATAACAGTTACATATGCTTATTAAAATGGGAGATAAAAGACAACTTATATACAAATAGTTTGACAGAGGCTCTTGCAGTAGAAAATTGGAAAGAAAAATATAACAATTACATGGAATTGTTAAGTCAAGGATCTTACCCAATATCAGGCTTTATTAAATAATGTCAAAATTATAAGCCATCGAAAAGTGCACATGAAGCAGAGATCTGGGATGTCAAGGACAGCTGACTAGGTCTTGCTTCCCACATTGGACATGCACTTTTGGCCAAGAGTAGATGAGGTCTGCAGGTGAGGTTTATGGGATTTCTTATACTATGAGGAATCTTAAAGAGGTACTTTATAGACCAGAGTTGTATAGTTCAGGTGACACTCTTCAGAGAGCCTTATGTAATTGACCCCGGGTTTTATTCATTCTAGGTAATTCTTAGCCACAGAAATCTTCCTACGGGCCTTTTAGAGATAAGGAATATGCTTACCAAATGTCATTAGTTTACTTATTTGAGAAAGTCCATTTGAAAAGGAAATTACTGTCACCTGCCTTCCCTCTTCCCAGTTTCACTGACGTCTTCCACAGGGGAGCAAAGGGATTTCTGGCCGCCTGTTGCTTTGACTCCTTACTTTTTTTTTTCTTTTCTTTTTTTTTTGAGATGGAGTTTCATTCTGTCACCCACGCTGGAGTGCAGTGGCACAATCTCAGCTCACTGAAATCTCCGTCTCCTCAGTTCAAGCGATGCTCCTGCCTCAGCCTCGCGAGTAGCTGGGTAACTGGGATTACAGGCGCCCATCACCATACCCAGCTAATTTTTTTATTTTTAGTAGTGACGGGGTTTCACCATGTTGGCAGGCTGGTCTGGAACTGCTAACCTCAGGTGATCTGCCCACCTCAGCCTCACAAATTGCTGGGATTTTAGACATGAGCCACTGCACCCAGCCTCCTTTATTTCAATAGTATTTCAGAAGTATGTTGAATAAATGGACTAAAATGAATTTTATAGTTACAGCAATCTGATAATAATTATGTAAAAAGTCTGTGAAAGACCAAGTGACCTGGGAAATAAGACGGCTTTCCTGCATGAGAATGGTTTGCAAGTTTTTCCAATCCTGAAATAACCAATAGAAGGAATGCCAAGGAACTGGCCCTTCTCTTACTCTTTAGCGTATTGACTACAGCTTGATTGACTGTGCTGTAGGTATTAGACAATTTTAGAATCATTACATAAATCAGCATGCCTCTCATATTAAAAAAAATTTTCTTTTACATTGATGAATGCTTGTCTTCCTTCTTAAGAAAAAATAAATAAATATCTACATCCTAGCAAACATACAGTGTGTTTTAAAACTGCTAGCAAATAACCTACATAATTGGACAGCCCATTATCTTGATTATTATTGTTACTTAACACAGATATAGCACTTGCTTCAAATGGCATTCACTCAAAGTAACTGACAAGCATTAATTACTTAATGTGTTCATGTTCTTTATGGAGAAGTTAAATATAGTTGAGTATATATCTGAGGACACACACATAACACACACACTCCCAGGATTAATAGAGAGTCCAAGGAAATGTCTGTTGATTGCTGAATGTGTATATAATAATGTCTATATAATTCCCAACAAATGGATATCAGTCTTCATTTCAGGAATACACTTTCAGTAACAACGTTTATAATCACTTAGCCACAGTTTTAGTAAAAAAATTATTTTAGTCAGAAAGTTCTTTACAGTTAAATTTTTATGATAATTTTAATCCATTTTTTCTTCCAGAATAACAGAGTATCCTTTATGTTGTCTTCCGTGAACAATGCCTTCAGGTCCCCCCATATTGATATCCTTGGTGTCAGAGCAAATAAATTGAATAAATAAGTAAAAGACAAAAATCCCTTTTCCACTTCCTAAATATACATTCATAAGAGACTAGAGGGCCAGTGTTATCAATTATTTTCTTCTTCCCCTCAATGTATTAGCATATTCTCTAGAATGATGTGCATGTGCTGATGAACAAAGTCAACTTCCTCCTCTGGGTTAGTTACAGTGTATACCCAATTAGTGTCTCAGGTATTTTTCCTATCAACATGGCAGAGCGCCCAAATACACCTGGATTTAATTGCCCTTACCTTCATTTGTCAATATTTTCTCTAACTTTGGTGGAAGTTGTTATTCTGTGTCACCGAAGGATCCGTCAGGGTGTGTAGAGTGAAAATAGTAATAGTTAGTGGTTATTCATTCCTTGCTTATTAGGATCTCTAGATCCAAAGTCTCTAACTTCAAACTGTCAACATAAGCATCGTACATCTAAGCTATTTCTGTCTGAATGCACCATGTAGACCATTCTATGTCACATATATATTTATGACACTTTAACTGAATTATTACTGTCTTACAAGTGATCAACATTGCAGTTTACAAAAGATAATAGAAAAGATGAAACTTTCCCTCCTGAGTCTCATCTATTACACAAACCCGAGCTAGATAGGCAATAAATACTATATGCTGCCAGAAGGCTGGGAACTAAAATTATAGTAGTGCAATAAACCAGGGTGGTATGGTCAGTCCCAGAGGAGAGGCTTCTATAACATTGAGAGATAAGGTTTACATAGAAACAAAAGTGTTCCATAATCTATTCTAATATCGTGTCTATTTTATTCTGGTGTTCTTTCAGGTAGCTTTTACTCTGTGGTGAATTCTTTTTAATTAAATTCTAGTTATAATTTGAAACCATCTAGGCTTCTTTTCTCTGAAAATCTGATGAAAGACATGGGTCATCTACACAGATAATGCACACATACAAATAAGCACAGAATTTTAGATATTTATGTATAATGCCTATCCAAAGACTTCATAATGATTCATAAAACATGTGTTAAAAACCCCTATACTTTATACAACGTAAGAAAAAATAAATTTACTATTTCATCTAATGCTGATAATAGACTAGAAGATTTCTACCTGAAATCAATTATTCTTTTATGATTTAGTTTATATATAATACCTCTCATTCTCCTAAAGTGTTAAGGATCTACAACTTTAATCCATGTGTAGTATTCTATAGTTTTGTATATTTTATACTATTATTCATTTATCGGCTTATAAAAACTCTGGTAAAAATTTTGTGTTAGAAATAATGCTGACTTCTGAAATGCACTTAATACTTTGTACCAAGAGAACCATTTTTATATTTCACTTTTAATGTTTTTCACATTCTGGAAGTATTGTTAAGATCCTTTGTTTTTAAAATGGACATGATTGAGGGCAACTGTAATCTATGCATGTGAGACTACAAATGCAATAGCAGCCCTTGTGAGAACATCCATGTGTATGAGCTTTGTAGCTCTTACTTTAATTTATAGAGTCTGTGATTGCTCTACTTTGCCTCCTACATGTTTGGATTTCTTGAATTCCTTATTTGAAAGAACTACCCCATACATGATGGCTATTCCTTCCTCTGAGCTACGTGATTGTACAAAAATATACCTACTGTAAAAATGGGAATAAAAATGCAGGAGTTATAAAAGGCATTGGTTAATGTTAATGTATAATTATATAATAGTGAGGTGCTATTAGAGTGGAGAGAAGTATTAGTAGCTATTCCATTTATCCATTTATCGATTCCATTTATATATTATTGGTGTTAAACAAGCCATCCCATAACTGAGTGGCTTGAAACCACAACTCATTATCTCTTATGGTTTTGTGGTATGCCTGCTTTTAGCTAGGTAGTTTCATCCGGGATCGCTCAAGTGTTTGTAGACAGATAGCAGCTGGGACTGAAGTCATCTGAAGGATGGGCTGGGCTGACCATGGACACTCCCTGTTGGCCCATTGCTTAGCCGGAGTTGCCAATTGAGCACCTCTGTGTTATCTCACTCTGTGTGATGAGGGAATCCTCGCATCACAGTAGTTGGAGTTCTTACATGGGGTCCTAGGACTCAAAGATAAAAGGTGGAAGGATCCAGGCCTCTTATAAAAGGCTAGCCCATAACTAGAATAGTTTCATTTTGCTGTAGATAAAGCAAGCTGTAGGCAAATAAGGCCAACCCAGATTCCAGGAGAGGTAAATAAGACTCCACCTTTTAGTGGAAGGAATTTTTGAAAATGTGCTTTAATCTCTTATAGAAGCCATTTAAATAATTCCCAGAGATGAGCAGCATTGACAAGCTGTAAGAACAGGGATTTCTAATACTATATTTTAGATTGCTAACCTTGCTGTGATGTGCTAAGTTACCTCTAACTCCCAGAATTTTCCTTAGGTTGCCACACACACATATATAAAATTTGTGGATAATTAAGGGTGAAAGTATTTAAAGGAAGCATAGCTTGTCTCACATTCACCACTTTGTTACTGAAAAAAGAATGGCATCCTATCAAGAAGACTGTGTCCAGGGCATTCAGATCATGAAAAGCAGCCAAATGAACAATGAGACATGATGGGGTACATAAAGAAGTCCATATAAATCTTCATCATATAGAATCTTAAACACAATATAAAATATTTGAGAGTTTCTGAAGTAAAGATCCCAGGTAAATCTTGTTCATACCAGTTGTTCCCATACTAATTTGACATAGATTGGTCACACTTTCTCTGTCTCTCTTTATTTCTCTCTCATTTAATTTTTTCCTAACAACTATCAATATCTAACAGCTTCCTAAAGACACTTTGAAAAATGCTGCATAGTAAATATAACAGAGAGTGTGTTGATTTAATAAAGAAAAATATCTTTGGATTACAGCTTCTGAGATAGATTTAATAAAGGAAGTAGGAAACTAGCAGAATCATTAATAAACTTGTTTTAGAAAAGAAGTGGAGAAATTCTGCTAGATGGGATAGAAGAGATTCGTCTAGTCCTAGAGTTTTCTTCAGCAGGCCCTAAGATTTTCCTGGAGATATGTCAGAGAGGACCAGGAAGGAAGTGGACAGAAAAGTAAGCAGGTCTCTACACTCTAATTTCTTAGCAAACATCCCAAAACACTCAGTTAATACCTCTTCACTGTGAAGAGTTAAATAATAGATTTCATTTGAAATGGTAATGGTGATAAAAGGATGAAGAAGAAAGAAAGGACAGGAGTGGGAGGAGGAGGAGGACAAAGTTCATTCAAAAATTCAGTGGCACAATCAGAAATAGAACAAAGATCCTCTGTCTTTGAGACGAGGCTGTTCTAGTCTTCTACATGATCTCTGAGGAGGGGAAATTCTGAGATCAAGAGAAAGTTAGGTTGTGGTCAGACTGTTAGCAATCTTACATTTTAGGATAAGAATTTTTGTCATTACTCTTAAAGATTTAAAAAATTTTACAAATATATCTTAGCAGGAAACAGAATTTAATTTTTAAAGGAAGATAAAATGCTAGTAGCTCAAGATAAAATTAAAGATAAAAATATTGCAATTCAGAAGAAAAATATTTAAATAAATAGACTGGTTTATGTAAACAGTTCCAGCAAGAGGTAGTGAATGATAGGACTCTATGAATTCCAAGCTGATTGACAGGTAAGCAGAAAAAGCAATACATTTTTGGCCTTGAAGTTCTTATGAAACTTTCTTAATGTCATTCTATTTGATCATTAACTCTTTATTAAAAAATTCAACAACTTAATTTTAAGTCCTGATTGTAGAAATTTGGTTCAGTTGCTGCTATTTATGTATAAGTATTATATCTCTAAATTAAAAATATTTACTGCTCTTTTTTAAAAAAATATTTTTTGTTAAATTACGGCATCTTCTTAAATGCTTTTTATTAATAATTGTTTACATTTATAATTGGCACATAATAATTGCTCATATTTATATACAGTATGATGTTTCAATGGATGTATACATTGCATAATAATCAAATCGGGGTAATCACCACATCCATCACTTTAAACACTTATTATTTCTTTGTGGTGACAACATTCAAAACCTCTTCTAGCTATCTTGAAATATACACTACATTGGTATTTGCATAGTCACCCTCCTGTGTTATAGAACAGCAGAACCTATTCTTCCTGTCTGTCTAAATTTGTACCCATTGACCAACATCTCCCAATCTTCCATCATCCCTATCCTCCTGAGTCTCCAATAAACACTGTTCTCTCTATTTCTATGAACTCACTCTTTTAGATTCCACATATAAATGAGATCATGCAATGTTTGTATTTCTGTGCCTGGTTTACTTCCTGTAACATAGTGTCTTTCAAATTCACCCATGTTGCCACAGACGATAGGATCTAAATAATTTTAAGGTAGAGTCAGCCAGTGTTATTGAGTAATTTACTGAAAAAGTAAATTAATTATAGTTAGTACATTTAATTGTGTAGACAGTGTCTGAAACACAACACTTAAAATGTCAATGCCAGCTTTTGTAATGAAGCCAATTCTCTAAGCTCTAGTAGGATGGAGATGTGTCTGTTTTAGTTGGTATAATTTTCTCAGTGTCTGACACCTGGTAGACACTTAAAGTTATTCGTGGAATGAATATATGTTAATGCATGAAGTTGCTCATTTTCATGTTATTAAACATTGTGTAATACATTATTACATTTTGAAAGTTTGTAAAATTTCATCATCCTCAATAATATAGGTTCTGTGAATGAATATGATCGGATAAAACAGAAACAGAAATTTATGTAGGATTGATCATATTATAATTGAAAATTACTTAGAAACTCTTCAAAGTAAATAAGTAGGTACGTATCATGCTATACAAGGTCATTTCTCCTTTTCTGCAAGCACATTCCTGTTCAGTCTAAATTAGTTCTTCCAATCAAGCAACTGATGAGGTATTTTTTACCATACTTGAATTTTCTGCACTACTATAAAGAAAGAATAACACATAATTAGAAAGCCTGGAAGAACATTTGCTAAGCCATATCTGTTTTTTAAATGATTTTTGTTCATTCTTACTCCACATAACTGGAAAAATATATTTTCATGGTGATTTTGTGAATTTAATGCTTGAAATAATATAAACATTTAATATAAAGTATGACTTTATCTCTCTAATTTTTTGAAATTGAGTGTAATTTGAATTTTTTGAATAAATACACCTCTAATATTAGACTATTACAATCAATACAATTGTTTCTTGTAAGAAAAACCTGTATCAGGGACTAGTGTAATTTCTTGTAATTTTGGCTATGCAGAATCTGATTGCAAATACCCTATCAGAAATTCTGATTAGCAGTTGTAGATGTCTTTGATTAATAAGTGATAAAGTCATCATTAGTTAATAAATGTCATTTATTTCACAGAAAATTTCTCTTTCAAATACAGGACTCATGAGAAGCAGAGGTCTCTGTCTCTTGGGTGACAAAAATATTGGGGCACAATGAACTCAATATGGTTTAGGAATGATTAGTTCTTTGATAGAGAGTTCTCTGATGTAATTAGTGTGCTTTTTTTTCAGGGTTTTAAATATCCAGCATGCTCTTTTGTCCACTTGATTAACCAGTAAATTAAATTTTTATGTAAGTCTTCTGACCTAGTCAATTTGTCAGGAGTATACATTAACGGAGGGTAACAGATGAGGTTCTTCCTGACCCTCTGTACAAATCGCTGCACCTCATCTACTTCTACCAGAAGGAGCCTCTGCTTTTACTGACATATGGGCCGTGATGGAAACAAGCAAAAAACTAAACATTAAAACTGAGACATTTTAAGAGAGTCTGTGAAGTTCACAGTAAGAGAAGGCAAGACACTGAAAAGAGAAGGCATATGTTAGACGAAACTAACATTAAGTAATGTCTTTCAAGGCAAGAAGCACTTAGATGTTTATTGAATAAATGAAGTGAATGAATAAATAAATGCCTTATAGGCTGCACCAACTTAATATCTGGATATTTTCTTCTGTCCAAAAAAACTGTTTTATTGTATTTTCTTAAACTTCCAATCATTTTAAAGTCACTGCAATCGTTTTAAAGTCACTGATTTTAAGAATTAGTAGGCCTTATCTTTTAAAGCTGCATGACCTTAAGATTTAGGAGGAAAACTTGGAGTGGGCCTTGGATAGTGCTGCTTAGAGCAGGTGAGTTACTTAGATATTTGAGAAAATGGACTGAGGGGTTAGAAAAGAGGGTAAATATGACATTTAGAAATAAGCAATGCATTTCTTCTCCACCCCATTCTTTATCTCCTTTCTTTTCCCTCTCAACTTTTCTTTTTCTCCTCCTCCTGTTTCCCCTGTTTGAAAATTGAGATCCTTATTTCCCAGGCTACAAACTCAGGCTAAAATTATGTATTCTATACTTCAAATATGTTACACTTAGATAGTTCAGGGACTTCAGACCCTAATCATAATAGTTTCTTTAGAAAATGTTGCTTAGTTACAAAACTTGTCTTTTTATAACAAATACAACAACATTCCTAATTTGGAGGTGTTTGTGAATCAGATCGGTGGAATACCTATATGCTTTACCCTTTCTCCTCATTAAAATAAAAATCAAGATGTTCTAGTAAATTCCTTTCACTCATTACACCATTGATGGTTGTATTCTCAAATACCTGTGAAGAAAATTAATGAGCTTTTGTGGAGTACTAAAACTGTGCATATCTTTGGAAACTAATGTTGTATTTAGCTTCAGTCATGATGGATTGATCCAGTGCACTGTTATACTGGAAAATGATTTATAAGAAGAAAAACAGGTGTCATTTTCTTTATGATTTATGGGTTTTGATCTTTAATCCTGAATTTTCATATCATTAGTCCTGAGAAAGGGATATTATAAGACAGGTGCAATGAGACTTCAAATATTTTCATACGTATAAATCAGTTTATTATCTATTTTTTGGTCATGGGTTTTATGATGCAACACATAATCATGATGGAGCACACAATCCTTAACCCTAGCATGATTTCTCAAATCCATATATTTGCCAAATTGCATAAACATATGTCAGGTTCACGACTATGCCAATTGTTATGCTTGAGGTTGGGTTCCAGCCCATCCTGAGGTCTGAAGGGAGTGGGTGAATGAGCAGAAAGAACACTCTAGGGGCCGTAGGCAGTGAAAGATGATTTTATTCAGCAGCAGCTCTCATAACAGCTTTTCCTCACATTGTTCACCCTGTCTTGACTGTTTAGTCCGGCGGCCCCCATACACAGCTGCGTGTCCAGCTCTCCCTTGCCTTCAGGGTCAGCAGCTTAGCTCTTTCTCTCTCTGGGCATGAGTGAGCCAAGCTGTGTCCTGGCTCCCTTCTGTCTGTCTGCAAAGACAGACACCTCTGACTCTCTTTCTGTGGGAACCAACGCACCTACACAGTGTTAACAGGGCAATTATACATTTTACAGATAATACTGGTGTAGAGCCAAGTGATGGCCTTCCCATGTTATGGCTACATGGCTGTAATAACAAGTGGAGTTATATGCCTATGCTCTAAAGTCGCTGATGTAAATATCCTACCTCAGCCTATCCTTGACCAAAGCACAGCCATGTCCCTTGTACCATATGTATATTCATATAGATATATATGTGCATGTAAAAAATCAATTTAAGTGTAAATTAAGACGGTAATAGAAAAATAGTTTATTTAAAAGAATTTGATTATTGAACACAAATAATCCCTTTTAATATGGGAGTTCACCTATGCTTTATAAAATGAAAAGGGGTTTAGGAATTTATTGACCTAGGTTCAGGAGAATTATCTTTCTCCTTCCCAGTGCCCAATAGGTTATTTTTTATCAATGGGTGAGTAAAATGTACAGAACTCTATAGAGACATCAGTCAGAAAGATTTTTCAAAAAAGTTCTGTAGTTTTCTACTCAAGATAACATTAAAAAATTATTATACATTACCTAGGCTATTTTTTCAGCTTTTTTCTAGTGTTCTTTCTCTTTGAATAGTTTCAAAGATTAAAGCTAAGCTTGAAGCACCATTTGAGGAGGTAGAACATGGCTTATTAATTATGTCAAGGCCCATAGAAACCACCTGACTGTGGCTTCTTTACATTGAAGTGTCTGGCCTCCTCCTCTACAACCAAGATGATGGGGAGTTGTCAGGGGTTCAACCAGAGAAGCAGAATCAGTCGGAGATATGCATTAAAATATTTTTGCAAAGAATTGGCTTAAACATTTGTGGGAGTTGGAGATGCAAGTTTGAAATTCATAGGGCAGGCTAGAACACTTGGCCATGGTGGTATGGGTGGGGAAAGTCCTGCTCACATTTCTTCTTCTTTGGGAAAACCTTAGCGGTGCTTTTAAGGCCTTGCACCTGATTGAGTAAGGCCCATTCACATTATCAAGAATGGTCTCCCTTAGTTAAAGTCAGTTGATTACGAACTTTAATCACAGCTACAAAAAAAAAAAACCTTACTGCAACAGCTGGATTTGTATGTATTTGATTGATTACTGCAGTCTATAGCTTAGCTATATTTACACATCCAAAGACCATCACATCACAACATGATACACCATTATAGCTTTTCCTTTCTCACTTGGGGCACTGAAAGGCAAATGATCTATCAAGAGACTGAGAAAAACCTCATGCCTTATGTTTTTTCCCATGTTAGTTGTCTTACCATGAGCATTGTCTTACCATGCAACCCTAATTACAATTCCACCAATTCCACTTATTCACAATCAAAAGAAGAATGCTAAAACTTCTGGCACTGGTACATAAAGATTCATATAGGAAATTTTACTTTTCGATTTTATTGGTAATTTGGTAATTGTGTTGATTGAAATACAGTTTGGGGATTGGGATGTTTTATAATCTATGTAGCAATTATTAAGGAGATTGATATAGCTTGGATGTGTCTCCACCTGAAATCTCATCTTGAATTGTAACCCCCATAATCCCCACGTGTCAAGGGAGAGACAAGGTGGAGGTAATTTAACCATGGGGGCAGTTTTCCCCATCCTGTCCTCTTGATAGTGAGTGAATTCTCATGAGATCTGAAGGTTTTATAAGGGCCTCTTTCCCTTCACTAAGCACTTCTTCCTGCCGCCTTGGGAAGAAGATGTCTTGCTTCCCCTTTGCCTTCCGCTATGATTGTAAGTCTCCTGTGGCCTCTCCAGCCATGCTGAACTGTGAATCAATTTAACCTCTATCCTTTATATATCACCCAATCTCAGACAGTTTTTTATAGCAGTATGAAAATGAACTAACACAGAGATGAACTATTTATTTATAAAACATTTTTAAATTATAAAATGTGTGCTTTTTCAGAGGATATTTATATTTATTATAACACTTTTACATGGATAGGGTAGAAGTTAATTAACTATTGTTTTCACCAAATATTCTGTCAAATCATAATATCCTTTACTTTTGAATATAAGGAAATAGTCTATCTATAAAGGAAATAAATGTTTTGATGAAAAGGTATTTTTTGGGAAAAATGGAGTATAAAAATTTTGTAGTGGGACACTGACACTTTAATCACATGCTTGCGATCACCATATATTAAAATGCTTATCCTCATGTCACTGAAAACAAAAGTCAGTTTGAATTAGCCTAGTTAAAAAATGAAACTTGGCTGGGCACAATGGCTTCTATCTGCAATTCTAGCACTTTGGGAGGTTGAGGCAGGGGGATCACTTGAGACTAGAAGTTTGAGACCAGCCTGGGCAACATAGCGAGACCCTGTCTCTATGAAAAGTAAAAACAAATAGTTGGGTGTGGTAGCACATACTTGTAGCTCCAGCTACTTGGGAGGCTGAGATGGGAGGGTGGCTTGAACCCAGGAAGTTGAGGCTATGGCGAGCCATGATCATGCCACTGCATGCCAGCCTGGGTGACAGAGAGAGAACTTGTCTCACACACAAAAAAAGAAAAAAAAAGAAAGAAAAGAATGAAAAAGAAGTGTAAATTAGCAGAGAAAAGTCTCATCATTTTTGTCAGAGCAAAGGTAGCACCAAAACAATGGTAGATTCCTCTAGAAACAGATTTTTCTTCAGAAGCACAGAATACTTGTTTATTCTGTTTTTCACACCATGCCCAATCCCTTTTATTTGTTGCATGGCTACTGCATTAATTAGCAGCTTTGTTTGTTTGTGAATATCTGCAGTAAATTGTAAAGCAATTTGGTCTTTTAAATTTTCCTTCCTAAGATCAATGTCCATACCCAAGGCAAATAATTCAAAATTTTAGATTAGTCTCCTATCTAGAATTAATTGGTTCTTGTTGTCTTTTCCTTCCTGTGCTATTCTATAGCAAAGTGGGAGCATGAAGATACCTAATAACTGTTCAGTGAATATTTGTTGATTGATGACAGAGGCTAGTTAGAAGAGTTTTAATGACTCATTAGTACTTTAAATTAATAAATCATGACAACAATATTTATGATGGCTTAGCTATTTTTAGACTCTGCATTTATATACACCAATAATCTATTGGTGGCTTTGAGTTCATTGCTTTACCTAGATAATGAAATGTAATATTCTAAGTTAGTTAGAGATAATAAACTGCCTCAGTAAATATTCAAAATGTATACGTACATATGTCTTCCTGTATGCTCATCAAAATATTACATTGGTTCAGGAAAATCTTCAGTCCACTCACCCATGACACATGCACATTTGAATATAATTAATTTTTTACCTAGTAAGCATCACTTCCCCTATAACCACCGCAAACCTTTTATCACAACAAAAGAAGGGTCACAAGAGGTGTTTTTCTTTTGAAGGAACTCTTTGTCTCCTAATTGACCAGCAATTTTTGCTTCGTCAGCATTTCCAAGTCCTAGATGGGCTTTCCTTACCTGTTTATAATGTATAAAAACTGAACAGGAAAAAAACTTTTCTTTTTCCCTCAGAAATCATCTAATACTTTTATTATATTGTTTGCACTTTTTTAAAAAGTGGAGTTGTTCCATCTTTTCCATAACCAAAAATCCAGCTAATGATGCTTTAATCACACTTCACTACTTGCAGATGATTGAAGATGGGGTTATTTTATGAGTAAATATCACTGTGAAGAGCCAAATAGTGTTTGAAAATGATTCTGAAGCTGGGCTTTAAATGGCTTTTGGCACTCTGCTGAGAATAGTAATATATATTGCCGAATAATCATAGGCTTGCCCTATTTTCCCTGTGGTTAGTTTCTACAAGGACAGGCAACTGCGAATGGGAGAGCAATTGGGCAGGTCCAGAGGGTAGTAGGGCCGAAAACCATGGACTCCTGATTAAGTAGATGTAATGTATTTCTCCTTTGTGCTTTACGATGGGGTTGAGAAAAATATGGTGCTTTGGAAATAACAATCTTGTGAAATAGGCAAACATTAAACAAGTAATTGTAAAAAAGATAATAGAGCTATAGAACAATTAGGCAGCACTAAAAATGAAAGAATGAAATGTGAAGAGCAGAGTCTAGGTCCTAATCCTAGGAAACCTCAATGTTTAAAGTAACAGAAATCTGCATAGGAGACTGAGAAAGCCACAAGGGAATTTCAGGAAAACAAGGAAAATCATGTCATGGAAATAAAAAAAAAAAAGGAAGACGGTGTTTTGAGAAGAAGTACGTAGGCAACTGAGCCAAATACTGCAAATACTGCTGAAGGTCAGAGAAAATCAAGACTGGACCACCATATCATCTCCTAAACTACTGCTTTTCTGCACCATGTGCTGCCACTGATTGAACTGTGATGTTTGGTGCTGGTGCATTGATATCATTCTGTTTGTCTCCTACAAGTTGCCAGTGTTGAGAGCAATGCCAGTAGAGTGATACGTCATGAGTTCAGATTGAAACACATTGGAGAGTCCCAAATGGCATGCTGCGAGTTGTTCTGCTTTTGTCTGAGAGCCTACTCTGCTGCTGAGTGAATGGGCATGGCTCTGCAGTTCAGTGGTGTTAACCCAGAGATTAAGGGACTCTTAATCTCTGGGTTAGAGGAGCTAGTGGACAAATGCTCTTGCATACCATCCTTCAGGCACACAGTTCTGAAAGGTATTCTCTTTTCTCTTAGAAGGTCGCATCGTGATGACCAGGATACAGTGCTCCTATGTTGACCTTTTTTCCTTTTCTGTTCATTCATTGCAGCTTTCTGAAATCACCTCCCAAATAAGCTTTCTGTAATTGTGCAAGTCTCTCCTTTCAGCAGAACTCTTAAAATTAGTATTGATTGGTAGTTGAAGGGAGATTTAGAGTTTCGAGAGTCTTGTTCATTTATTTGTTTTAAGATGTAAGTATTATAAACATGTATAAAATCTAACCAGAAAGATCCAGGAGTAATGGAAAGAATGAATACAAATGAGATAAAGGGTATAATCAATAGAGTGAGTTATCTCAGAGGTAGATAGTGATGGGATTCACTACATTGCATGATTACCTTCGATGAGAAAAGGGATACACAAATACACATACTCAGAGAGGAAAAAAAAAATGGGTGTGGATAAGTGTATTTTTTGTAGATTTTATGATGGGAAATACAAAGAGTTTCTTTTGGTGGCTTCCATATTTTTCATGAAGTTCATTTATTTATTCAGTGTACACTTACTGAGTGCTCACTACAAGGCAGAGACTATGCTGAGCACTTGGTCTAGCAAACAAGACAGTAACCACTCTCCAGGGAAAACTCATAGTCCTCAAGGAAGTCAGCTGCTGTGTACAGGGTGCAGGCTGATTACATATTAAGTTTAACAACATTAAGAGCAACAGGCTACTAGAACACAAAACAGGAAAAAGAATCTGGATAAATTCGGTAAAACTTTCAGGAGAAAGTGATGTGGAAGCTGAGATCTGCATAACTGGAAGATCTTGAGAGTTGAAGGATAAATGGGTACAGATCTCAAGGAGAGTACAGAACATAAGACCAGAGGCCAGAGAATGCAGAATGTTTTTGAACACAAAGATGATCAATGTTCCTCGATTATTGAAAGTGAGGAACAGTGTCCTGCAAGTTTCAGAGAGAGGAAGATGCCTGATAGTGCAGAATTTAAATTGACATTTAAATTCAATTTTATTCAAAAGGCACTAGGAAAGCACAAGGACTGTTTATATGGGGGAATGGCATAATCAAATCTGCAATTGTTAAAGATTATTCTTGTAGCATTTTTGGAAATTTAGAGAACAGATTAGAAAGTGCAAAGCAGAAGCATAGTAGTTAGGACAGTGTTTTTCTGGTCTGTTGTTAATGCTACCCACAAAAATAACAATAGTTTTTACAACAAACCACATGTAGCACATAGCACACTTGCAGCTAAAACAAAATTTTTATAAAAATGCTTAACAATTTATACAATATTCTCTCCTCTTTGCCATTCTTCTCTTCTATAGTATTCCATTCTACTTTATTTTAATTTTGAAATGCTGATCCATGAAACTGATGTTGTGACACATCATGAGGATTAGGAGATGGTTTTGGTTGTGAGCATAAAAACTATGTTTGGTTTCAACAAGGCAGATGCAGACAGGTGGCCAAATTGAAGATTTATTTGTGACATAGCATCAACAGGACTTGGTGCTAGAATAAATTTGAAGAGGAGGTGGAGACAACAAATATAACCTGCTGATTTTTTTATTAAGCAACTGGGTGGATGACTACATCATTCGGCAATATAAAGGACATCAGGGAGGGAGCTTATTAGAAGGGGGCCAATGACATTATTTCAGTTTGCAGATTGTGGTGCAGTACATAGATAGCATCTTAGTGTACATGTTGAGTAGACAGTTGGGTATTTGCAAATGAGGCTAGAGAACTATGTCAGGAATACAAATATGTGAATTTCCAACCTAATTATGATAATTAAAGTGATGGAGATAGATACTGTAATCTCTGCAACACTATAGAGTGAGAGAAGAGTCTATGACTGACCATTTAATTTTTGCCCATTTGAAGTTTGGACAAAAAAGATTAAGCTGACACATAAGACTAAAAAGTGCCAAACACCAAAGTATGAGAAAAATCATAAGTGTGGTGTCATGGAAACTTAATGAAATCCGTGTTTCAAGGAGGAGAGATCAAGTGATAGTACTGAAAAAGTGTTCATTGGATTTAGTGACACTGAAGTAACTCGTGACCATACAAGGGCAGAAGAAGTGAGAAGTCAGATTTAAGCAGGTCAGGAAGCTGGAAGCAGATGATAAAATACAGACATGGTGTAGGTGTAGACGATTCATTGGAGAGTTTTTTTCTGTGAAGGAAGATAGTGGAAAAAAATTAATGGAATAGAGAAATGTCCTTTATTTAAAAAAAAAATCCTTTTAGAGCTTTAAGAAGACAGAACCTGGACAGAAATCTGCTTATTGTTTCTTTGAGTTTTGTTCAATAGATGCACAACAACCAAAGTAGAAGATTCATTTTGGAAGCTTACATTATGGAAACTGTATAGATTATTCAAGAAAATTAAGAAAATGCAAAAAAGTAAAATTTAGGGAAATTCCACCCATACTTTTACTACTAAAAGATAATCATTAGTTACATTTTCGTTAATGTTCTTCCAGTTTTTCCATGAATACCTTTTAATATAGCCATAATGATATTATTCATATGCATATGTAAAATATTTTATTCACTTAACATTATAACTACTTTTCTATATAATTTTACAATATTTTTAAAAAATTGATTTAGAGAGCACAAGCGTAGTTTTGTGACATGGATATTTTGCATCGTGGTGAAGTCTGTGCTTTTAATGTAACCATCACCCTGATAGTGTACATTGTACCCATTAGGTAATTTCTCATTTCTTACCCTCCTCTAACCCTCCCACCTTCCCAAGTATTCAATGCCTATTCCACTCTCTCTGTCCATGTGTATGCTATTTAGCTCCCACTTATAAGTGAGAACTTGGTATTTGATTTTCTGTTTCTCAGTTATTTTGCTTAAGATAATGGCCTCTAGTTCCATCCATGTTCCTGCAAAAGACATAATTGTAGCATCATTTCACATTTTTTATGGCTGAGTCGTATTCCATGGTGGCTCTGAGATTCTTACTTCTGTTTGGCCTAGTGAATTGTTAAAGCTTTTTACTGTATTTTTTAATTCCCTCAATGAACTTTTTATTTCTAGAAGTTGTCTTTTTAAAAAATATCTATTGCTTTGGCAAGTTTTTGATCATTTTCCTGATTTGATTTTCTGATATCTTTGTATTTTTTTTATTACTCTTGGATCTCATTGAGCTTCTTTAAAATCAATAGTTTGAATTATTTATCTGATATTTCAAAGATTTGATTTTCATTAGGATTTTTTGCTAAAGAGTTAGTGTGATCCTTCAGGGGTGTCACAACACTCTGTTTTTTCATACTTCCAGAATTGTTTCACTGGTTCCTTCTCATAGGGAGAAATTATTTCCCCTTCTTATTTTTGAGTTTTTTATTTGGATGGAACTTTTTTCTTCCCTTGAGGATGTGACTATAATGTATGTTCCATAAGGTCACTTGGCTTTGGTTCTGAGTGCTTTCTGTGGTAAAGACTCCGTATGTAGAGCCTTGGTTGTAGATATCCTTAATGTGGTTACTTTCTCAAATGCTGGTTGTAGTAGCAATGTACTGGGGCATGTGAGCAGGCTCATGGCCTCCTGCAGGGTCAGAATGGTGGAGGTCTCCAGAAGCTTCTTATCTTGTTCCCATGCATTGTACACTTGTGGCAGCAGATTTAGTATTGGGTTGTATAGTTTAACCTCCAAGCCAGTAGGTGGTTCTTTCATGTAAGAACCAAATGTGGTGGTAGTGGAAGGATTGATGCTTGTTCTTTGTTTACACGGAGAAGCTCTTTGTTGGCTCAGGCAATGGGTTGGTCTGCAGAATGCTCAGTGGCCTGGGCTCCCACTCAGCTCCACAGAAGGGTATGAGGCTAGTTGGAGCTGGACTGCACAAGCTCACCCTTGGATCCTCCACTGGCAAGCACAAGCACCAGCCCTGACAGAGGTGCTTGGGAAGCTCATGGTGAAATGTGTTGGGATATCCTCAGGGTATGGGGGTGGGGTTGCCCCAGCTCTATTTCCTGGGTAGGCAGGAACATGACCCATTTCTCTGTCACACCCTTATCCTGGTACTCAGGACACACAGTTCTGTCAGACACTCCTGTCTATATCCGGGCTGCAATGCTGCCAAGGGCCATAAAAGACACCTGCCTTGTAAGCTCATTGTCAAAATGGCTGTGGTACAGAACCTCCCCCCTCAGCTCCAGACACAAAACCCTCTAGCTCTCCACTACAGGAATACTGGTGCTTTGTGTAGAGAGGCGACAGGGCCCCACCTTTCACATAACTCTGGGCCTAGTGTGAACACTGCCAGTGGGGATGCAGCTACCCCTAGTCACCTCAGAAAGGCTGTCCTCCAGCATGCTTATGCCAACTTCCTATGGGAGTGGCCACAGCTGTGTTTGTAGCAGTGAGCAGAGGGAGAGTAGAAGTACGCCTCTCTATGCCTGGGCCTGAGCACAGAGGCTGCTTGGCCATTGGAATGGAACTACAGTCCTCCCTTGCAGAGCCAACCACAGCACCTGTATCTCTGCTGGAAGCAGGACCATCATTTACAGCTCACAAACGGGGAACACCTGGGCACTGAAAAATACATGATCTGGTTTTCTTTGTCCCAAGAGGTGCTCCCTTCATGAACTGCACTCTCCCTTTTTTTAGGAGCAGCACTCCCTCCCCAGGGACAGACTCCCTCCCCAGGGGATAGACCCCTGGAAATTCTGCAGCTTCCTTAGGTCCAGCCAGTCCTTTGCTGCTGACATAATCTGAGCAGGCACTAGGGAATGTCTGCAGGGGTTCCCATGATATGGAGACACAAGGGCTGAGATTCCCTGGGTAAGACACAGTTATCTGATAGCTTCACCACAAGTATGGTGCCTGGTCACCACTCCTCAAGTTAGAGAGAGGGTGAATAACCTGCAGGGAGTTGGTAGTCTGATAATACCCTCAAAAAGTCACCAATTTGCTGTCTATACCAGCCTATACCAGTGTTTGGGCTCACAAAGGTAGAGGAGCTGTCTGACAGTTAAGATATCAGAAGTCAGCCACAGGGATTAGGGGAGCCAAAACACTCCCACCTATCTTTCTGATGAAATACCAGTCTCTTGGGGTTCCCAGCTGATTTCTGCCAGCCTCTTGCTTTTCTCTTTTTCTGTGCCCCAGCTTCTTCCTGTGAGTTCTCCACTAGGTTCCAACACTTTCCCCTTGATATTCTATTTGAGTTATGATTACAAGTAAGTAATCTTGGTTCCTCTTATGACAACTGGTGTCTGGTCTCTAGTCAGCCTTCTTGAACTAGAACTTGATGTCACAATGTTTACAAAATAATTTTACTTTGTATAATATTTGGAATGAAATATACTATAAAATATTTAACTATTTTTTCTTCTTTCCATCTAGGTTTTCTGCATGCTCTTTTTAATATCATTTGAATGTCATTCTCATTCCTGAATACATCTAGATTCACATGCTCAAAATCTAAAAGATTCATAAGGATAAACCCTGGAAAGACTCTCTCCCTCTCGGATACCAGCCGTGACCTACATGCTGTTTAAATTAGTCTCTAGTCTTCAGCCCTCACCAGTGCACAAGTGAGCTGGCAACATCTCTCACCCTTATTCCTCCTCCTGTGGCATGATCCAGGCTTTCCTAAATCAGGGCACTGGAAAGATTGCCTTCAGGAGCCACTAGTGTTGATCTCAACTCTATACTTTAATGCTCTACTATTGCTCTTGTTGCTATAGCTAACGTTGCTAAAGGGTAACCTTGAGGAGACCTTCGTTTTAGCTGTTACGTCAGCATCATGCCTGTTACCATGGGTATTCTAGTGGGTGGTGTTGCTGCTGTAGTGTAACTGCCCAGTGGGTTCTTCTTGTCTGCTCTCCAGATACAGTCAATTTATCAAGGCAGGGGAATTGCAATAAACTCTTTAATTTGCACAAAGGCAGCTGAACAGGAGACCAGAGTTTTATTGTCAGTCAGATTAGTCTCCCAGAGAATTTGAGGGCCGGGATTTTTCCAAGGTGGTTTGTGGGGAGGGGTTTGGGCGGTTAGGCAATGTGTGCTTGCTGCTGATTTGTTGGAGGCATAACCATGTGGGAAATGGTCCTCTTGCATGCTGAGTCACGTCTCTGTGGGGCCACAGGAGGAGTTGGTGGGTCCGGGCGGAGCCATTGGTGTCCAACATACAAAAAAACATGAAAAGATATCTCAAAAGGCTAATTTTAGGTTCCACAATGGTGATGTTATCTGCAGGAATAATTGGGGAAGTTGCATATCTTGTGAACACTTGTATATAATGGCTGGCAACTGTTTATGTCTACACTTAGCAGAATTCAGGCTTCTCCATCCACCTAGCCTGGTGGTGTCTCATTAACTTTACAAAGGTGGTTGAGTTTTGGGGAAGGGCTATTATCATTTAAACTATAAACTAAATGGCTCCCAAAGTTATCTTGGCCTAAGCCCAGGAATAATTAAAGGCAGCTTGAAGGCCAAAGGAAAGATGGGGTTTAGCCAGATCAGATCTTCACTGCCATTATTTTGCCATTATTGTAATTTTTGCAAAGGCAGTTACACTAGCAAGGACTATATCTTAAGTGACCATGGAACATCATTTGAAATGACACACCTTTGAGCCAAAGTCGATGTTATCAATGTTCATACTGGGCAAACAGGTATCAACTGAGCAAGCTGGCACCTATGGTCAACTTAATTGTAGCAGGGGCTTTCTGTGCACCAACATTAGATTCATTAGATTTTATTTCCTTGATTTCTTACAGCCTGCTTTCTTAAAGACTTCAGAAGAAGTTCATCTGAGTGAATGGGGAGAAAATAGGATACTATTAAGGCTAAATCCATCCAAGCCATATTTTAATTGATACAAAACCTGAACACCTATGGTACACGCTGAGTGGTTGGGAATTAGTGTTTGTTTTCACTTTTGCCAGAGTCTTAATTATAGTTCTATGGTGTTTGGGGTTGCCAATTGTTCTAAATCTCCTTTGTCTTGTCTACTAAGAAGCCCATTAAATTTGTGTAAGGTGAAACTGGAGGCTGCAAAGAATAGCCAAAGGAGCAGCTTCCAAGGGCCTAAGATTGAAGCTTCTTTCATGTTCTGTCAAAGAAATTCTACACTTAAGGGAAGGTGTGGTGCCAGACCTTTCCTTTATAGCTTTAGCTATATGTTGTAATTGTCTTTTTTCTGATTTAATTTTATATTTAGGGATCATAGGAGGAATTTGATTTTGGAGGGCCTTTGATTTTATTAACATTTTATGATATATTAAGGGTGTGGAAAGAAAAATTTTTGGTTCCCCAAATCACTAAGCTAAAGGAAGAAATCAAGCTGGGAAGTGCTTAGGGCAAACCTGCCTCCCATTTTTTTCTTTTTCTTTTTTTTCTTTTTTTGAGATGGAGTCTTGCTCTGTCACTCAGGCTGGAGTGCAGTGGCATGATCTCGACTCACTGCAACCTCTGCTTCCTGGGTTCAGGCAATTCTCCTGCCTCAACCTCCCGAATAGCCAGGATTACAGGTGCCAACCACCATGCCCAGCTAATTTTTTGTATTTTTAGTAGAGACGGGGTTTCACCATGTTGGCCAGGATGGTCTTGAACTCCTGACCTCGTGATCTGCCCACCTCGGCCTCCCAGAGTGCTGGGATTACAGTTGTGAGCCTCCCCACCTGGCCTCCTGCCTCCCATTCTAAAGTCATCCCTCTGATCACTGAGATAAATGCATATCTGATTGCCTCCTTTGGAAAAGCTAAACAGAAACTCAAAAGAATGCAACCATTTGTCTCTCACCTGGAAGCCCCCTCCCTGCTTCAAGTTGTCCTGCCTTTCTGGAGAGAACCAATGTACGTCTTACATATTTTGCTTGATGTCTCACATCTTCCTAAAAAGTATAAAACCAAGCTATGGTCTGACCACCTTGGAAACATGTCCTCAGGACCTCCCGAGGCTGTGTCATGGGCACGTGTCAGCGACCTTGGCAAAATAGACATTCTAAATTAACTGAGAGCTGTTTTGGATATTCGAAGTTCACATTTTGGTACCCATGAAGGTATTCTGAGTGGAGGTTCCCCTGACCTTTGGCAAATCTCCTATCAGTGTTTGGTACCAGCCTGAGCTATCTTTATGGCTCAAACCAATAGGACAATTCATGATCTCCCAAAATGTGATTGTGATCTAAAGTTTATTTTGCTGTACAACTCCTTTTTTAAGGAGTTTTAGTTGCTTCCAAGACAAAGAAGGCAAGTTTTTCCTGCTTCCATGATGCTGGAAGGCAGGTAACTCCTTTAAGGAGTTTGAGCTAGCGTTCAGCAGGGAAAATGAGCTTGAGTTTTTTCCTGCTTCTAGTATGGTAGAGAGCAGTCTTCAACCTGATACCCATCCCTAGGTAAGTAACTGAATTGGGGTTTGTCTTGCTAAAGTTAAGTTTAACAACCAGCTGGTCTTAATTTCTCCTTACCATTAGAGCACTCCATAATTGTGTGAGTTGTGCAATTGCTTTGCTTAACTTTGGTTTGTTTCTGTTTTTGTTATTGTTTCAGTTTTTTTTTCCATTGGGTTTGACCAACTCTATATTCGACTTGAACAAATCCGAAGGAAAGCTTCCAATTATGGGGAACAAGTCCTCTGAAGTGGCTAAATTCCCACACACACAAAAGAAAAGGTAGGGTGGTGGGGGGGAGAAAAACAGCCAGCAAAAGGAAAAAAAAAAAAGGAAAGATTTTTGATTTTGACTACTTAAGGGGCTTTATTTACATAACAAGGCCACCTATTTGGTAGCCAGGCCAAACTGAAAGAGCAACGGCTGTCGCCCCATGCTGCAGTTCCATAGCTAAGGTTCTGCTTTCTTTTTTTCACCACAACAGTCTGGGTTTGGTTCCTAAATCAAGCCCTTTCTGGTTTGATACTTGGTACTTCTGAAATAGCAGTAATTTGTCCCAGCTGAAATATGGTAATGAGATTTAAAAAGTTTTTTTTAAAGGACCTCAATGGTTAAAAGTCAGCTTAATTAAAAGCCAACATACAAGATGTGTGTGTGTGTGTGTGTGTGTGTGTGTGTGTGTGTGCACGCGTGCGGGCGCATGTGTTTATTTAAAAGGCTTTCATGTTTTTTTTGTTTTGTTTTCCTAAGAATTGGTTAGAACAATGAAATTTTCTTAAATGGTTGATTGACTTAATAAATTATAAGATATTTTAATTTTTTTAACCCAAAGTTTAACTTGTATTGCATCTCGCCATTTTCAGTTTTCTCTCCCCTTTTAAAAGGCACGAAATGGTTACTCTCTCCTTCACCTGTGCTTTGAGTAGCCCCACCTTTCTGGACGGAACCAATGTACATCCTATATATATTGATTGATGTCTCATGTCTGCCTAAAATGTATAAAACCAAGCCATGCCCAACCACGTTGGGCATATGTCGTCAGGACCTCCTAAGGCTGTGTCATGGGCACATGTCCTCAACCTTGGCAAAATCAACTTTCTAAATTAACTGAGACCTGTCTCAGATATTCGGGTTCACAAGAGTAACAAAAATTAACTTGATAACATATGACATAACTTGATAACATTATGACAGAACATAATATTTGAAGGCTCTACCTGACCTGATTTAGACATCTGAAAACCACTGCTTGAAAGACCTGGATCAATTAAATTCAAATATTTTAAGTATCTAAAAAGTTAAATTGGAAACTGAAAAGACATGCTTGTCTTATGCTTCACAAAGATGCCTAAGCACTGGATTTTTGAATGTGGAATTATTCTACATAGTACTCCTGAGCTCTCAACATTAGGCAGCCTACCACGTCGAAATGGTATAATCAATCCATAGATGAACACTCCTAAAGAAAACGAATGTTCCCAAATTCCACAAAGATCGATGATGTCTCTGAAAGGATGGCATATACTTTGTGACAGAGTAAGATTTCTTCTCTGTCTTGGGAGCCAACGACTGCAGTCACATTGCTATTCAAGTAGTGGTAGTTAATGATTTAATCTTTATTAATAGGAGAAAAGATTCCATTTGTTTAATATGCAGGTTATTTGTGATGCTAAATGCAATGTAATTGATGTAATTTAAAAGTTTCAGAGATAATGTCATGATTAATTCATCTGTAAACAATCTGGCATCTTTCATTTTATTGAGGCAGGCAAATTTTTTAACTAGCTGAAATGTGAGTAAGAACATTTATGACAACAATTATCATTTAAAAATACAATGCAGTATGAAAGATGAATGTCCTACAGGGCATTGCACATTTGCTGTAAGGTCTTAAGAGCTGTAATTTGGCATGACTCATTGTCTCTGTATGAAAGAAACACGAGGGCAGCATAACTAGCGTTGTGTCTTTGGACTGAATAAGGTTTTAGAATTTCATGAAGGAGATCACTGAGTATATTTCAAGGGTCAATTTCTTGAGAGTTTTGCTGCCCCTATGCAACTATTCATTCATTTAATCATTTATTCATCCATTCAATGAATATCATGGAGTGCCTTTTAAAGGACAAGTGCTTCGGAAGAACTGGGGATATGTATATATAGATTGTTTCTGCCACCAAAGAACACCTAAAGTATTAAAGAGTATAGTTTAAGTAAGATTCAATTAATATCCCATGAAATACATAAAATGGATACCATGGGAGCAATAAAAGAAGGCATTTAGCCCAGGCTTGGGAGACAGGCTGATCAGAAGCTGCTGGAGGAATTGACATGTGAAAACTGTATCTTATTAAAGGATGCAGATAAAGTCACTGAAAAGTTATCCAGGCAGAGAAGATGACATACAAATGCAAGAGGTTTAAAAACAAAGCAAAACAAAACAATATGTGTTATTTGTGAGCCGTACCACATGTTTGGTGATGTTGGAGAGCAATGTGCAAGGCAAGAAATGTTGCAGAGCAAGTTCGGGGGTAGAAAGATTCTAGAATGTGGAGGGTCATGTGGACTCTATTATATAATTTAGAATTTATTCTATAGATTATATAGACCCATGAGAGCACTATTTGTTTAGGTAGATTACTTTAGGGCTTTGAAAGGGATGAGACTAGAGGTGCAGAGAAACTATTTAGTATCGTGATGATGTAATCTGGGGAAAAAATGATACAGGCATAATTACCACTGGGCTATGGCCGTAATTTGGGAGTGAATAAGAAAATTGAGCCTAAATTTGCAGTTTCAAAAGAATAGAGATTAAAGGCAGAATAAATAGGGGGATTTCAACATATAGTGAAGTAAGGGTTTAAGTAGAGGGCACAGAAAGAAGAGCCCATAAAGATGACAAAAAAAAAATGATGAGAAAAACACTCCAACAATTAAGAGAGTGTTATAAAATCTAAGGAACAAGGAACTAACAAAGTTCTAATGATGTGGTAAAAATAAGAAAGATAGCTTTAACTATTAGATTATCCATCAATAACTTTGGAAAAACAGTTTCGGTGGAATACTATGGGTAGAATACAAATTTCTGTGGGTAGTGTAGTGGATAGAATTGGGAGTTGAAGACATGGAGATGCAGTATTGATAGTTGTGTCCCTGAGAGCACGTAGCCTGGACGCTGGATGTCCTGGATCCTCAGCTTGCCACTGGCCATGGCCAATGTTGTAGTGAGATATATTAAAAAGCAGCCAAATGGTTACGCATTATTATTGGCTAAAACTTTTACCCCAAACTCCAATGTATTCATCTACTGAAATAAACCAAATTGATGATGCAACTCCTCAAACGCAGACCTGCCTGTAAAAAGAGTTGGGTCAGTGAATTGTGGTGAGAAAGTGGGTATTAACTTCAGGAGTTGCACCTGTGATGAAAGAATAAGTGTGGAATAAAGTCATATATCAACACATTAAGTCCAAGTGTGGAATAAAGTTATATATCAACAGATTAAGACCAAGCAGGTGGGCTTTCTTTTTGTGGAAGGTGGGTTAGGAATGTTTATTTTTTAAATGTAGTGTTTTCTAAGCTATTTACAAATGTTAACTATTTAAGCGTTTTTTTTTAATTTAATTTGATGAGGTAGAAATTATTGTTGTAGACGAGTAAATAGAAACACAGAAAGAGTAAGTAAATTGCCCAAAGTCACTCACACATATTTGAGTAGAAGTGTCAGGATTTGAACTCAGGCAGTCTGGCTTCAGAGTCTCTGCTCTTCCATGCTGTAAATACACTATATTGTATAGGTTTTTTTAAATATGTATTTATTAATAAGGACATAGAGTAGTGAATTAAAGGCATCACTTGGAATCTCCTAAATCCAGTTTTGCTTAATAATAATTAAAGAGATCCTTTAATTAAGAACTTTAGGCCAGGTGCAGTGTCTCATGCCTGTAATCCCAGTACTTTGGGAGGCCACGGTGGGAGGATCACTTCAGGTCAGGAGTTCAAGACTAGCCTGGCTAACATGGTGAAACCTCATCTCTACTAAAAACGCAAAAATTAACTGGGTGTAGTGGAGCACGCCTGTAATCCCAGCTACTCTACTCAGGAGGCTGAGGCAGGAGAATTGCTTGAACCCAGGAGGCAGAGGTTGCAGTGAGCCTAGATTGTGCCACTGCACTCCAGCCTGGGCGACAGGGCGAGACTCCATCTCAAAAAAAAAAAAAAAAAAAGAACTTTAGACACACAATCACAGTTTAATTATAAAAAACTAAACTCACATCATATAATGAGTTCCTATATCAAGTTATCTATAATGTCAAAAATAACACACAGGGGCATTAAACTATTTATTCAAACCTAGCACTGAGTTTATAAAATAGATTACCTTCGAGAATAAGAAATCCAGGACTGGAAGAGAATGCAAACATTTTGGAATGAGCATTTAGAAAAATGAGACAATGTGATGGGGATTTAACTAGAGATTAGTATAAGGCATGTTAATCAGCTACGAAGTCTGACTGAGTCTGACCAGCATACATTGGCAGTGGACCAACTGGCCTGGCTTTATGACTCGACTTTCACTAGCAACAGTCAATAGAGCAGGAAGATATGTGCATATGTATCCATGTGTCTGTGTGTCAGGGGTTGAGGGAGCAAATGATCCTTTCTACAATCAGGGTTGCTGAAGGGAAAGGCAGTAAGGCAGATGGATAAGAGAGCAACTGGAATTTTAGGAATATATATTTACATAGTTTTGTACAGTTCAGTAATAATCCAGATAAATTGCTTAGGCCAGATGGTTGGTTTATCAAGCCATGCAGTGTGCCTTTTTGTATGCAAATGAAATGTCTACATATCAAGAGAGCCTTGGGCAGAATCCAAAATGGAGCAGCCAATTTGCCCTAAAAGGTGATAAATTTAGGACCCAGAGAGGAGAATACTGGAGGTTGACAATATTGTTTCCTAATATGTCCTAGTGATTTAATTTTAATAAATTGATGTGAACTTGCTGGTCATCTAATTGTTCTCTAATAGATGTATTGTAGAGACTTTTTTTTTTTGCATAAGTATGGCGCAGAGGAGGCTAATAAAACTAAAGTTTTCTGCAATTTTAGGTTGATTCAAACCATTTCAATTTCAATTTCTCAAAAGCTCATCATTGGGAGACAATTAAAGAGCCCCTAAATGATTATGAAATTGCAAATTATCACAATAGCCTCAAAGAAATGCCTATCAGATCAAAGTTGGGGAAGAAAGCACAGTTGAGTAGAATGAGAGAGAATCCTGAAGATAATGATTAAGCCAATGACGGCTACTTCACCTGAAATCTCTGCCACCCTCAATAAATGTGTGCTTTATCAAGTAATTCTTTCTCCTTTGACTAGGGTGGGATAGGGGAAAGGTGGCTCTCAAGTTGCTTCAAAAGAAGAGCTGGCAATTCAAATATTTTCTTGATAATTTAGGATTGGGAAGTCACGTTGCTGAGTTTTCTATGATTAGAAACTAAAGGAAAATTTGAAAGAGAGATAAAGTATAAAACAGCATAAATTATGGCTAAACAAAGGATTCCTTCTGGAAAAGGGAAGAGGATAGGGCAGAAATTCCATGAGTGACAGATCAAGCAGCCCCTGAAGTTGTTTTACAAAAAGAAATTAGTGATCTTGGTGAAGTGGGTTATCTAATCATTTTGGTAAACTCTTCGGTTCCCTCCCTTCTGAGCCCTTGCCACAAAAACTAAACATATGACCCAAGCCTCACCAAATATATTACTTCATTTGCCCGGCAACAATGATTGGTCCAAGGCATAAGCATGTGACCCAAGCAGGACCAATCACATTTTGTCCCCTGGGGTTGTTATTTGGTCATTGATAGGAGGAAATACTTTTACCCCTGAGGATTGCTAGACTGAGATGCTGGTAGTAATAGTAATCTTCCCTAGTCACTGGAGGTAGCCTGTGTGCAGTAGGAGAGAAAGAGATCTGTCCCACGGAAAGAGAAACAAAAGTCAAAATGCGAAACAAATGGAGAGGGGGTCTTCATTCCTATCCAAGAAGCTCTGACTGTGTAGCCTCAATTCTGTAAGCTACACTTGAAATCAGGTATTCTGACTTGGTTAATGACATCTTTCAGGTCCCAGTTTTAAGTCCTATACTCATCTAAACAAAATTAGCCACCCAAAAATCATGAGTCACTCCCCACCTCGCCAGTCACCCAAGAGTGTGTTCTTTGTAAAAAGAGCATCACTAAGTAAAATGGGAGCTTAAGAAATCAAATCATAGAAGGCTGTGGTCAGAAAGAAGAATTTCTGAATTGAAGAGCTTGATCACGCAGCAATTCTGAGAGATGGTGAGATCTAACAGAAGCAATGAGGTTGTTTAGATACTATCAATGCATACTTTCTGGGGTCATGAGAATGATATCTCAGAGACACGGGTAGAAAATGTCTTGTTGTTTCATTTAGAAAATCATTCAGAGGAAAAGGAAATTAGAGGTTAATAGGACCTAGCAATGAGGATTTTTAGACAATAGTATAGGAAATCAGAAGGGAAAAGCTGTTGAACCATAATGGAGGAGCAAAATACCAGATGAAGCAGCGATACGGTAATGAAATCTACAAAACACATTGAGTGTCAGGTACAGGCAGAACATTAGATTATTTCTATTTTAAATTTTATAGTGCAAGTGAAAAGTTGTTTGTTTTTGTTTTTCATTTTTGCTATTTGGGGTAACAAAGAGAACATTTATGAAGAAGAGAAAGACACTCCATTAGGAACAGAGTCTGCAGAAATAGTACAATTTATGTCCAGAGAGAACTTTGCTTGTGAGGGCTGCCTACTTGATGCGAATGTTGTTTGATGGCTATCACTTTGATTTCCACAGGAACCATAGAGATATTCCAAGACCAACGGTGTGGCTAAGTATAAAGTAATGGGGTCTCTAAATTAATGTCCACTTGGTGGCAGTAGACTGTGGTTTTTATTAATAACACTAGTCTTTAAATATATTTGTGGTATATTTAATTACCACTGAAATCTTAAGATTTTGCTACGCAAACTGTTATTTCCAATATGTACATATCTTAGAGAATCATTTATTGTAATTGTTTTCTTTTCCAGATGAGTCTATGCCCAGGACCACCAGATAATTGAGTCCTGTACAAAAGCTTCTGACTAAACAATGTGCTCTGGCTCAGGACTATACAGAGAAAAGACACAGTTTTTAAATTGATCGTTCAAAAGGAAACATATTTATGATATTTGCTCCATGATATGTATCTCTCATCTGTTAGCTCAGGCAGAATTAAAATGCTAGACAATAATGTTCCATGCCACTATGCTTACTCGGGTCTCTCACATTGGTGTACTTCTGGCACAAAGTCACATGACATTTGAGTAATAGCTGTCTCCCATGTGGACTTTACACCACATGATGTCAGGGGCCATTCATTCTATTCCAATTACATAAATCATAGATTAGGATAGGTCTTGGCAAGGACTGGGTACTATATGAATATTTTTGAGTAAATGTATGAGCACAAAATATTTTATGTGGTTATGTATCTAGTAAAACATGCAAGGCTAACATATCCTCTTTCATTAGACTTCAAGAAAACTCCAGCGAATATTTATCAGAAAAAGAAAACCAGGAAAAATGAAAGAAGTAATAAAATTAAAATCTCGTACAGACCAAAAATAAATGATACAGAGCATTTAGGTAGTCAGAAGCTGTGCTAACTGGTTTCCAAACAAGGTAAAGAACAGCCTGCTAGGAACACACTGTATCTCAAAGGGCAAAACAATAACGTCAAACCTTTCTCCTCTGCATTGCAAATACCATTTGCATTTCAATGACACTACACTCTAAAGAATATGCTCTACTAAGTTTGTTAGATAAGCCGCATGTGCTGTGTTTCAAATCACATAGTAATAAAAGTGTTCCAGTTCTTTGATAGATTTACGTAATTCCCTAACTGGACTACCATTGATTCCCCTTAAGAAAGGTATATAGACTCTCTATGAAAAATAGAGTTTCTTAAATCCAGCTTCCTATGTGGAAAGTATTATTACTTTATAGGAAAATAATTTCTAGCTGTTTTCCTGTTGTTCCCAAGAGTCTTTCCAATTTCTTTATATATCTGTCTTAGAATGTTCAATTTTCTCAAGCCCCTTAAAAAATCATTCTTGCTTTTCTACTCATTTCCACTTGTTAAACTTGACCCAGTTTTCTCTTGGTTTCATATTTTACCATTCAACTTTTATTCCACTCTCTACCCTCTCCAACTCCCCTAAATAAATTGTTTTTTCAGGTCATAATACCCCTATTTGTTTTTCCTACACAACGGGTAAGCTCAGATGGAACATTATCGAATGGTGAAAAGCATAAGTTTGTCTTAGGACACAAAGTTTCTAACAAAGATTGATTCTTCTCATATGAAATAACTGCTTCTTTATACTTTTCATGGCATTTTAGAATACAGGGTAGGATTGCAGTCCCTGAAATGTACCAATTCTGAATTAAACTAATTAATTAATTAATTTTCTTAGCACCCCACAGAGATTGTGCCATCACTTTTTTGTATCATGCTGCCCCTGATTTTCCTCCTAGTGGGCCCGAAACATCCATCTTTCCACGAGTGTGGTCAGGAGATTAGGACTGTTATAAATGAAGTGCAAAGAGATTTACTATTCCAAGCAGAATTTTGCAGTCAGTAAGATGTTAAAGATTATCTAAAGAATATCAAGTCAAATCCAGAAGTCTCAGCTGAAGGTGTTTCTTCTTTAACATACAGATTTTATACTGCCCATCAATGAGGGTAGGCCTTGGGACAGATTTATTCTAAGAAATGAGGATAGAGTAGAGAAAGAAAAAGTCTGAAGCTCTTCTTATGGGGCTGCAGAGCTGGGAGACTTTCAGAAATATGAGAAAGGAAATAAGAGAGGCAGATGACACATGAGTTTTCATGTTTTCTCTCCAAACAGATAGGCAGTCTGGAAAAGCTAAGGATGTGGGCTTTTGACTAGAATAATGTTTGGGACTCTGAAAGGGGTTTGCCTTGGATGACTGCCCTGCACAGCTTCAAGATGGCCACATCGGGGGAAACACAGTGGCACAGTGTGGTGACAGAGGGCTGATGTTCAGTATCTGAGTCATTCTTCATGTGTGGCATGAATAGAGCTATTTGTTCTAAGGAGGGACTTTGGAGGTGGCTAAATGGAGTTGGATAGTCTGCCATGTGGCCAGTTTTGTTGGTGATTCTGCAGATGAACTACCTGCACCAGGAGTCTGAGGGAGGATGTTACAGGAATGCAGAGAGGTCTACAGTACAAGTAGGAGTTAAAATGAGGTCAACTCTCAGCCTGGCATGGTGACTTGGGCCTGTAATCCCAGAATTTTGGGAGTCTGAGGTGGGAGGATTGCTTGAGCTCAGGAGTTTGAGACCAGCCTGGGCAACATAGCCAAACCATCTCTACAAAAAATAAAAAAATTATGTGAGTGTGGTGGTGAGCACCTGTAGATCCAGCTACTTGGGAGGCTGAAGTGGGAGGAGTGCTTGAGCCTGGG
Organism: Homo sapiens; assembly: GCF_000001405.40. Lineage (NCBI taxonomy): Eukaryota > Metazoa > Chordata > Mammalia > Primates > Hominidae > Homo > Homo sapiens. The sequence goes on from NC_000001.11 coordinate 187,479,466, forward strand.
AGGCCAAGGCTGCAGTGAGCCATGATTGCATCACTGCAGTCCAGCCTGAGTGACAGAGCAAAACCCTGTCTCAAAAAAAAAAAAAAAAAATGAGGTCAACTCAGCCACTGATTACTGCTAGATGCTGACCAAGTTAGAGAGGACAACCCAGTGGATTAAACCTTTCTCCAAATTAAGCCACATTGCTAGCATGTCAGTGATGATCAAGAGGTCAAAGTAGTGAGTGAGGGCTAAAGAAGTGAGAGCACACTTAATATCAGAAATATTTCAGTCCATGGGCAAAAGGATATTCTTACCATGGGTAAGAGGAGGAAGTTTGCAGAAATCTGAAACACTGAAACAATTCTCTTAAAGACACTGGGAAAGGCTTCAGTGTCCAAACTGTTTTAAACCAAATGAGTCTGTTTTTAATTTTTTCTCCAACTGGAGAAAATTGAAAATTGTTTTGGTTGGGGCCAAGGGTGAAGGAGTCTTGAAGAACATTGGATCAGATATACCAAATGACCAATTTGATAGATTGATTGATTGACTAATTTTTTTTTAAACTTTTAAGTTACTATGGGAGTAAATTCATTACTTTGCTACAAATGTTGTGGGAAAGTGGACAAGTCAATGCACTACTGTGAATACTTATTCACTAATTCACGTTTCCATTTGGAAAAATAAAGGAGTTGGGCTGCATAATTCTTAAGGTCTTCTTTAGTTGAGAGAACCTATATGTATTTATAGTCTGTCCTTCTTATGTAGAGAACACGAATGTCTAATTATTTACATTTATTTTTATGATAGAATTAAAACGATGTATTAAGCTGGCCTTTTTTCAGACATACTTGCAACCAGAGTCATCAATTTTGAAGACAGCAACCAAGCCAAGCAATGTGAGGTTACAGCTATGAAATAGAACAGAGATGTCTAGACTATAGACACAGCCTGCCGTTTTGTGCTGATTGGTAAAGTGTTCCAGCCAACTGGAAGCAAATATTTCTCAGAAGCAGTTTCCTGCTCTCATCCTCTCCTCGCCATGCCCACTGTGCCCAACATGGCTCCAGCTGGGTCACAGAAGACTTTGTCCTGGAATACAGCATTTCCCTATTTAAATCTCTAACTTTGTATGTACTCTTTTCAATAAAAGCATATTTTTCATTACCATTCTGACCATACTCCCTTCTCTGCTGGCTCCACAGCTAAGGTTTCTGCACCTGTTCCATAACTTCTGGGATCTGTCTCTGTTGCTGCACGTATGCATTCCATAAGCATTAATAGATCCATTCACTCTTCTGAAATCTGGGCAGCTTAAATCATATTACATCTAACGTATTTTTACTAGAGTCAGTTCTACCCCCCGACTCTTGAGTGCACACACAGGCACTTCTCTGTAAGTTCCTTGAGGTCAGAAATAGTCCCCTAGTCAGCCTTCTGCCTTCTGTAGTTCCTGGTCCATCAAGGTGCAGAGTACATATTCCACAGATAAATAGATAACTCTCATTCAATGCTCTGATCTTTCCTTTATCTTGTTTCCCTGGATATTCCTCTTTCACGGCTCTTTTCTATTTAATTTACCCACATACTCCTCTAATTCCATTCACTTACTTTCAACCAATTCTTTTCATTGCTTATAAACAGATGTTTAGACAGTTTGTAGACATGATCAGTAATATGAGTCAACATTTTATCACTGCAGGATGGTGTTAGAAAATTACATCTTAAATTACTTTGTGACCAAGCTTTTATAAAATTTGCCCTTAGATAGCTATCCAGAGATCCATATTGCTTTCTTGTTCAAAGTAGTAAAACTTAATAATTTACCATATTTATAACTATGATATGCTGTAATTTTACATTTTAAATAGGAAAAGGCAGGAAGATGCACAAATCTTGAATGTGCAAAATCTTCCTTCCATAACTGAACCAGGAATAGAACATAAGTCAGTTTTATTCCTCACTTGGGAAAGCTAATATCACTTCCTCTGTATCCACTTTTGTTATATTCAGTAGAATAAATAATAAGCAAGTGACTCTATTTGTAAAGGAGAATGGTCCAGAAAACCTTGAATAGAAATTTCAAATAACATGGTAGTTACAAGCTGAGTGACTTATTTGTCATAGAATCAATAAAGCTATGTGTGAGAGGTGATGGCAGAAAAACTAGACAAAAATTGTATAATATTGCAATGGAAGTACGCCTGGAAATGCTAAGAAATGAATTTGAAACCTATTTCATGGCTTGAATGGAGTCTGTGTTCTGAATGATAAGACGATCCATTCGGGATTTTCCATCTGAATGATCTTTTGTAACTTAAGCCACAAGAACATCATGTGAAACTGCCCAGTGGAGATTATGCTGTGCTCTATGTGTATTCCGAAGCAGACCACAGGCTTGGAATTAGTGAAGTAATTGATGAATATAAAACTTCAGCATGACACATAATTTCATTTTCAAAGGCTGAAACAAAACATTAGCTTTTCAGAGATGTGCTGCTATCTTAACCGGCATTCTTTCTTGTCCCATGGTGCACGGTGCACGGCGCAGATTGAGAAGCGATTATTTTCCTTCAAATTAAATGACTTCCTGAAGCTGTTTTCTAAAAGATTCTGTTTTCTGCCAAAGTCATTTTGTGAATGGCCACTTTAGGAATGAGCATCGTGATGGTGTCCCAGATCCTGTAGACAGCTGATTTTCTTTCCAATTTATTTAGAGCAATAGTTTTGTATTCAACCCCTGATGTCAAATCAAAATTTCTACATGTGAAGAAGATTCAACAAATTTGTAAAGAGTAAAGGCCCTTGAAAATTTTTATAACTAGTCAGAAATGGACAAAGTTCGCTACTTTGTATTGTAACTTTTCAAACTTCTTAGCTTTTCAAATGCAAATAGGCAAACCTGTCTCTATCCACATTGTCTCTTTATGTTGTTTAAGGAAGAAGTCTGACAGCATTCTCTACCTTTCTACTATATATATATATATATATATATATATACACATTCAAACACATAGATGTATGTATACCCACACACATAGATGTCACTCTTTGTATATATTATGCATATAAACACACACATGCATGACACATACATATAGGTGTATGTATATCTGTCACTCTGTATATTATATAAACACACACATGCACACACACATGCATACTGGTGTATGTATATGTCACTCTGTGTGTGTGTGTGTGTGTGTGTGTGTGTATAGGCACATATATAATGTTTTCTGAGAGCTGGAAAACTACAGTAGTCAAAATATTTAGAAATAATAAAGGACAATATAACAAAGACATTACTGAATATTCTATCCTTTTACAGTCAATTAGAAATTAGTTTTGCTAATTCAGTGTGTAACACTTGAATATATAAATGTCTTCATTCTATTTTATATTATTCTTTAATATAGTAACAAAATGCAGATTCTTAAACCACATTTTTAAACATATGGGAAAAATAACATTTTTATATGAAATTATTGACAAATTTTCAAGAACAAAAATCTCTATAATGTGTGAGGGAAACGTTACATTACAGGTCTCATTAAAGATGCTTAGCTTAAATGATGGTTCTGACAAGAGTATGTGACAAATTAAAGTTAGCCATGAGTATGTGAGGCCAATTCCAGTAATGCTAGGTATAATTCATGTTTAGTTCCTTTATTAATGCAATTAATCACATCTCTAAAATCAAGAAGAAAACCCATCAAACCACTTGTAAATTGGAAATGGATTTTGTAAATTTCAATATCCATTCCTTATTTTTTTAAAAAAGTTGGTTAAATAGAACTAAAAAGACATTTCTTTAACTTGACAAGCCAACAGTTAGATCTTTCCCTCCATAGAAAAAACTTCTTGACTATATTCCATCAGTTGCACATCCTGTGGGGACTAACTACTGAAACCCTCCCAAACCCCTCCATCTCCACTGCTGCTGCTTAGTTTGCTTAGTTTTGCTTTTTTTTTTTTTTTGAAATGGAGTCTTGCTCTGTTGCCCAGGCTGGAGTGCAGTGGCGCAGTCTCGCCTCAATGCAACCTCCATCTCCCGGGTTGGTTCAAGCCATTCTCCTGCCTCAGCCTCCTGAGTAGCTAGGATTACAGGCACATGCCACCAAGACTGGCTAATTTTTGTATTTTCAGTAGAGACGGAGTTTCACCATGCTGCCCAGGCTGGACTCAAACTCCTGACATCATGATCCACCCGCCTCGGTCTCCCAGCGTGCTGGGATTACAGTAGTTTTACCTTTTATTATCACTCAATTAGATGATAATCATCTTAATTCTTTTCTGTCATTTTTTCTTACTCCCTTCCCAAGATACTGCCAGAACAATCTTTCTAAAATGGAAATCTTACTTTATTCCTTATTTTAAAAAATTCAATGGCTTCTCAGAACCTATTGAATAAATTTCTGATTTCAAACACAACATGCTAGACCTGCCATGTTTTGGTGCAACCAGCCATCAAGTCTTACCTTTGTCATTTCTCACACTTTCAATGAAAGTTCCAACTTTGATGAACTAATTTAATTTTCTGAATGTTAGTTCTCTCATAACTTGTGGCACTTTCATGAGTTGCAGCTGTTGCTTGAAATGCTTTACTTGCCATATTCATCCTGGAAACAAATAAGGATCTAATGCAAGCATTGACTACTTGGAGTATTCTATTCAGATTTCCAAAAGTTAGAGCCTTTTCCCTATGATTTCACAGTATCCTGTTTTGGTCAGTAATACATCACTTTCCATTGCATGATAAATGGTGGTTTACATCAACTTAAGGGAATGACGTCTTATTCAGTTTTGTATTCTAAGGACCTGTAATGGTCTGAGAAATAATAGTTGCTTGTTCCGTATATGTAGAAATAATCAAATATTTTACTTGAATCTTATTTTCTGCAAGGCTTCGTGGAAATAGTAGTATCATCTAAGAATACAATATGTTTGGAGCTCTAACCTGCAGATATTTTTTTTTCAGGTGCCTGCAATCTGTCTGGAATTCAGACTATTACCCTTCTGGATTCACTAAAACTATACTCTTAATCTGTACTGGGAAGTTCTATACTGTTGCTTTAATCCTTGGTGCTGTTTATTTCAACCAAGATACACCTTGAAGACAATCTGCCTGCAACACTCATAATCCCTGAATGGATAGCACCCAATAAAAGAGAGAACATCATTGCCAATTTTTTCTTCTATCCAAGTCCTCCTCTGTCTTTATACCTTATTTGACCTGAATATCTTATCTTTCCGTGTTAAATGCTCTTCTCTCTTGACCTCTAGATCACTGTACTCTCTGGGGTCTGCCTCTGTTTCCCTAATATTTTCCGCTTTAAATTGTCCACATCTGCTCATGCTTCAATTGATGCCCTCTTTTTAAAAATTCTGTCCTTAGCCATCATTTCTCTCTAAGTTCTACTTAATAATAACCTTAGACATTTTTGTGATTTTATCTTTTATTTCTATGCATATTTTTTTACCAAATGCATACTTCTAGATGTGATCCCCCTCATATTTTTCAGAACATATATAGTTCATTGACATTATTTTCAAAGATACATCAACAGCACCCCAAATTAAACATGTACAAAAATATTTGTCTTCTCCACAAATATGTTCTCATTTGAATATTTACTGCCATTGCTGTTGGAGGATACCTCTAAAGAACCCTGGAAGAAAATATCAGTGTTAGTCACAATTTCTTATATTTTTCATCTCTGTAGTCAAGAAGTAAATCACCATATCATAGAGAATTGTGAAGGATCTGAGATTTTATCATCTTACAAGCTAACAGGTTAGCTGGCTACAATTTCACAGATTCTGCAGAAGACACAGGACTCCAGGATCAGACACAAAGAACTTTGCTACTCATGGCACAGCAGGTAGCATGAGCTTCATGTTCACACCAGTTTCCTTTGACTCCTCAGTCACATTGGAGTGGTGCAGAGAAAACTCAGGTGGATGCTGGACACACAGTGAGTTTGTTTCACAGTCAAAGAATTCTGATCTTTGGAAACCCAAATCTTTTATAAGGTATATGCAACCAAAAGCACCAAGTCTTTGCCCTGACGGGAGACACCGTCTCTATCTGTAAGGAGATAGAAGAGGACAAAGGGAATAAGTATCTCTGTTCTAAAACATGTAGGAATACAAGAAACATGTAAAGAATATTCTCCCTATACTTATCGTACCTGCTGTATCTTCTGTTCCTCATTTCTAAATAGCTGTGTGAAACTGGACAAATTACTTACCTTCATTGTCCCACAATTTTTTATGTGTTAATGGGAATAATAATAGTACCTAAAACACAGAGCTATTATGATTTTTCAAAGAGTTAATATGTCTAAAGTTTCTGTGGTAAAGGCTGGCACATTATTAAATGCTATTTAAGTCATTATTAAATAACTGAATAAGTACTTATTACTATTATCATCATCATATTTACTGTTCCTTTTCCATTTTGTTTGCCACTGGCACTTAGCTTCTCCCTTGTCTACTGCAGTATAGTCTTACTGTGATTCTGCACCCAGACTCTCACCTCCCCCATTTACTCTTTGTGCAGTTTCCAAAGCTTATTTCCTAAAATAAGTATCAGTGATGTCCACTTGATTCTTCCAGAAATTTTAGATGATTCCAGGTTGCAGACAGAAACTGGCCTGCAGTATGGAATTCAGGATCCTTCTCAACATGACTTTTTGGTAGTCTCTTTCCCCTTTAGACTTCCGTAGTTTAGACTTTCTGTATTTTATGAAGAGATTAGGCACATCTAGGCATCCACAAATTTGATCCTGCTGTTCCCTCAGTCAGAAACCCTTTTATCTTTACCTGTGAAAATTCTTGTAATGTTACTGATGTCAGTTCATGCTATTGCTTCCCCAAACTTCTTGCAAGCACACACTCTGCCTGGCTTATCTTTCAATACTCTCTTGGTTGTAAAAATCATTTTTAGCAACACAAGTATCATATTCATCATCCATCCACTTTCCTTATATTCTTCCTCTTTAACTTTCTACCCATCTAGTTCCTTTGTCTTTGCTTGTCAACATATCCTGGTCATTCTCTTCATTCATATGAACTGACTTAGCAGGCTCACTTTCCTGCAGCTTTAGGTTCTGCATAGATGGCTTCCTTGTGGACATCTAATTTGGGCTGATCCAGGATGAACACTGCCCTATACTGCTTCCCCTCTAATACTGCTGAGTTCTGTCTTTGAGGTTGAGGCCTTACAAGTCCAGAAACAAATCATCAATGCCTCATAGTCCTACCCTTCACCGTGTAGGAGGCTTATCGTCTTGATAATCAAACAAAAAGCCCAGCATCAAAAAGTCACCTGTGGTCAAAGCTGCAAATACTAAGGAAATGTTTTGGTGAGCATGAATAAAAAAAGGCATATTACTTCCTCCATTTAGCCTGTGCCAATTAAGACTGTGTAGGAGGAGATTTATTGCAATTAAATAATTTAAAATATTATGTATAATTTCAGTTAATTGAGCAAAAATGTAACAGCATTCAAGAGAAAAGAGCAAAGGAAAAACCAATGTAAAATTTAAAAGTATATACAGTCTATATATTGATCTGGGTTTATAAAGGGATTTAAATTGCAGTTCTAAATTTATTTAGTTTTATATTTCAATTGCACATCTGTTTCTCGTTTTCATGGAACATGTTTCAATCTCAGAGTGAAAGATTTCCTGAAAATCATAAGATTTATGTTTACTGTGTTCCTTATAAAACCAAACTCATGACAAGTGATGGTCAATAAGTGGTCTTTGTTGCATTAAATAAAAAGAATCTGTGAACTTTGAATGCTACTGCTTATTAATGCACATTACTGAATACATAAAGACAATGAAATATTGATAAAATGTAAATTTAACATAGTCCGCTAACATTAAGATAGAGGTTATTAAAAATGAAAATTAAGACATATATGATCAAATTGAATATCTGATGTAGGAAGAAAATAGGTAACACACAAAGCAAATAGAGAAAATAGCCAGTAAACACATGAGAATAATATATTACAAAGTTGCTAAAATTTTCCTCATACTTATTTAATACAACTAATAAAAAGTCCAGGATATGCCTTTTGAACCGATGCAACGGTGTGCCTACCGTGTATTGAGCCTTAGTAATCAAAGGAATTACCTTAGTTCCAGCCAAGGCAATAATGGGAGGGTGTATTAGTTCATTTTCATGCTGCTGATAAAGACATACCTGAGACTGGGTAATTTATAAAGAAAAAGAGGTTTAATGAACTTACAGTTCCATGTGGCTGGGGAGGCCTCACAATCATGGTGGAAGGAGAAAGGCATGTCTCACATGGCGGCAGACGAGAGAATGAGAGTCAAGTGAAAGGGGAAACCCCTTTAAAATCATCAGATCTCATGAGATTTATTCACTACCATGAGAATAGTTAAGTGGGGGTCTCTGCCACTGGTCCCTCCCACAACACATGGGAATTATGGGAGCTACAATTCAAGATGAGATTTGGGTGAGGACACAGCCAAAGATAAAGTGCAGTGATGCAGTTTTCTCCTGACCACTCCAGCACTTGGATTAAGTGTGTTACTACTTCTTATGAAGTCTATAAGCAAGTAATAATGGCAGTTCTAGATTGCCCTGATAGCCAATAGCTCATCTCAGCTTTTAATGACTAAAAAAAGTTCTGTTTCATGTGTTTGGCTGACCAATGACTAAGTGGCCAGGGATGGTGTGAGTGTCCTCCATTAACCCCTTTCTCTCCCAGATCTCCCCAGCCATCCCTATCTTCCAGCACAGTTTTCCAGAAATTATGAAACTAGATCATGCAATGGAGCTGGATGAAGTAACCAGGATCACAAAAGAGATCTACTTGGTATCATATCAACTAAACACCTGGCTCCTATTTTCTTTTGTTCGCTACAATCATTTTAAGAATTAACTAGTCTATTCTTCCTCCAGTCTGAGTTGTTATATTTTTTTCCGCTTAGAAGCGTTTCCCATAATAATTCATTTTTTTAAAAAATCAGATCAGGCCGAATGCGGTGGCTCAAACCTGTAATCCCAGCACTTTGGGAGACGAAGGAAGGTGGATCACTTGAGGTCAAGAGTTCGAGATCAGCCTGGCCAACATGGTGAAATCCCGTCTCTAGTAAAAAATACAAAAATTAGCTGGCCATGGTGGCGGATGCCTGTAATCCCAGCTACTCAGGAGGCTGAGGCAGGAGAATTGCTTGAGCCTGGGATACAAAGGCTGTAGTTTGCCAAGATCCTGCCACTGCACTTCAGCCTGGGTGACAGAGTGAGACCCTGTCTCAAAAAAAAAAAAAAAAATCAGATCACTGGTCTACTAAATTCCTTTAATATTCTGGGCCCTGGAATATTTTTACTACTGTGAAGCCTAGGCAGAAAGGAGGCACATGTGTTCAAAGGAAATGACATACTCAAATTTTAGTGAGAGAAAAAGCAGTGTTTCAGTTTACAAAGAGAAGATTAGACAGGACATTATGCATATTATTTTATTAATATTAACTTGTAATTACCATATGTAAAAATAAGACAAACACGATGAGAAAATTCAGTATGTCAACGCTGTTGTCAATAGATAGAGATGATTGATTTTATTTCTAAATCAAGATAGCCATATCTCAGAATAACAATTTGTTATTTGGCCTAAAATAGTCATTGAAAGAAAGTCTTTAATAGGAACATTTTAGTCCTCTCTTCATTTCTCTTTGTGGAACTTGATTATGTACATTTAATGGGCCATTTCTGTTATTTTTCTGAGATTAATGGATGTCTGGGAAACTTTTCCTCCAGTTAAACTTTATTTATTCATTATATCGGTTATCTTTTAAAATCATTTTGATACTTGATTTTGAAAACTGTAGATATACTTTGGTTGGAATATTCAGTTTCCAAATGCTAAACCAAACTGCCAATGCAACTGAATTACTGTCCATGTAATAACAGACCATTTATAAATTGATGAATGAATTGAGTGAATTAAACTAATCTTGTCTATTTAGGAATCTTTTCCCCAACCATTCTTTGTAATAGGATTTAGATAGATTGCTCAACAGCTCCATAGATAGATGGATAGACAAATAGAGTTGCCCATGCATTGTTCCCGCATAAACTGTCCTATGCAACTGATTAAATGCTCAATTTAAAAATAGTGTATAAAGAAGACAACATTATTCTTGTGATTATGAAAGAAATTATGACTTAATATTCTTTATGTTTTAATTACTGAAGCTCTATCTAGCAGTTTAGAAAAAATATTGAGTTTTCTATGAAATACATCTAGATTTTAGATTACCATGTGCATCATTTTATTGCCGGTCTAAATGGCTACCCAGACTTTCCCAAGGGAGAAGCCGTATTTTTCAGCGTATGCTTTTCTTTATTGGAATACTTGTTTTAAAATAATGTGTAGTGATAGCACAGAGTTCTTAAAGGTTATAACCAATCCAGACATCTCCTACACTGAAGATTCTGAGGAAAAAACAAACAAACAAACAAACAAAAAACCCAAAACTTGAAAGTTGTCATTTGCCAAAGCATTGCCTAGGAGAATATATTCAAGGATGATATATTGCGCATCCCCAAGTACAGGTTCTGTACTTGACTCTGGGGATACAGAAAATAGTAAGCCATACAATTCCCCTGCTCTCAGGAAGCCCACCATGCAAGAGATGAGAGGAACGTTAAACAAACAATTATACAAATTGTTATTTAATGACAATTGTAATAAGCACAGCATGCTATGAGAAGGCAACATATGGACTGCACACTAGTCTGTGGGTATTGAAACCTTTCCTGAGAAATGAACATTTAACCTGAGTTGGAGTGGAAAGGAGTGGAACTGATCAGATAAAGTGGTGACCAAATCAGCTAGCACTAAATTAAGATTGATTTTTATAGTATAGATTGCACATAGTTCTGAAGAAAGCTTTATAAATTAGCTACCTCCAATCATTTGAAAATGTAGAATTGCATGACTGTGTATAAATGAAGAACAGATGGCGAAGCAATCTAGTGATGAAAGTTGGAATAATCAGGAGGAAAACTTGAGCTGATTCTAAACGATAAGCAGTTTGGATAGAATGAGAGAAACAGCCTATTCCATTTCATTTACTCAATAGCCCACCGATATTTATGATGGACCTAGTATAGTCTAGCAATTGTCTTGAGTTCTGGAAGTACAGAGCACAATAAGCATTATGTCCTTGCTTTCGAGGAGCTCATTATCTAGTTTATGTATATACATACAATGGGCTCTATTAACAATTATGAAAACTGAGGCACAAAGTAGTAAAGGAACTTCCCCAAGGTCATACAAATAGTATAAATGATGAAGACAGGATTTGATTACAGGCAGCTGACTCCAAAGTCCATGTTCTTAACCACTGGTTTTGTATCATTAAAGTGAACATTTTTGCAAGAGGTAAAAACAAGATGCTATTGTACACATGAGAGCACCTGCTATGCCCCACATCCCCGTGTCGTGCGAACACTTTTGAGGGATCAACAGTTTCGCGGATCTGGCTCTGGCTCTTTAGCTCTCTGTGCTTGAGAATTCAACATCGTTAGTCCATATCGAGGCAATTTGGCATAGAGATTACTGCTACTCAGTCATACTACAATAATTAGACTGGAGCAGCCATGACCATTGAAGAGCAGAGTTTGAAGCCTGACTCAATGAGAATTGAACTTTGGCTTCACCACTTAGTCACTGCTTGTCCTTGACCAAGATAACTAGTATCTCAGGGAATCACTTCTCCCATCTGTAAAATGACAATATTACTAACATACTGGATTCTTGTGATGCTTAAGAGTGTTTATGCATACGTGTAAAGCAATTGGAAAAATGCCTGGATCTTAGTAAGAATCCATGATCAGGGTTGTAATGGTAATAGTTGTTGCAGCTGTAATTCAATACATCTGATATTAAGTGCTTGTCGAGATAGATTTTCTCTGGAACACTGTAGGCAATGCACTGGCACTATTAATCTCTGTCACTGTGGTTTCTATAGGGCAGATACTACCATTGACCTTCATTTTACAGATGGGGAAAGTAAGGCAGAAAGGTAAATAAACCTGTGAATGTTTCTTGACCTGTGCCACTGCTTTCTGCATGACTCATTATTTCTTTAGAAATGTAAACACATATGATTCAATGATAGCCTGCTGCAACTGGGAACTGGTCTGGCTCATCTACGTGACTTTGCAAATATCTGCTTTGACCCATCATGTGTTTGGTTGAAGTTCAACGTTCGTGGTTATTGACTACATGTGGATTGAGAGAGAGAGAAGAGAACTGAGAATTTCACTAAGCTTTTTATTTTTGGTTGTTGGATCTATGATGATGCTAGTAACCTAGAAAACAGTGGTGGGTGATACGGCAAATTAAGTTTTAGATAAACCAAATTTATAATTAGAGCTGGCCTAATTGTTCCTGCAGTTAGGCATCTGAGTATGCAAAACTGTATACATTATTCTTTTAAAAATATAACTGTGTTGAAATAGTCCATAAACATCTTCCAAAGTCATTTGACAAGTATATAAAACAAAATGTATTTTACTTTCTCCTTTTAAATCTAATCTCTTCAGAGGTAAGCACTGTTAAAAGTTACGTGACCATGCATCTAAAAGTTAAGTGACCCCCAACATACATGTTACATTAATCTTATTTCCCCCTATGGTCCTCTCAGTCTTTTTCCCCTAGGCCATTGGCTTGTGATCTCCTGACTGAGACTTTACTGAGGCAACCAGCAATGTGTGGATGACCACCAACTCCATGCAGGTACAACCCAGTAGCGGCTGTCTCCTGCCTGCTCCACAGCTCTCACCCCTTGGCTCTTGGCATCCTTGTTAAAGCTGTCATTGAAGCAGATCTCTCTAGGTGTCCACACGCATATCACAGAAGTGCAGTGGGACTGACACTTGTGACGCAAATATTTGAGATATGGGAGACGAGAGCTCATGACTAAAATCTTCTGCCTTCTTTCCCAGAATGAGCCATCGTGTTCTGACAAGTTGTTGTTTCTCTGGTAATACCGTCCTTGGAGATCAAGCAATTATTGGGGATGGACACCAAGTGCCACCCTGCATCCTGGTGTTGGTCCTTCCGACTTTGCTGGAATTGCACTCTCTAACAGCACAGTAGCATATAATTTTTGCTTCAGGGTTTGCTTTCCATGAATATCACAGTTAGACAGTTCAACTAAATGTATGGAAATTATTGCACATCTCTATGTAAAAAGGTCCCTTTTGCTTTGTTTTGTTTTTTATACTTGGCTAGACAGAATCATTTATGTAGCCATTTTCTTTTGGATCAACCTTTAGATTTTTTTTATTTCATTGAAATTCAATGTGATATATATATATATGTTTATATATGTATGTTCATTTTTTAGCATTTTGTAGTATTTGCACCTTTTCAAGTACCTGATATCCATTTGTATGTCTACTTTAGAAAATGTTTTTTTTCAGATCCTTTGCCCATTTTTAATTGCAGTATTCATGGTTGTTTTTGTTTTTGATTTTTTGCTATTGAGTTGTATGAGTTCCTTATATATTTAGGACAGTAATCTCTTATCAGATATATGGTTTGCATTTCTCCCATTCAGTAAGTTGCTTTTTTATATTGTTTCCTTTGCATACAGAAGCTTTTTAGTTTTATATAGTCCTAACTGTTTAATTTTACTTTTGTTGTCTGTGTTTTTGGTGTCATATTTAAAAAATCATTGCCAAGACCAATTTCAAGGAAGTTTTTTTCTATTTTTTCTTTAAGAGTTTTACAGTTTCAGGTCTTACATTTAAGTCTTTAATCCTTGTTGAGTTAATTTTTGTGCATGGTGTAAAATGGGGATCCAATTTCATTCTTCTACATGTGGGTATTCATTTTTCCGAACACTGTTTATTGAAGCGACTCTCCCCATTGTATATTATTGATGCCCTTGTCACACAATAGTATACCATATATGTATGCATTTATTTCTGATCTCTCTATTTTGTTCCATTGGTGTATGTGCCTGTTTTTTTTTTTTTTTTTTTTAGTGCCAGTACCAGTGTTTTGATTACTATGGCTTTTTAATATAGCTTGGAGTCAGAAAGCGTGATGCCTTCAGCTTTGTTCTTTCTCAAGATTGATTTAGTTGCAGTATTTTATGGTTTTATACCAATTTTAGGATTGTTTTTTCTATTTATGTGAGAAATGCCATTGGAGTTTTTATAGGGAGTACATTGAATTCGTTGATCACTTTGAGTAATATGGCCATTTTAACAACAGTAATTTTTCCAATCCATGAACACAGGGTATCTTTACATTGATTTGAGCCTTCTTTAATTTCTTTCATCAATGTTTTATAGTGTTTAGTGTACAGATCTTTTACCCAATCCATGAACACAGGGTATCTTTACATTGATTTGAGCCTTCTTTAATTTCTTTCATCAATGTTTTATAGTGTTTAGTGTACAGATCTTTTACCCCCTTGGTTAAATTTATTTTCAAGTAATTTGTTCTTTTTGATGCTACTACAAGTGAGATTGCTTTATTAATTTATTTTTTGACAGTTCATCTTTAGCATATAGAAATACAACTTGTTTTTGTATGCTGAATTTATATCCTGCAACTTTACTAAACTTGTTTATCAGTTCTAATAGTTTTTGGTTGAGTCTTCAGGGTTTTCTATATATATAAATTCATGTCTTCTGCAAACAGAACAATTTAACTTCTTTCTTATCTGGATGCCTTTTATTTCTTTTTCTTGCCTAATTTTTATGGTTTTAATTTCTTGAATTACCAGTGAGTTTGGGTATCTTTTTGAATATTCATTGACCATTTCCACGAGTTGTGTTGTTAGTTTTCTTTTTAGCTGAATTACCCACTCACATCCTTATTATTTTATGCCACTGATTTCATGTTTTGTTTTCTATTTTCATGGTGGCTTAGAGGAGGTCTTCATGTATTATTAAACACATGCTTATATGTACCTTATGGGTATTTGTCACTTATTTGTTAACTTTGTTTATGGTATCTTAATCTATACAAATTCTCAATTTTCTTTTCTTTTCTTTCTTTTTTTTTTTTTTTTAGATGGAGTTTCTCTCTGTCGCCCAGGCTGGAATGCAGTGGTGTGATCTTGGCTCACTGCAATCTCTGCCTCCCGGGTTCAAGCAATTCTCCTGCCTCAGCCCCCTGAGCAGCTGGGATTACAGGTGCACGCCACCACGCCTGGCTGATTTTTTGTATACTTAGTAGAGATGGGGTTTCACCATCTTGGCCAGGCTGATCTCGAACTCCTTACCTCAGATGATCTACTCACCTCAGCCTCCCAAAATGTTGGGATTACAGGAGTGAGCCACCGCCCCCGGCCCTAAATTTTCTTAAACTATCATTTATTATTTTGCATTTTATTCCATCTTCCAAAAATCTTTCCTCATTCACATCATATTAAAAAGAAAAATCTTCTACTAAATTTGATTTTGCTGTTATTTTTGATACTCTACTTCATATCCATCTAAAGTTTTTATTTGTGGTGTGATATACAAATTAATCTATTTTTTCTCTCAAATCAGTAGACAATTGTTAAAACATTACTTACTAAATATTTTATAACTTATTCATTGATTCAAAATTCCATTCTAAGAGCTTTCTCTCTCCCTCTGTCTTAACACCCACCCTTTTCTGGACCTTCCATTTTTATTTACTTGTATCTGTATTGTCATGTCAATATCACAATGTTTAGATTGGTAAATAATTATATATTTTCATACTTGGATGAATATACCATTTATAATTTTTTAAATATTGGCTATTCAGTTGTATTTGTCTTCCAATACAAAACCTTAGATTCATTTTATTGTCATAATTTGTAAAATTCAATTAGTATTAATTAATGAATTTTCTAGAGACAAGGTCTCACTCTATCATCCAGGATGGAGTGCAGTAGTTCAATCCTAGCTGACTGTACTCAATTTTTCCACCTTAGCCTCATGAGTAGTTAGCACTACAAGTGTGCACCATCATGCCCAGCTAATTTTTTATTTTATTTTGTTTTTTGCAGAGATAAGGTCTTGCTATGTTGCTCAGGTCTCAAACTCCTGGCCTCAAGTGATCCTGCTGCCTTGGCCTCCTAAAGTATTGGGATTACAGGCATGAACCATTGTGCCAGGCCTCAATTAGGATGTTAATTATCATTTCATTTAATTTATAGCTTAATTTACAGAGAGCTGACATTGTCACAATATTGAGTATTACATTCCAAGAATACAGTGTATTTCTATAAAACAACTTTTGTATTATTTTACATGCTAAATAAAATTGAAAAATAATATTAGCATGAGTTTTCCTTTTTTTTCAGGATTGTTCTTTGACATCTTGTTGGGTTTTTTTGTTTTGTTACAATTTTTCAGATCATTTTTGGGATATGAGAGCTCAAATATTTATATGTTGGTCTTGAATTGGTAATTGACCAATTGCTCTTGTTTTTTGTAGCTTTTCAATGGACTCTTTTGAATTGTATCACTTCCCACTCAACTTGTGCATTTTAACTTTTTTTTTTTTTGGGATGTTTAGAATCTGTTTTTGGAATATTTAAAATTAAAAATAATGGTATATATCTTTAGTTCTTTTATTTTTATTTATTTATTTATTTATTTTTGAGACACAGTCTCGCTCTGTAGCCCAGGCTGGAGTGCAGTGGCATGATTGTGTCTCACTGCGAGCTCTGCCTCCCAGGTTCACGCCATCCTCCTGCCTCAGCCTCCCCAGCAGCTGGGACTACAGGCACATGCCACCACACCCGGCTAATTTTTTTCTATTTTTAGTAGTGATGGGGTTTCACCATGTTGGCCTGGATGGTCTTGATCTCCTGACCTTGTGATCTTCCCACCTCAGCCTCCCAAAGTGCTGGGATTACAGGCGTGAGCCACTGCACCTGGCCATATCTTTGGTTCTTTATGTTAATGGAAATGTTTCTCCATTAAATTTAACATTTCTTGTAGAATTGATTTTTATACAGTAGAAGACTTTTTCATTCTTAAATTTTTTTTAAAAAATTCAGGAATTCCATGTTCATTTAAAGATGATTACAACATATTCAAATGATAGTATTAAATACTAGTTAAAAATATGCATTTTTTTGGTCAAGAGGGTGTTCCAAGCAGAAGACAAAAAAATTAGTAAGCTTTTTAATATGAGTGTATATTGAAGATGTACAAGTGAATAAATCATGAGGAGAAACTTTTCCAATAAAAAATCAGAGGCTGATTCTTTCTTACCCCCATTGACCCATGTACATACTGCCTTTATAACACTATGACATTATATTGTAAGTATTTATTGTAAAATTTATGCTTGCATGCCAAAATAGTTGGGGCCTATGTTAGGCTGTTCTTGCATTACTATAAAGAAATACCTGAGGCTGGGTAATTTAAAGAAAAGAAGTTTAATTGGCTTATGGTTCTGCAGGCTTTACAGGAAGAATGGTGCTGGCATCTGCTCAGCTTCTAGGGAGGCCTCAGGAAGCTTACAGTCATGGCTGAATACAAAGAGAGAGCAAGCATGTCATATGGCAAAAGCAGGAACAAGTGAGAAAGAGAGGGGAGGCGGGGGAGATGCCACACCCTTTAAAACAACCAGATCTCTCCAGAACTCAGTCACTATCCTGAAGAAAGCACCAAGCCATGAGGGATCCGCCCCCATGATCCAAACATCTCCCATGGGGCCATGCCTCCCACATTGGGAATTACAATTCAACATGAGATTTGAGCAGGGACACATATCCAAACTGTTAGGGCCATTCTTTAGTCTATTTGTCTTTTGTGTCTAGATGAATGACTAACAGAGTAGCCATTTAATCAATGTGTTTTTTAATGAATGGAAAGATAAGAAATAGCAAAGATATTGAGGAAATCCAGGAGACCATTCTATTGGTAGTAATATCTAAAAAATTAGGCTGAAAACCAAAGACAGAAACTTGTGTTAAAAACTTGGGAACATCAGTGACTTAGTGAGATCGATTTCAGTGGGGAAGGGATAGATATGAATGCTAGAATGTAATGGATGAGAAATGGATGACAAGGGATGAATTAAAGTAAGACGGAAAAATGTATTGTTTCAAAAAAATTGAGAGTGACACCCAAAAACAGAAAGCATATTTACCTTGTGAGAGAGATAGTCTTAATATTACTAACTTCAAGAATGAGAGAAATATTAAGTTTTGGGTTACAGAAGAAGGGCTCTAGAAGGAATTTAAATTCAATGGTGTTTATCTTCTGTTTGAAGGAGGGATAATTGAATTTCATGTAATGTATAAGTTCTGATGTTTTCTAAAGCCTATGACTACTACTTTAAATGGATTCATTAGTTTCCTTTTCTCATTTATGGAGGAAAATACTCCAGTATCTTATTTTAGGGTGGTCAGAGAAAATATAAAGAGAGCATAATAATTAATAAATACATTTGTAGACTTGTGTTCCTGTGGGAAAAAACTAGAAAAGTAATAAAAAGTGATTTTCTATTTACTAATCATAGCAGATTTCAGGGCTGGGTCATCCAAAACAATGTGCTACATCTGAGAAAGAACATTCAATCTCCTTTTGCATAATGTTTGAAGTAAGCTTTTGTACATGACAAAATGTAAAATTCTGTACAAAAGTTTTTATTATTCAAAACTGCCTTACTTGCAGAATATGTCATCTGGATGTTTACATAAAGACTCAAAATTTGTATTTTATTTTCTTCATTTTGGGTTCAGCATGAGCTGATGAAAGAACAACCAGGTCAGCAGTTTTGTCACTATAGAATTGCAAAAAGAGAGTTCAGATTGTACTTAGCCCCCTCCTTGATGACAGTTGAGGGTTGTAAAGAAGATACTTTTCACTTAAACATTTGATGCAATTAACCAGCTTGGAATTTTCTCACATCAGCAAATCTTATATTTGAGCAATCTAAATGATTGCTGACACAAACTCCCAGCTAAGAACGAAGAGCTTATCTTCATGCATAAAAAGGTACATATCATTGCTGTTTAAATTAGAGACACTGACATGTAAATTACAACAGCTCCCAGTAAATTATTAAGTTGGTGGTATGTCTCTGAGAAATATCTGTAAGCTTAAGTCAAGATAATCCAATAAGAGGGAAAGAGTAATAAAACATTTTGCCAACTTCCAGAATTGTTTTAATTCCTTGAAAATGTGTACCTTTACCTTTGTTACATACAGTTTGTCTGGGTAACCTATAGTTTCACTCATTCAATTTTCAATTTTCAGGAGACATTTACTTCATTAGAGATGAAGTAGCACTTCTACTATCTGTATCATATTGGCTATAGCTTGTTTATCCAGAGTGGCATGGTAGAAACAGAATCCACTTTAGAGTTGCATGATATTTATTGCACTAGTAACTTTGATTGCGTCCTTGAGCCAGTTGCTGATTTTTCTGAGCCTCAATTTTCTCACCAGTACCATAGAAATAAGGCTAATTGCGGCCGGGCATAGTGGCTCACACCTGTAATCCCAGCACTTTAAGAGGCTAAGGCGAGTGGATTACCTGAGGTCAGGAGTACGAGACCAGCCTGACCAACATGGAGAAACCCCATCTCTACTAAAAATACAAAATTATCCGGATGTGGTGGTGCATGCCTGTAATCCCAGCTACTAGGGAGGCTGAGGCAGCAGAATCGATTGAACCCAGGAGGCAGAGGTTGCAGTGAGCCGAGATCGTGCCATTGCACTCCAGCCTGGGCAACAAGAGCAAAATTCCATCTCAAAAAACATAACAAACAAACAAAAAAGAGACGAAGAAGAAGAAAAAAGAAATAAGGCTAACTTCCTTGCGGTATTACTGAATTAAGTAATCTAATATATATTTAACTATACATGGTAATAATTAGTGCTAACCAAACTTGAGTGCTTACTGTACCTGTAAGTGCTTTACTTGTACAATTCTGCCTAATCCTCACCATAATTACGAGATGGGCCCTCTCATTATCTAGAGAATAAGGAATAAGGCAATTATTCCTCCCAAAATTATAACTTACTTCTTCAAGCTTTACTGTATGTTTTAACCATTCTTTAAAAAATCATTTTTTAAGTCCATAAATTACATGTTATGGAGTCTGGATAGGACCTGATAAGAAACTTATCCTCCATAATTTTACCCTAACTGAATGAGTTTAATTATCCATAAATATAGGCTGTGGATTATTTCTGATTTATAGACTGAACTTATTCATTCATATGGTGTGCCTTTTGGTATTGTTGGTGTGTTGCTATTACTTGCATATCAAGTAGGAAACAAAGCAGTGTGGTCTCTGCTCTCAGGTAGCCTATGTTCTAATGTAGGAGACTCATAGGAATCATAAGTAAGCAGATAATTACAGACAATTACAACAACCACATAGGAGGCTAGAAGAAGGAGAACAAGGAAAACCTAAAAAGCTTGCAAAGAAGCACAGAGTCCAAAAGGGATTAGATCCAACAAATTAGGTGATAACCACTTTAGATGTTAAGATTATCTCCACGAGATTTCAACTACTTGGATATTATCAGAAAGTAGCTGACTAGATTGGTCTAATCATATCATATAGAAAGCTTCTCACTTAATGTTACAGAAGTTCTAATACCAAGTGGCTTGTATGTGGGGACATTTATCACATCACATGTCAAGAAGTTGCAAAAGATAATAAATCCAGTGTTGGTTGAGTCACTGACCCAATTTTGTCATTTAAGTTCCAGGTTCGTTTCATCCTTTTCACCTGTGCTTCTGGGCCTTTTCACCTGTGCTTCTGGCTCTAGCCAATTTCCTTCATGTTTGCAAGAGTTCTGTAGCAGTTCTAAGCTTTGAGCTCATATGTAACAGATTACATAAAGTATTTACACTAATGCAAGCCAAGGATAAGTGCATTTAAATACCAATGATTGAATGAACTGGCACTGAGAATTCCACATGAGAGAGAGAAAGAGGGGTGGTATGTATGGTGTGCATGTATTTAGTGCTTTTTGTGTGCCACACACTCTTTTAATTCTCATACCAACCCTGGGTGGAAGCAATATCATTATCTCCTTTGTTTAGATAAGGAAAATGAGACACTAAGAGATTGAATAGTTTGCCTCTTGACACTCAGCTGGCAAGTTATGGGGCCAGGATTTAACCTCATAGGCTCCAGGTTTTGACCATTATGCTCACATAAAGGAGTGCTCCTGGATTTGGCTATTCTGTGAATTGAAGTATGATATTCATTGATTCATTCACTTTATTCAGGTTTTTTTTTAACATTACTTCTTTACTTCATTAATTTAAAATATGTATTCAGTACCCACTCTCTTCTAGGCATGGTACTTGTCCGTCCAGTTGCAATAATATACAAACAGACCCTGCCTTGGCCCTCGCACGTCTTTCCCTCAAGTAGGAAACATATATCTTAAATAAACAATGGCACATACACGAAATTACATAGTGGGATAAATGCTGTATGGTTCAGAAAGCTATGGAAATGTGGTATGAGACCTAATCTAATCTGGAGGTCATGGAAGGCTTCCTAGAGAAAGTGAGGTTTGAACTGAGGCCTGAAGGATAAGTGAGTTAATTAGGTAAACTGTGGGGGAAAGGCTGTTCCAGGAAGAAAGTGATAGCACATCTTCTCTAACTAGCAACTTCCAACTGAAATGATCAGCATATCATGTAAATAGAGACACGTTTGCATCAACAGTGGGCCCAAACACAAAACCATCCTCCCGGAAGAATTTCTGCAGATACAGTGCTAATTCCCTTAAATGAAAGCAGCCACTGAAAGTTGGTGCTCATCTCCACTTTAAAGCATATTAGAGAGCTGAGTGGAACAAAACGAAGAGCATTAGAACCCCCACAAATATGGGGCAATCCTCAGATTGACTCTTGTAGTAAATGTCTACACCATCCAGAGACTCAGGCAAGGAAGAGAGAGGCTTTTTTTTCAGTTCTCCATCCAAATTGTTCACATGGTTTAGTAATGTGCTCTGTCTCCTTCCCCACTTCTCTGGATTCTCTAGATCTCTAAATGAGTAATGGATTATGTGTTTTTATCATGGTAGTTATTATTGCTATTTGTTTTAAAATTTATTAAATATGGGATATTTACTATGTGAATAATTTGATGGTGAAACACATCAGTCACTAAGAAAATTTGGTTAAAAAATCCTCCTTGACAGTAAATAACAGCATAGAAATCTCTCTCTTTACAGCTGATTTTACAGAGACATCACTAGGTTTAACATATTATAATAACTAGCATTTGTTAACTGCTTCCTATATGCCAATTGAGGTGCCAGTCACTTTATAAATTATCTCTTAGTCCTTCTAACAATCTGATATGTTAAGTATTGTTCTTTTCTTTTCATAAATGTAGAAACTGAGGCTCAGAGATAAAGCATACACCAGGTCAATGGTCTTTTAAATGGGAGAGTTGGGAGCCAGTTCCAAATCTGTCTTGCTTTGAAATCTATGCTCTTTCTACTATCCCACACTGCCTTCCAGCTTAAAAGATGTTAATATTCTCAAGATTAAGAGGATCAGGTTTGACTTGAAATAGATGATAGGTGTAACAAGATGGCTTGCCCTGCACACTTGGGATGCAAATATACTCAGGTCTCTCTTTTTCTTTTTCCTTCCAAGGAATCACATAAGTACCCACTTACTATCTTGACAGAAAGCTTTCCATGTCTGTCTTCGGACTGCTCCTTTGCATGAGCTGTTCTGATAGAATACTAGGAAGAGGATCAGACTTTCAAATCTCAGTGGGAAGAGTACTGAGCTCTAAGGAATGTGTGAAGCTCTGCTCCATGCTACTCCCAGTGCTGCAGTTGAAAAGTGGCCCTATGAAGTCAACAGAAAATACAGATTCTTTGGTGATTCATGTTCTGTTCTGGTTTTCCAAGGAAGGATAATTCCATAATCCTGGGGGTTGGGGGAGAGAATTGATATAGGATGCCTATTCTTGGGAAATAGATTGTCTCTTCCTTTGTATCTTTCTAAAAGGGGAGGAAATCTTTATCAGAAATCTCCCAGCAGACATAATCACATTTCAGTGGCAACAACTGCATTTCAACTATACCCAAATCAATCAATGGCAATGAAGGTGGTATCTTTAATGATTGGCTGAGGACAATTAGGACTCAAATATTGAGTCTGTGGTTGGGATAAACCTACCCTGTACATAGTCACACAGAAAGTGGCAATACCTGAATGAAACAGAGGTTTATTTAGTAAGGAAAAAGTGGGGAAAGTAATTGTGGGTAGAAAAATAAAAGCATTTACTATCAACTTTAGAGTTTATCTGGTAAGGGTAAAGGGAGAGCAAGGTAGCAGCAACAGAGTGGGATATACAGGTTTTCTGAAATGTCATCTCCGTAGTAGTAACTTCGCTGATTATTTCCAACTACTTTTTAATATTTAATTAAGAAATGTAAGAGTTTGTCATGGAGAAAACACACTTAAATGTTGAAAATTCAGTTCTACCAAAACATAAGTAATGTTACTTCTATTGTTTAAATTTTTTAAAAAAACAAGACACAATGACATTTACTATGAGAGTAACTATGTTACTGGAAGAAAACCTCTGGACTGTTTGGATACAGCATATGGAAATCACAAAATGCAGAATGTCTTAGCTGCAAAATTTGGCCATGTCCATATTTAATATCCTTCTTCCAGAAATATGCCCCAGAGTAATAGAGAAAAAAAGGCATCAACAAATCATTTAATGTAAAAGGTGACAACTGCAAATGAATAAAATATTTGTGAAAAGAGTAATTATTTATTCTCATAAGTGATCATAATTTTATCACAGCAAAAATTTAGCTCAGATTTCTTATTTTGGAAAATTATATTTATTATTAACTAGTAAAAAGTCATTTAATCAACACTTTTCTCACCAGAAAGATCAGAAAATTCTAGATTTGTGTACACACTGTGTAATTTATTTTTTGCACATTCCTACCCTTTTATGGTAGATACATGGATCACTTGTGTAACTGTGTCATTTATACAAACTAGACATCTTTTAAGGGAAAGACCTGTTTAACTTAAGAATAACACAAAGATAGAACATGAAAATTAGCCCCAATGACATAAGTAAAAAGACGCCCTAGACTTTACTAATTCATTTGTTCTTTTTCATTCTAGCCCATTTTATAATTGAAATTAAATCAGCATTGAATTTAACATAAATTAACATGATGTTCATTTACAAAATTATATTTGTGTTTTTTCAAGTTCATGAAATGTTCTTAAAATACTATGAGGAAAAAAAAATGAAAATGTACACACGTAAATTTTTCAATATGAAAATACATAGGAGTAGGCTTATATATGGCTCAGTTTTTAAAGTATTTATGGTCCTTTAAGCAATATTCAGAGTATTCTTGGATGTAGAGAGAGAGGCCAGCATGTATACAACTGGAAAGAGGTTTTCTCTGTTGTACCCACTTTCTCATTGGCAGTTTCTCCCTCTAGCCTACAGGGCAGCTACTCCTCCTTATTTCCTAGGACGATTTAGGTTGAAAACTCACCATGGTCTTATTTCCCAGAAAGACTTAATGCTAATCCTAATATTCAATGCCCTCACCTTAGTATCTAAGGCCTCATATTGATTGATTGATATAATGATGTGTTTATTCATTCAAAACATTTTTGGTACTATAATTATTCCCATTTTTCTCTGCCTTCAGTGTTTCAAGGTACCAGCCCAAAGTAGAAAATAATAGGTACCAGTCCAAGTAAGACAGAAAAAAAATTTACTTTCTAAAAGTGCCTCTATTGTTGTACTTTTACATTTACAGGATTTAGAAATAACTAAAAAAACACTAAGAGTTGAAACAATAAAAACATACGGCATTCACTCTCACAACTTTTTAATCCTGTATTTAATCATCGTAATTATTTAAAAAATACTTCCTGTTAAGTTTATTGACTGACTAATGGGTGATTATCTCCACTAATTATGGCAAATAACATCTGATTTTTTTATTAAAATGTCCTTTCCTCTTCATGTCTCCTTTAGTGTTTCCATCACAAGATTATGCCTAACAAAGGATTCAACCTGAATGCGGAATTTCAGGAGAATCAGAAATGATACACACTAGAACATTAAACATTTAAAGCCCAGTGCTCCCTTCTGTTATTGCTTCTCTTTGTTCATTAATCTAAACTGCATTAATTATAAAAGACCATAATTATGTACATTTTGCTAGCCCACAGCTGTTAGTATATAGCATTTAGGTTTGGGAAACATTCATTGAGTACCTACTCCATACCTGCTTTCCAAACTTTAATGAGCAACTCACCCTAGGGTTTTGTTAAAATCAGCCTCTGATTCAGTACCTCCTGGATTGGACTGTTAAGTCTGCATTACTGTTAGTGGAAATGTAAATTGGTATGGCTATTATGGAAAACAGTGTGAAAGTTCTTCAAAAAATTACAGATAGAACTGCCATTTGAACTATTAACCCCACTTCTGGGTACATATCCAGAGGAAATGAAGTCAGCATCTCAAAAGGGTATCTACACTCTCATGTTCATTGCAGCACTATTCACAGTAGCCAAGAGAAGGAATTAATCTAAGTGTCCCCAGAGAGATAAATAAAGAAATTCTGCCACTTGTGATAACATGAATAAACCCAGCAGACATTATGCCAAGTAACATAAGCCAAACAGAAAAAGACAAATACTGCATAATCTCACTTATATGTGGAATCTGAAAAAAAAAGTTGAGTTCACAGTAACAGAGAGTAGAATGGTAGTTACCAGGGGCTGAAAAGTGGAGGAAAAGGAGGGATGTTGGTCACAGGGTACAAAATTTTAATTGCAAGATGAATATATTCTGGAAATCCAATATACAGCATGATGATGATAGTTACTAATAATGTAGCCTTGAAATTTGCTGAGAGCAAATCTCAAATGTTCTCACTAAACACACACACAAACACACACAAATGGTAACTAGTTGAGGTGATGGATGTTAGCTTGTGGTCATCACTTCACAATGTATATGCATATGAAAACATCATATAATTCACCTTACATATATATAATTTTGTCAATCATACCTCAATAAAGCTAGTAAAAATAGTAATATGTCAAATGATGCTTGAGAAACTGAATAAAAATTTTGCAATTAAGTGCTTTCAAAGATAGTGAATATATGTAGGTGTCCATACAAAAATGTATACATGAATGTAGCATTATTCATAATAGACAAAAAGTGTAAACAATTCATATTTTCATCAATTGATGAATGGATAAATAAAATGTGGTGTAGCCATACAATGGGCAATTATCTCACAGTGAAAAGGAATGATTTACTAATCCATGCTATAACAAGGACAAAACTCAAAAACATTATGCTAGGTGAAAGAAGCCACAAGAAAGGACCACATGTTGTATGATTCCATTTATATGAAATATCCATAGAGACAGAAAGTAGATTGGTGGTTGCCTAGAACTGAAAAAGTTGAGGAAAAGTAGAGGTGACTTAATGGGTATGGGTTATTTGGGGAGTGATGAACATATTCTAAAATGATGGTGATAGTTGTACAACTCTGGATCATTTAATCATACACTTTAATGAATTGTTTGGTATATGAACAATTATATATCTGAACAAGGCTGTATTAGGAAAACAAGCAAAGTTCCTAAGTGATGCTGATGCTTCTGGCACCTGGACCACATTGGAAGTAGCTCTATGAGTCTATGAAAGGTCTCATATATAGGTTGTTTGCACACATATTTTGGTCACCTACCACATTTATTTTAAGTGACTGCTACCCGTTAGGCACTATTCTAGGTCCTGAGTCTACAACAGTCAAAGAACCACATAAAACAGCCTCATGGAACTTTCATTTCTGTGAGGTAAAGGATAGACAACAAAACAAATAAACATATTATATTTGATGGTGATAAGTTATACAGAGATAAAATAAGTCGAGAATGGCAATAAATCACATAATTGGGGAGTGTCAGGGGGGCTGGATGTTGCAATTTTAAATAGGTGTTCAATGGAGGCCTTGAAGAAGGGAATCTTCAAGAAATTGCCCGATAAAATACCAGTAATGAAAGTATCTGGAGAAGAATGATACAGGCAGAGAGAGGCAAAAGTGCAGAAGACATTTTTTGAGCTAAGAATCATATCATTTTTTGATAATATAAACTACTACATCCATTTTGTAAATTACATATATTTTATATGCCAGGTAGAATTTTGTAACTTGAACATTTGAAAAGAGTAAAAGTAAGTACACAAATATGGCAAAATCTGGTACTGCAGACAGAAACTTTCAAAGAGAGATTTTCTAAAAATAGAGTATTATGCTATAATTAGCCCAAAGTCTCTCCCACAAAAGGCTGATGAGGTCTTTCCTTCAAGCATGATCTCTGAATGAGTGTCAACAACAACACTAAGATGAGACATGTCTTGGGCTTGTTGGCTATCGAGTACTAAAGAGAACCAAAACAAAACTACATCTTCAGGATAACTCATAGCCTGCTCCAGTAGCTTGGATAGTGTGTTCTCGTCATTATGTTCAGAGTCAAGTGTGTACCAAATCATTATTAAAAATATCTGGGAGGTCAAAATTGCACTGTCCATTCAAGACTTTGGCCTTCTGTTCTTCTGAAAGGGTCTTGGCTTAGGATGACCACTTTCCAATATGCTTGACTTCCTGCTGGCAATTCTTATCTAAAACATCTAGATCAGAATGGAAATCAGTTAGGGTCATTGATATGGTTTGGCTGTGTCCCCACCCAAATCTCATCTCAAATTATAGTTCCCATAATCTCCATGTGTCATGGGAGGGAACTGGTGGGAGGTAATTGAATCATGGGGACAGTTACACTCATGCTGTTCTCGTGATAGTGAGTGAGTTCTCAGGAGATATGATGGTTTTATAAGGGGCTTTTCTTCTTTCACTCGGCACTTCTCCTTCCTGCCACCATGTGAAGAAGGATGTGTTTACTTCCCCTTCTGCTATGATTGTAAGTTTCCTGAGGCCTCCTCAGCCATGCTGAACTGAGTCAATTAAACTTCTTTCCTTTATAAATTATCCAGTCTCAGGTATGTCTTTATTAGCAGTGTGAGAATGGACCAATATAGTCATCATCTGCCAATGTGCCCTCACAGCTGTTTCCACTAAGTTCAACATCTCTAACTCTACATTTAACACTGGCTTTCCCACTTGTATTCTTCTATCTAACCAGACCTGACTATATTCAACTGTGCATTTTAACTTCCTATCTCATATATATATATATATATATATATACACTTCTTAACACATGTATACTTAAATATACATATCTAAAATCTATATCTATTAAAAAGACTCCAAGAGGGGAGAGATGAGGTACTTGCTCAAGGTGACATAGATAATAAATTAAAAATTGCAATCTATAGACTCATAGTCCATCTACAACACTACCACTAAAACCACGTCTATAAGGCTAAATCTTCCCCAGTTGTATCTGTGCATTCATTTCTTCTGAATTTCATCCTAGACTTTTCTGCAAATTTACAATACACGGCAATAGTAGCAACTCAGTTGTTTTAAATTCATTGCTTTGAAGGAAATATAGAAGGCACAATGAAATAAAGACATGAATATGGAATCCACATTTCGAAAAGCTAAGCAGAAATGATTACAGTCTGAGAAGTCAATTTTTATTATGTGGTGATCTGATAACAATAAAATCAATGGTACATCCTTTAGTATTACAGCGACTATTTTTTAAATATGTGGATAACAAACACACCTAACAATGTACTTTTAATTCTAGGCAAATTTCTTTAAAAATTATTTACCAACCATGAGGGTTAATTTTATGTGTCAACTTGCCTGTGTTAAGGGATGTCCAGTAAGGCAGCAAAACATTACCTTCAGGTGTTCCTGTGAGGGTGTTTCAGGAAGAGATTAGAGTTTGAATCATTTGACTGAGTCAAGGAGATTGCCCTCAACAATGTGGAGGGTCTCATTCAACATATTGAGGGCCCAAATAGAAGAAGAAGGTAGAGCAAGGTTGAATACTCTCTCTTTGAGCTAGGACATCTATCTTCTCCTGCCCTAGGGCATAGCATCAGCATTCCTGGTTATCGGACCTTTGGACTCACTTACACCATCATCACCTCCCAAAATACACCACCCACTCTCCTGATTCTCCATCTTGCAGACAACAGATAGTGAGACTTTGCAGCCTCATAATCATATGAGCCGATTCCCATTATAAACTCTAATACACTGACATCAATTTTACAAATAAGTTCAAAAGCATATGTATCAAGATGTATTAGCAGATCAAAGATCTGATATTGTCATCAATATTAAAAAGTACACTGAAAAATATCCTAAATACATGTAAAATACTCGGAGTAAAACTGGTCAAGGAGCAGCATTATTGGTGAAAGAAATTTGAGCATGTGGTTAAAGATAGTGATGAATATAAAAATAATATTATTCAGCAGAAGGGATCTTTAGAAAATTCACGTGATTAAAAAAATAAACCTTAACAGATGTTTAGCTACTAGAAATTTGAATGTTTGTTCGAACAATATCTTGTTTTATTTTTTAAAATTCTCCATCTAAGGGTACTACACAGTGTTTACTACTCTGGGGATCTTGTGTAGGATACAAGATTAGGGAAACAAAGCCTCCTCTTAAAATGATATGCCAGTTTTCTGAGACTAACACAATGTCAATAAACTAAGTAAATAGAAGACAGTCAATTGGCTGTGCAGCCTTTCCCTTTACTGGTAAGATTATGTGTCAACCTCCTAATGGCTTTGAAGAATTTGTTTCTTTCTAGAGTTCAAATTACAACTCTAAATAGAGATGAAGCAATTCACTTCCCAGTGAAGAAAGAATTTGAATTAGACAATAAAATAACAGATAACAGGACCATGTTCTAAATATAAAGTTTTATTTTACCAGGGTGAATCACTGACAGCATTCAAAAGGCCACAGGCAATGAAACTTAGATTTGAGAAGTAATATACCTCATAGGAACAAATAAATAATATAAATGAAAAACAAACCCGAATGAAGTATGTATAATGGGAGATAGTAGAAAAGGGTTATTGGAAATAAAATTCATTTTGAAAAGATTTTCTCAAACCTGAAGAATGAATATAAAAGCTAAATTTTGTTTTTCAATTTCCAATGATAATTTACACAGTGGTTGATAACATATGATGATCTCATCCAAGCCCAACACTGTAAATATTATCCATAATGCCAAAAAAATCTCAATTTTATTTCTTTGGCCTAGGTTTCCTTCTCTCTTGAACTCCAGTCTCACATATTATGTTACCCAACTTAAATTTTATTTAATATGTGATAAAAATCTTAAATTTAGTGTGTTCGAACAGAACTCCTGATTGTCTCTCTAAAAATTTATGCCTCTCATAGTCTTCTCCATCTCAGCAGATGGCATCTCCAGTCTTCCACTTGCTGAGGCCAAAAACCTTACCATCATTGCGATTCTTCTCTTTTTCTCACATCCTACAGAATTTGGCCACTTTTCAACACCTCCATCACTACTACCCCTTTCCAGCCCATCTTTATTTCTCAAATTTTATAATAGATTCCTAACGGATTCTACTTGGGCTACTTCCAGCCTTGCCTCTCACCCCAACACTGTCTCTCCTCAACACAATGTCCAGAGTAAGTCTTTTACTACATAAGTTACATCATAACACTCATCTGCTCAAAACCTCGATTGTCTCACATACCTACACATTCACACACACACACACACGTTGTGCACACAGTAAAAGACAAAGGCTTTACAATGGCCTGAAAGGTCCCAGATGCTCTGGCTTCTTTGTTTTTTCTCTATCTTGATCTCCTAGTACTCACTCCTTTGCAGACTTCACTCAAGCCATACTGGCTTCCTTGACTTTCCTTTAAAAATTCAGGAAAGCTCCACCTTGGGAACTTGGTGGTAGCTGTTCCTACTTCCTAGGATGCTCTTTCTTCATGTATCATCATGACTAATTATTTAACCTTTTTCCAACTTTGACCAAATATCACCTAATCAATGACACCTATTCTTGCCACTACACTTAAAATTAATTGTCTGTGCTTGGAGCATCATAATAAATCTGGAAAATAAAAACAATGTATTTAGAAATGTACACTATAGAGGAGAGCGAAAGAATATAAAAATAAAATAAGAGAATGTCTATAAGGGAATAAGTATTATGAGGATAGAAAAAAGCACCCAGGACTAAATTAGGTCTTTGACAAAAATCTGCACTTAACCATATGGTCCTCAAATTCCATTCTCCTCCCACCCTGATAGCTGTCACACTGATCTCCAGATCTGTCATTCCTTTGATTTCTTTTATATAATTTTATTCCATCTATATATCCTAAAAGTTTTAGTTATTTTAGTTGTATTTAACTTTATACATAGTTGTCAGCCAGGAACAGTGGCTCACGCCTGTAATCCCAGCACTTTGGGAGGCCAAGGTGGGTGGATCACTTGAAGTCAGAAGTTTGAGACCAATCTGGCCAACATGGCAAAACTCCATCTCTACTAAAAAATGCAAAAATTCCCTGGGTGTGGTGCTGCACGTCTGTAGTCCCAGCTACTCCAGAGGCTGAGGCAGGAGAATCACTTGAACTCAAGAGGTGAAGGTTGCAGTGAGCTGAGATCGTGCCACTGCACTCGAACCTGGGCGACAGAGGGAGACTCTGACTCAAGAAAAAAAAATAACAATAACTTTATACACAGTGTCATAATGCATGTAATTTCAGACTTATTTTCACATATGGTTATATTGCTAAAATATCATTGTCTGTCACTTTGCATGCTACCTTTTCACAAAATTCCAACTTTATTATCTCCTATTCTTATGGCCACACCTTCTAGAATTGATCTGAAATTTGATGCATTGAGCAATATCAAGCTAGTTGTCACAGATCTTTTTATCTCCTCATGTCAGACACCTGACTTCAAGGGGTGTCAGACACCTGACTTCAAGGGGGCTGCCTATCTCCCATGGGTTCCCATTCCAAAAGAGTCTTCACAAAGCTACTGGAGCAGCTCTGATAATGTCTGTCTACTACCTGCAGACCTTTACTATAGCCCCAGTATACTATCCCAGAATCTACCCCCACCACCTACCACAACCCTCTTTGGAGTATAGCTACCAGAGACTTTAATTTGGAGTTGAAAGTAGTGGAAGCAGAAGAGAAGTTTTTGCTTCTTCAAGATGGATGGGGGAAAGCAGACCTGTGGCTAGTGAGAACAGTTTCCAGACGTATCTACTTGGAAACCGAAAGGCTTTTTTCTTACTAAAATGGTATAATGGTGTTCTAGCTTCTCTTTAGTTCCTAAATATTTTTAGTACTATAAATCAGCTATATTATTTTCTAGGAAATGTAGTCTGAGACCAAAATAACCTATTTACAAATGACCTTTGGAACAGAACATGTTTACAAGGTAGGGACTCTGAATAATGCATCCCAGAGCTAAATGCAAATAGTTTTTCATTATCTGTTGTTATGGATCATCTGCTTCATTGCTCCTCTTCATTAGCACAGATAATAGAGACCTAACTGAATTATTGCTTTCAAGCACATCCATTACTTTTGTTCTGTACTATACAAGTTTCCTTCAGTCCTTAATATCATTTCTAGCTTGATGTTTTAGCTACTTGTTTTTTAATTTAAAAATCCCCTATCTAAGTAGTGACCTCCATAATATGCCAATAAACTGACAAACTGAATAAATTTTGCCTCCTTTATTAAACAGACTTTTACCAAGAACCCCCTCAGGGTGTATAATGTCAGGGACTTTGGGGCACATAGGAATACAGGGTGCTTTCAATAAGTTTGTCAAATATGTATTGAAAACCTATTACAGACAGGGCATTCTTGTGGGGGTTAGAGATACCTGCACTGATGATTCTTGCACGAATGGAGCTTACATTCAAGTGAGGGAAGATGACAATAAACGTTTTAGAGAGTAAGGTGTGCAATGTAGTATATAAAACTGGTCATGTGATAGTGAGGTAATGTAATTCATGAGGAGAGACTCTTTTAGGTACGGCAAGCAGAGAAGTCCTCTGTGAGGAAATGATATTTGAAATGCTGTCTGAATAGTGAGATGGCACCAACCATGGGGAGAACAGGGTAAAAGTGCTCCAGACAGAGAAGAACAAGTTTGAAGGCCCTGAGTTAGAAACAGGTTTGGCGTGCTCAAAGGAACAAAACATCAACCAGGGTCTTAAATATAGGGTCCCCTTTTTTAAAAAACTCCATCTTTAACTCTTGGTGAAGACTACAGTTGGCTATTAACAAAATAAACCTGAATATGAAAAATAAAGAGGTGATGGGCAAGATCCCAGATCCAAATAAGAGCAAGCAATGTGTGGATATAGAAAGGAAGAGATTATGTGGATGGGAATGTGCTTCCCAGACTTTAAAGATAACACATATTAGTTATTTGTATTGCTAAGAGAATAATAACATTTACTGAACTTTTACTATGCACAAGCACTCTTCAAACAACCACAAGAAGCAACTCATTTAATCTTCTCTATGAGAAGATCCTATAACATTATATATTTTAGTATATGAGGGAATTTCAGCACAGAGAGGTTTAGGAACTTGTCCAAATTAAAATAGTACATGCTGACACTAGGATTCAAATCCATGCAGTCTGACTCATCACTGTAGTTCATAATCCAGAACTTGAGTGGTGATCCTCTGCAAAAATGGTCACCAATTTTTCACTTCCCTATATGAATGCCTTTGTGTAATGTAACTTGGAGCTGCTCCTGTGACTTGAAGTATGCCCCATGAGATGGAGAAGTAACTCCATCTCATGCAGTTAATTTCTCCACCCTATGAATCAGGATTTGACCACGTGACTCGCTTTGGCCAATGAGACATTATCAGGCGTGATGCAAGAAGAAGCTCAAACAGTGCTTATACATTGGGAACTGCCCTCTGTTGGCTGCACATGAAAACACTGTGACTACAATAATGTGAGCAAGCTTGGATTAGCCTGCTAGACGATGAGTGGGATATGCGTACTTAACTCCATTATCACTGGTAACAACCACTGCACCATCAGACATATAAGCAATAGAAAAACCTATTTCTATTTTCAGTTGCTAGCTGATCACAAATGTAAGAGCGAACCCAGCCAACACTGCATGCGACATAGATAAGCCAAACCAGTGAAGCTAAGCCAAAGTTGCTGATCCACAGAATTGTAAGCAAATAAACTGTTGTCATAGCATAATACTGAGTTTTGGAATAGTTTGTCATACATTAAAAATTAACTGACATACAGGTTGAAGTAAAATGACTGCTACTTCATATCTGAAGATATTGATCAATTACTCTGCCTTCCTTGTTATGTATAAAGATGCTGTTAGTCTATCTTCAAGCAAAATAAACAGAGGGAACTAATCAAAATGTGCTGTCTTCATAATTGTTCGTGGGGCCAATAACTTTGTCTTAACAAACTTATTCCTAAAGACCAAAACACTTGATAAAGCATAGCCTTAGTGGAAGTATACTTTTGGTCAACCTCATCTGCCATTTTTTTTTTCTAATATAGCACAGTGAGAATACTGACAGTGAGTAGCATGACTGGTGTCACCATTAATGCTTGGGTGATTTCATAAAGGTTATTGTATTTTTTTTTGTAAAGTTCAGCATGCACATCTTTTGACCAAAGAAAATATGACTTTAATAATGGCCAAGAAAGGATGCTCGACAGTGAAAGTATGTCAGCCACCTCTGACAGAAAAATAAAAGAAGAAATATAATATGTTGCTCATTGCATAAATTAAGCAAGTGTTTTCTAACAAGGTCAGCAAAATCAGTTATTACCTTCTCCAGAATATTTGCTTACCTGTTTACATCTACCAACCCTTGTTTGGCCTGCCAGGAGTTGTACCGATATTTTTCTCATAAATTTAAGGATACAGAGTTAACACCCCAAACAACTAATGTCAGTCAGTATTCATGGAAATGAAGTTTAAATTTATTACAATTGAATATGTCCTGATTCCACAATGTTCGCATGATTATATGGCATATTCCTAAGATTCAGGGAAAGATGACAGTTACTGTGGTAGGCATTTTCAGCAGGAATTGTGAATACAATAAGGACAAGATAGAATAAGTGGGATCCAAAAGAGTCAATTTCATAAACTATGAGAAAACATTGTTATTAGGTTGACACAGAACATTTTTTAGACATCCCTAATGCCACCAAAAGTTCAAGGGTAAAGAAAGTGAAAAGTACCATACCCAATTGATGTGGAACTGAGAAATCAAATTATCTTAAGGTAGTTACTTCCTAACCACTCACAACAACTCCTTGTTGAGGATAAAAAAATTCAACCTGCTTCATACACAAATGAGATCGGGCAGAGAATGTGAGCCAAGAATACTATGTTTTCATCAATATGGGACATATTGTTGTATCATTTGTTTTAGCACTCATTATACAAGTCTCTGATGTATTTTTTCAGAAGATTCACTTACGCTAAAGTTGAATGCTTGAACTATATTGCATTCCCTCACAAACACCTGATACACATTATATCAATTTATGCTATGTGGGTGTATCATGTCTGCTTACTAAATATGTTTCTGTTACACATGACGCATGGCACTGGAAAACTTATTCACAATGAAACTCTTCCTCATCTACAGCAATAAACATTTAAGGCAATATCAATTTTAATAGCCAAAACTTTTAGTTTTTATCTTATTATTAGAACAATATAACTACGTAAAATGTTTAACAGATTTCCCATATTTTCTTTGAGGAAACAATTCACTGACGAAACAGAGAAAGAGTCCTTATATTTGGTTTTAGTCAGCATACCATCTCACTCTAAAACTATTTGTCTCTACATAATTGTTTTTAATGTTTTTATGATTCTCAGCGTAGCCTGTGACAAACACATTCATGAATAATTAATAGGGCAATGACACTCTCTACCTCTGTATGGACAAGTCCTGTAAAATCTGTGTTAGACAGAGGGAACTATTCTGACCCAGCTGATATTTTCTTTCTACGCTACATTCTTTTTTTTTCTTTTTTTGCCATTTAAATATTTATTATTATTATTTTTTAATTATACTTTAAGTTCTGGGATACATGTGCAGAACGTGCAGGTTTGTTACATAGGTATACAAGTGCCATGGTGGTTGGCTGCACCCATCAACCTGTCACCTACATTAGGTATTTCTCCTAATGCTATCCTCCACAACAGGCCCCAGTGTGTGATGTTCCCCTCCCTGTGTCCATGTGTTTTCATTGTTCATCTCCCACTTATGAGTGAGAACATGCAGTGTCTGGTTTTCTGTTCCTGAGTTAGTTTGCTGAGAATGATGGTTTCCAGCTTCATCCATGTCCCTGCAAAGGACATGAACTCATCCTTTTTTATGGCTGCATAATATTCCATGGTGTATATGGTAACATTTTCTTTAACCAGTCTATCACTGATGGGCATTTGGGTTGGTTCCAAGTCTTTGCTATTGTGAATAATGCTGCAGTAAACATACGTGTGCATGTGTCTATGCTACATTCTAAGGACTCATCAGTGTCACAAAAGGAGTGAAGCATTTTTTGTTGTTCACAACTTCCATGTGCAATAATAAAAATAATACTTAAATAGTTTCACAACAGGCTTTCTTCAATTTGTCTGATTTGCTTTTCTTGATAAATTTCCCTCCTCCATTCTCTAGCACCAGTTTACTGATGAGGAGACTGAGGTTACACAGAGCACGACATATTTTTCAGTGGCTGCGAGCGTACTAGTATCTGTGACTTCCAATCTTTCTAAGATAGCAGTATGTAATTTTCCAACCAATAGTTTCATGGAGACAGGCAGAATGAGTACATGTATTTCTGGACTTGCTCTATTTAAAAAGCCTCGTTTTTACATGTTTATATACTCAGGTTTTGTGTAAGACTGTATTCTACATATAAATAATACGCCACTAAAAAAATACATAAAGACAGTGACATCATTATGCTACAATATACGATATACTGACTTCATTACTATTTTCTGATTTTATGGATAATAATGAAGATTATATTAATGCAGATGAAGTTAAGACATCAGGAACAGAAATGGATGGCTGTCATGTTCAAAGTAAATTAGACTAAAAATAAATCTCAAAATGGTAAAAATATTACTTGCAGTCATTGTATTCTACCTGGTATGTCAATTTTTTGGTTTTTGGTGTTATTATTTTGCCAATAGAAAACATATGTTGACACCATTGTTTACTAGCTTGTAAAGAAAAAGTTGAAACTGTTGGTACAATTCAAAAAACTTTCAAAATGAAAATAGAGGAAAAACTATTTTTTAGTTTTGATTACTAATAAATTCTAAATATTTCTCCTCAATAGCTCACGTTTTCTATGTGTACAATAGTTCCCTCTTCTCACAGGTTTTGCTTTCTGTGGTCTCTGTTACCAGTGGCCAACAGTAGTCCAAAAATATTAAATGGAAAATTCCAGAAATAAGCTATGTAAAAGTTTTAGATTGTGCACTGCTCTGAGTAGCTTGAGGAAATCTCCTACTGTCCTGCTCTGCCTCACCGGGGACATGAATCATCCCTTTGTTGCATACCCTACTCACCTGTTAGTCATTTATGAGCCATCTCATTTTTCAGATAGATGGTGGCAGTTATCTCAGTGTCAGTGTGATCATTATTTTACCTAATAATCATCCCAAAGCACAAGAGTAGTGATACTCAAATATTGTTATAATTGTCATCTTTTATTATTATCATGGTTGATCTCTTACTGTATCTGATTTATAAGTTAAACTTCATCATATGTATATATAGAAAAAAACATAGAATATGTAGGGTTCAATACTATCTGAAGTTTCAGGCATCCACTGGGGGTCTTGGAACATATTCCTCCCAAATAAGGGAGGACTAGTGTATATAGCATCTAGGTGCTGTATGTATATTCTATTCTTATCACAGCAAAATAATTTAGTACAAATCTAATAAAATGTTGAGTTCTGAGACTCTAATAAACTGTTCGTTTTATTCTGCATAATTCTGAGAAAGTTAAAGACCATTTTCCCTTCACAACCTCATTGATTATTTTTTATTTATATCTCTGGTCTCACCTGCCAAAACAGGACTGACTTGTTTGCTTTGTATCTCTCTTGACCTCTGGCAGACAGAAAGTCAGAAATCTATGTACCTTAGTCTGGCCATGGGAGCCAATATCCCAACCCTGCAGCTGCTAATGTGCAATGCTATTTACATACGCATGATCCCTGTTTTCCTCTTGGCCACCCCTTGTGTACACTCTGTTGTGTCAATCAGTTGCATATGTTTTCACAGGAGGCAGAATCAAAGTGGTAACCATCTACCATATGTGACTATGCCATATGTGACTCTATCCTTTTCTATTGCTTTCCTGAAAATGAATACATGAGATGCATTTTACCCACACATTTTGTTTTCATGTGTAACATTAGCCACAAATGATATTTAGGCTACCCAAAATGTTAAACATCACCAGGGCTTTGGGCTTCAAGATGAGATGCTAACAAGTTATCAACTGAATTCCAACAGCTAGGTCACTATTCTACCACTTACTATTCACACTTGTCCTTATTTTCATCTTAATGAGGTGTCGGGTTTCAGCAATTCAATCGGCATCTGCTTTCAATGTAAAATTTCAAGAGATGATAAGATGAGGAAGTAAATACCTCCTTACTCTTGGACAATTTTCTGAAATCTAGTCCCTGGTGACCCTTTGGTGTAACTGAATCTTGAGGCATGTATGTGCTAATGAATAAGCTGTCTTTGCTGACACATTTATAAATTAATGCCTGAAGTAGAAAAGGAAAAATTTCGCTGTAATTTCGGGTGCTGGCTAGTTGACCTAAGGATGCCTAAAACCTATGGTGTGAATGCTTTCACATCTGTAAATTTGTTAAGGGAGCTATAACAAAAAAGGAACGAAGCGCTGCTTTGTTACTATCTATTTTCTAATATCCTTCTATCAAAGTTCTGGTAAATATTGGTTGGAGAACACAATTTGGCCTCTTTGTCTAAGTGGTGATGACACATGATCTCAAATCCTGTTCTTGGAAGCTAACCCTTATTTGGCTAAATGTATAGGCAGACATCCAAAGTTGTGAGAAGCACATTAGGGCCTATCTACAAAGAGAGACTCCGTATATAACACACACTCATACACACACACACACACGCACACACACACCTTTTAATGTACAGACTACTTCCATTAGTAAATAGTGTCCTAAAATTTGAACATTTGTTCAATCTGTGAAGTACTCCAATTTCTTTTGAAAGAACAAGAAGTGTTAGGATTGAAGGAAATGTTCTTAGCTTAAAGAACAGAACCAGAACCTTCTACTCTTATATTTATTTTTGTCTTCCTTTAACCCATATAATTCCATAAAGGATTTGGGATAATATTTTTGCTTGTCTAGTTATATTTACTTGCTTCTAAAACAGTTTAAAGATAACTAAAGTTTGAAGTCAGTTAATTTCCCTATAACATTTCTGAGCATTTTATTAATTTGGTCTGAAGATTGTTTAAATTATGCTCTTCCTCTTGATTATTACAAAGGCTTTACTTGCTTGTTAAGAGATAAAACCCATTATATATTCTTCATTTACTAAGCATCTAGTATTTTTCACAAATTAAATGATTATTGCTATTACTAGTGATAATATAAGCTACCAAGTTCAGTAATGGAGACTTTGGAAAGTATGGCTCTAGGAATTTGTGGAGTAGGTGCCAGATATTGCCTTTTTGGCTCTTTCTTATATTCAAATCAAATGCATTTCTCTTTCACTCTGCTCTATTATAATATTTGTTTGTACTTGCTCTCTATATTCATTTAATGTTACTTACTTTTTGGTACAATTCTAAATTTATATGACATTTAAATTTGCTTGTTGATTTTATACTTTTTAAAATCTCAAATAGATAAAATACAATCAAGTAATAAACTGTTCTGATTTATATAAGAAATGTAACAAAATATTTTTAAAAGATTAAGATATTACACTCTGTAATGTTTTCCACCTTCATTGGCATCTCAGAAATAAACAGTATTTTACTTTATTAATACATGATTTTTCTTAACAAACTACAAATTATCTCCTTAGTCATTCTCAATAAATACATAAATCTTTCATCAAGCTTTCCTCTTCCTGGAATTATACAGATGAAAATATGGCTCTATAAATCCCACTTTACTGAAGTATAATAATAGTGAAATCAATGTCTTAGAAAAAAATGCAGCTATCCAGTGTCTGTTTAATAACCATTGAACAACAAAATCTATAGGGAAATATTTTTCCCAGTCTCCACGGGATGTACTGAATCAAAGTATTTTCATTAAAACTAATATGAAATGGCAGAAAATAGAGAAAAGGAGAATGCTTCTTGTTTATTTTACTTATTTCTGCCACACATTATATATTGATGAAGCAATTTTAAGGGATGTATGCATGATATAATACAATGGAATTGACTTTTCTTTTTCATAACCACACGCACATTTTTACATCTGCAACAATATGCTTTTTGAATAGCTACCTGTAGTTAATTTCAAGTTCTCATTGATCTTTGGTGGCCTAGACAAGTTAAAGTGATGATAAAACAGCCAACCTGAATTATCAGCATACTAAGTAGAACATGAAAACTTGGTTATGCACACTCATCTCTGATAATGTATAGTGGCAGGCACCAAATTTAAAAATATATTGCATGTTTTTCAAGCCAGAACAGATTGCAATGCAGAAAAAAAATTTGTTTCTGTTCTTTTGAGTTTGAGTTGCACAAATATTTATTTAAAATAGTAGCAATCAAATAAGCCATGAAAAAGAACTCAAACAATGCCCCATATTTAAGTGTATCCAATAAAAATATTTAGAAGATTTAAAATAAAATTGACCAAATATTAAATTACATATATACTGCAGAAAACATTTTTTTTTTTTTTTGCATTTCACCACTTAGAGCAGACGTGTAGAGGGAAAATGTTCTTATGTATAATTCAATGTGACTCCAAGGTAGCAGTAAATTCTACAGAGAATTTTTGAAAGAGATTTAGGCAGGAAAGCAGATGGATCACACTGGGTCATGTTAGACAGGATAAATATTATGGCTCCTCTTCTGCCACAGAAAATAGGAAAACCATAGAGCTATACAATGCTGATGCTTTTTGAAAATCGGCAGCTACCTTTAGGCAGGAAAGATGAAGTTTTTCACTTTTTCTTAAGGGTTTGAAATGGGCTTTTTGTCAAGAAATGTTCTCTGTGATCATTCTAAATAAATACTAACTAAAATCAATCTCAGACCTCAGTCCCATATCTTTCCTAGCAGTGGACTGGCTTTTAGAGCTCTTATTGACAAACAGTAAAGCGCCAATTTATAACTCTCTATGGTTAAATGGAAATAAAAATAAAAAAAGCTACTTCATGGGAAAAAGCAATTTTAAAGTGAAAAGATTGCCCAAGTGAAAAAGAAAAAAAAAAAAAACCCTAAGTTGTGGCAAGTCAGCAACATGCTAGAAATTAGAAGAGAAAAAGTAATTTAAGCAAAGAATAGTAGGATACTCTTCACTGTTTCAAAGTTATAATGTCAGACCAAGAATTCAAGCATTTCCATTTTGAAATATTTAAACTGTTTTCCACAACTCTCTCATATACATTATATACTGCCTTGTGAGGTTTTGGCAGGGTCTATTTTTGTCAATATCTTATTTTTCCTTTTGTATGGTCATCTTTCTGAGCATGAGCTGGAACCAGATTTTGTAACCAGCTTTCCAGAGCTGACTGT
The DNA here is from genome assembly GCF_000001405.40 of Homo sapiens. NCBI lineage: Eukaryota > Metazoa > Chordata > Mammalia > Primates > Hominidae > Homo > Homo sapiens. The sequence goes on from NC_000001.11 coordinate 187,521,302, forward strand.
GAACATCTCTCTTAAAGTTGGCATTCAGTAAATATCAAGTTGATAGCTTGAAATCAACCATAGTCATAATATTTATATAAAAGAAGACCACAAAAACTTCAAATAAGGGCTTTTCTCCCCACAGAAAGCCAACTGTTAAATGTTTACCTACACATCAGTATATATATCTCTACCGTAGATAGCCAAGTATAATGCTTAATAAAGATTCAATAAATATTTTGGAATAAAAATATTGATGTTTGGAACCACATAAGTATCTACATAAATTTAAGTTAGAAGGTATGATTTATTTATGCTTTAAATTATTTTCATAACTATCTCTACGAATGATCTTTTTTAAAACTGTCTTGAAAATAATATGGAAAATAGTATGCTGAAACTTATGGGCTTGTGGTTAATGATCCAGCTCTGCCACCAGTAATAACCTGAGTGGTTTCTTTTTCCCCCTCACCTCTATGGACACTAAGGGAAAATGAAATAAAACAGTGCAACTTAGAGAATTTATACATTATACAGGACTCTATTAATGTAGAGCTTATAATAATGTCATTATTATAAGAAGCTGCCTAAATATGGGAAGTAGACAGAAAGGAAAAAGGTATACTCACATACCAATGAGGAACAGAAGCTAAATTCTTCATATTCACATTGTAATTGCTACAGCAGGAACAATGCACAAAAATATATCTAACCAGTATATGTTTAAAAATACTAAAATACAGATCTAAAGTGAAAAAAATCTGACAGAACCTTGATGTTTGAGTGAACTGACAGAGGAGCAGAAGATGAATTTTTATGTCAGAAGTAGTTGAGTAATACAAGTAAAATAAAACTGTGCTCCAAACTCTCAAAATTTCATATTGACAACCCTTGGTCTTAATACCTCTTTTGGCCTAAAGAAAAACAACATAAAAATAGTTATAGGTATTAAATTATCTTGATCCTGACAAGTAATAACCTGAAGAAGACTGCACGGTTATTTGCCTAAGTAGTTAAGAGAGTGTTAAAAGAAAATAAATAATATTTTAGGTCAGGCAAAGTGGCTCATGCCTGTAATCCCAAACATCATGGGACGCCAAGGCAGGTGGATCATTTGAGATCAGGAGTTCTAGACCAGCCTGACCAACATGGTGAAACCCTGTGTCTACAAAACATACAAAATAATGGCCGGGTGTGGCGACTCATGCCTGTAGTCTCAACACTTTGGGAGGCCGAGGTGGGCGGTTCACTAGGTCAAGAGATCGAGACCATCCTGGCCAACATGGTGAAAACTCGTCTCTACTGAAAATACAAAAAATTGGCTGGGCATGGTGGTGCATGCCTGTAGTCCCAGCTACTCAGGAGGCTGAGGCAGGAGAATTGCTTGAACCTGGGAGGCGGAGGTTGCAGTGAGTCAAGATCACGCCACTGCACTCCAGCCTGGCAACAGAGTGAGACTTTGTCTCAAAAACAAAACAACAACAACAACAACAAAACACACACACAAAATATTGGCCAGATGTGGTGGTGCGCATCTATAACCTCAGCTACTCGGGAGGCTGAGGCATGAGAATCGCTTGAACCTGGGAGGCAGAGGTTGCAGTGAGACATGATTGCACCATTCCACTCTAGCCTGGCTGACAGAGTGAGATTCCATCTTAAAGATAGATAGATAGATAGATAGATAGATAGATAGATAGATAGATAGATCGATGGATAGATAGATACACAGTTACAGATATGCATGTATATATGTATGTATAAATATATATTTATATATGCATATACATATATATACACATACATATTTTTAAAGCCTTTTTTATGGGGAAAGACAAACATATGGTACATTTTTAACAAAATTTTGTTCAAAGCAAGAATTATAAAAAATTTTTAAATATATTTTAAAATAGACTATTAGAATCAATGGAGTGAATGTTATACATTTAAGACGTTTGTATAACGATTATGAATTTAACTGTGTGCATGCTTTTGATACAGTATTGGAACCATATATGCTGCTTAAGACATGACTTTGTAGATGAACATAGGTTGAAAATTTTCTTCATGATCCTCTTGGCCTAGATTTTTAACTTTAAAGCAGCAGATTTATGTTTTGCCTTGTGTCCTAATTCTATCACTAACAACTAGATCTGGGCCTGCCACACAGAAAGCACCCAACGAATATTTGTTAAATAAATATTGAATTACTTTATTGACTAAACTCTCCATTACACACTATGTGTGCATAATCGCTTTAATAATTACTCTTTGAGCATGTCTTGTTACCTTGACCTCTTTTAAATTCCAACTATTCTATATTCCACAGATTTCAAGTCATCCTTGAGGCACTTTGTTTGTTGTTGTTTAATTTGTTTTTATGTCAGCATATTAGTTTTCCCATTATCAGGTGGGCTTCAAAATAAAGCACTTGCTCCAAGATCATACTTTTGCCCCATCATTGCTCAAATACGAAGATACATTATTTTCATATTTTTGCTGCTTACAGGCTGGTCCAAATTTTTATTATCTCTTGCTTGGATTATTGCAATCATCTCCTAAAATGTGTGCAAACTTCTACTTGACATGCTCCACTATGGTCTATTTTCAATACAGCAATCAGCATGATACTTTAAAAACGGAAGTCAAAATATGTTCCCTATTTGAGCTGAACCTTCCAAGAGTTCACATCTCATTCAATGTCAAAACCTAAACCTTTACACTGCCAACAAGACTTACATCTTTTGTCCTTAATGCCTCTCTGATCTGATCTGTTTGTCCTTCTCCCATTCTCCCTTTGGCACAAACTGGTTCCCCCTTTGTTGGTTCTTAAACCCTACAAGCACATTCTCTCCTTAGAGATTTTAAGCCAGCTGGAAGTTACCTCTGCCAAGAACATTCTTCCCCAAAGATGTCTACTTGAACAACTCCCTTACTTCCAACAAGTATTGGCTTAAATATTATTACCTTCTTTGGAAGGCCTTCTCTGACATCTCCATTTAAAATTGTCAATTGCCACCTCCCCTTCCCCAGCATGCCCCACCCTGCTTCTGTTTTATTTTACTAATTGTAAACATTTCCTTTGATTTCCTAACATTTACCCCCACTTATTCTAATTCTCATGTAAGAGAATGCAAAGTATGTAAGAGAAAATATCTATTTGCACCACTGTTTCCAGCATATAGTAAGCACCAGATATTTCATAAATAGATAAATGAATGAATAAATATTAATAACATTAGGGATATAAATTAAAAATTATGAACTTCAAAATTAAGCTCTTAATTCTTGTAGTCAAAGGACCTGATTTCTAATCAAACTTCCAACAATACTTGGCTTTAGCAACTGCTAAGAGCCAACAGTCTTCAGAGGATCGATTTATTTGGAGAATTAGTGTTAATTCTGAGTATCTCCCTGTGATAATCAAAATGCTGCAGAACTATCTTCAGGAAACCTATAGATACATGAGGGATCAGTTTTTAAACTCTTTGGAATCCTTTCCTCTTTTTTCTACTGTTAAAGTTTGTCTATAATTAGTGCTGAGTTCAAATGATAGCTCTTTCATGAAAAGGAATTCCCAATTGGGTATGAATTTTCCATATCTCAGTCTTGCTTAGCATCATAATTTCCACATTGTACTTATTAAATACTTTTGAATTACATCTATATTGTACTAGCTATACCTTTAATTATTAGGCATTCAGTCTTTAAATATTTGGCACTAGTGTTTTGCACACTGACTTAATCATAACAGGCTCTTAAAAATATTTTTTATTGAACATGAAGAGACTCAATTTGTTATTTGATCAAATTTTAAATTTTCTTGTTTACCAACTTTCTTTTGTTTAGAGCATAATTCAGAAACATGTGATATAGAATAAAGGAATAAAAATGACAAATATTAAGTAAATGTTCAATGTGTAATTCTAGAATTCTGTATTGAAGCAACTTGGGAAAAAACATATCAAAAGACAATTTTTCAAAGGTCATTTTCGATTTGGAGAGATGGTTTTAAGATACAAATCAAAGAATATGTTCACTGAAATTTACATGAAAGTTGTACCTTTACAAGAAACATGAAAGACAATGCACTCCAAAGGAAAGAAATGAAAGTGTCTCCTTCCATTTCTTGAACCTTCATGGCACCTATTTTTTTAAAAAGATAAAATAGTTAATATGATTTTATGTTTCACAGCTGTAATTAGAAGTTATAGGACACCAAAAAACAGAACTCATAGGACCTACTTTTAAATTATATTCAATGTATTTCCACCTTCATTTATAAAAAGAATAAAAAATATACACAACTAAACATATACTACTATCATTAAACATTGTTGAATGATGGAAAGTGTTAGTGCTTATTTAAATGTGTTTACAGGCATACCTCATTTTATTGTGCTTCCTTTCATTGCACTTTAAATATTTTGTATGTGCATATTTTTTTTTAACAAATTAAAGGTTTGTGGCAATTCTGTGCAGAACAAGTTTATCATTGCCATTTTTTCCAAAACATGTGCTCATTTCATGTCTCTGTGTTACATTTTGGTAATTTTTACACTATTTCAAACTTTTTAAAATTATTATGATTATGTCTCTTATGGTGATCTGTGATGAGTGATTTTCGATGCTATTTGGTTGATGCAAAGGTAATTGCGGTTTTTGTCATTACTTTTAACGGCAAAGCTGTAATTACATTTGTACCAACCTAATACTATTGTAATTGATTCAGGGTGCCAAAACTATGCCCATATAAAACAGAAAATTTAACCAACAAATGTGTGTGTTCTGATTGCTCCACTTACTGGCCATTGTCCTGTCTCTTTTCCTCTCCTAAGGTATCCCAATTTTCTGAGACAGAATAATATTGAATTTAGGCCAGTTAATAACTCTACAATGGTCTCTAAGTGTTTAAGTGAAAGGAAGAGTCAAACTTCTTTTACTTTAAATTAAAAGCTAGAAATACTTAAGTTTAGTGAGGAAGTCATGCTGAAATCTGAGACAAGCCAAATCTAGGCCTCTTAAAATAGCCAAGTTGTGAATGCAAAGAAAAAATTTTTGAAGGAAATGAAAAATGCTATGCCAGTCAACATATGAATGATAAGAAGGCAAAATAGCCTTATTGCTGATAAGAAAAGAGTTTTAATGGTCTGAATAGAAGATAAAAGCAGTGAAAACATTCTCTGAGTCAAAGCTTCGTCCAGAGCAAGACCCTATCGGTCTTCAACTCTATGAAGCCTGAAAGAGATGAGGAAGCTTCAGAAGAAAATTTTGAAGCTTGCAGGAGTTAGTTCACAAGGTTTAAGGAAAGAAGCCATCTCTATAACACAAAAATACAGGATGAAGTAGCAAGTGCTGATGTAGAAGCTGCAACAAGTTACCTAGATGATATAAGATAATTGATGAAGGTGATTACACTAAACCACAGATTTTCAACGTAGACAAGTCAGCCTTAGACTGATGCCAACGAGGACTTTAATAGCTAGAGACAAGTCAATGGCCACTTTTAAAGCTTCAAAGGACAGGCTGTCTCTATTATTAGGGACTAACGCAACTGTTGACTTTAAGTTGAAGCCTATGCTCATTTACCATTCTAAAAAGCCTAGGGCTCTTTAGAATTATACTAACTCTACTCTGCCTCTGCTGTATAAATGGGACAGCAAAGCCTGTATGACAACACATCTATTTACAGCATGGCTTACTGAATAGTTTAAGCCCACTCTTGAGACCTACCACTGAGGAAAAAAGATTTCTTACAAAATATTACTGCTCATTGACAATGCATTTAGTCACCCAAGGGCTCTGATGGAGATGTACAAGCAGATTAATATTGTTTGTATGCCTGGTAACACAACATCCATTCTGCAGCCCATGGATCAAGGAATAATTCTGAGTTTCAAGTCTTATTATTTAAGAAATATATTTCAGAAGGCTATAGCTAACACAGATATTGATTCCTTGGATGGATCTGGGTAAAGTAAATTGAAAATCTCCTGGAAAGGGTTCACCATTCTAGATGCCATTAAGAACATTTTGTGATTCATGAGAAGGGGCCAAAATATCAAGATTCAGAGGAATTTGGAAGAAATTGATTGCACCATCATGGATGACTTTGAAGGGTTCAAGGCTACAGTGGAAGAAATCACCGCAGAGGTGATGGAAATAGCAAGAGGACTAGAATTAGAAGTGGATCCTGAAGATGTGACTGAATTGCTGCAATCTCATGACAAAACTTTAATGAATGAGAAACTGCTTTTTATGGCTGCGGAAAGGAAGTGGTTTCTTGAAATGGGATCTCCTGGCAAAGATGGTGTAAACATTCTTTAAATGGCAACCAAAGATTTAGAATATTACATAAACTTAGTGCATAAAGCAGCAGAAGGGTTTGAAAGAGTCAACTCGAATTCTGATTTAAGTTCTACTGTGGATAAAATTCTATCAAACAGCATTGCATGCTACAGAAAAAGAAATTTTTTGTGAAAGGAATTTAATCAATGCAGCAAACTTTATTGTCGTTTTATTTTAAGACATTGCCACAGCTACCCCAATCTTTAGCAACCACCAGCATTATCAGTCAGCATCCATTAACATCAAGGCGAGACTCCCCACCAGCAAAACAATCGTGACTTGCTAAGGTCTCAGATGATTGTTAGCATTTTTAGCAATAAAATAATTTTAAATTAAGGTATTTACTTTTTAAAGACATTTTCTTCAGGTTATTTCTCATCAGCTCAATTGCATATCTACCCATCCCATACTCCTTTTATATCATTATTTTTGAACCAGTAATGAAGGAATATTTTTGATCTCCTGAATTTTCAAATGATTCAAGTAGGATTAGAAAAGGAAAATGTGAAATATTGTGCCATGAATTAATGTGCATTTCAGACACAACTAAAATGAATTCGGTATGCTAGGCATGAAAAGTGCCTTCTGTATCTATATTTACCTATGTCTTTATCATCAATTTATAAATGGATAATATATAAATAAATGGTATATCTAATACAGATATAAATATAGACACGCCTTGAATATTATGTTCCATTAAACTTATGAATGGTGACTATCTCAAGAGAGAAGATGAGTCATAATATTCATGTTGTTGGATTTCACAAACATATTAGTTTTTCTCATTCACAGAATAAGAATGGGAGCTTTAGGGCTGGAAAGTTGAGGCCTCCTCAACTATGTTGTTAGTAGAAATTTATTTCAATGCTTGGGTGGCTATCACTAAGCTTAAAAAGATGCAGGCAGGAGGAGTTCTACATGAGAAACAGCAGTGGCTTTTATCTGCAATATCACAACTAAAAAATTATATATTTCTAAATACTCATGACAATGAGAGAAGATATTAATCAGAGGCAGCTTATCTTTACAAAAAATCTGAAAAATAATATTAAATATCTAATTACTTTATACAGCCAATCTTAAAAAGATTTTGGCAAGAAATAGCAAAATTCATAATCCATCTATCCATTCAAAGATGAACCCTAAAGAATTTTATAAAATTGTAACATACATAGCAAATAGAAAGGATTGAAAAAGGAGTGGTTTGGGGGATATTAGAAGATGTATCAAGGAAAATTATGGATGCAAAGGAACAGATAGTCAACAAGAAACGTGATGAATGAAGTAGGATCAATAAATTTAGCTCACTCAGAAAAAGAGAACCCAAATTAGTTTTTTTAAAAGTCCAAAAATTCACCACCAGCCGCTAAGTAGGAAAGACAGAAACTACAGTCTGAGAAGTTGGATTTTATTAAAATTAAAAACTTGAGCTCTGTGAAACAGACTGTTAAGAAAATGAAAAGACAAGCCAGAGACTGATAGAAAATATTTGCAAAACATATATTTGATAAATGACTTGCATCCAAAATATACAAAGACCTCTTAAAACTAAACATCTGGGATACAAATTATCCAATTAAAAATGGGCAATAGATCGATAGACCTCACTAAAGAAGATATATAGATAGAAAACAAGCATAGGAAAAGATAATCGACATCATATGCCACTAGGGAAATGCAAATTAAAACACTATATATCAGAGAGGAAATATTTGGAGAACAACCAAAACCTGTGGGAGAATATATGCCTTTATTACATTCTGATAAAAAAGAATGGGTAGGTTCTGATGATTTTAGTTAATGGTCTGCAGCCTAATGCAATGAGATGTCTTGCAGTTGCCCTCCATATAACAGGACATAAGAGCACATAACGATGTAGATTTCTACATTATGTGCTTAAATAAAAATTATTTTCAGGAGAAATAATAGTCCTGGTTTCCCCATTTGCCTAATGAATGAAACTTCAAAGATATTGCTAAATATGAACACCTTAAGAAAGAGATTGCCATGTTTTATATTACGGTTATGTATTACCTTTGCTTTACACTATGTCTAGGGAACAAACTGAAACATTTGTTATGTTCATTTTTTACTTTATAGTCTTCAAGATAGAAAATAAGCTGTCTCTGAAGAGGTGCAAGTGGGATGCTCCCAGGCATTTCTTGTAAGTTGTAATACCACATTGCCTGAAATGATAGTGATATATTCTTTATGTAACTTTACAAACTTGCAGGTTTTGTTTATTAAAGAGTACAAAAGAATTGAATAACACAGATTTTTGATGGGATAATGTTGCCCTGGATAATGTGAAAGCAATCATTTGTGTAATTCATTTCTTTGTAGCAGAATCAGAAAATTGTTCTTTTATTCTGGATTGTTCTGAATTTTACTCCAGCTGGAAGCATTTTTTTTTTTCATTTAAGCAAAATAAAAGAATGAGACAATGTGATTAATCCAGAAATTATTTTACACCCAAGATTTTCTGACTTTTGTTTCCTTTCTAAAACTTTTTAGCTTGTCTTTGAGATGACAAAGGTTATCCCAATATCTTGCAGAAAATGAAATAAAGCAAAATATTCTACCATATAAAATACATGTAAAAGAGTAACTCCATGATGTATGTGCAAAGCCATCTATCTGTCATCTCTTTTGTGTTGCTATAAGAGAATCCTGAGACTGGATAACTTATAAACAATAAAAATTTATTTGGCTCATGGTTCTGGAGTCTAGGAAGTCCAAGAGCATGGCACCAGCATCTGGTTAGGGGCCTTGTGTCGCATTATCCCACAGCGGAAGACAGAAAGGCAAGAGAGTGTGACAGCAAGAGATAGCTGAAATTGTTTTTGTAACAACCCACTCTTGTGATAATGAACTTACTCCCACAATAATGACATGAATCCATTCATGAGAGCATAACCCTCGTGACTTAATCACCTCTTATTAGGCCCCACCTCCAAACACTTCTGCATTGGGTATTAAGTATTCAACACATGAACTTGGGGGACACATTCACAGAACAGCAGCACCTAAATGAGGCAAAAGGTAAACAAGGCACAGAGTATCTTCATTCAATCTGTTATGGCTTGACTGCCATTTCATTTGATCTGTATATAATCATCTATTATTTGCTCAATGCTGACATCTCTTAAGCACCTACCTCTCCTGTGTCTAGCATGAAGGAATCTAAACATACCTCAAATTTCATCTATGCTGAAATCTCTTTTGAACTATTCATTCTTGTAGGAAAATAACCAGGTGCCTATTGTCATTGTTTCTTTACTTCAACTTCTCCAAATCACTAACTGAAAAAGCTTTAATTTAACACAATTCTGTGGCATTCACCGTTCTAGACAGTTGGGATAGATTTGTGAGCAAATATTCCTCTCTCTAGGAGCCTACACACTACTGAGAGGGAGCAGATGATAAGCAATACTTTAATAATTAAGTAAATTATATATGTTAGAGGTAAAAAAAAAAGTGCTATTAAGGAAAAGAAAAAATAAGAGCAGCTTAAGGAGAAACGGTGAATGAGACAGTTTACGGAAAAAGAGTGGTCACAAAGCATGATTTGGACTCAAACTTGAAAGAAGTGAAGAAGTTTGTCAGATTATTTGAAGGAGAAGGAATAGCCAGTTCAAATCAGAAAGTATGCCTGCTGAGTTTGAGGAATAGCAACAACGATAGAAAAAATTAAGCAAGAAGAAGCATTGTAGAAGGTGAAGTCAGAGAGGCTATTGTAAAGATTCACTCAGAGTGAAATGGGGATATATACAGGGTTTTGAACAGAGGAGTGACATGAATTTACTTTTTAAAAATGCTTACGCTAGCTTACAGGCTGAGGATAGACTCTGGGAAGGCAAGGTGGAAGAAGAAAGTCTAATTAATCTAAGAGAGATGGTGCTGAGTAGTTGGGATCTAAATGTATTTGAAGGATTACTGAGAGATTGGATGGAGCTATGTTAGAAACAGAGAAGACAAGGGTGACTTCAAGGATTGGCCTGTACAACTGCAAAGATGGAGTTACTTTTATACAAGTTGGAGTTTATTGCCTTGCAGAGTCTAAACTCCAGTATTTTGTTTTGAACACTTTTGTTAGCTCTTATACTTCATTAATCTTCCTATGTCTCTTACCTTTCAAAGTACTTTGTTCTTTGACCTCTTTCCACCTAGATTTACCATTATCTCTGCCCTAGCTGGCTTTCCTTTCCTAACATACGCGTCCATAATTCCACATTCATGAAACTGCAAACTATAAATGTAGTTAAGAATCCACCCTCAGAATATTTTACATCGACTGCTGTGGACTGCCAAAAAAAAAGGCAGAATCATGCACACTGGAGTGACTACAAATTTATATTTTTCAATTTTATTTGGACTATTGCCAACACTTTTTTCCCCTGCCACTTTAAGAAACTCATATTCCCCTCAACTTTTAAATTGTCATTATATTCCCTTTCATCTACTGCACAAAGATGATAGAGGCTGTCAGAAGTTAATGATCTCATTTACATTCACATAGACATATGCACAAGTACATCTGCACCCAAGGAAACGATTGTTTCTTTTACTCAAATCTAACCACTCCACCTGTGATTCAGATCCTCTTCACTCAGCACTTTGCTCCAGAGATTATACACACTCCCCTCTATCTCACAGTTCTCCCTTTATAATGATTTTTTATTTAGTCTAAGGATATCCAAATCTTTCTTCTGAAAAAAAGGACAAACTTCCCCCTCTAGATCCTACCCTAGCATTCTGTCTTCAAAACTAGCTTTATTTATAGAACAGTTTATATTTGCTCTCTCTCCTTAAACTTCAAATCCCAACTAAATTAATTGCAATTTCAGTTTGACCTCATTACCTGACAGAAAGAGCTTAGTAATGTCATCTCTAATCTAAAAGAGCATCTATTTTTACAGTGCTAGAATGTGACACTCTTAACTATCTTGTTACTGAGATTTTTGTTTTGTTTCCTTGATATATAACTATCTTAATCATATATTTTATTTTCTGTATTCTGATGCTTTAATATCTGGAGCCTTGCTGACCCTGTAGGGAAGTGTCTCTCCAAGGGTTAGTCAATTCCTAGAGATATTAAACAACTAGTATACCTTTAAAATGCAAAAACAACCAACCCAGTGCTCATACCTCCAAACACCTCTTTTTTCATTGTTGTTGTTCATTCGTTCATTCATTCATTTATTACTTTTACTTTGCTTACTTTCAAAATGTGGTTTGAGACAATGTACTGTACCATAATTTTTTAAAACCACTAAAATAAATAAACAGGAATATGAAACTACTTCAAATTTCATATGGAACCAAAAAAGAGCCCACATTGCCAAGACAATCCTAAGCAAAAAGAACAAAGCTGGAGGCATCATGCTACCTGACTTCAAACTATACTGTAAGGCTACAGTAACCAAAACAGCATGGTACTGGTACCAAAACAGATATACAGACCAATGGAACAGAAAAGAGCCTCAGAAATAATGCCACACATCTGCAACCATCTGATCTTTGAGAAACCTGACAAAAACAAGCAGTGGGGATATGATTCCCTATTGAATAAATGGTGTTGGGAAAACTGGCCAGCCATATGCAGAAAACTGAAACTGGACCCCTTCCTTATATTTTATACAAAAACTAACTCAAGATGTTGAAAATTAAACAAGATGGATTAAAGACTTAAATGTAAGACCTAAAACCATGAAAACCCTAGAAGAAAACCTAGACAGTACCATTCAGGACATAGGCATGGGTAAAGACTTCATGACTAAAACACCAAAAGCAATGGTACAACAAAAGCCAAAATTGACAAATGGGATCTAATTAAACTAAAGAGCTTCTGCACAGCAAAAGAAACTATCATCAGAGAAAACAGGCAATCTACAGAATGGGAGAAAAATTTTGCAATCTATCCATCTGACACAGGGCTAATATCCAGAATCTACAAAGAACTTCAGAAAAATTTACAAGAGATACCATCTCATGCCAGTTAGAATGGCAATCATTAAAAAGTCAGGAAACAACAGATGCTGGAGAGGATGTGAAGAAGTAGGAATGCTTTTACACTGTTGGTGGGACTGTAAATTAGTTCAACCATTGTGGAAGGCAGTGTGGAAATTCCTCAAGGATCCAGAACCAGAAATACCATTTGACCCTGCAATCCCATTACTGAGTATATTCCCAAAGGATTATAAATCATTCTATTATAAAGACACATGCACATGTATGTTTATTGCAGCACTGTTCACAGTAGCAAAGACTTGGAACTAACCCAAATGCCCATCAGTGATAGACTGGGTAAAGAAAATGTAGCACACATACACCATGGAATACTATGCAGCCATAAAAAGGATGGGTTTGTGTCCTTTGCAGGGACATGGATGAAGCTGGAAACCATCATTCTCAGCAAACTAACACAGGAACAGAAAACCAAACACTGCATGTTCTCACTCATAAGTGGGAGCTGAACAATGAGAACACATGGACACAGGGAGGGGAACATCACACACCGGTGCCTGTCAGAGGGTGGGGTCAAGGGGAGCGATAGCATTAGGAGAAATACCTAATGTAGATGATGGGTTGATGGGTGCAGCAAACCACCATGGCACGTGTATACCTATGTAACAAACCTGCACGTTCTGCACATGTATCCCAGAACTTAAAGTATAATAATAATAATAATAAAATAAAGGAATATAAGCCAAGCAGTGAAAGACACTGAGTAATTATTCCAGGAAACTCAGGATGAGGGAAATGTCTCAGGGCCTGATACTGTATTTTTAAAACAATTTCCAAAATAATTCATGTGATCATGCAGGTTTGAAAATGAAATAAGGCCGGGCGCGGTGGCTCATGCCTGTCTTCCCAGCACTTTGGGAATCCGAAGTGGGCGGATCACTTGAGGTCAGGAGTTCAATACTAGCCTCACCATCATGGCAAAACCCCATCTCTACTAAAAATTTAAAAATTAGCCAGTCATGGTGGCATGTGACTGTAATCCCAGCTATTCAGGAGGCTGAGGCACAGAATCTCTTGAACCCGGAAGGCGGAAGTTGCAGTGAGCTGAGCAACAAAGCGAGAAGAAAGAAAGGGAGGGAAGGAAGGAAGGAGGGCGGGCGGGCGGGCAGGAAGGAGTCCTGCAATCTTTTCAACTCATTTTTGAGCATCCTCCACCCTCAAACTCCAAATTATTGAAATACTTTAATTGGTTAAAATGTTCACTTGACTCTGAACACTGCGCATGGATCCTCTCTGTTCTTCCAGTGCTCCTTTCTTAACCCTTTAAAACATAATATTAATATCATTGTATTTTCTGTTAAGAAGAGATGAATGTTCTCCCACACTATCCTATGCAGCAGGATTCATTGTTCCTTTCTTCTGTGAACCCACAGCTCCTTAAATTTAATTCCATTTTAATTCCATATACATTGATTTTTTTTAAATAGTTGAGTTTTTATTGTGGTAAAACATATAGAACATAAAATTTACCATTTTAACCATTTTTAAATGTACAGTTCAGTAGTGTTACATATATTCACATTGTTGTGTGTGTGTTGAAAACACACAATCCAGGGTTGTTTTCATCTTGCAAAATGGAAAATATGTACCCATTAAATAATTGTTTTGTTGCCTTCTCATTTAATAGTGACAACACTGCCACTTTAGCAATTCTTAAAATATATGGTTGTTTTTATATATTTATACCAAAACTTATTTTCGATTTAAAAAATTGTGGTAAAATGTACATAATTTGCTACCTGCACCATTTTAAGACATAGAGTTCAGTGGTATTAGCTACACTCAGGTTGTTGTGTAAACATCACCACTATCCATTTCCAGAATTCTTCTCATCTTACAAAACTAAAACTCTATACTCATTTAACAACTCTTTACTTTTCCCTCCCCGTCTCCCAGCAATTATCACTCTACTTTTCTTACTTCTATGAATTTGACTGTGCTAAGTACTTTATATAAGTGGAATCATGCAGTGTTTTTTTTTTTTTAGAGTTGGCTTATTTCACTTAGAATAATGTCTCCAAGGTTCATCTATGTTATAGTATATGTCAGAATTTCCTCTTTATTTAAGGTTGGATAATATTTTAGTGTATGTATATACCACATTTTGTTTGTCCATTCTGTTAGTGAATATCTTGATTGCTTCTACTTTTTGGTTATAGTAACAATGCTGCTATAAACATGGGTATATAAATATCTGTTTGAGTCCCTGCTACCACTTCTTTTTGGTATATAACCAGAAATTGAATTGCTGGATATATGATTAATATGGTAATTTATGTTTAATTTTATGAGGAATTGCTTTACCATTTTCTACAGTGGCTTCCCACTTTGCATCCCACAAGCAATGCACAAGGGTTCTAACTTCTTCATGTTCTCATGGTATTAGGCAGGATTCTCCAGAGAAACAAAACTGATAGAATGTATGTGTGTCAGAACTGATAGAATGTACGTGTGTATATATACATGTATATATGTATTTGTATATATACATGTATATATATTTATATATACACACAGATACTCAACACACACAAAACTCAATTATTTTTTAAAAACAATATACACACATAAATATATATACACACACATACATACATGTGTATCTAAATAAATATATATATATATAGAGAGAGAGAGAGATGAGAGAGCGAGTGAGCAAGAGAGAGAAAGAGAGATTTTAAGAAATTGTCTCATACAATAGTGGAAGTTAGCAAGTTCAAAATCTGCAAGATAGTAGGCTGAAAGGATGAAGAGCCAGGGAAGAGTTAATGCTGTAGTTTCACTTCAAAGACAGAATTTCTTCTTCCTCTGGAGAGTTCAGTCTTTTTCTATTATAGTCTTTATGTGATTGGGTGAGGCCAACTCATACTGTGGAAGACAATCTGCTTTATTCAAAGTCTGCCGATTTAGCCTTTGAGCATCTAAAAAATACCTTCACAAAAACAACTAGAATAGTGTTTGACCAAGTGTCTGTGTACTGTGGCCTGGCCAATTTGACATGTAAAATTAATTATCACACTTACTATCATCTGTTGTTACTATTCTTTCCCTTTTTTGATAATAGCCATTATTATGGGTATACGATGTTATCTCATTGTTTTCACATTTCTCGCCTTTAGTAAGTTTTACAACCAAAATCTCCTGTTCAGAGTAAACCAAAACCAAGTTTGTAACTCTTTTCCCAACCATTCTCACCCTAATTTTTATGTCTGCAGACTTTTTTTTCTATAGTTGTAGCTCTAGAGACCTATTTGGTCATATATTGGGGTCTATATGCCACTTGGCAGTAAGCAGGACAAACTCTGTTACTGGAAGCTAACACAGTCAACACTGTGCAGATTTAACTTGAAAGCTATTGTACTATGATCTGTCATAGGCATTTTGGAAGTTATCATTGAAAATATACAAATTTCTAACATAAGATTCTTCCCTTGATAGTAGTCCTTTAAAATTACATATAATTTAGACAATTAATTGTGAACCAGAAATATGCAGATTAAAATGACTCTGGACATCAAGAAAGCAGTTTCTCTCCATCCTAGTCAACATTTGTTGTTGTTTTTTTTAATAATAGCAGTCTAATGCGTGTGACGTGATATCTCATTTTGATATGATTTTGATTTGCGTTTCTCTAATGACCAGTATGTTAGACATCGTTTCATGTGCTTATTGATTATCTGTATACCTTGTGAAAAATGCCTATTCAAATCTTTTACCTATATTTTAATCAGGTTTATGTCATTGTCATTATTGTTGAATTGTAGTTCTTTTTATATTCTGGATTGAATCCCTTAACAAATATATGATTTGCAAAATTTTCTCCCATTCCCTGCTTTTTCTCTATATTAATAGTCTCTTTTGATGCACAAGTTTTTGAAGTAGTGCAATTATCTATTTTTTCTTTTGTTAGTATTATATCCAAAAAAAATTGCTAACGCCAATGTCATAATTTTTCCCCTATTTTTCTTCAAAATGTGTTATAGTTTTAGCTCTTATGTTTAGGTCTTTGATCCAAACACATCAATTTTGGTTATTTACTTACAAATCTGTTTTCCATACTACACTTCTAGGGACAGCAGCAAAGGGGGATAATCTTTATTTACTATTCCCCAGGTTTGAAAAGCTATGCCTGAAATTTTATAAATTCATCATAAATGTCTGATGACTAAAAAATAAATGATTAATAAAAATGAAAATACTAACATCTTTCTATCTCAGGCATTATTCTAAGCATTTTAGATGCGTATAATTCATTTTATGCTTAAAAATAACTATTAGTGAAGAAACTAAAGCACTCACATGTTAAATTTCTTGGCCAAGATTTCATCGATAGTAAGTGACAAACTTTGGAATTCATGTGCATATACGTATATTAAATGATGAAGCAGTTTAGAACAGTGCAATCTGCTAGATGGCAAACTGAAGCAAACAGAGCATAGCAGAGGTTTTCAAATTTGGCTTCGCATCAGAATTGCTTGGAAGAGCTTTAAAAAATATAGATTCTTGGACCACACTCCAGACATACTGAGATACTGAGAAGTTGTATTTTAAAAATCATCTTTGGTGATTTTTATGCAGTCAGCCTGGTATCTGCCTAAGCAAAATTGTTTCAAAATCACTGAACACTATCAGAACACGACAATTTCTCATTTTTTTTTACAGGAAATGATCAGAAAGCACTGGAAATATACCCTTGCTGCTGTTATCAGCTATTCAACTGTCTTCTTCCAGTGAGAATTGAAATTCTTTGAATATAGAAAAAATATCTGGGAATTCATAGGGCTCGGTTTGCTGGAATAGAATGGGGAGCATTAGTACTGTTAGGAGATAAAAGAAGTGTATTTAAAAAGGCAGAGCCCAAACTTGTGTAATGGTAACTGAAGTAGGTGAGTGTATAAATCAATCTGCACAAATCATATAGAAAGAAAATAAAAAAAGAGCTTGAAGATACTCTACTCCAATTCACTCATTTATAAAACAACCTATGAACAGTAGCCAAACTTTAAGTGAACAAAATAACAATTTGAGACAATCAATTAATGACTAAAGAATGAATCAACCCTGAAGATGTGTAAAGTATCAATTATGTGGTGACAGAAAGGGAATCCTATCAAACACAATTTGCCCTATAGAGCCTAGAAAAACATTTCAAAATGTTGGAGAACGTGAAGCCTCATGTTCACTTATGTGTGAAGACACGTGTAACTGCAACAGAACCTCCCTCTCTTCACAGCCTGAATGTGAAGTGGGCCCGATTAAGAATCAGAACCTAGTATACAGTATTATTAGTATTATTAGAAATAATTGCATATGTAGCCCCTATGTCTCGGCAATATGTACTCTGAAGTGCCTCATTTAAGAGCCAGGAATGAAGAATCTGGACTTACATATATACAAATGTGAATCACTATCTATTGCTTAGAATATCTGAAGTATGTGATAGTCAGAAAACAATTTATCACCTTATATGGCTTTGGATTGGACTACTTCTGAAAATTAATGTTTTACATTGAGAAAGTATGGTCTTTGTAGAAGAGAGATGTAAAACTCAACAATTTCAGTTTAAGCAACTGATATGTGTGTGCACGTACAGTGTCAATGTGTGTGTGAACCCACAGTAGAGGGAAAGATTCAAAGAGTCCAATCAGAGAAATTGGGAGAGTGTGAGGGTGAAAATGTCTGAAATCATGCTAGGGGAGAGAGTCAACCGAGTGCTGCCCTAGAATATTTTGTGGGACTGATGATGCCACAGGGGACTGTTAACGGTACTGTTAAAACCTGCTGTTATTTTCCAGCTGTTCCAGATGTCAGGAGTATATTCTAGGAGGAGAACATGTGATACAGAGTTGGGATGGGAGACTTTTTTCCCAAAATGTGAGTGAAGGTTTGAATATTAGAAGAAAATATTCCCTTCATACTGGAAGGGAGATAAGATCTGAAAATAAGAAGTCAGGTTAGGAACAGGGAAGAGATCATGGAGAACCCACTAGTGAGAAATTTAATATTTTACGTGCTTCTCTGACTATGGGAAAAGCAGTATCATGCATCTTTAAGTTTCTTGCCTCATGTGTTGTGATATATTTTATTTCATCTGTGTGTCTTGTATAAACACAGTATGTAATTCAGTGACACATTTTTACTTGGTTATGCAAACAACTTTAGTTCATAAACAAGAAAAAACTTCTAGCATAGTTATTTTACATTCTGATCTCAATACCCATCAAAGATATGTAAGCAAGTCTCTGAAATTGGGTATCATTTTATTTTCCACATTATTATAATATGCTATCTTATTAAAATTACTATATTTACTAGAATGCATGTGGTATATTTTTCACGGGATGAATTAATGATATAAAGATGGTATTGATATAGACAAGGTTGTTTCCTACTCACTCTTATAACAACAGGATATTTTATCATCCACAAATACTGATGCAGAGATGCTAAGTCCCTATATCCCAGGAACAATTCCACTCTTCATTTAACTTATAAAAGAGAAGAAGGTTTTTACTAGGAAAAACCTATAATCTACCCACTTACTTTCCTATTTCTCTTCCAATTCACCTTTAATCATTTTAGTCTGTTTCTGAGACAATAAATATATAACTCTGCCTTAAAACAGGAATTGATGAGGGAACAATTCACCCAAACTGATTTGCTTTGGCATATTTTGTCTGTCTCGGAATCTAATACGCATCTGCTATCATTTTCATGAAAATGCTTCTGATCAGTAATCAACCATTTTTATTAGTAAGTTAATACCTCTCCTAATGATTTTACATTTTAATGAAAATGTAAATGCTAGGTGTAATGCTAGACATATGAATTTGTGTGCCTACTGTAGCTACCAAGTTTTTTTTTTTAAAAAAAAAGTGGAAATGCATTTATTTGTTTTGAATTGTATTGATTTTTCCAGAATACGTGATAAAGTGCACAAGTCTTATGTATATAGCCCCATGAATTTTTTTTTTACTTTATTATTATTATACTTTAAGTTTTAGGATACTTGTGCGCAATGTGCAGGTTATATATGTATACATGTGCCATGCTGGTGCGCTGCACCCACTAACTTGTCATCTAGCATTAGGTATATCTCCCAATGCTATCCATCCCCCCTCCCCTCACCCCACAACAGTCCCCAGAGTGTGATGTTCCCCTTCCTGTGTCCATGTGTTCTCATTGTTCAATTCCCACCTATGAGTGAGAATATGCGGTGTTTGGTTTTTTGTTCTTGCAATAAGTTTACTGAGAATGATGATTTCCAATTTCATCCATGTCCCTACAAAGCACATGCACTCATCATTTTTTATGGCTGCATAGTATTCCATGGTGTATATGTGCCACATTTTCTTAATCCAGTCTATCATTGTTGGACATTTGGGTTGGTTCCAAGTCTTTGCTGTTGTGAATAATGCCGCAATAAACATACGTGTGCATGTGTCTTTATAGCAGCATGATTTATAGTCCTTTGGGTATATACCCAGTAATGGGATGGCTGGGTCAAATGGTATTTCTAGTTGTAGATCCCTGAGGAATTGCCACACTGACTTCCACAATGGTTGAACTAGTTTACAGTCCCACCAACAGTGTAAAAGTGTTCCTATTTCTCTACAACCTCTCCAGCACCTGTTGTTTCCTTTTTAATGATTGCCATTCTAACTGGTGTGAGATAGTATCTCATTGTGGTTTTGATTTGCATTTCTCTGATGGCCAGTGATGATGAGCATTTTTTCATGTGTTTTTTGGCTGCATAAATGTCTTCTTTTGAGAAGCATCTGTTCATGTCCTTCGCCCACTTTTTGATGGGGTTGTTTGTTCTTTTTTTGTAAATTTGCTTGAGTTCATTGTAGATTCTGGATATTAACCCTTTGTCAGATGAGTAGGTTGCAAAAATTTTCTCCCATTTTGTAGGTTGCCTGTTCACTCTGATGGTAGTTTCTTTTGCTGTGCAGAAGCTCTTTAATTAGATCCCATTTGTCAATTTTGGCTTTGGTTGCCATTGCTTTTGCTGTTTTAGACATGAAGTCCTTGCCCATGCCTATGTCCTGAATGGTAATGCCTAGGTTTTCTTCTAGGGTTTTTATGGTTTTAGGTCTAACGTTTAAGTCTTTAATCCATCTTGAATTGATTTTTGTATAAGGTGTAAGGAAGGGATCCAGTTTCAGCTTTCTACATATGGCTAGCCAGTTTTCCCAGCACCATTTATTAAATAGGGAATCCTTTCCCCATTGCTTGTTTTTCTCAGGTTTGTCAAAGATCAGATAGTTGTAGATATGCGGCGTTATTTCCGACGGCTCTGTTCTGTTCCATTGATCTATATCTCTGTTTTGGTACCAGTACCATGCTGTTTTGGTTACTGTAGCCTTGTAGTATAGTTTGAAGTCAGGTAGTGTGATGCCTCCAGCTTTGTTCTTTTGGCTTAGGATTGACTTCATGATGTGGGCTCTTTTTTGGTTCCATATGAACTTTAAAGTAGTTTTTTCCAATTCTGTGAAGAAAGTCATTGGTAGCTTGATGCGGATGGCATTGAATCTGTAAATTACCTTGGGCAGAATGGCCATTTTCATAATATTGATTCTTCCTACCCATGAGCATGGAATGTTCTTCCATTTGTTTGTATCCTCTTTTATTTCCTTGAGCAATGGTTTGTAGTTCTCCTTGAAGAGGTCCTTCACATCCCTTGTAAGTTGGATTCCTAGGTATTTTATTCTCTTTGAAGCAATTGTGAATGGGAGTTCACTCATGGTTTGGCTGTTTGTCTGTTGTTGGTGTATAAGAATGCTTGTGATTTTTGTACATTGATTTTGTATCCTGAGACTTTGCTGAAGTTGCTTATCAGCTTAAGGAGATTTGGGGCTGAGACAATGGGGTTTTCTAGATATACAATCATGTCATCTGCAAACAGGGACAATTTGACTTCCTCTTTTCCTAATTGAATACCCTTTATTTCCTTCTCCTGCCTAATTGCCCTGGCCAGAACTTCCAACACTATGTTGAATAGGAGTGGTGAGAGAGTGCATCCCTGTCTTGTGCCACTTTTCAAAGGGAATGCTTCCAGTTTTTGCCCATTCAGTATGCTATTGGCTGTGGGTTTGTCATAGACAGCTCTTATTTTGAGATACATCCAATCAATCCTAATTTATTGAGAGTTTTTAGCATGAAGGGTTGTTGAATTTTGTCAAAGGCCTTTTCTGCATCTATTGAGATAATCATGTGGTTTTTGTCTTTGGCTCTGTTTATATGCTGGATTACATTTATTGATTTGCGTATATTGAACAAGCCTTGCATCCCAGGGATGAAGCCCACTTGATCATGGTGGATAAGCTTTTTGATGTGCTGCTGGATTCGGTTTGCCAGTATTTTACTGAGGATTTTTGCATCAATGTTCATCAAGGATATTGGTCTAAAATTCTCTTTTTTGGTTGTGTCTCTGCCCGGCTTTGGTATCCGGATGATGCTGGCCTCATAAAATGAGTTAGGGAGGATTCCCTCTTTTTCTACTGATTGGAATAGTTTCAGAAGGAATGGTACCAGTTCCTCCTTGTACCTCTGGTAGAATTTGGCTGTGAATCCATCTGGTCCTAGACTCTTTTTAGTTGGTAAGCTATTTATTATTGCCACAATTTCAGCTCCTGTTATTGGTCTATTCAGAGATTCAACTTCTTCCTGGTTTAGTCTTGGGAGAGTGTATGTGTTGAGGAATTTATCCATTTCTTCTAGATTTTCTAGTTTATTTGCGTAGAGGTGTTTGTAGTATTCTCTGATGGTAGTTTGTATTTCTGTGGGATCGGTGGTGATATCCCCTTTATCATTTTTTATTGCGTCTATTTGATTCTTCTCTTTTTCTTTATTAGTCTTGCTAGCGGTCTATCAATTTTGTTGATCCTTTCAAAAAACCAGCTCCTGGATTCATTAATTTTTTGAAGGGTTTTTTGTGTCTCTATTTCCTTCAGTTCTGCTCTGATTTTAGTTATTTCTTGCCTTCTGCTAGCTTTTGAATGTGTTTGCTCTTGCTTTTCTAGTTCTTTTAATTGTGATGTTAGGGGTCAATTTTGGATCTTTCCTGCTTTCTCTTGTGGGCCTTTAGTGCTATAAATTTCCCTCTACACACTGCTTTGAATGTGTCCCAGAGATTCTGGTATGTTGTGTCTT
Organism: Homo sapiens; assembly: GCF_000001405.40. Classification (NCBI taxonomy): domain Eukaryota; kingdom Metazoa; phylum Chordata; class Mammalia; order Primates; family Hominidae; genus Homo; species Homo sapiens. The sequence goes on from NC_000001.11 coordinate 187,543,814, forward strand.
TGTTCTCGTTGGTTTCAAAGAACATCTTTATTTCTGCCTTCACTTCGTTATGTACCGAGTAGTCATTCAGGAGCCCAAGTTTTCTTAAGTGAACTCCTGAAACTGGTTAAAACTTCAGACACAATATTATACCTTCTCATTTTTCTAAGGAAACCAATAATCCATATATCTCTTTAACTCTATATTGTCCAGTTCCAAGTGGCATGCTGTATTTTAACTGATAACAATCTTCCTCCACCAGTCGGAGAAAATGTTTTGAATTGGGTGAGAAGCCAAGGAATATGTCTCAATCCTCATCATAAAGGGGTCCAGAGCACTGTGTGACACTATTCACCGCATCCTCCCTATTGAAACTCTGACTTCATTTGGCTTCTACTTTTCAAGCTGTCTGGCCCCGCCTCAGGCACCATTGGTTCACCCTTCCCCACCCATTAATTAGCCATTAAAAGCTAAGATTCTGTGGGGCTTAGTATCAGACTAATTTCTCCTTTCTGCTCTCCCTCTCTATAGGTCATTGCATTCAAACCAGTGATTCACTACCCTCTGCATACCAATAACTAGCAAATTTATGTAGTTTTCAAAATCTTTTTTGTTGAGTTCAGACTCATATAGACATTTCCATTTAGATACCTTATAAAGATCCTTACTTTCAACAGGTCCCAAACTGTTCTCCTAATATCCATCTCATCCTTTCCTATCTCAAACCTGGTCATTTTCCTTTGTTTCATGTCCTAGGAAATGGCATCACCAAACTTCTGGATGCACAAGCCAGAAATCTTGTCTTCCTATCAACTCTTGTATTGAGATCCAGTGCCAAATCTTTTATTACCATCTTAACATCTCTTGAATTCTAACAGTACTAATGTAGAATTAGTAATCCCTGTACAAATTGCAATCAAGGGAGCAACCACCTTTGCCTTCTCCAAATACCTTCCTTGCCAAAGCAGCTCTCTGTACTGTATTCATAGTCATATTTTCAAAATGAGGAACTTACCATTTGCAATACACCCCATCCCCAAACCACTGTCAAACCTTACCCAACTTAAAACTCTCTCTGATTACCCTATTGCTTTTAATTTACAGACCAAACAATTTCATAAGAACCACTTGTTCACATGTAATTCTGCCCATTCTTCGGGCTTCTTTCAATAACTGGTTCTCTGAGCATCCGTCACATGGGTCTCTCTCCACTTCCTCAGACAGGCCATGTTTCTTCCCATCACAGCTCTGAATGTGGATTACCTCTCTCTGAAATGACCTCCAATGTCATCAACCCTCTTTGCCCAGTTGATCCCTACTCACCAGACAAATCTCAGCTCAATGGCTGTCCAGAACTTTCTAGACACTCAGATTAAGACAGATTCCTATACTCTATGACCTCATAAAATTGTGTTTCTTTTCTTTAGGACATTTAACCTTCATATTTAAGTATATCTTTTCTGTCTTACTTAGGTTTCCTTCCTGCTGTGAAGTCATTCTGAGATTAGCCTGCATTAGTGTAGACCAGATTTTAATCTTTACTCACAAAGGATATGCACTAATAAATGCTTTATATATATATATATATTTTTATTATACTTTTAAGTTCTAGGGTACATGTGCACAACGTGCAGGTTTGTTACATATGTATACATGTGCCATGTTGGTGTGCTGCACCCATTAACTTTTAATATAATATTTGCCATGCATATAATTATCTATTTATCTTTTCTTTTCTCTTCCCCTCCCCCCTTTTTTAGGTGCTCTACTGTTTTGTTTTTGACAGTGGTTTATTGTTTTTATTGCCAGCTTTTCTTGGTTCATTTCTTAATGCTGAAAGTCTTACCTCACCTTTGTGGTGTTGATCTCAGTGAAAGGTTGACATTCACTTAAGGTTTGTTTCAAAACATTTTGGCCTATTTTAAATTTAATGCCATCTTTATACTGTTTAAAGAAAAACTTCAGGCAAATTAATTTTAGAGAGTTTAATCAAGCAAAGAAAAATTCATGAATTGTGCAACCTCCTGCATCAGAGTAGGCTCAGAGACTCCAGCACAGCCACGTGGTGGAAGATTTATAAACAGAAAAAGGAAAGTGGCCTACAGAAAATGGACATGGGGAGGTGTGGTGGCTCACACCTGTAATCCCGGCACTCTGGGCGGCCAAGGCGGGTGGATCACTTGAGGTCAGGAGTTCCAGACCAGCCTGGCCAACATGGTGAAACCCCTGTCTCTACTAAAAATACAAGAATTAACCAGACGTGGTGGTGCTTGCCTGTAATCTCACCTACTCTGGAGGCTGAGGTGGAGGTTGCAGTGAGCTGAGATTGCACCACTGCTCTCCAGCCTGGGTGACAGAGCGAGATCTTGTCTCAAAACAACAACAACAACAAAAGACATGATGTAGAAAAACAGCCAGATTGTTTATATGTTTGCCTTATTTGAACACGGTTTGAACAGTTGTCCCCCTTTGACTGGCCAAAACTCGGTGACTGGCACGAGAATAGGTTACAGTCTGTTTATATCTCCATTTAGGTTATAGTTCACACGTATAGAGAGACCTTTAGGCTGAACTTAAAATACGTAAGCAAGCAACTTCAGGCTAAACTTGATTTAACACAAACTTCTAAATAAGGTAGTCAAGTTTTACTAACATAATTTTTACAGAAAAGAAAGCCAGGTTATTGCCTATGGCTCGGTAGTATTTGGGGCAATAAACATGGCTACCTAATACAGGCTTACTGCGTATGGCCACGCTGGCTGTGAATCTGATGAAAATCGTGCCTTCTAGAGTTTTGTAGAGAACAGTCTTCACACCACATCCAGGGACCTGGCAATACAGTGCCCTCCTGCAACAATCAAGAAATTTTTAATCCAGTACTTTTCCCCAGGACAACTTTCCTTTTCTACACACACACACACACACATTCCTACACACTCATAAACATTTTTCACCATGCATTCATTGTCCTTATGCCCTCCAAATTAAATCAGCAAATTAAATCAGTGCTAGAAATAGGAAGAAACTTTCTGGATTCTACCTTTATGTTAAGAACGAATAACGGTAATTATTCCATAATACTGCAGGGTGAAAATGTACGGAAAAACATTTTCTTGCTAATGTATATACAGTGCCCATACTGTACTTACGTGTCTACTCCTGGCTAATCTATTTATTACATAGCTAAACAAAGCAACATTTTGGAACAATACTTGTAGGTTTTCAACATTCTAAAAAGGTCTGGCAGTCAGTCCCTGTGTTTCAAACCTAAGATTAAAGCAATAATTTATTTCATAGTTTCTGTGAAGATATCATAAGTTCTCATCTCTAAGATAATTTCAGCATGGATTTATTGATGCATGCTATATGTGGTTTAACTGAGTGTATGTTTTCTTTGCATGGGGCTATGAAGTGTCTAGATAGGAAGTAGCAAATAAAGAAAACTCAAGACATGTTGCTTGTTACAAATTGATTTCAAATATTCATGCCAGTAAGAAAGAAAATGAACAGATAATGTAAACTGTTCCTCTATTTTGAGGAATAGCGTTCTTTGCAATCTACTTTAAAAGCTTCTAGCAGAAATTACTTCTCAGAGAAATTTTAAATAACCTAAATTAACTTGACACAGATTACCTAAAATTACAATGCAATTGTCATTCTGGACTACTGGAAAAATGAATAATCTTTCTTTAAGAAGCCTCCAGGCTGGGTGTGTTGGTGCACACTTGCAAGCCCAGCACTTTGGGAGGCTGCTTGAGGCCAGGAATTTGCTATCAGCCTGGGCAACACAGCAAGACCCCATCTCTAAATTTTTTTGTTTTCAAATCAGCCTGGCATGGTGGCACATACCTGTGGTCCCAGCTACTTTGGAGGCTGAAGTGGGAGAATTGCTTGAGCCCAGGAGTTTGAGGCTGAGTGAGCTATGATCACACCACTGCATTCCAGCCTGAGTGACAGAGTGAGACCCTGTCTCAGAAAAAAGAAACTTCTTGTGAGAGATTCATTCTAATACTTATATTTTCACATTAGCTTGAAAAAAACATGAATCAGTTCATTAGGTATTCCCATTTCTTATAATTGTGGAATAAATGAGAATCACATATAACTATTACATGTATTTCAAAATTACTTATATTGAACTCTGAAGTAAAATGCATTTTTTAATTCATACATATGCATCTGACACTTTTGGCAAACAGAAGCGTCAGTGGATAAAGACTCATGAAAAACTGAATACCTGGTTTCCTGTCCTGAATCTACTTCTCTCTAGCCTTGTAATCTTAAAAAAAATCACTTTTCCTCTCTATTTCTTAATTTCCTTATCTGAAGATTAAGATAACCATCATACAGAGTTTTGTGAGGCACAGATCTAAAACACCACTCAAATATATACACAGCAGTATTAACACATGCAATTTTATGTTTTAATATTATGATTCACAAAAAATTTGACTTCTTGACTAAAAACTGTAAAGTTTATACTTACTTTTCCCACTCCTGTTTCTCACACATGTATGTGTATGTGTGTGCATGTGTGTGTGTGTATGCATGTGTGTATATGTATTTAGCATCTATTGATTTGTCTTAAGCCTCTTAGGTTCAATGGACAAATTCAGCTTCTTCCACATGTAAGTAACTGCCTAATTTTATTTTTAAGGTATATACACTGAACCATTTAACCATAGGGAGAGCAACTTAGCCAAAGTCACACTCTTTTCTGGCATTGAAGTAAAACTTCACCCTCTGCCAACCCCCCTCCCTTTCTTTGCCTTCACCTGCTCTGATCCCATCAGTAGTCCTAATACTTCTGGCATGTTATTTTTCATCCCAGAGTCTGCCTCATGAGGAAAGCCATCCACAGCAATGAGTTTACTCATGTTATTCTCACTTTTAAAGAAGACTAAAATGAGACACAGAGATTAAAAGCTTAAGTTCTCTCAAGCATTTAGTAACAGACCCAGTGATTAAATCCAGTTAGAGTCCAGAGCCAGCAGAAGAGTTTTGTGTTGTTGATACTAATCTTTAATAAATAAGTGCTATGCATAATTTAAATCCTAACAGAAGTTAAAAATCGTTCTCACTCCTGTTATATAGCTAGCATTTACTTGCTATCTAAACAAACAAATATACCAATAGTTTTTTTAAAAAAAAAAAAAAAACAAGGCCGGGCGGGATGGCTCACGCCTGTAATCCCAGTACTTTGGGAGGCCGAGGCAGGCGGATCATGAGCTCAGGAGACCGAGACCATCCTGGCTAACATGGTGAAACCCCGTCTCTACTAAAAATACAAAAAATTAGCCAGGCGTGGTGGCAGGCGCCTGTAGTCCCAGCTACTCGGGAGGCTAAGGCAGGATAATGGTGTGAACCCGGGAGGTAGAGCTTGCAGTGAGCTGAGATCGCACCACTGCTCTCCAGCCTGGGTGACAGAGCGAGACTCCGTCTCAAACAAAGCAAAACAAAAAAACAAAAAACAAACACGCAGTCTTAGCCAGTTACCAAATTGTCTTTTCACAGCCCCATATCCACCCTTCTTTACCCTGTTTTGTGATACTGGGTCTGGACACTAAACTTTCCTCCTTTGTCGGCTGATGCAAGGCAACATCATCAGGAAAACATTTGCTTTCTGGCTTTCTTTTGTTATCATTATACAATTTGAGAGCCCAGTTGCCTGTGCTGCTGAGCACTAGCGGTGCCCTTGGGCCATGCTCTCCTCACCAGCCGGTCTTTCCAATTACCTCTAACCAGCCACATTGTCCAGGTAATGTATCCCACTTACAGAAATTAGCTCTGGTCTATGACTGGTGGTGAGTTTTCTCATCTTTGGCAGGTTGCATTTTACTGTGGTAGCCATTTTCTTGATGAAGAAATCTGAGTCTTACCACTGGAGAGTATCTGTTTCAGGGGAGGCAGCTCTCCTACTCTTTAGTTCTTTTATCGGACTCTCTTCCCTGGCCTAAAAATAGTAGCTGCTTTGTTGCACTTGCTATTTCTGGACCGCTTACAGTCCTCTTTTACCCCAACCTTCATTATTAGTAACCCATGTTCTATTAATCATTCTGTACGTTAAATTTCCTGTAATCAAATAACTGGTATATTTTCTGTACCTTGATGGAACCCTGACACAAGTACTCTCCATCTCTAAACAATAAACCGACTTGTTAAACATAAGCAAAATGCCTAAATAGAATCCACTAGTATTAAATGAGTAATTGAACTTGACCAGGTACGGATTACTTGAGAACACAGCATTAAAATTAACTTAATTATCTATATTAATAGAGTAAAGAAAAATATGCTGTTATATCATTTCAAAAGATACAAAAATACAATAAAAACAGTTGGCAAAATTAAACCTTTATGTTGCATAAAATTCTTAATCTACAAATAAAAAATAACATTCCTTTAACAAGTTGAGATTGTCTACTAGAAAACAAAAATGACGTTATATCTACCATTGTCATATGAGGAACATCTCTGCTAGCGTCAGCAGTAGTAAACAAGCCTGCCCACTCTCACCTGATGTCTTAGTGTGTCCGGAATTGGTGGGTTCTTGGTCTCGCTGGCTGACTTCAAGAATGAAGCCACGGACCCTTGCGGTGAGTGTTACAGTTCTTAAAGATGGTGTGTCCGTAATTTGTTCCTTCTGATGTTCAGACGTGTTCAGAGTTTCCTTCCTTCTGGCGGATTCGTGGTCTCGCTAGCTTCAGGAGTGAAGCTGCAGACCTTTGCGGTGAGCATTACAGCCCTTAAGGAGGTGCATCTGGAGTTGTTCCTCCCTCCCGCTGGGTTTGTGGTGGGTTCCTTGTCTCACCCACCTCAGTTGTAAAGGCCTCAGGAGTGAAGCTGCAGACCTCCCCAGTAATGGCACACACCCAAAGACCAAGGAACAGCAAGATTTATTGCCAAGAGCAAAAGAACAAAGCCCCCCCAAAGTAAGGCAGACCCAAACAGGTTGCAGCAGCTGGCTCAGGTGGCCTGTTTTTATCCCTTTATCCGGCCCTACCCACATCCTGCTGATTGGTCCATTTCACAGAGAGCTGACTGGTCCACTTTACAGAGAGCTGATTGGGCCGTTTTTCAGAGAGCTGATTGATCCGTTTTGACAGAGTGCTGATTGGTGCATTTACAAACCTTTAGCTAGACACAGAGTGCTGATTGGTGCATTTACAATCCTGTAGCTAGACACAAAAGTTCTCCAAGTCCCCATCAGATTAGCTAGACACAGAACATTGATTGGTACGTTTACAACCCTTTAGCTAGTGAGAAAAGTCTCCAGGTCCCCACCCAACCCAGAAGCCCAGTGGGGTTCACTTCTCAATGGTACTCCCTGCAGGACTTTCCGGCACCGGCAGCCCAGAGGGAGCTCGTCCCCCATCAAGCCCAGCAGGCGCCGGCTGGCCACACCTAGGCCCACCAAGCCTGCACCCACCCAGAACCCCCACCGCGCGAGCAGGTTACGCAGCCCCAGCTGCCACAGGCGCCTCTCCCTCCACTTCTCCCCGCCAGCAGAGGGAGCCAGCTCCGGCCTCGGCCAGCCCCAGAGAAGGGCCTCCACAGTGCTGCGGCAGGCTGAAGGACTCCTCCAGCGTAGCCAGAGCTGCCCCCGAGGCTGCAGAGGTGCCGAGAGCGAGCGAGGGCTGATAGCACGTTGTCACCTCTCATTACTCTGTGCTGCTATGACAAAATACCATAGACTGGGTAATTTATCAAGAATATAAATGCATTTCTTTCAGTTCTGGAGGCTGGGAAGTGTAAGATCAAGGCACTGGCCTGTTCAGTGTCTGTGAAGGCCCAGTCTCCCTGCTTCCAAGATGGTGCCTTGTTGTGGTATCCTCTGGAGGGATGAACACTGTGTCTTTCATGGCAGAAGGAATAGAAGGAAAAAAGGGCCAAAGCTAGTTTCCTCCAGCTCTTTTATAAGCACTAATCCATTTACAAGGGTAGAGTTTTCATGAATTAATCACTTCCCAGAGGCCTCATCTCTTAATACCACTACAGTGGAATTAAGTTTCAATATCTGAATTTGGGGAAGCATTCAGACTATAGCACCTGACTATTCAACTTTGTACTTGAGACCCTAGCCAATGCTATGTGAAAGAGAAAAATGAGATCTATTTTTAGAAGAGAAGACTCAAAACATGCACTATATGTATATTGCCTACCTTAAAATTCCAAAATAAGTCACATAACTTACAAACTAATAGGGGTTTGATAATTAGACCAAATAGAAAAACAACTCAAATCAAGTGTTGGTTTCTTGATATACTGCCAATAGCCTATTAGAACATATAAGGAAATAACTGTTAGTAAGAATTGAACAAGCCCTCTACCAAGACAATGCTTTCCCATTTAAAGATGCAAAAAGAGACCTGAGTAAGTGGGGAGCGGCATACTGTGTTTTGAAGGTGTATTAGTACATTTTCACACTGCTGATAAAGACATACCCAAGACTGGGCAATTTACAAGAGAAAGAGGTTTATTGGACTTACAGTTCCACATGGGTGGGGAGGCTTCACAATCATGGCAGAAGTCAAGAAGTAGCAAGTCAGGTCTTAACATGGATGGCAGTAGGAAAAAAAAAGAGAGCTTGTGCAGGAAAACTCCCCCTTAAAATAACCATCAGATCTCCTGAGACAGACTATCATGAGAACAGCACGGGAAAGACCTGCCCTCGTGATTCCATTACCTCCCACCGGGTCCCTCCCACAACACGTGGGAATTCAAGATGAGATTTAGGTGGAGACGCAGTCAAACCATATCAGAAGATAAACATTAAATAGCAAAAAGACATCAAATATTCATAAATTAACATATAATCCAATGATATCTCAATTAAAAATTTAATAGCTTTTTAAATCTGAGGAATGCAGGAGCTGATTCTAAAGTTTTTAATAATAAAAAGCACAAGAATAGCCAAAACATTTAAAAAAGAAAAGAAAAAATACACTATCCATGAAATATATAAAACAGTATAATACGCTATTTAAAGTATTGTAATATTTAAAATACTGTGATTCTGGAAAGCATAATAATGAAAAGACCAAAATAAAAAATCCAGGAAGATACTCATATTTGTGACTTAAGTTCATTATTTTAAATAATTAAGAAGTGGTTATTAAATTGTATTGGAAAAGTTCATTTGAAAAACAAAAAGAGGATTAAAAAATCTCACAACATAAAAAGCTAAATTTCAGATAAAGGTGGCAAAGTTTAATAAAGAACCTGACATCGTTTTTTGATGTTTGGCTGTTGGCAGCCCTTAAGACTTACCAATCTCTCATCTCATTGTGCCTCACAAGCTTAATTAAAGCCTAGATGCTCTCTTCTTTGTCAATGGTGAGTGGTTTAAACCACACTGGTTACTACCCACCTAAGGTACTATCAGCCCAGTCCCAGTTTCTTTTTTTTTTTTTTTTTTTTGAGATGAAGTCTCGCTGTTGCCCAGGCTGGAGTGCAGTGGCGCAATCTCAGCTCACTGCAGGCTCCACCCGCCCCGGGTTCATGCCATTCTCCTGTCTCAGCCTCCTGAGTAGCTGGGACTACAGGCGCCCGCCACCTTGCCTGGCTAATTTTTTGTATTTTTAGTAGAGACGGGGTTTCACCATATTAGCCAGGATGGTCTCGATCTCCTGACCTCCTGATCCACCTGCCTTGGCCTCCCAAAGTGCTGGGATTACAGGCGTTAGCCACCACGCCTGGCCCCAGTTTCTAACCACCAAAAAAATCTGAAGCCAAGTATCCCTGGTTCTTTGAAGTCATTTTAGCAAATCTTTGGGAGCAACCTCACCCTCTCCAGAAAGCCTTGGTAGGTGAGTAATAAAGCTTTATACCCTCGTGTTGTGTGTGAGGTGTTATCAGCTTCGACATCTGATCCAAATTTTGAATGGGTAGCTGGGGTCTATCATGACCTTGTGGGGGAGGCCACAAGACAAAGCAGAATGTTGTGGGGTTTGTTTGTTTTGTTTTGTTTTGTTTTTGTTTTTGAGACAGAGTCTAACTCTGTTGCCCAGACTGAAGTGCAGTGGTGCAATCTCGGCTAATTGCACCCCCTCCTCCTGGGTTCAAGCGATTCTTGTTCCTCAGCCTCCCAAGTAGCTGAAACTACAGGTGTGCACCACCATACCTGACTAATACCTCAAACTCCTGGGCTGAAGTGATCCACCCACCTCAGCCTCCCAAAATGTTGGGATTTCAAGCATGAGCCACCCTGCACAGCCTGACAAAGCAAATTGTAACTATTAAACCTGTAATTAGCAATCTGACTGCAAGTGGCTCACGTGGCCCAGTTGCTTCCCTCAATCTCTGATCTTACTTTCTCAAAACAACGAAAATCTTTGTCAACACTTATCTTCTTCTTTCTCTCTACAACTTATTTGATCTTTTTTCCCTTAAAATTAGTACTAAGTCCTGGAAAATCCACCTGCTTTGACATTGATGGGTCTTTATTACTACCGTTTTCTCGTTAACCAAAACAACTTACAAGACATGAGACCTAAACAGCAAATTCCTCTAATGGGGGAAAAATGGGAGCTGTTGTTTGAGGAATTTTCTCTTGGTATTATTGTCTAAGTGGCTAGGACATTTATTCCACAAACAATTTTTTAAGGCTGAATTATCTGCAAGGTTACATGCTGAAAATACTACAGTGAACAAATATATGTATAACACGAAAAATTAAACTTCATGTCCTCATGGGATTTAAATTTTCATGAGATAATTAAACAATAGGTAAATAAACCAATGGATAAGTAATATTCTTTTATATAATAATTATAAGATATTATTAGGTATTAGATAAAATGTCTAAAATATAAGATAAAACTAAAATATCTGAAATATAAGGGAATAGATGGGAGGGTTAGTATAGTTAAGGTAGTTGGAGTAGACTTCCTTGAGGAGGTGACATTTAAGCAGAGAACTAAATAAAGTGAAAGGGTGAGTGAGGCAAACATTTGTGGGGTGAGCATTCTAGGCTGAGGCAATGGTGGATGCAAAGGCCCTGTGATAGGAACATGACTGGGCTGTTTGAGAAGAATGCTAGTATGGCTTCAGCAGAAGGGACCATAGAGAAATAGGAAACATATTTAGGAAGGTTGCCGGGGACCACAGTATAAAAGAACACTGAGGACACTAGATTTTATTTGTATTATTAGGAGAAACTATCAAAAAGCACTGAAATAGAAAACAGTATGATATGCTGATATATATTTTGAAGAGATGACTTGAACTTTTGTATTGACTGAAGATTAAGAGAGAAAACAGAGTGAGGTTAGGAAGCTAGAACAGTGATGTTTAGGAGAGACCAGCTTGGCTTGGAGTAGGGAGGAAGAAACAGAGGCGCTGAATATTCCTCACGTTAGAAACGGGATGAGAAAATCATAAGGGTTGTCTCTCATCACCTCAACACTAGAATTCCTGAGATAGGCAGCCTAACATTCTTTAGTCTTTGAGCCAGAGGAAATAGTTTATTTTTTATTTTTATTTTTTTAAGTGCATTCCTTTTTTATTTAAAGAGACCAAAAGCAACTCTTTTCCCTTTGTCATTACCATATTTTACTTTATTTATTTATTTGTTTATTCCGTCAACTTTTATTTTAAGTTCAGGGGTGCATATGCAGGATGTGCAGGTTTGTTACATAGGTAAACGTGTGCCCATGTGGTTTGCTACACAGATCATCCCATCACCTAGGTATTAAGCCCAGCATCCATTAGCTACTCTTCATGACACTCTCCCTCCCCCAATGCACCCCCACAGGCCCCAGTGTGTGTCGTTCCCCTCTATGTGTTCTCATTTTTCAGCTCCAACTTATAACTGAGAACATGTGGTGTTTGGTTTTCTGTTCCTGTGTTAGTTTGCTGAGAATTATGGCTTTCAGCTCCATCCATGTCCCTGCAAAGGACATGATCTCATTTCTTTTTATGGCTGCATAGTATTCCATGGTATATATGTACCACATTTTCTTTATCCAGTCTATCATTGATGGGCATTTGGGTTGGTTCCATGTCCTTGCTATTGTGAATAGTGTTGCAATAAACATACGTGTGCATGTGTCCTTATAGTAGAATGATTTCTATTCCTTTTGATATATACCCAGTAATGGGATTGTGGGATCATATGGTTATCTGGTTCTAGATCCTTGAGGAATCGCCACACTGTCCTCTACAATGATTGAACAAATTTACATTCCCACCAACAGTGTAAAAGTGTTCCTATTTCTCCACAGCCCCTCGAAAATCTATTATTTCTTGACTTTTTAATAATCGCCCTTCTGACTGGCATAAGATGGTATCTCATTGTGGTTTTGATTTGTATTTCTGTAATTATCAGTGGTGTTGAGCTTTTTTTCATACATTTGTTGGCTGCATAAATGTCTTCTTTTGAGAAGTGTCTGTTCATATCCTTTGCCCACTTTTTGATGGTTTTTTTTTTCTTGTAAATTTCTTTAAGTTCCTGCTAGATTCTGGACGTTAGACCTTTGTCAGATGGGTAGATTGCAAAAATTTTCCCCCATGCTGTGGGTTGCCTCTTCACTCTGATGATAGTTTCTTTTCACAATATTGATTATTCCTATCCGTGAGCATGGAATGTTTTCCCATTTGTTTGTGTCCTGTATTATTTCCTTGAGCAGTGGTTTGTAGTTCTTGAAGAGGTCTTTTACATCCCTTGTAAGTTGTATTCCTAGGTATTTTATTCTCTTCGTAGCACTTGTGAATGTTTGTTCATTCATGCTTTGGCTCTCTGCTTGTTTATTGTTGGTGTGTAGGAATGCTTGTGATTTTTGCACAGTGATTTTATATCCTGAGACTTTGCCGAAGTTACTTATCAGCTTAAGGAGCTTTTTGGCTGAGATGATGGGGTGTTCTAAATATAGAATTACATCATCTGCAGAGAAAATTTGACTTCCTCTCTTCCTATTTGAATAACCTTTATTTCTTTCTTTTGCCTGATTGCATTGGCCAGAACTTCCAATATTATGTTGAATAGGAGTGGTGAGAGAGGGCATCCTTGTCTTGTACCAGTTTTCAAAGGGAATGCTTCCAGCTTTTGCCAATCAATATGATATTGGCTGTGGATTTGTCATAAATAGCTCTTATTGTTTTGAGATATGTTCTCTAAGTACCTAGTTTATTGAGAGTTTTTAACATGAAGGGATGTTGAATTTCATCAAAGGCCTTTTCTGCATCTACTGAGATGATCATGTGATTTTTGTCTTTAGTTCTGATTATGTGATGGATTATGTTTATTGATTTGCATATGTTGAACCAGCCTTGCATCCCAGGGATGAAACTGACATGATCATGTTGGGTAAAGTTTTTTTATGTGCTGCTGGATTCAGTTTGCCAGGATTTTGTTGAGGATTTTTGCATCAATTTCTATCAGGGATATTAGCCTGAAGTTTTCTGTTTTTGTTGTGTCTCTGCCAGGTTTTGGTATCAGGGTGATGCTGGCCTCATAAAATGAGTTAGGGAGGAGTCCCTTTTTTCAATTATTTGGAATAGTTTTAGAAGTAATGGTACCAGCTCCTCTTTGTGTCTCTGGTAGAATTCAGCTGTGAATCTGTCTAATCCTGGGCTTTTTTTTTTTTTTTTTTTTTTTGGTTGAGAGACTATTAATTACAGCCTCAATTTCACAACTTGTTATTGGTCTATTCTGGGATTCGACTTCTTCCTGGTTCAGTCTTGGTAGGGTGTATGTGTCCAGGAATGTATCCATTTCTTCCAGATTTTCTAGTTTATTTGAGTAAAGGTGTTTATAGTATTCTTTGATGGTAGTTTATATTTCTGTGGGATCAGTGGTGATATCCCCTTTATCATTCTTTATTGTGTCTATTTGATTCTTCTCTCTTTTCTTCTTTGTTAGTCTAGCTAGCAGTCTATGTATTTTGTTAATCTTTTCAAAAAAACACCTCCTGGATTCATTGATTTTTAAGGGGTTTTTTAAATGTCTCTATCTCCTTTGATTCTACTCTGATCTTGTTTATTTCTTGTCTTCTGCTAGCTTTTGGATTTATTTGCTCTTGCTTCTCTAGCTCTTTTAATTGTGATGTTAGGGTGTCAATTTGAGAACTTTCTACCTTTCTGATGTTGGCATTTAGTGCTATAAATTTTCCTCTTAACATTGCTTTATCTGTGCCCCCACAGATTCTGATACTTTGTCTCTTTGTTTTCACTGGTTTCAATGAACTTCTTGATTTCTGCCTTACTTTCGTTATTTACTTAGGAGTCATTCAGGAGCAGGTTGTTCAATTTCCATGTAATTGTGTGGTTTTTAGTGAGTTTTTTAATCCTGAGTTCTAATTTGATTGTACTGTGTTATGAGAGACTGTTTGTTACGATTTTAGTTATTTTGCATTTGCTGAGGAGTGTTTTACTTCCAATTATGCGGTCAATTTTAGAATAAGTGCCATGTAGTACTGAGAAGAATGAATTTCAGTTGATTTGGGGTAGATAGTTCTGCAGATGTCTATTAGGTCCACTTGATCCAGAGCTGAGTTCAAGTCCTGAATATCCTTGTTAATTTTCTGTCTCATTGATCTGTCTAATATTGACAGTAGGGTGTTAAAGTCTCCCACTATTATTGTGTGGGAGTCTAAGTCTCTTTGTAGGTCTCCAAGAACTTGTTCTATGAATCTGGGTGCTCCTGTATTGGGTACATATATATTTAGGATAGTTTCCTCTTCTTGTTGAATTGATCCCTTTACCACTATGTAATGCCCTTCTTATTTTCCTCCATCCCTTTGATTTGAGCCTGTATGTCTTTGCGTATAAGATGGGTCTCCTAAATACAGCAAACCGATGGGTCTTGACTCTATCTAATTTACCAGTCTGTGTCTTTTAATTGGGGCATTTAGTCCATTTACATTTAAATTTAATATTGTTATGTGTGAATTTGATCCTGCCATCATGATGCTATCTGGTTATTTGGCACACTAGTTGATGCAGTTTCTTCCTAGTGTCATTGGTGTTTATATTTTGGTGTGTTTTTGCTGTGGCTGGTACTGGTTTTTGCTTTCCATATTTAGTGCTTCCTTCAGGAGCCCTTGTAAGGCAGGCTTGGTGGTGACAAAATTCCTCAGCATTTGCTTGTCTGGAAAGAATAGTATTTCTCCTTCACTCATAAAACTTAGTTTGGCTGGATATGAAATTCTGGGTTGAAAATTCTTTTCTTTAAGAATGTTGAATATTGGCCCTCACTCTCTTCTGGCTTGTAGGGTTTCTGCTGATAGGTCTTCTGTTAATCTGATGGGCTTCCCTTTATAGGTGACCTGGCCTTTCTCTCTGGTTGCCCTTAACATTTTTTTCCTTCATTTCAACCTTGGAGAATCCAATAATTATGCTTCTTGGGGTTTATCTTCTCATGGAGTATCTTAGTGATGTTCTCTGTGTTTCTTGAATTTGAATGTTGGCCTGTCTTGCCAGGTTGGGGAAGTTCTCCTGGATAATAACCTGAAGTGTGATTTCCAGCTTTTTCCATTCTCCCCCTCACCTTCAGTTACTCCAATCTGTCATAGGTTCAGTCTCTTTACATAGTCTCAGTCTCTTTACATAGTCTCATATTTCTTGGAGGCGTTGTTTATTCCTTTTCATTCTTTTTTCTCTCATTCTTTTTTCTCTAATCTTGTCTGCATGCCTTATTTCAGCAACGTGGTCTTCAAACTCCGATATCCTTTCTTCTGCTTGGTCAGTGTGGCTATTGATACTGATGTATGCTTCACGAAGTTCTCTTGCTGTGTTTTTCAGCTCCATCAAGTCATTTATGTTCCTCTCTAAACTGGTTATTGTAGTTAACAGCTC